>NC_000016.10:9385000-10010000 GCF_000001405.40 Homo sapiens | reverse complement strand
GCCCAAGACAAGTGACTGTGCAACGCTGTGCCAGCATCTTTAGGAACCTCAGTTCCAGTTTCATTGTGCATTTGGCCATCATCCGGCCTGTCTCTGCCTCTTGTTCATTGTGGTCCCACGTGACTTCTTTCTGTCTGGTTTGTCTCCGGTCATGTGACTTAGCTGCCTGGACTCTTCTGTTCTATGCAGGAACAGAGCTAGTTTTCATTTACTGCAGGAAAGACCAGATTGGCAGGTTGATTTTTTTTTTTTCTTTCTCATTTGAGCAAGGCACTGGGAACACTGAGGGTGATAAAGGGAAGGCTTAGTTTTGCAATCTGTGCTTATATCACTGAGCTCCCTGCAAGCAAGACCCTTGAGGAACATGTGGGGTGGGTGCCCAGGTGAGCTCAGGCACAGACTCTATTGCAACCCCCATCCTGTCCAGGTCTCCCTGTTTGTTACCACTGCCTTTCCTGGTCTGAGTCTAGGGGTTGTGCCGTCCTTGGGAATTGAGCCGAATCACAAATAAAAGGGCACTTATGGTTTCGAGTGGCGCATACTCTATTACAGTATGTCGCTCTCACCTGCCTACTTTTGCATTGAAAAAATTCACCTCTTCTTAGCTCCTAATCCTCACTTCATCCTTACCTACCTTCTACCTCTCTGTGTGTCAACTCTATTGTGTTTCTATGATTACATTTTTAAAAATATTTATTTGTTTTGAATAGGCAATACCCACATGGGATTACAAAAATTAAATCAGCATCTGTATGTGTCTAGCAAGTATTTTTTCTTCTAAGCTTCCTTCCTGGAGGAATTGCTGTTTCTTGTACATCATTTTGTCTGAGTATGTATTTGGCTAAGCCTTTCAAAATCACCTTCTTTATGGATCAAAGTGGTCACTTACCAGCAAATTGACATGATTCACCCAAATTCCAGCATAAATACGGGACTTTATCAGCACTTGACATATAACGTATTTTCATCTGTATTAGTGTATTGCCTGTCTCTCTCCATCAGAGTGTAAGCTAAATGGAGCCAGGGCTTGTTTTGTTTACTGCTAAATCTCCAATGTCTGGCACCAAAAAGACCCAACAAATAAATATACTACTTTTTATTCACAAATGGTAGCCAACTCTGTGCTCTGTTCTACACCTTGCTTTCTTCATTTACTGCCATGTTTTTCAAATTATTATTTGTTGGTACCTGTAAATCAGTTTTGTTTTCTAACAGTTGCATGGAATGTGCATCCATGGTGAAAATGTACCCTAATGGATGTGACCAATTCCCTTCTGATGGACACCTAGCTTGTTCCTAATCTCTTGACATTACATGCAAAAAATGCCTTGAACATCCTTGCACAGATCTCTGCCTAAAAGTGTGAGTACCTATAGGAAGTTACCTATGTGTGGAACTGCTGCTTCTGAGATTATGTTGCTGTTTTGGGTAAACATTGCCTAGTTGGTTTATTGTATGCTCAGGGAAGAATCACAGTGCTCATGGGTCCGGTCTTTGGTCCTTTGATTGTTATTGTTGGAAACAACTCCACCCACTTCTTATGCTCTACAAAACAACAGCAGTAGGGGAGTGACTGCACGCTGTTCAAGCTTCTTAAAGTTAGTCTTACTACTCCCTGTGGTCAACAGCAGTCCATTCTTTGTATGCTAATCTGTTACATTTGTATTAGAAGATGGATATCTCAGCATGACACAACCAAATTAGTTTTGCTGTTGGAAGCCACCATGGGGTACTAGTTGGGGCACAGCTGTTGCATAGCCATGGGATATCCAAATAAGGGGATTGGGGAAGGCACTGTCATAAGATCATGACCTCTCTTAGAAGCAGGAGCCGTCAAGGCTCAAGAGGACAGATCTCCAATACCTTCATTCCCTGCCTCCTCTCTGTGGTGTTATTACTTCCCCCCAAGATGTTCAAGTTCAGCTCATGTTCATAGAGTGCCTACTGTATGCCATGTACTTTCTGTCCAAGATCGAATTTAACTTTCTTAAGAGCCCTGTGAAAAAAAGAATACTACTTGTATCTTATAGAGGATGTACCAGAGGCTCAAAGAGGTAGAATGACTTGTCAGAGTAAGCTTTTTTAAAGATACAAATAAGACTGTCCTTCCTGCTTAGGACCTTCCATTCTAAAGTCCTCCTGTGTTCTTATCTGCCCATGTCAGTGTCTCCAAGTCAATCATATTTTCTTCCTTTCAAATCTGTCTCCAGCTACACAGCCTCTTGTCACTTACATCTATGTGTTCATTCCTGTCAAAGGCCATTTGCTTTTCTATTTCCCTTTACCGAGAACTTTTAGCCCCCTAAATTAAAATTTACGTGGACCCCGACAGCACAGGCAACCAAAGCAAAATGGGCAAATGGGATCACATCAGGTTAAAAAACTTCTGCACAGCAAACGGTCAAGAAAGCGAAGAGACAACCCAAAGAATGGCAGAAAATATTTAAAAACTATCCATCTGGCAAGGGATTAATAACCAGAATATTTAAGGAGCTCAAACAACTCAATGGGAAAAAGATCTAATAATCCAATTAAAAAAATTGGCAAAAGATCTGAATAGATATTTCTCAAAAGAAGACATACAAATGGCAAAGAGGTCTATGAAAACATGATCAACATCACTAATGGTCAGAAAAATAAAATTCAAAACTACAATAAGTTATCTCACTCCAGCTAAAATGACTTTTTTACAAAAGACAGGCAATGATGAATGCTGGGGAGGATGTGGAGGAAGGGGAACCCTGTACTTTTTTGGTAGAAATGTAAATTAATACAGCCACTATGGATAACAGTATGGAGGTTCCTCAAAAATTAAAAATAGAACTACCATATGATCCAGCAATTCCGCTGTCAACTATATACCCAAAGAAGGGGAAATCAGTATATTGAAGAGATATCTGCACTCCCATGTTTATTACAGCACTATTCATAATAGCCAACATTTGGAAGCAACCTAAGTGTTCATCAACAGATTAATGCATAAAGAAAATGTGGTACATATACACAATGGAGTACTATTTAGCCATAAAAAGAATGAGATCCTGTCATTTGCAACAACATGGATGAAACTGAAGGTCACTATGTTAAGTGAAATAAGCCAGGCATAGAAAGACAAACTTTGCATGTTTTTTACTTCTTTGTGGGAGCTGAAAATTAAAACAATTGAACACAGAAGAGAGTAGAAGGATGGTTACTAGAGTCTGGGAAGGGTAGTTGTGAGAGAGGGTGCTGGGAAATAGGGAGGGTTAATGGGTAAAAAATATAGTTAAGATGGAATGCGTAAGATCTAGTGTTTGATAGCATAACAGGGTGACTGTAGTCAGCAATAATTTGTCGTACATTTTAGAATAACTGAGGGAGTACAATAGGAACGTTGAAAGAAATGATGAATGCTTGAGGTGATGGAAACCTCATTTTACCCTGATGCGATTATTATGCATTAAATGCCTGTACCAAAATATCTCATGTACTCCATAAATATATACACCCACTATGTACCCATAACATTTTTTAAGAAATAAAATGAAATTTACATGATTGGGTTCTTCTAGCCACAGCCAGAATGTCATCTCTTTAGGAGTGATAGATCCTCCTTGACCGCTCCCCCTTAGCACTCTCTATCTCATGGCCCATTTTGTCTTGCACACAGCTCTTCTCACTGTCTAAAAAAGTCGTTTTGGTTGTTCACGTGGTTTATTTATTGATGCAGATGTTGAAGTTGCATTGTAAAAAAACTGGGTTTAAAAATCTGGGTGCATGCACCTTTGCCTGAGACGATTTCATTGCAGTCCTGACCAAGGGCCAGGAGAGCACAGTTGGTGACTTCTACGACTGCAGTTAGGATGGTGTCCAGGTTCCTGGGACAATTGTGCTTAGATTGACCACTGAGGCTAATCACATTGTATTTGGGAGCTTATTTTCTCTTATATGAAGTAGGTTATTATTACAACAGCCTACATCCTTACATAGATCTTCACTGAAAGGAAAACAGTCTTTGCTCAGTGCTGGCCAAAGCTGTAATATTGAGGTAAAAAGCTATCCCTTAAGAACTTATGGTTTCAAAGGTAGTTTATTCATACACTCAGAGGTTTGTGTAAATGTGTGTGTCACTGTGTATATGTGGTTGCATTAGAAATAAATTCAACACAAATGTGATCATGTCATTTCACTGGATGAAAACTTCCCCTTTTTGTCTTAGGTTTAAAAAGTGAAAAGTACTTAATAGAATTTATAATGGAATTTGCAAAGTGACAGGCCACAGGATGAATGAGTTTTATTCAGCCCACATGGTGCTTTGACTTAGTCTCCAACATTTACAAATCAGGAGATGTTACATGAAATTCTGGATATTTGACTTCTCTTAAAGATTTAAAAGCTCCAGTGATACTGTCTGTTGAAATGGCAGTATTCAGATGGAAGTGAGTAATATCTTTTTCTCCAGGTAGGGCGTGGACCCCCCCAGTTTACCTCTTTACGTATCTGGACCACTTCACTCACTCATGGTACACACTTGGCCCCTATAAAATTTGGTTTTGTGACCATCGCTCTGAAATTTCTCCTTCATTTTCCTTTGGATTGAAAAATAGCAGTTAATGTGAGTAATAAAAAATGTTATACTCATGTTTGTTAGTTTGTGGAATTGCACAAGCTTACAAATATAAACAGCAGTTGTCTGAGAGAAAGCAGGAGAGAAATCAACTTTTAAGGGTACATTGGCCCAGAATATAAGTAGCTTCTGATATCTAAATCTTCGCTGTCACTTTTTATATCAATAGTTATTTAAAATAAGTGCTGGCAAAGAAGTAATTTCTTAAACTAATTACTTTGATGCATGTTGCTAGATGCAATTTTTTCAAATGATTATTTTATTTGATTCATGCTTGTAACCTACATACTTACCAGTGCCCCATATATTCTAGCCTCAAAACTTTGTAAATTCAGAGAAACACAGAGCTTTTATAAAAATAAATTTTCGTTTTACTTTTGTCTTTTCAATAAAATTCATGGGCATCTAATTTATAATGCACTTTAAGTAACAATTCTTAAAATTGTCTTTCCTTTCCACTTCTACTCTCTCTTGCCCCGTGTAGTAGGCTGAATAAAGGGCCCTCAAAATGCTTATATTCTAATTCCTTGACCTTGTGAGTATGTTACCTTACATGACAAAAGGGGCTTTGCCAATGTGATTAAGTTAAGCATCTTGATATGGGGAGATTTTCCTGTATTATCCAAGTGGACCCAACAATATAATCACAAGTGTCCTCATCAGGGAAAGACAGGGAGATTCTACTACCAGGGAAGATGACAGTTTGATGACCAAAGGAAAATGCTGTGCTTCTTGCTTTGAAGATGGAGGAAGGGGCCATGAACCAAGGAATGCTGGGATTACAATTCTAGGAACTGGGGAAGGCAAGGAATTGGATTCTTCCCTAGAGTGTCCACAGAGAATACACCCCTGCTGACACCTTGATTTTAGCCCAGTGCAACTGATTTGGGAATTCTGACATCCATGACTCTAAGGAATAAATGTACACTGTTTTAAACCACCTGGTTTGTAGTAATTTGTTACAGCAGCCGTAAGAAACATCCCATAATTGTCCTTTTTTTTTTTTGAGATGGAGTCTCGCTCTGTCACCCAGGCTGGAGTGCAGTGGTGTGATCTCGGCTCACTGTAACCTCTGCCTCCCGGGTTCAAGCGATTCTCCTGCCTCAGCCTCCTGAGTAGCTGGGACTACAGGTGCGCACCATCATGCCCAGCTGATTTTTGTATTTTTAGTAGAGATGGGGTTTCACCATATTGGCCAGGCTGGTCTCAAACTCCTGACTTCGTGATGTGCCCGCCTCAGCCTCCCAAAATGCTGGGATTACAGGTGTGAGCCACCATGCCGGGCCTAATTGTCCTCTTTATTTGTGAGTTCTCAACCCTCTCCGTGAAACTTTCCCAGCCCCCTTTTGATTCCCTTTCATGGGTAATAGTGAGAGGCAGCACACACAGGGAACCAGGACAGTAAACAACCTTCTTACCCTTTTCCAAGATTTCTTCCCAGGAGAGACACAGTAAAATAGAGCAGGTGAGGCAATGCGGACGTGTGACTGCATGATCCATTACCTGAAATAACTTGACCAAAATCAGTGGGAGAACCAACAAGTCTGTGGAACCCACAGTCTTTCTCAAGCACTTATTCCTCTTACTCATAGCTCAGTGTCTTTGCTTTAATGACCTCATTCTTTGCTGCATAAGCCCACTCAGACTATTCCCTAGATATTCTGCCGACATGGCCTCATCTAGACTCCATGTGGCTCTGCCTCTAATTACTGTGTGCTTCATTTGCATAAGGTTTTACTCATTCTCATGTCATTCGTATAAAGTGGGAGTCTCATTGCTAAGGCAACCAGAAGTGGGAGTGTGCACAATTTCAGCCTTGTCCAAGAACTCAGCTCTACTTGGTATACTCCCACTGTGTTCTTGGTTTCCTGCCTTCCATATCCAAAATAATGCAAACAATACCATGGTCATCTCTGTTCGTTTTTTCTCTTTTTATTAATCTTTTAGCAGGCCTATCCAGCTTTTTCCTGAATTCACTAACTTTGTTCTTTAATTATCCCTAGCTAATCTTGATGTCTTTTCCTTTTCCTGCATAATAGATATCTTATCTGGAATCCTTTATGGTAATTACTGCTGTGAACACTTTCCACATGGGTTTTTCTCTTTCTTCTACCACCCTTTTGACCATTCCATGCCTCTCCCATTGGAATCAGAATCCAGGATTTCTGTTTCTGCTCTTCATCTGGACAGGGCCACTCAAAAATAGATGAAGGATCAGGGACTCCATACTCCCCATGTAGGAAGACAGATGGAGGCCTCTAAGAAATGTGGTTCTAATTTTAAACTGATTGCCTCGTATTCGCTTCCCATGCATCAAGAGCTAGTTTGAGTTCTACTGTCCATAATTGTCAGTTGCTACACACTCACTCAGCAGCAATATGGCAGATTTTTCTGCTAGTTAATGCTTAAAAGTTTATTCCATTTTACAAAGTACTGATGAATTTCGACAAGAATAAAAGGCCTTATGGTTTCCAGTAGGAAAATTGCCTTTCTCCTAAAGGCCATGAAATGCCTTTCTCCAAAGTCCATTGGGTGACTCTCGTTCACAAATGTGTCCTACACAAAATCTTAAATGTGCATGGTTTACCAACTGTTAAAATAGGAAGATTTTAACACAAAATCCTGAATTCTGGATTGTCTTGAAATACTGAAAGAGCTGGCAACATCAAGTTGTATTCTTCTATGGCCACAGACCACAGAAGCTGGAGTTGTGTAGTCATTGCCCCTTGGGATAAGGTGGTAACCCTTCGCTCATCTCACACTCTACACACCCTACTTTGCTCAATTTTGTTGCCTGCGTGCTTTCTGTAGGCATCTCAGTTTCCAACTTCTCTCATGGAGTTCCAGGCTTACTGTGAGGAAGGTACCTATAGATGACTACACTGACTTCCTTCTCTTACCCACCTAATCCGTGAAACCGGTCATTCAGCCTCCAGAGATGAATTTCTCATTGCCTTCCTGAATAGCCATTCCATCTGTGGTCAGCTCTCCCTAGGGGAATGTATTCCACAGATTAGGTGTTTCATCTATTATGTCTTCTTGTCCCTTAGTTGGAGATCTATTGGCAATAACCCATTTTGATTATTCTGTTTCTCCAAAACTTGATTTCCATTGTATTTCCAAGGGCTCAGAGGAACTATCAGTTCACCATTTGCACTGAGCTGATGTTAAAGCATTAAGGAACCTGATGCCTCCTCATCTTGTACCTTGTTTTATCTGATTATTTTATGCCATTTGCAAGCTCTAGTGTGATACATGAGGCCATCTCAGAGATTTCTCAAGGTTCACCTGGTAAGAGCCAAAGGAAGCTGTGTTAGTTTCTATAGCTTTTTCTCTAGTGGTAATGGTGCTGATAATAATGATGATATTAGTAGCTACATTTTATTAGAAAAATGCTGCCAGGGTAAACTAAATGCCAGAATGAATGATTGATAAATATCCCTGCATCTAATCCTAATTAAAGGTAGGTGTTATCCTGGTTTATCAATGAGTAAACTGAAACTAAGAGAAGTTAAATATATTCTCAAAGGCCGTTGTGGTGGACATTTTATTTGTCTCTCCTCAAATTTGCTCTTTTTTCTTATGGTAACTGCCATAATTTCCCGTTGGATATCCGTGCCTACCCCATGAATTTCATGTCCTTTGGTAAAAGCAGGCCATGTGACTCAGGCTTAAGCCAATCCATGCAATTCTGATTCACTGGCCATGGTGACTGGCTCATTGATTAGCATGAATCATAGTTAAGAACGATGAGATGGGAGATTTTATTGGAGGGCTTCTGAGAACCTTCTAAAGATACAAGAGCATGCATGGAAGCACTTGTGGAATGTTGGCAGGTTCCCATGTTGTGTTCACGATGGGGCATCAGCCATAAGATAGTTTCAGCAGAGGGTATGTAGGGCAGAGAGTTGGAAGGAGCAAAATCTTGATGACATCATTGGTCTACTGACTTGAAAACTCCTGAAGCCATCTTTGCCACTGGTCATTCCAGTCACAGAAGCTTATGTATCTCTATTGTTTAAGATGGTTTGAATTTTCTGTCACTTGCAACCAGGTGAATCCTACCTGATAGATGCACCCAGGTAGTAGATAATAGAGCCACAATTTAAACCCAGGACTTCATGGTTCCAATATTGGTGCCATTTCTTCTCCTCTGTTCTTGGTTTGGATAAACACTCTTTGTATAGACTCATAGAATCTCAGAGTTTGAAGAGACCCACAAGATCATCCTGCTCAGCCTCTGATGTTACAGATAAGGAAACTGAGGCGAAGAAAGGAAAAGTAACTTGCCCAGGACAATTGGGGCCCACGGGTAAGGTAGGCTGACCTCAGTATGCTGCTTTTCTTCCCCATATCACAACACCTTTATTTATTTTTCTGTTTATCATCCTAGTTAAATTAATGGGTCTCAGGGATGGAGAGTCATTGCCTACAGATTATGGCCATGGTAAGCAGGACAAACTTCCTGGGCCCAGGAGGAGTCTAGAGTTCATTTGTGAAATCTGCCCTTTGAGTATAACCAAGACTAGGACCAAAGTAATGGG
This sequence comes from Homo sapiens, assembly GCF_000001405.40. Classification (NCBI taxonomy): domain Eukaryota; kingdom Metazoa; phylum Chordata; class Mammalia; order Primates; family Hominidae; genus Homo; species Homo sapiens. The sequence goes on along the minus strand of NC_000016.10, from coordinate 10,000,850 downwards.
AGTACAAAACTGAAGAAGCTGAAGATATGCAGTATTGCACCCATTTCTGGAGAAATAGAAAAATAAATAAATGAAGACAGCAGCGGAAGAGAAGAAAAAGGAGAAAGAGGAAAATGATATTTACAAGGTGCTGTCCAAAACCAAAGAAGCATGATGGATAGGGAAGAATCTTTGTTTTTTTGTCTTCCTTAATACAATGAAATCAGTGTAGATCCGGTAGGCCAAGGTACCCAGAACACTGTTCTCTCTCCTCTGTTTCCTCCCTTATTCCATGCTAAAGTACCTTAAAGGACTCTATAGACTATTAATAGTGCTTTAGAACATAACTCACTGCTTAGGACTTCCAACAAGTGGCCCACTGGTGGAAGAAAAGCAATATATTAAGTAATTTTAGAGGAATTTCAAGGAATGAGGGTATAGGTTTTTACCCTTTCTCTTGATAGCTGAGACATGACTGCTACTTATTTTCCTTTTAGGAGGAGAAAAAAAAACTTTCTTTCTCTGTAATAGTAGGAGTAGTGTAGAAATAGCCGCAGTGGTTAACACATGCATGTTCTTCACATGTGGTACGAGAAGGACTCACCAAATGTGTCCATGCCCTAATGCTTGGAACCAGTGGATGTGTTGCCTAATTTGGCAAAAGAGATTTTACAACTGTGATTAAGTTAAGGCTCTTGAAATGGGGAGATTATCCTGGACTATTCAGGTCAACCCAGTGTAATAATACTGGGTCCTTATAAGGGAAGAAAGGAGGCAGGAGGGAGAGAGTCAGAGGAGGAGATGTATAGTGAAGGTAGAGGAAACAGAGGTGGAATAATGAGGGTGCTCAGGGGAGGAATGCAGGAACTCCCTGGAACCTGGAAAGGCAAAGACATGGAATCTTTCCTAGAGTTCTGGAGGAACACAGCTTTGTCCATACTTTGATTTTTAGCCTAGTGAGCCCATTTAGAATTTATGACCTCAGAATTGCAGAATAATAATTGTGTGTTATTCTAAGTCGTTGTGCTTGTGGAATTTGTTACAACAGCAAATGGAAACTAATACCCCCTGTGTGAGAGCCTGTGATCAGTGATTAGCCTCCGTATCTTGCTTGATTCTTTTCTTTTTTATATATATACTTTCAGTTCTGGGGTACATGTGCAGAATGTGCAGTTTTGTTAAAGAGGTATGCCCATGTGATGGTGGTCTGCTGCGCTCATCAACCTGTCACCTACATTAGGTGTTTCTCCTAATGCTATCCCTCCCCTAGCCCCCAACCCCTGACAGGCCCAGTGTGTGATGTTCCCCTTTCTGTGTCCATGTGTTCTAATTGTTCAACTCCCACTTATGAGTGAGAACATGCAGTGTTTGGTTTTCTGTTCTTGTGTTAGTTTGCTGAGAATGATGGTTTCTAGCTTCATCCATGTCCCTACAAAAGACATGAACTCATCCTTTTTTATGGCTGCATAGTATTCCATAGTGTATATGTGCCACATTTTCTTTATCCAGTCTCATTGATGGACAGCTTGATTCTTATCAATCCTTCATTTTAGAGATTACAAAATGCTGTTTAGAGTGGTAAGTTTAATATGCCAAGGTCACTTCTTGAGTTAAGCAGTTGAGTCAGGATTTGAACCCAGGCAGTCTGATACCAGAACTTGGATTCTTAACCACTGACTCTACTACCTCTCTAATATAGCTGGAAACTCTTTGACATAAGAACATCCTTCTTGGGCCAGCAGGTGCCTGGGAAGCTGCTTTCAGTGTAAGTTTCTGTGCTGTTTGGAGGAAAATACTACACTTGTATAATAGGAATTGTGAGTTGTTGGAACCTCTAATTTAATATTGTTTGTTCTGCTGATGTAATGCTTCCATTGGCTCTGAGCTGACTAAAGAAATAAGGATTCTTTGTATATTCCACACCCCCTACCCGCACCCCTAGGATGTTTATGTCCCTCAGCAAGCCATCCAGGAAGTCCTGAAGGAGAAAGCAATGCATGTAATTGAAACTGATACATGACCTGAAAAGTTTTTGCAGGAGGGGGAGGAGGAGTATTTGTGACTATTGTCAGAACTGTTAGAGAGTTGGAGAGGAAGGCAAGGGGGAGAGAAAAGGAGGGAGGGAGAAGGAGAGAGAGAGAGAAGAGTGAGACTGATTCTGAAATTAGTTGAGAAAGATACATAGAGATATATACAGTAATACAAAAACATAAAGGGAGTAAGATTTTGCAAGGCAATTTGCCAATTTTTATAAAAATTTAAAGAGCATACTTTGTGATCTGGCAGTTCTATGTTTTTTATTGCAGTAAAGTGCCCATAACATAGAGTTTACTATTTTAACCATTTTAAAGAGTACAATTCAGTGACATTAAGTACATTCACAATGTTGTGCAAGGACCTTCGATCTCTACTTCCAAAACATTTTCATGACTCCAAATGAAAATTCTGTATCTATTAAGTATTCACACAACATGCCCCATCCTTCCAGCTCCCTGGCAACCAATAATCTAATTTCTGTCTCTATGGATTTGCCTATTCTGGACATTTTATGTGAATGGAATCATACAGTGTTATGCCTGGCTCCTGTCGTTTATCATGACGTTTTCGAGGTTCATGCCACTCTTATATAACAACAGATATGGACTAAATATCAATCGCAGTGCCATGGCTAACCCATGACACATGAGCACCATGGGAAAGATTCATCTAGTAGAATAAAGTAGAGCCTCATACTGGTATGGAGAGGTCTCCAAGACATGTTTTTGGGTAAAAACAGACAGTTATAGAACAAAAAGCATAACCTATTATTTGTGTAAAAAGTTATGGAATGAGGTGTTATAATTCTATAAATAAATGTAGTAGGTACATGTATTAGTCTATTTTCATACTGCTATGAAGAAATACCCAAGACTGGGTAATTTACAAAGAAAAAGAGGTTTAATGGACTCACATTTCCACATGGCTGGGGAGGCCTCACAATCATGGTGGAAGGTAAAGCAGGAACAAAGGCATGTCTTACATGGTGGCAGGCAAGAGAGCATGTGCAAGGGAACTGCCCTTTATAAAACCATCAGATCTTGTGAGACTTATTCACTATCATGAGAATAGCACAGGAAAAACCCACCTCCATGATTCACTTACCTCCCACTGGGTCCCTCCCATGACATGTGGGATTATGGGAGCTATGATTCAAGATGAAATTTGGGTGGGGACACAGCCAGACCATATTAGCACATCAATGCATAGACAGAGGTTTGAGTGGATACACAACAAACATGTAACACAAGAATGGTCGATGTTGGGGATGAGTTGAGATTAGGGATGGCAGTCAAGAGGGCTTTAGCTTTGTCTCTTAATGTTTGGATTTATCAAAGGAGAATATATTCATATGTGTATATAAATGAATCAAATTGAAAGAAAACATGAAAAGAAAGGAAAAACAGAAGGAGATCAATGATACCAAGAAAAAGTGTAGGGGGAAGGCTACACACAGGAAGAGATCCCCCGGGATAGAATCTGGATGGACCTATCATCACACCATTACTGTACCATTTGGAGTGGGAACATTGGGAGTGGGGAGTGTTGAATGGTGAGAGCTTTTAGACTCAGCCTTTTCCCTGTTGTCATAAGCTGACTTCAATTATAGCATCTCCAACACTAGTGATTACTGGTTTGTTCCAGTGTTAGAAAGTCTACAGGCCAGTTCAGGACAGAGCTCCTGTTTTGAGTTTTAACTCAGCAATCAGTGTTTCGATTTTGGAGGAAATTTTCCAAGATTAATCAAGTTGTTTTTTCTTCTGTGTTGTCAGGATGATACATTTTTGGGCTGGTGATGATGAAAAAAATCATGGTTTCCTTAAAGGAACGAAAGAGCATGACTTAAGTTGTGTAAAGGTTGGCGTTTTTTTGTTTGAAATGTCATAGCAATTAGCTACTTAATATGTGAGAGATAATTTTATGATTTAAAAAAACACCTGGTGTTAGAGGAATCAGACCAGAAAAATGAACATTTTATTTTTATTCTGTTTTCTTTGTTAAGAACTGTGAGTCCTGGTTTGAAATCCCCACCCCTATTCATCTCTCCATCATTGAGAATTTTTGATGAGTGATTAGTCTATGTGCTAGGTGCTGTAGTGTTAAAAAATAGGTATAGCCTCTTCCCATTGGTGGAGCTTATGGTGTATTGGGAAAGACAGAAACTCCATAAAAACCACAACAGCTATGTGTATATGATTATAAATCCTGACAAGGGAAATTATGTGTAGACAAATGAAGTTGGAATATTACTTACAGGTGTGCCCACCACAATCTGCTCAGGGACAGGTCACTTGGGAGGAGATGTCTAGTTGGATTTCGACACTCTGGCCTCAGGCAATTAATTTTCTCCCTTAACGATTACAGTGATGGGTAGGAGCAGGTCTTCTGGAGTTCAGTTTGCATTTAGCTGAACTCAATTTTCATGCGTGCCTGAGTCTGAAAGAATAGCTGCTCAGGGGAGCCCAGGGAGCCTGCATCGTGGGAGGGAGTGTCAGCAGTGGTTTCACGCAATGCAATGTGGTAGAAGAGAATGAGGTCTGCTCCCTCTGGAAGGTGAAAGAGGCAGGTTATGATGCAGGTTGGGGTAATTGTTGGAGATGCCCTTCCACCCTACGTAACTCTGTCATTTTCTTGGTTGGCTCGCATCTTCTCTTTCTGACATTCAACTTATCCCATTCTTTTATTATTTTATTTCCATACTTCTTTCTCCTTAGTTTCTTTACTTTCCAAATCCTCCTTTCTCTGTTTCCTTCTGTTCTCTTCCCTCTTACTTCTTTCTTTCTTTTTTTTTTTTTTTTTTTTTTTTTTTTGCCACCCTCTGCCTGCTTTCTTTTTATTCCTCCTATTCCTTTTCTTCCTTGATCTATTGTTTTACCTCTTTGCTCACTCTTGGTCAATGCCCTTCTAGCTCTCCTAGTTTATTTCTCTACCTCCCTGCAAATCCCTCTGTTATTATCTTAGACTCATTGATGATCCCACATAGATCCCATAAGCCTTACTTCTCTATCCCCTCTTTAAATGGAAGCTAGTGTTAAGGGGGTCATTTATCCCTTGCATTGAAAAAGCATACTGAGGATATAGGGGGACCCACTCAAAGGAAAGGGGATGAGGGCTTTGGAAAATGTAAGTGCAAGAATCACAAACATTATAAGCATAGCATACACTGGGAGATCAGAGGTGTTATTAGATGACTGGGACCTTGGGTGATTTATGTGTTTGGGGAAGTTTCATTATGACTGGGAGTGAATAGACTGGTTTGGACCCCTCCTTCCTTTGCTCACTTGTACCCAAGCCCTCCTTGGAAGTTGTGTTACTGTAGCCTGAAAGGGCTGGTCTTCTTCACAATATCTTGACCAAAACACCACCACCACCACCAACGACAACAACAGCAACAACCTTCTTGTCTTTATTAAACCTGAGGGGATTAATGCTTAGAAATCCATTTAAAAATCCTAATTCGTCATCTATCCCCTCCATGAACCTGCTTAAAAATGTCTCTTCTTTTGTTTGTCCCCCAGATTCTCTTGACCACATCTGGCTTGTGCTGTTTGACCTCTTTGTGTCTTAGATGGGCTTAGCCTTGCTTTCCCTCTTCCCTTTTCCAAACCCTCTGCAGTCTCCAGGGGGCTGATTTCTTATAATTCAGGCCTCAGCTCAGATGCTGCTTCCTCAGAGTGGCCTTCTCTAACCATTCTCTCTTGCAGATACTCTTAACCTTAAGGGGATGATAGGAGGAAATACATTGAAGAATTTGATGAAACCAAGGACCAACAGTCTTCCTTTCTCCCAGTCTCAGGGGATTCTTCAGCTCGTCCCTGGACTTTTCAGGTGTCTGTTTGACCGAGTCAGTCTCCAAGAGCCCCTCCCCTCCCTTGTCATACCCTATCACCTTAGCTTGCATTTATTTGCTTGTTAACCCTTAAAACCAGATGAAATGAGGTTGTATGTTTGTTTGCTTATTCACCATCATCAAGATCCCAGCCAGGAATACCTCTAATTACCATAGCAACAGGAGACACTGGAAAAAGCACTTTCAGGGTAAAGGAGTTCCAATGGAGATGGTGAGCCAAGAATTCTCCCTTACGTTTTTCCATGCTGTGGTGACGCAGGTACCTCTGACCTGAAACTTAGTTCAGAAGCTCCCAATGCTATGCCTGGTGGTTTCCATTTGTATTCAAACCCTTCCCTGCCCATGGTCTTCTCTTCTATTTGCTTCTTGTCTGTTTTGATACAAATCAATAATTTCCCTCATCTTGCTCCTGCATTTAGAAAAGTGAACCAACTGTCCAGTTTCCCTGCTTCATTGACACACAGAGGTTAACATCTCGGGGACGTCAATCCTCAGGGCAGAACTTAGTGAAGAGAATGCTTTCCTCCTAATTGATGGGATCCCATTGCTGAGACTCTCTCATTTCACCTCCCACCTGGGGACGAGGAGGGCTCCACATTCTCTGGAACAATGACAGTTTACTTTATTGCCTTAGAGAGAAGGAGCTACAAGGCCTGAGTACAGAGAAGATGGGGGAAGTAACCCAGGTCACCCCTTGAAATAGCTGAAAGAAACTATCCAGGAACTGACAAATGGGCTTTGCATTCTGACAGGTGCAGGGCCCTCTTCAGCAGTTCGCGTTGGAAATTGGAAAAATGAGCCTATTGTTGAAGATCTAGATCATTCATTCCATTTTTAAGTGAGAAAGGAGGTATTTCACACTATTACCTTTACTTCCGAGCGTTTGTGCCAAAGATGTAAGATGATAACATGGAGGGTGATATTCCATGTGATGGATTTCTTCTTCCCTTGCCTCACTACAGAATGTTCAAAAATAAACTTTCCATCTGCAATTCCTGTAGAATATCAGACTACTCTTTGCAAGTAAGAAGACATGATGGTGCAACAGAAGACCAGAGGATTACAATGATGTGTCCGAAATCTGAGCCAGGAGCAAAAACAAAGAATGCATCCTTTTCCCCACATGAGCCGCCTGTCCTGACTCATGATGGACCTGGGATCTCTTGCCTCTGTTGACTTGGAGACTGGGGTCTTTACGAATGGGGGTTGGAGTTAGGGGCAGATTTAGGTTTTAGTCTGAGTTCTCTCTCTGACAGAGTTTTTGGGTGACTTTGGGCAAGCCACCCATTTCCTCTGTGTCTTTGTTTCCCAACCTGCAATGTAGGAGGGAAGCATGCCCATTGCACAGGAGAGATTTAAAATGGAAGAGCCTCAATTTTTAGGGAAAACAAAATAAAACAGATTTATTTATTATTTATTTTATTTTAGTGATGGGTTCTCACTTCGTGTCACCCAGGCTGGAGTGCAGTGTCATGATCGTAGCTTACTGCAGCCTTGAGTTCCTGGGCTACAGTGATCCTCCTGCCTCTGCCTTCCAAGTAGGTAGGATTACAGGTGCAGGCCACCATACTCTGCTATTTCTTTTTAAAAATTTTTTTGTAGAGATGGGGTTTCACTATGTTGCCTAGACTAGTCTCGAACTCCTGGCTTCAAATAATCCTCCTGCCTCAGCCTCCCAAAACAGTGTGATTTCAGGCATGAACCCCCATATCCAACCTTATTTTATTTATTTTTACTTATTTATTTATTTTTGAGACAGAGTCTTGCTGTGTAGCCGAGGCTGGAGTGCAGTGGAGAGATCTCGGCTCACTGCAACCTCTGCCTCTAGGGTTCAAATGATTCTTGGGCCTCAGCCTCCCGAGGAGTAGCTGGGACTACAGACGTGCACCACCATACCTGGCTAATTTTTTGGGGTTTTTTTTTGTATTTTTGGTAGAGATGAGGTTTTGCCATGTTTGCCAGGTTGGTCTTGAACTCCTGACCTCAAGTGATCCATCCACCTTGGCCTCCCAAAGCGCTGGGATTACAGGCGTGAGCCACCGCCACCGGCCTTATTTTATCTTATTTTTTAGATATGAGAGTTTATCATTATTATGGCAGGAACGGGTAGTGTTGGAAGCAAGACTGAGAAGGAGATAATTTCAGTCCCAGGTAGTATGCACATTGTGCTTTATGTTATGCACCGATTTACATAGCCGAGTATTGTCTCTCTGTGTCAGATTTGTCCACTGTCCACACTTCCATGTGAACTGTATTTTGCACAGCTGCCTTGATTTCTCTGCATCCTGATTTATTAGCCCTGGTTGATGCAAAGTGAGCCTCTGCATAAATTCAAGAACAATTTATAACCTGCCCCATCAGCAAATATCCAGAGCATTCGTTTCAGAAAACATGTTAGTTGGTCCTGTTCCTTGCCTCCGGTGGAAGGAGCTAAAACGAGGCGGGTTATTTTCACCACGGACACCTTCTCCTTAACTTTGGGAACTGAGAAATATATTGGCCTGTTTCTTTTCTTTGATGGTACAAAGAAATAGGGCAGAAACAATTTGCTGTTTGTGAACAACTGGCTGAGAGTGAAGTTGGCCTTTTCTGCTGAGCAAATAGAATCTGTCTTCCCTGTTCCATCTTCACATGGGAACATCAGCTTGAGAGACAATAGACTTATAAAGCCTCCTCTTTACCTCATCCAGCTTCCTCTATAAACTAGCTTATCCTCTGAGAAGGCTTCTTATTAAGAACCAGGATTGCAACTTGGATTGATTCCCTATCTTTTCAAGTGTCCATGAACGGATCATTGGATAAAGAAAATGATATAAACATACCATGGAATACTACTGAGCCATAAAAGGTAATTACATCATGTCTTTCGAAGCAACATGGAGGGAACTTGACGTCCTTATCTTTTTTGTTTTTAATTATTATACTTTAAGTTCTGGGATACATGTGCAGAACGTGCAGTTTTGTTACATAGGTATACATGTGCCATGGTGGTTTGCTGCACCCATCAACCCATCATCTAGGTTTTAAGCCCCGCATGCATTAGGCATTTGTCCTAATGCTATCCCTCCCCTTGCCCACTACCCCCTGACAGGCCCTGGTGTGTGATCTTCCCCTCACTGTGTCCATGTATTCTCATTGTTCAACTCCCACTTATGAGTAAGAACATGTGGTGTTTGGCTTTATGTTCCTATGTTAGTTTGCTGAGAATGATGGTTTCCAGCTTCATCCATGTCTCTGCGAAGGACATGAACTTGTTCTTTTTTATGGCTGCATAGTATTCCATGGTGTATATGTGTTGAGGCCCTTAAGTGCAGCAACTCCAAAACAGTCAAATGTGACATGTTCTCACTTATAAGTGGGAGCTAAATAATGTATACACATGGACACAGAGGGTGGCATAATAGACACTGGAGACTCGAAGGTGAGGGGAATGGGAGGAGGTGAAGAATGAGAAGTTATTTAATGGGTACAATAGACACTTTTGAGTGACAGCTACACTAAAAGCCAAGACTTCACCACTACACAATATATCCATATAACAAAAATGCAGTTGTATCCCTTAAATCTATTTTTAAAAGAACCATGATTGCAACTTGAAATCATATCATTTATTTTACCTGTAGGACCACTTACTAATTCAGAGCTGAACCCTGGAGCCAGAGGACCAAGATTGAACTGGTTCTCCACCTTGGGGATGCCATTTCCTCTATCTAGGACTTGGATCCCTTCTTTGCAAATGGAGTTAATAATACTACCTGATATTAAGTCGTTGGAAGCATTAAATCTGATAACTCCTATAATGTGCTGAGTGTAGTGTTTCATTAAGAAATACCAGGCATTTGCCTTTTTCCATTTTCCTTTTAATGAGGACATCGGCATCTTAGAATTATCAAGTTATTTCTTTTTTTTTCTTTTTTTGAGACAGAGTCTCACCCTGTCACCCAGGCTGGAGTGTAGTGGCGTGATCTCAGCTCACTGCAACCTCTGCCTCCCAGGCTCAAGCCATTCTCCTGCCTCAGCCTCCTGAGTAGCTGGGATTACAGGTACCCGCAACCATGCCTGGCTAACTTTTGTATTTTTAGTAGAGAGGAGGTTTCACCATGTTGGCCAGGCTGGTCTCAAACTCCTGACTTCAGGTGATCCACCTGCCTCGGCCTCCCAAAGTGCTTGGATTACAGGCGTGAGCCACCGCACCTAGCCCAAGTTATTTCTTAAAATAAGAAAATAGTATTATCCAAAACCTACCTTACAAACTCTGTTAGGCGAAATTTCTCCTGCTCTTGACCTTTTGAGAAGGAGACAGGTGAAAAAAAAAAATGCCAATGTAAGAACATAGTTGAGACTGTTGAGTCAGTATCTAGAGGCAGCATTCATTTTCCATCAACCGTGTGTGTGTGTGTGTGTGTGTGTGTGTGTGTGTGCGCGCGCGCGCGCGCGCGTGTAGAGAGAGAGATTCAGGGGGTGCGTGTGCAGGTTTGTTACATAGACATATTATGTAATGCTGAAGTTTGAGCCTCTAATGTTCCTGTTGCCCAAGTAGTGTAGTGAATGCACTACCTGATAGGTAGTTTTTCAACCCTTGACCCCCTCCCTCCCTCCTCCCTTTTGGGATCCCCAATGTCTATTGTTCCCATCTTTATGTCCATGAGCACCCAATTTTAGTTCCTACTTATTAGTGAGAACATGTGTTACTTGGATTTCTGTTCCCTTGTTAACCCACTTAGGATAATGGCCTTCAGCTGCATCCATACTGCTGGAAAGGACATGATTTCACTCTTTTTTATGGCTGTGTAGCATTCCATAGTGTATATATATCACATTTTCTTTATCCATTCCATTGTTGATGGGCATGTGGGTTGATGCTATGTCTTTGCTATTGTAAATAGTGCTGTGATAAACATATGAGTGCAGGGGATTTTTGGTGGAACCATTTATTTTCCTTTGGGCATATACCCAGTGATGGGATTGCTGGGTAGAATGGTAATTCTATTTTTAGTTCTTTGAGAAATCTCCAAACTACTTTCCACTGGGGCTGAACTAATTTATATTCCCACCAGCAGTGTATAAATATCCCTTTTCTCTGCAACCTTGCCAACATTTGTTATTTCTGATTCTTTAATAATAGCCATTCTGACTGGAGTGAGATGGTATCTCACTGTAGTTTTGATTTGCTTTTCTCTTATGATTAATGATGCTGAGCATTTTTTCATGTTTGCTGACCACTGTATGTATGTCTTCTTTTGAGAAGTGTCTGCTCATGTCCTTTGCCTGATTTTAATGGAGTTATTTGTTTTTTTTCTTGATTTAAGTTCCTTATAGCTTCTGAATATTAGCCCTTTGTTGGATACCTAGTTTGCAAATATTTTCCCCCATTCTGTAGGTTGTCTATTTAGTGTATTGATAGTTTCTTTTGCAGTGCAGAAGACCTTTAGTTTAACTAGATTCCGATTGTCAATTTTTTTTTGTTGCATTTGCTTTTGAGGACTTAGTCATAAATTATTTGCCTAGGCTAATGTCCAGAACAGTATTTCCTAGGTTTCTTCTAGGATTTTTTTATAGTTTGAGGTCTTACATTTAAGTCTTTAATCCATCTTGGGTTAATTTTTGTATATAGTAAAAGATAGGGGTCCAGATTTAGCCTTTTGCATATGGATAGCCAGTTTTCCCAGCACCATTTATTGGATGGGGGTTCTTTCCTCATTGCTTATTTTTGTTGACTTTGTCAAAGATCAGTTGGTTGTAGGTGTGCAGCTTTATTTTAGGGGGTCTGTATTCTGTTTCATTGGTCTATGTGTCTTTTACCAGTACCATGCTGTTTGGGTTACTGTAGCATTGTAGTATAGTTTGAAGTTAGGTAATGTGATGGCTTTGGCTTTATTCTTTTTGCTTAGGATTGCCTTGCCCATTCATCAACCCTATATTTTTTATTTTGAGGCAAAGAAGATGGATGTTCAGAGAGCACCAAAGTCTTATCAGGTCACGTATCAAGATTCAACATTGTTTCCTTTCCTTATTTGGACAGAATAATGGACCAAGATATCAAGTCTTCAATATTGGCTTGAAGGGAAAATGAGAGTTAGTTGTAGGACCCTCCTCCTGTCTGGTTATCATGGTTCTGTTCTGGGGGATCTTGGGCTACATTCCATCAAAAGTGGGAGCATGGAGGGACCTGCAGTATTGTGGAAAGAACCTGGGCCGATAGTTAGTCTTATTTGAGATTAATCATATCTTGGCTTGGTTCTAACCATCTCAACCTGGGGAAGTTATTTAAATTCCCTGTTCCTCATAATGGAGATAATAATGGCTTCTTGAGAGGGTTGTTGTGAAGATGATATTGTTTAAGGCACCTATCACTCAGCCTGGCATATGGAAGATGCTCTTTGAATATTCATTGTCTTTGCTAAAAATGTGTGTTTGTGTTAGAGAGAGAGAGAGAGAGAGATTAATTGGTACACACAGAGAAGGAGAGAGATGGCTGGACAACCATGGTGGGGATTTGATATAGACTTGGGGGAGCTGGAGGAAGGTTTCTGGTGTTCTGTATCTTGAAGCTTGATTTTGGAAAATGGTTGTATGGATGTGTTCAAATTGTAGAAAATTGAGTGGTATAATTTGTCCACTGTTTTTATGTATTAAAAATTTAAAAATGTGTGTTTGTAAGACCTCTTTCTGTGTCACACACACACACACACACACACACGCACACACACACACACCCCTATGGATCTCTTTCCTTCAGTGTTCAGGAGAGACACACTCCCCAGACATCTTGACATCTCCTTTTCTTCACTCTTGATTCCTGCCCCTGACATCAACTGTAGTGATGCAGGCTCCTACTTCTCTTGAGATCTGGTATTCTTCTATTGCGTCTAAGTGGTAGGTTGGTGTTGTGGAAGCCATATGGGCTTTGGAGGCAGAAAAACCAGGGTTTGCATCTTGGGCTTATTTTTTACAAGCTGCAGATTTCTTGTCTGCAAAATGGTTGCTGTGAGAATTAGAGATGATTCAGGTAAACCACTGAGCATGATGCTAGACACGTCCAAGTATTAGCTGTACAGTCTTTGGATTTATCTCCTGGGTAGAGAGAACCTCCTGCCCCAAGTCTGGAAAGATGTTGGCTTTTGTAGAGTAAACTCTCGAAATGTATTAAATTGACTCCATGCTTGGGAATTTTCTCCATTTAGAATGGGTGTTTCTACCTGGTTCAGATCTGAGTTCAACCTAGATCCTCCTAAAACTATTTAAGACCATTACCTCTGACATAGGCTGTGCAGAGTAAACAGATCTCACATGAATGAGACCTTCTCCATCTTTCTTTGCTTTTATTTAAGCCAAATATACAGAATTTGAATGTCTAATAATTTTCTTCTATTGGGGTCATTGGTTTAATTTCCTTAGCTTAAGGGAGAGCTGACTAGATATTTTTTGTATGCTACTCTTGAAATATGTTTTGGCGTATTTGTTTGCTTTCTTATGCCCTCATTTATTTTACTGCATTTGGATAACTGGATGTTATCAGGTAGCTACTATTCTTAGTGAATAGGTGGAATTCCACTTCTGTGCCTAACAGTATACAAAGAAAACAACATTATTCTAGCTGCATTTTTTTTGCTTCCATAGTTTCTGAGTTATAAATGGGAGTGAGTTGGCTTTCATATGCACCTACAAAATTAATGTTTTATAAAAGGAAGAAATATAAAAAGTCTTTAGGCCATCTGTATTGGCCTAATGCCTAAAATCATTTAGCGAGGTCTGGGCCATGTTAGGGTTAGGGTTAGATTCTGTTTTTTCATAATTAGTAATCTGGTTGCAGGGACCAGACATGCTCTGCAATAACAAACAGCCATACCAGTAAGTATCAAATTATGTGCTCAGTGAAAAGTGGAGTCCCTAATACAATGTCTCTTACTGGAGTCTATGGACCTCCTGCATCAATGATGCCAAGTATGCTGGTTCAGAATATAGATTCCTGGGTACCATATCCAGAGATTCTGATTCAGTGGTGCTGGAAGGAAACTCGGGTATATGCACACTGAAAAGCTCATTAGGGTGATTTTGATGCTAAGTTATTGAATTACTAGCACTCTACACAATTGGAGGACAGAAAATACCTATGTGAGGTTGTAGTATTTATGGAAGAAGGAAAAGGTGATATCTAGATCTTGAAAGATAAAATACTGACAAAATAAACATTTTCTTCTTTTTTTTTTTTTTTTTTTTGAGACAGCGTCTTGCACTGTTGCCTGGGTTGGAGTGCAATGGCGTGATCTCAGCTCATTGCAACCTCCGTCTCCTGAGTTTAAGTGATTCTCTTGCCTCAGCCTCCCAAGTAGCTGGGATTACAGGCACCCGCCAGCACGCCTGGCTAATTTTTTGTATTTTTTAGTAGAGACGGGGTTTCACTATGTTGACCAGACTGGTCTCGAACTCCTGACCTCATGATCCGCCCACCTTGGCCCCTCAAGGTGCTGGGATTACAGGTGTGAGCCACCGCACTCGGCCCATTTTATTTCTTTAAAAGAGCCTTTTGGTTATTGTACATTGTTAAAACAGAAATACACTATAAAATAAAATCGACAAAGATCACTTGTAATTTCACCACAACTGTAACTCTTTGGTGAAGTTTTTCAATCTTATTATTTTACAAATATTTTTATGATTGGCTTGTATATACATTTTGTTTTCACTTTTATTATTCACCTAACGTCATAATTTCAGTTCATCATGTTATGACAACTTCTCCATAAGCACTTTTTCTTGGTAGTAGCATATTTCTTTTCCTTGGTTGTAGGATTTTCTACAGATTTCCTTTCTTATCTCGGTACCCAGCCAGAAGGAACAATGCTGTTGATTTCTGTTTCCAAAGGAGGTTGGGTAATTGTCTTTTCCTTTAAAGTTGTGTGATCATTCCATTGTATATGTATATAAAAACATCATATTGTACCTATGAATTTATATAATTATAAAATATCAGTTAAAAATGTTTTTTATTTCTAATTTTTGTGAGTATAAAGTAGGCATATGTATTTCTGGGGTACATGAGATACTTCGATACAAGCATACAATGCATGATAGTCACATCAGAGTAGATGGGGTATCCATCACCTCAAGCATTTACCCTTTCTTTGTGTTACAATCCAATTATACTCTGTTACTCTTTAATGTACAATAAATTGTTGACTGTAGTCACCCTGTTGTGCTATTAAATATTAGATCTTACTCTATCTAACTATATTTTTGTACTCATTAACCATCACTACCTCATACCATCCCCCAACTACCCTTCCTAGCCTCTGGTAACCATCACTCTACTCTCTACCTCCATGAGTTCAATTGTTTTAATTTTTTTTTTTTTAGCTCTCACAAATAAGTGGGAATATGAAGCTTGGCTTTCTGTGCCTGGCTTATTTCATTTAACATACTAACCTCCAGTTCCATCCATATTGTTGCAAATGACAGGATCTCATTCTTTTTCATGGCTGTACAGTACTCCATTGTGTATATGTACCACATTTTCTTTATCCATTTGTCTGTTGACATTTAGGTTGATTCCAAATCTTGGCTATTGTGAGTAGTGCTGCAACAAATATGGGAGTGCAGATGTCTCCTTGATATTTTCCTCTTAATTCACTGACTAATAAACATCACTTCCTAATGATAAAGGCAGGTAAAAACCAAAATAATAAATTAAAATTTCATTCTATTCTAAATGCGGGACCATATAAAATGAACATATAAATAATTGGCCCCATATCTGGATGTTGTAATAACATCATTAGGTTTGTTCTTACTGATGACAAGGAAGTTAACATCTTTAGGTTTGGGCCCAACGTAACTGAGAAGCACACCTAGAGAGTTGGGCACATCAGGAAACTTTTGTCAATAGTTTAGTTTCTGGCAGAGTCTCATGGAGAATCAAGTTACTCGGTGTGTGTGTGTGTGCACGCATGCATGCATGAGTGTGTGTCCACATGTGAGTGTGTCTGTGAGAGAAGGAGAACATACTGGTATGTGTGTGTTTGTAGCTGAAGGAGTGTCATATCGCAGATACGTTTATTAGGGAAATCTGGAAGATAGCAGCAGAGTTTTTGATATCTTTGAACCCACTCCTCAAAAAACAGACAAACTAACAAAAGTAATAAAAAACCAAAAACTAATGGATAATAGCTACAAAAAATTATGAGACAGGATGCCCCCATGAATTCTAAAATGAGCATGTAGATAAAAATCACAACTATAAATCCCATGTGGTGTTAGAAACTGCGTGTGAGAAAGTAAAGACAAGACCAAGTTACTCGTGATGCCTCTGAGAGTTTGGGAAGTTCAAGATCATCATCAGGTACTACTGGAAAATGAGGCAGACCATTCTGAGGACAACAGCTACAGCAGAAATGGTGCTTGGAAAAGTGGATATTCATATGCAGAAGGATGAAACTAGGCATCTATCTCTCACCATATACAAAATACACTCAAAATGGGTTAAAGACTGACGTGTAAAACCTAAAACTGTGAAACTGCTAGAAGAAAACAGGGTAAACTCCAGGGCATTGGTCTGCAAAAAGATTTTTATAGAGAAGACCTCAAAAGCACAGGTAACATCAGCAAAAATAGACAAATGTAAAAGCTTCTGCTCAGCAAAGGAAAAAATCAGAGTGAAGAGACAACCTGCAGAATGAGAGAAAATATTTGCAAACTACTCAACTGACAAGGGATTAATATGCAGAATATACAAGGAACTCAACAGCAAAAAAAAAATCCGATTAAAAATGGGCAAATGAGTTAAATAAACATCTCTTAAAGATATGCAAATGGACAAGTTTATGAAAAAAATACTTGACATCACTAATCATGAGGAAAATGCAAATCGAAACCACAGTGAGATATAATCTCAGCTCAGAAAAGATATTATCAAAAATACAAAAAGTAAATACTGGCAAGGATGTGGAGAAAGAGAACTAGTATACATTGCTGGTGGGAATTTAGAACAGCCATTATGAAAAACGGTATGGAGTTTCCTCATACTAAAAGTAGAACTTCTGTATGATCCAGCAACCCCATTACTGGGTAAATATTCAAAGGAAAGGAAATCAGTATGTTGAAGAGATATTCTTTACCCACTGCCATGTTTATTGCAGCACTATTCACAGGGGCCAAGACATTGAATCAACCACTGAATTAACAGATGAAGAAAATGTGGTATGTATACACAATGGAATACTATTCAGCCATTAAAATAACAACATCTTGGCTGGGCGCGGTGGCTCACACCTGTAATCCCAGCACTTTGGGAGGCCAAGGCGGGTGGATCACAAGGTGAGGAGATAGAGACTATCCTGGCTAACGCAGTGAAACTCCGTCTCTACTAAAAATACAAAAAATTAGCTGGGTATAGTGGCGGGTGCCTGTAGTCCTAGCTACTCGGGAGGCTGAGGCAGGAGAATGGTGTGAACCCGGGAGGCGAAGCTTGCAGTGAGCTGAGATCACGCCACTGCACTCCAGCCTGGGTGACAAAGCGAGACTCCATCTCAAAAAAAAAAAAAAAGAATAAATAACAACATCTTGTCATTCGTGGCAACATGGATGAGCTTGGAGGACACTATGTTAAATGAAATAAGCCAGGCACAAAAAACCAAATATCACGTGTTTTCACTTCATGTGGAAGCTCAAAGCATTGATCTCATGGAAGTAGAAAGTAGATTAGTGGTTACTAGAGGCCAGGAAGGGTGTAGCCACAGGTTGGTTAAAGGATACAAAATTACGCTAGACAGGAAGCATAGGTTCTAGTATTCTATCACACTGTAGGATGACCATAGTTAAAAATATATTGTGTATTTTTAAATAGCTAGAAAAGCAGACTTTTTAATGTTCTAAATACAAGAAATGACAAGTTTGAGGTGATGGATAAGCTAATTACCTTGCCTTGATCATTACACATTGTATACATGTATTGAAGTATCACACCGTACCCCATAAATATTAATATACAATGTCAATTTAAAAAGTATCAGTATGAACTTATGATGTATTTTTACTTAAAATACATATATCCTAGAACAGTAACCAACCTAGTAAAACTAAGTACTCCTCCACTTAGAGTTTGGTTTTTAAATTATTTTCCACTGAGGGAGACCACTGGGAAAGTGGGTGATTCAAGGTGTAGGGTGGAAATGAACAAGATAAACCTTCCTAGAGTGTCTTGTCACTGCAATGAGCAAAGCAGTTACCAAAGACTACAGGTCAAAGGGACTCAGAAGCCAATCTGAAATCAACTGGCCAAAGATGGAACAGCTTGGGCATCAATGAAGATACTAATTGCAGGGCATTGAAATACATAAAATCCGTGAGTTTGTAATAATAAGATATTTTAAAAGATAACTAATTGGTAACCCTTGGAGGATGCTAGGGAACCAATTCATTGTTCTGAAAACATACATGGGGGAAGAAGCATGCGTTTACTGTATTCTGCCCTTCTTGTATCAGTTCTTCCTCAGGCCAAATAGCTGACAAAGGAAGATTTCTCTTTTTGGCGTAGTTCCGGGTAATAAATGAAGAAGGAATAGTAGAATTGGAATATCCCTACATTGCAAACGTTAATGAACTAATGGATCCAGGCAATTATTGTCAATGCCTGCTAATGTTACAAAAGACAACCAGAAAATTTATTTTTTAAAGAAAGTACACACATCACTTATGAAGTATTCCTGGCAAAATAAGTGAGATCTGCATCTACCTCTGGCCTGAACTGCCAGCAAATATGGGAGGGGGCATAAGCCTGTTAGATGACATCATGGGCATGTCATCAGCAAAATCCAGACTATTGGAAACTGCAACAAAAGACCCAGTTTTTAAAACCAAAAATGCAATGAAATAAAAAGAGTCTCAAGAGTCATATTAATTACACTGGCTGCGGGGCTCACACCTGTAATCCCAGCACTTTGGGAGGCTGAGGTGGGCAGATCACTTGAGGCCAGGAGTTCCAGACCTGCCTGGACAACATGGCGAAACCCCCGTCTCTACTAAAAATACAAAAATTAGCTAGGCATGGTGGCACATGTCTGTAATCCCAGCTACTGAGGAGGCTGAGGTAGGAGAATCATTTGAGCACAGGAGTCAGAGGTTGCAGTGAGCAGAGATCACACCCCTGCACTCCAGCCTGGGCAAAAGAGCAAGACTGTCTCAAAAATAAATACATAAATAAATACCATATTAATCATATAGACCTTGTGTGTATTCTAAGTCAAAAGAATACGATTTTTCTAAAAGTATATAGAACAATCAGCGAAATATGAACACAGACCAGACACTTGATAATATTAAGGATTAAGGTAAATTTTGAGTGTGATGATGGTATTGTGATGATATTTGTAAAAAGGAGTCCTTGACTTTTAGAGATGTATACTGAAATATTTACAGATGAATGATATGATATCTGGAGTTCACTTCAAAATAATGCATTGGAAGGAGAACATTGGTAAGAATATGGACAAAACAAGATCAGTCACGAATTGAAAATAGTTAAAATTGAGTGGAGGATACATGGGGGTTTGTTATACTATTTTTTCTGTTTTCTATGTTTGACATTTCCCATGATGACAAGTTTAAAAAGAATATAAAGTGACCCAAGTTTATGTGAACCTTTCTGGAAATGACCTAATGGGATCATAACTAAGCTTTGCAGATAGGTAAACATCTACCAGCCCAATTACCTTGAGACATGATTGGAGGCGCTGAGCAGCATGGCAGTGCTGCCTTGAGATCATAGAAGGAATCCTCCTGGTCAGTAAGTGAACAACAAACAGCATGGATGGCATTTTCAGTTTTTATTCTAATGGTAATTTGTGCATTTCCTGTCTTGTAGTTCTTTAGCACCTTTAGCCCAGGCCTGCTTTTTTTCCTCCTCTAAGGACTTTACAGGGTGAAACTATTCTCTCTCTCTCTCTCTTTTTTTTTTCCTAATATAATATTTTATTTATTTATTTTATTTTTATTTTTTATTATTATACTTTAAGTTTTAGGGTACATGTGCACAACGTGCAGGTTTGTTACATATGTGTACATGTGCCATGTTGGTGTGCTGCACCCATTAACTCATCATTTAGCATTAGGTGTATCTCCTAATGCTGTCCCTCCCCCCTCCCCCCACCCCACAACAGTCCCTGGTGTGTGATGTTCCCCTTCCTGTGTCCATGTGTTCTCATTGTTCAGTTCCCACCTATGAGTGAGAACATGTGGTGTTTGGCCTTTTGTCCTTGTGATAATTTGCTGAGAATGATGGTTTCCAGCCTTCATCCATGTCCCTACAAAGGACATGAACTCATCCTGTTTTATGGCTGCATAGTATTCCATGGTGTATATGTGCCACATTTTCTTAATCTAGTCTATCATTGTTGGACATTTGGGTTGGTTCCAAGTCTTTGCTATTGTGAATAGTACCGCAGTAAACATACATGTGCATGTGTCTTTATAGCAGCATGATTTATAATCCTTTGGGTATATACCCAGTAATGGGATGGCTGGGTCAAATGGTATTTCTAGTTGTAGATCCCTGAGGAATTGCCACACCGACTTCCACAATGGTTGAACTAGTTTACAGTCCCACCAACAGTGTAAAAGTGTTCCTATTTCTCCACATCCTCTCCAGCACCTGTTGTTTCCTGACTTTTTAATGATCGCCATTCTAACTGGTATGAGATGGTATCACTCTCTTTTTTTTTTTTTGAGACAGTCTCTGTTGTCCAGGCTGGAGTGCAGTCGTGTGATCTCGGCTCACTGCAACCTCTGCCTCTTGGGTTCAAGCAATTCTCGTGCCTCAGCCTCCTAAGTAGCTGTGACTGCAGGCGTGCACCACCATGCCCAGCTAATTTTTCTTTTTCTGTTTTTTTTGTTAGTAGAGATGGGGGTTTCACCATGTTGGCCAGGCTGGTCTTGAACTCCTGGCATCAAGTGATCTGCCTGCCTTGGCTTCCCAAAATGCTGGAATTACAGGACTGAGCTACCATGTCTGGACTATTCCCTAGTTATATAGGGGAATTTTCCAATATCACCAGAGTCTATAGTTTCATTTTCAATATAATATAAATATCTTGGGTATATATACTTTTATCTCATACACACACACACACACACACACACACACACAGAATATAAGTCCTAGATAAATACATACATATACATATATATATATATATATATATATATAGTCCCATAGTCCCTTATATGTATATAGGACTGTATAGCCTCCAAGCGTTTTCTAGTACAGTCATTCATTCTGTGAATATTAAATGCTTAAATGCCTGGCATTGTACTAGAGAATGAGGATACAGTCTTTTCATGTCCAGATTCTAGTATAGGGAGACATCAATACACAGGTGAAAAAACTAATTACAGATTTTGGACAGTGTTATGGGGGAGGTAATAAGCAGAGCTGTGGTGAAGACTGATGGACAAAGACCCTGCTCTAGCAAGAAAAGGCCTCTCAGAGCATGAGACGTTTAAGCTGAAATCTGAAGGATAAAAAGGAGGTCCTGATGATGGGAACAGCGGAGGAAAAAGCATTCCAGGTATAGGGAACAGACAGTGCGAAGACACTGAGGAGGGAAAAAGCTGGTGACAGGAAACTGTCAAGGTCTATTGTAGAGCAAAATGAGAAAGATGGAGAGTGGCCCAAGGGATAGGAGCTGATCTCGTCTTCAGAATAACCATGTGGCACTGTCTTCCTTGTTCCTTAGATTTCACAGATAAGGCAACTGAGGCAACCCTCTGTGTCATTGCTAGTAAGTCACAGAATGAGAGCTTGAATCTTCTTCACCAGACTCCAGATCTAGTGTTCCTTTTGAGTAGATAAAATAAACCTGTTAGAATCTTAGTCTCCTCTTGGCTTACTTTCTCACAACCAGAGGGGTCAGTTTAAGCTGTGCTTGGCATAACCAGAGTGAGGGACCCGCATTGTAAGAGAGGCAAGATCCCACATGCTCCTGAAATCAACGTCAGGATTTCTTCACAGGTTTCGTTGTGGGAGTCGGAAATGTGGGCACTACTTTTTAATGTCTTAGAAGTGTCTGTGGGTACATAGCAGAATTTACTGTCACATCCATCTGCTTCTCTCCCTCTGTCTTGCTGAGTAACCTGCCATTTCAGACGAGAAGCCCGTGCCACGTTATGTCATCAGGGTCCATTAAGAGATTACTCTGATTCCAGAGGAACATCCGTTCCGAATACAGAGGAACTTGCTTTCATCTTCCAAGGGATGCCAATTGTTGATTCCTTGCTCCTCTTCAAAGGGAAATGTGATAAAAATCCTTCTGGAGGAATTTTCCTACTGGCAGTGATCATTTTCATAGTGAACTTGAGCCAGGTCATGGAGTGGAAGAAATGTAATGTTCTTACAGAGGGAAGATCTTGCTTCATTAAGGAGGAGTAAGAGGAGGATGGGGAGGAAAGGGAGGAGGAGAAAGAGGAGGAAGTAGAGGAGGAAGGGGAAGGAGAGGAATGAGAGGAGGAAGAGGATAGGGAGGAGGAGGAGAAGGACTAAGGAGCAGACAAAGTACTAACCACCTTCCATACTCATGTTAATCATCACAATAAACCAGCAAGGCTGGGAATTATCACCTTTCTCGAAATGAGCAAACTGAGGGTAAGCAAGGTGAAAAGACTTGCCCAAGTTCACACAGATAGGAAGAGGCTGAGCCAGGTCCCTGTAACTGCATTTGCCTGAGTCACATAGCTTCTCCGTGGATACTTTGAAAAGTGAGTGGCCCTTGCTTTCTAGACCAAATCACACACAACTCTAACTTGCATTGGGAACTGACAACCCATTGCTTTTTCTTTATCAGTTGGTGCTTTCGTTATGCTGTAGCATTGTCATGTTTAGAAGTATAACATCCAACTGCCTCATTTTGCATGGAAGAAAAGGCTCAGAAAGGTGAAGAATGTGTCCAAAATCATCCAGTGAATATATGGCACAGCCAGCATCCAAGTTCTAACTCCAAGTCTAGTGCCTTCTTCTCAAACCACAGCTGTCTTGTTCTTGCCCAAGATCTTTTTCTTCATCTTCGTTGTTAAGCTGCAGGGTTGACCTAATTAAAAAGTTTTATTTTTTTATTTTTATTTTTTTGTGAATTAGTAGAGATTTTCAATTTGCTTGGAGCTGAGATTGAGCTAAGAGAGGTATTTACTCACCAAAGTCTACTCCCCAAGGAAAAGCCGACCGAATTGAAGTGTGTGTGTATGTGTGTGTGTGCACATGTGAGTACATGCACACATGGGTGTGCACGTGTGCATATGGGATATGAGGAGGAGAGTGGGACACTTTTATATATGTACTGGTTAAAATTTAGTGGCAAAGCTGCCTGAACGTGTGCTGTGGTTAATGATTGCTTGAGCTCTGCCTTCCACTCTCAGCTTTGGAGTGGGTGGTACGCTGTATACAGAGCACCTAGCGTGCGCACAGAACTCTCCTTTCATTTCTACACATAAAGGGCTTAACATAGTATCTGGCAGATGGCATGCAATGAAATTAACTTTAATTATAATTATCTCATTTAGGGTGAGGTAATACTATTTTTTCAGTTTTACAGATTAGGAAATGGAGACTTCAAGGCTTAAATAACTTCCTAAAATCACTCAATTAGCAAATGATAAACCCAGGATTCAAACTCCGGTCAGTCCTCCCTCCCTCCCCCCTTCCTCCCTTGCTCCAAGAGTATTGCTCTGTTGCCCAGGCTGGAGTGCAGTGACACAGTCATGGCTCACTGCAGCCTTGGATTCCTGGGCTCAAGCGATCCTCCTGCCTCAGCCTCCCAAGTAGCTGGGATTACAGGCATGTGTCCCCACACCTGGCTTGTTTAATTTTTGAAAATGGTGTCTTGCATGCCAGCTTTAGATTGAGCAGGACTATGTAATAAACTGGCTGGTGAGAGATTAATCACTATGATCAGTTAGAGAAGGTGGAGAGTCAACTCTTTCTTTGTTGTCGGAATCAGAACCAAAATTATTTTGGGCCCTCCTGTTTCAGGTCTCCAGTGAATCTTATTTACAGCAGTGAACTGAACACATGCAGAAAACTATTTTGTATTCCACTCATGTGGCAGCCTTTGCCTGGTACGACTTGGTTCTCAGATGTCATTTGTCACGCGATGTGGTGTCAGGCTGGCCACCGGATGGATAGTGGCTTCCCTCGGAGGGATATATCTACAAGTGACGCCAGCTGAATGGCTTCAGAGGACATGCATCATTTGTGAGGCTCCTAAAGGTGGGAGCTGTGCGCCTGTGATTTCATTACTGGAATTAGAGTGCCGGCTTTCATTTTTCTATTAATTCCACTGATGGTATTAGTCGTGTTAAAAAGACAGCACAAACTTGGCTCTAAGTGTTCTTGGATGCTGAATGCCACCAGCACTTCTGAGTCTCAGTTGGTTCAGGGTCCTGGAGCTTGCAGTTTTCTGTTGGGTTTCAAACGCCAACTTTAAAGAGGAGGCTTGGGTTCCACTCTTAATGCTAATAAAAGACTCACAGAACAGAGGAAGGAACGTTCAACAAAGGATCAGAACACCGGGATCTGGCAGCAACTTGTTTGGTTACAGGAGACCAGTTAGTGTCCTGTCCTCCTTTGGACATGTGAGAGAGTTAGGTTACATAAGTGTTTCCCAGAATATGGGGCTGCATATCACCTCAGGTAAATGAGATGGCTTTAGGTGGTACACAGCCCCAGTTAAAGAACACAGACTCACATAGTAGTCATGCCATGGTGTCTGGCCAGGATTTAATGATATGGTTTGCTTTATGTTCAAGGTGATTATTTATGTAAGTGACACGAGGCTCCCCATTTATGTAAGCTATAAAATTTCCTTTAGAATAGCTTAATTACATTTTAAAAAGTTGGTTTATAGACTAATAATAAATAATGGGAAATATCTGTGATGGAAGTTGAAGAGAAACTGTGATTGTGGAGTTGTCTATTTTTCCTTTTAGTTCCATTCTGTATTTTTGGGGGTTCTGTTATTAAGTTCATACACATTTATGGTTATTATATCTTTCTGATGAATTGACCCTTTTCTCATTATGAAATGCCCCTCCGGGAATACTGTCTTGAAGTCTGTTTTATCTGATGCTAATAAAGATGGTCCATTCTTCTAACATTTTCTGGTTGTGTGTTGTATCTTTTTCCATTAATTTACTTTGAATCTGTCTGCGTCTTTACATTGAAAGTACATCTCTTGTAGGTAGAGAATAGTTGGTCTTGTTTTTGTTTGATCCATTCTGAGAGTCTTCAACTTTTAGTCCACAGTCATTTAATGCAGTTATCGATGTGTTTGGGTTTGGCATGTTTATTGTTGTTTCTGTATTTCCCCTCTGTTTTTCATGTCTCTCTTCTCCCTTTCCTGCTCTGTTAGTTTTCTGTTGCTGCTGTGACGAATGATTCACAAACCGAAGAGTTGTGGAACTGAGGTTCCCATTTATTTGCAGTCTGTGGATGGCAGGCTGGTCTTTGCTCCTAGAGACTTCTTTCTCATGCTTTCCATGTAGCTCCTCCAGCAATGGTGAATGAAGATCTTCTGACACTTTGAGTCTCTCTGACTTCTTCTCTGCTACTTCTCTGACTCCAGCTGGAGAAAGTTCTCTGTTTTTCAGGGGACTTGTGAGTAGGATCCATGGAATAAACCAGGATAATCTCTCCGTTTTTAGGTCCATAATCACTTTTTTCATGTAACATAACACATTCAGAGGTTCCAGGGTTAAAGGTGTGGACATCTTTGGGGGATCCATTTTGCCCATTATATCTGCCTTTTTATGGATTTTTAGAGTATTTACACACTTTGTTTTAACTTATTTATTGGCTTTTAATCTATACCTCTCATCTCAATAGATGCAGAATTATCTTAATAGATGCAGAAAATTATTTAAAAATTTTAATACTTTAATTCCTATAAAATTTAAACTATTTCCTTCTATAACCAGTTTTCTGAGTGTTTTCATGATAGAAGTATATCCAATAAAGGTCAAATACAACAAGCCCACAACAAACACCATACTCAGTGGTGAAAATTGAGAGCTTTTCCTCTATGATCAGGAACAAGACAAAGATGTTCAATCTCACCACTTCTATTCAGCATAGTACTGGAAGTCCTAGCCAGAGCAATTAGGCCAGAAAAAGAAATAAAAGGCTTCCAAATTGGAAAGGAAGAAGTGAAATTATCTCTATTTGCATTTTTAAAGTGATTGCTCTAGGGATCACATGAAACATCTTTAGCTTTTCACAGGCTACTTAGGGTTGGTATTGCATTGCTTCACATACAATGTAGAAACTTTTCAGTATAGGGCCTACTCATTCCCCTTGTAGCAGGACGAGCCGCAGACAAAACTCCTCAGACACGGAGTTAAAGAAGGAAGAGGTTTATTCGGCCGCGAGCATCGGCAAGACTCCTGTCTCAAGAGTTGAGCTCCCCGACTGAGCAATTCCTGTCCCTTTTAAGGGCTCACAACTCTAAGGGGGTCCACGTGAGAGGGTCGTGATCGATTGAGCAAGCAGGGAGTATGTGACTGGGGGCTGCATGCACCGGTAATCAGAACGAAACAGAACAGGACAGGGATTTTCACAGTGCTTTTCCATACAATGTCTGGAATCTATAGATAACATAACCGGTTAGGTCAGGGGTCGATCTTTAACTACCAGGCTTAGGTCAGGCAGGCCCAGGCCTGATTTCGGGTCTGGTTCCTTGGTTTTGGGTCTGGTTCCTAGGCACCAGGCTAACTGCCTTTAGTTTCGCTTCTCTTTCTTTTTCTGAGTATAAAACCGTATAAAACAATGTGAGAGGGCCTGTCTCTCTTCTTCCACCCTCACCATCCTGTATGCTATAGTGTTATATGCATTGCATCTGTACATTAATACCCTAAGAGGCAATGTAAGGATTTGTGCTTTAAATAGTCACATGCATATGTATTTTTTTAATTAAAAGAAGAGTCTTTTATGCTTATCCAGATATTTATGCTTCTAATGCTCTTCATTAATTCCTGAAGGAATTAGAGTTTTCTTCTGGTATTATTTTCTCTTGTATCAGCTTGAATAACTTCCTTTAGCATTTCTTGAAGGGCTGGTCTGCTGGAAATGAATTCTCTTAGTTTTATTTTATCTGAAAAGTCTTTAATTCTTTTTCATTCTTGAAGGGCATTTTCACTAATTATAGAATTTGTTTTTTTTCCCCCCAGCACTTATAAAGACATTATTCCACTGTCTTCTGGACTCTGTAGTTTCTAATCTTAAGTCTGTGAAAAATTTGAATCATTGTTCTCTATATATAATGTGCTATTTTTCTCTTGCTAATTTTGAGATTTTCTTTCTTTTGATTTTCATCAGTTTGACTGTGATGTGCCTAGCATGGTTTTCTCCACATTTGTCCTATTTGGGGTTCTTTGAGTTTCTTGAATTTGTAAGTTTATGTCTTTCACCAAATTTCTTTTTGGCCATTATTCTTCAATATTTTTTCCCCTTCTCCATTCTCTTTCTTGTAGGAACTTTTGAAACCACCTTTGCAAAAATTATAACTGAGAAATCATGGCAGTGAAAGAGATCTGACTTAAGTGACTTCATCTTGCTTCTAACCTCCAAGTTGTCCTTGTTTTTCCTGGGCGGAGGTGTAGGCCAAAATAACCTTCAGAGAAACTTAGTTTATAGTTTAACTTTGAAACAAAGAGATATTAGCCCTTTCCCAAAACAAACACCCTTCCTGCCTGGGGATTGCCTAAAGCCAGAGGATGAGAAATTATGGTTTAGGAGTCATGCAGTTGAAGGCTGCAAGACTCTAAACCTCCCCAAATTGCTCCTGGGGATAACATCACTATTGTAAAACCTAAGATCGGTACTTGAGATATTTTGCAGACCCTTCATCTGATGGATCAGTTAGCACCACCCAGATTGATAAACTGGCTCATCTGGCCTTGTGGCCCCCACCCAGGAACGGACTCACAGCAGGAGGACAATTTTAACGCCCTGTGATTTCATCTCCAGACAGCCAATCAGAACTCCTGAATCACTGGCCCTCTACCCACCAAATTATCCTTAAAAACTCTGATCCCTGTATTCTTGGGGAAACTGATTTTGAGTCATAATAAAACTCTGGTCTCCTGCACAGCTGGCTGTGTGTGAATTACTCTTTCTCTATTGCAATTCCCCTGTCTTGATAAATCGGCTCTGTCTAGACAGTGGCAAGGTGATCTTGGGTGGTTACACTTTAATCACATGTATGTTAGATCTCACTCTGTCAATTTATAAAAGCCCCTCTGCTTAAGTCATTTCTATTGATCTATCTTCAAGCTCTCTGACTCCTGCCTATGTCATCTTCATTCTCATGTTAGTTCTATCCAGTAAATTCTTTATTTCAGATATTTTGTTTTTCATTTCTAAATGTTCTTTTTTTTATTTTCCTCTTCTGAGGCTTCCTACCTTTTTCTTTGTGATGAGCATATTTTCCTTTACCTCATTAAGTGTATTGTTAGAATAGCTGCTTTAACACCTGGATCATATTGGGATTGGCCTCTGTTGATTGTCTTCTTTCCTTGAGAATGGGTCAGATTTCCCTATTTCTTATATGTAAAGTAAGTCTTTTTTGCTTGAGAATGGGTCAGATTTCCCTACTTCTTATATGTAAAGTAATTTTGAATTGTACTAGCACTTTGTGAATGCTATATTGTGGGTTATATTTCCTTAAAGAGTATTCATATTTGTGTCTTAGCAGGTAACTAACCTGGTTATACTTACATTTCCATATCTGTCTCTCAGGTGGAGGCTTAGTTCTCAGTCCTGTTGGGTTTAAATGCAAACTACTTTGAGCCTTGTCTACTCACCCTTTGTTCAAGGACTGGCCAGAGGCTTGGGCAGAGTTTACATATACATGCCAAGAATTCCCTTCTCTAAGTCTCCTCTTTCTGGGGTTTTTATATTCTGCTGGCCGTGGACTTCCAGGTCTCTAACTTCCACCTCCTCAGGCCAGAAAGAGGTTGGCTCTTCCACTAGATGTTGAGCCACCCGGTGCCATTTTGGGACAGCAGCATGCTGTCAGACCTAGGTGGCAAAAATGTAGAACTCTATGATGAGCCCTTCTTCCATGTTTCAATGTCCCTGTGAAATCTACTGGCTATTTTTACTCTACAGAGCCTTCAGGTATATTTTTTTTTTCCTTCTAGCTTTAATTTTTTACCTGTTTGGGTGTGGGAGGGAATCTGTTAAGAGATTTCCTACCATACCAGAAGCAGAACTCTGGCTATCTTCTGCTGTTTTCTTAAACTTCTACACTGCTGGAACTATTTTTCAGATAAACTAGATCAGATAATTTTTATGGTAAAGTTAGACTGACATGTCATCATCTTCAGCCATCTCATTTTCTTACCCGACATTGGCAGTTTTACATTCTTATATATTCTTGCTACAAGATACAGGAGCTAGAAACAAGAATCATTTTATTGTCAGTCAC
The DNA here is from genome assembly GCF_000001405.40 of Homo sapiens. Classification (NCBI taxonomy): domain Eukaryota; kingdom Metazoa; phylum Chordata; class Mammalia; order Primates; family Hominidae; genus Homo; species Homo sapiens. The sequence continues at coordinate 9,971,519 of NC_000016.10, read as the reverse complement.
AGTTCTGTGGGTTGACTGGGCTCTACTAGGTGGTTTTTCTGCTGCATGTAATAACAGCTGAGGCTACAGTTCCCTGAGAGCACAGTTGGGCTGAAATGTATGAGATGGCTCATGACATGGCTAAGTGGATGGAGCTGGCTATTGGCTTGGGGGCGTAGCTCACTGCCTAATGTAACCTTTTTATGTGGCTTGGATTTCACAAAGCATGGTGGTTGAGTTTTGAGTTGACATACCCAAGGGAAATTGTTATATCAGGGAAGAAGTGGAAGCTTCTGTTTTACTGAAAATTAGGCTTTTCTATTGGTCACATAGTCACTGTGCTGGTCAGATTCAAGAGGAGAATAAAGCAATCCACCTGTCAATGGGAAGAATAACAGAAAACAGTGTGGGCATCCTTAATTCACCCCACCTCATACTGTCTGCTCTTATTTGTCACCCATAGCCTTTGTTCATGCCTTGATCATCTCTTTATAGAATTCCTGAAATAGCCTTCTAGCCTCTCCCCTTCCCCCCAGTCTTGCCTCTCAAATGACTATCTACACAACTCTTTGTCTTCTCCAGAAAGGCTTCCTTTATTTCCCAGGGTGAATAAGCCTCTCATCTCTCCATTATTCCATAGCATTCTGTAATACTTTAACATTTACTACATTGTTCTGAAATCATAAAATCTATTTGTCTGTCTCACCAACCAGTCTGCGTTTCTCAGGGGAAGGAACTATATTTGATATATCCAATATTTCTCCTGTTGAGAGTTTACCAGCCTGTAATTTTCTTAAGGTAGGGGACTCTGCCTGCTTTATTTATTTTATCTTCAGTACCTAACTTTGTGTCTAGCTCATCAGAGATCCTTAATACATATTTCTTGAACCAAAATGATTTTTTTTAAATTCACAGTCAGTTAAGGCAGAGCAAGAACTCGATTCCAGATTTATTTCCCCTCTAATTTACTTCTTTCTAGGGCCCTCCAGCAGCCAAGTGAATCTAAACAATCCTCAAGGCCTCTTTTCCTTAGCAGATCTATCGTATCTTTATCTCCATATCTCAAAAGCACTTTCTTTCATATGTTTTAAAATATAAACTGAGCTTAATAAGATGAAAAGGTTTCAGGATTTTCCTGCATTGGTCTCTACTCCAGTCTCTCTAGTGGGCAATGCACCAAAACACTGCTCTATTTCCTAGCTTTAAACTTGAAGAAATAATCTCCAAGCTCCAGGGCTAAGAAAAGGATTGTACATTAAAGACTTGTTGCTTTGGACTATGAACCTTACAGGTCAATTTTTTTCTGGAATAGTGCTAATAAAGAGAAAACAAGTTAAATTATTCACCTGGAGGCCTAGCAGGTTGTATCCTGAAGGCTGAAGTCAAGTGCTTACTCAAACATTGAATTTGAGCTGCTTTTTTCTGTATTAGGGATCCCAATGCTTGGTGCAGAACAAGAACTCGAGATTTCTTTGACGTCAAGGTTGGCTCTACCTAGAGTGTGATTCTTGAACTGTAGTGTGTATAAGATTCACACGGAGAGTGTGTTAAAACACCAACCCCAGGCCCCACTTCAGAGAATTCTAATTCAGTAGGTCTAAGATGGCGTGCGGGAGTAGGCGTGCCTGTGAGTCTCCTGTGAGCTGCTGATGCAGCTAAGGCTTTAAGGCAGAGTTGTTCAGCAGTGGAATTCTTGACATTTTGGGCTAGATAATTATTTGTGAATAGGGAGCTTTCCTGTGCATTGTAGGATGTTTAGCAGCAACCCTGGTCTTTACCCACTGGGTGCCAGTCATACCCTGCCTCCTAGCTGTGACAGCTAAATGCATCTCCAGGCATAGCGAAATATCCCCTGGTGGAGCACAGTCATTGCATGTTGAGAACCACTGGTCTAGGGTATCTGGATGGCTGTGGATTGAGGTATCACTGAGTAAGTTTGGGTGGTGGATGACAAGGTCAGTTTTAGAGTCTGCTGAGCTTAACTGGCTTATGGGGCACCATGAACATCCAGTTCTTTAAATATCAAAGCCCAGTGGAATGATCTGGATTTGGAAGGCATTGGCATATATTTAAAACCATGAAGGATGGATAAAATGTCCAAGTAAATGATGTACCCAGTGAGGAACAATGGATGCAACACAGAGCCTTGGGGAACACTAACTCATTAAGTGGCGAGTGAAGAAAGTGTGCATCTAAGAAGGAATGATAGGGGGATATAAGAGAAGGACAAGGAGAAAAAGATGTTTCAGGCAGCAATGGAGGAGAGTGTGTCAAGGAGAAAAGGGAGGTGATGTCAGTAGAGGAAAGATTCGGTAACACCAAGTTCAAAAAAGGACCATGGGACGAGGAGATCACCTTGACCACAGAAACCTGTTTTGTGCAACAGGATGGCCATTGACTCCCTGTGTCTACTGAGCATTTGAAGTGTGGCTAGTGTGACCTGAAATGTGCTATATGTGTTAAATTCACTCTGAATTTCAGACTTGCTGTGAAAAAAAAGAATGTGAAATATCTCATTAATAATAATTTTTATATTGATTGCACATTAAAATGATAATATAGTGAGTTGAATAAGATACATTATTAATATTAATTTCAACTTTTTCTTTTTACTTTAATATATGTGGTTTGAGGGCAGGGCGCAGTGGCTCACACCTGTAATTACCAGCACTTTGGAAGGCTGAGGCGGGCGGATCACCTGAGGTTGGGAGTTTGAGACCAGCCTGACCAACATGGAGAAACCCCATCTCTACTAAAATTACAAAATTAGCTGGGTGTGGTGGTGCCCACCTATAATCCCAGCTACTTGGGAGACTGAAGCAGGAGACTCTCTTGAACCCGGGAGTCAGGGGTTGCAGTGAGCCGAGATCACGCCACCGCACTCCCGCCTGGGTAACAAGAGCAAAACTCTGTCAAAAAAATAAATACGACCAGGTATGGTGGCTCATGCCTGTAATTCCAGCACTTTGGGAGGCCGAGGTGGGTGGATCACCTGAGGTCAGGAGTTCGAGACCATCCTGGCCAACATGGTGAAACCCCAAATCTACTAAAAATACAAAATTAGCCAGGTGTGGTGGCGCATGCCTGTAATTCCAGCTACTTGGGAGGCTGAGGCAGGAGAATTGCTTGAACCCGGGAGGCGGAAGTTGCAGTGAGCCAAGATCGTACCATTGCACTCCAGCCTGGGTAATAAGAGCGAAACTCCATCTCTAAATACATACATACGTACATGTATACATACATACATACATACATACATACATACATACATACATACAAGTCAATAGAGGCAAAGAAATGATAGATGCAGGGGAGAGAAGAAGGAAGGAAGCAATACAAAGCCTAGAGAGATTGTCATTGAATGGATAGGGGGAGTGTCGGGGAGATTAACTTGTATCTATTTTCAACCTCTTTCAGCCTCCTCCTTTTTTCCTGCAAAATGGGAGTAAGAATCACGTTGCAATAATAACGCCTACCCACTGGGTTGTCTGGAGGTTTACGTGAGATAATAGATGGGGACTACCTTTGGAAATAATGAAACACTGTATGAATTCCAACCGCAGTCATAAGTGTCTTTCTTTCTGACATTTCACTGTCTTTGCCTCCTAATGCATTAATAATTCATACTGTTTTAAAATTTTTTTAATTTCTATTTCAATAGTTTTTGGGGTACAGGTGCTTTTGGTTACAGGGATAAGTTGTTTAGTGGTCATTTCTGAGATTTTGGTGCACCCATCACCTAAGACTACTAACTATTGTAGTCTTTTATCCCTCACCCCCTCCCAAACTTTCCCTACCCCTAAGTCCCCAAAGTCCATTATGTAATTTTTTTTTTGAGATGGAGTCTCGCTCTGTCGCCCAGGATGCAGTGCAATGGTGCGATCTTGGCTCACTGAAACCTCCACCTTCCAGGTTCAAGCGATTCTACTGCCTCAGCCTCCCCAAGTAGCTGAGACTACAGGCGCACGCCAGCACGCCCGGCTAATTTTTGTATTTTTAGTAGACACGGGTTTCGCCACGTTAGCCAGGCTGGTCTCAAACTCCTGACCTCAAGTGATCCACCCGCCTTGGCCTCCCAAAGTGCGGGGATTACAGGCGTGAGTCACTGTGCCCGGCCCATTGTATCATTCTTATACCTTTGCATCGTCATAGCTTAGCTCCCACTTATAAGTGAGAACATAACGATATTTGGTTTTCCATTCCCGAGTTACTTCGCTTCGAATAATGGCTTCCAGCTTCATCTAAGTTGCTGCAAGACATCATTTTGTTCCTTTTTATGACTGAATAGTATTCCGTGGTGTATATCTACCACATTTTCTTGATCCACTCATTGGCTGATGGGCACTTAGGTTTGTTCCATATCTTTGCAATTGTAAGCATAATTCATATTCTTTATTACCACAGAGTCGCAGGAAGAATTCACCCCAAATTTCAAAATGTGGGACCTGCTGAACACAGAATCTACCACTGAAGTGTCGAACATGAGTCACTTAATAGTGCTGAACTAATAGTGAGAATTTCATCGTGAGAACTTAACAGTGACTCATGTTTCACTACTGCTGAAGGCTGAAGTGTGGAAAATGAGTCACTATTAAACAAGGAAGGGCACTGGGTAACCTTTGTGCTGTGGTTCTCAAAGTGTGGTTTCTGGACCAGCATCATCACTATCACTTGAGATAGGGCCAAAATATGCACATTCTCAGGCCCATATGCATCCTACTGAATCAGAAAGTGAGGGGCAGGGATTGTCAGTCTGTGTTTTAACAAGCCTTTTGGGTGATTCTGATCGAGGCTTATACACTGTTGGTGGGAGTGTAGATTAGTGCAGCTGTTGTGGAAGACAATGTGGCAATTTCTCGAAGACCTAAAGACAGAAATATTCAACCCAGCAATCCCGTTTCCAGGTATATACCGAAAGGAATATAGATCGTTCTATTATAAGGACACGGGCATGTGTATGTTCTTGCAGGACTGTTCACAATAGCAAACATATGGAATCAACCTAAATATTTGCCCATCAGTGATAGAGTGGATCAAGAAAATGTGGTACACATACTCCACAGAATACTATGCAGCCATAAGAAAAGGATGAGATCATGTCCTGTGCAGGGACATGGATGGAGCTGGAGGCCATTATCCTTAGGAAACTAACACAGGAACAGATAACCAAATATCATATATTATTACTTAAAAGTGGGAGCTAAATGATGAGAACACATGGACACATAGAGTGGAAAAACACACAATGGGGCCTTGCAGAGGGTGGAGGGTGGGAGGAGGAAGAGAGTCGGGAAAGTAACTAATAGGCACTAGGCTTAATACCTGGGTGATGAAATAACCTGTACAACAAACCCCCATGGCACAAGTTTACCTGTGTAACAAATCTGCATGTGTATCCTTGAACTTAAAAGTAAAAGAAAAGTTGAGAACCCTGCCCTCGTGCTTGTCAAATCAGATCAATTCTCTATAAGTGCAAGGATTCTCGAACCTTGGGAAACTAGTTAAAATTCAGATTCTGGGCTTAAGGTGCTGCATATTTAAAAGATCCCAAGATTATTTTGATAAGCTACCAGAAAGTATTGTAAAGCAGCAATTGGCAAGTGTTTTATTTAAAAGCCCAGATAGTCAATATTTTAGGCTTGGCAAACCAAGAGGCCACACATTCTGCTGCTATAGCACAAAGGCAGCCACAGACAATACAGGAAAGGGCTTGGCTGTGTTTTGGGGCTATATAAAAGAGGCTGTGGGGAGGATTTGGTCCACAAGCCATGGATTGTCAACCCCTGCTTTAGAATGTAAATATCACCCTTGATTGTGATCCTGGGTGATTTCCTCTCCATTCATTTATTCCTTAATTCCACACATTTTATTTTATTGGGTCTCAGCTGTGTGCTAGACATGGACTGGACATCAGAGATGGACTGTTGGCTTCCTGGCAGGATCCTTGCTCTCATGGAGCCTGCCATCTCTTCAAGTGTCGAGGAAATTATTAAGTGGAATCAAAATCGGTTGTGATTTCTGCTTAAAATAGGGGAGGTAGAGTTTGTTCACTATCCCAAAAGTCTCTTATTCTATAGCTCAGCCCAACATGCTTTGTGTTCTATTTCCTGGCTTCCTCACTGCCCAACTTTTAATGATATTGAGGCAGCTTTGGGGGGCATTTTTGTTCCATCTCCCCAGTTGCCTGGAATTTTTTGCAAATGGTTAACAAAGTTCCGTTTACCACCAGGCTGTAGCCATTTGTGAGTCAGACTAGACCAGCTGGTTGATACGGCACAGAGGGTTAGGAGAGGAATCTGTTCTAGCTGTTGGTATGGAGATGCTGAAACACCCTGCAGTCTTTGTTCTGCCAGCGTGTGAGTATGCAACTGATAGTATTTAGTGAAGAAGTCTTACTTTATTAGAACCTTTTGCCTAAATGGAAACTCTAGGTTTGTACATCATTTGGAGTAGTTCCCTGAGACCTGAGTATTCCCAGGATTTACACCTAACTTGGTTTATATTTGCATGCTTATTGGTCCAGAGGATTTGGCATTTCCTTCTCATACTCTTGAATCACATTTAATAATAGTAATATAGTTCCTGACAATTATTAAGCACACACTATAAGCCAGACGTTGTGCTAAATAATTTCACGTGTGATAGGAAGAATAATGGCTTCCCTAAGATGTCCATGCTGTGAATATGTTGCTTATAGTGTAAAGGGGACTTTGCAGTTGTGAGATTCAGGGTTTAGTACCTTGAGATTCGGATGATCCTGGATTAGCAAGGTGGGACCAACTTAATCCTGTGAATCCTCAAAAGTGAAGAGCTTTTCCAGGATGTGGACAGAGAAAGATGTGAAGATGGAAGAGTCAGAGAGATGCAGTGGTGCTGGCTTGAAGATGAAGGAAGGAGTCATAAGCCGAGGAATGTGGGCAGCCTCTGAAAGGTGGAAAAGTCAAGGAAGTGGATTCTCCCCTACGGCCTCCGGAAAGGAAAGCAATCCTGCTGACACCTTGATTTTAGTCCAGCGAGACCCATTTCACATTTCAGAACCACAGAAGTATAAGACAATAAGTGAGGATTATTTAAGCCCCCGCCAAGTTGATGGTAATTTGTCATAGCAGCAATAGAAAATGAACGCACCATGGCTGATCCCATTAAATTGTCACAAGAACCTCAATTAAGCACTAACAGTGGTCACATTTTCAGGAAGAAGAATTCAAGGCTGAGTAATTGTGCAAGGTCCCATATTTATCAAGTGGTAGATGCAGGATTGGGTCACTGGTTCCAGGGCCACACTTGTACTGTAAATTCATGTAAGCTCCATGGTATGAAACTCCATTTGGATATTTGACGATTCCCTTCAAGTCCATGCGGCAGTGCCTTTGCACACATGCCTTCAAGGATGCTGTTGCCTCCTCCAAAGAGTCACCTGCAATCTCTGCTGCTTCATCCTCAGGCTGTGTTGTGTTTTCTTGGGAGCCCTCTCCAAATTTGCAATCAACCCACGTGGCCCCTTCCTGCTGTGCATCAAGACACCACATGCCCTATCACAGCACTTACTGCATGGTGCGGTGTGACTTTGTGTCTGTCTGTCCACTAGACTGTGAGTTCTTTCATTCCTGCACCACAAGCACTTCCTCTCCTCCACCAGGACATGGCACTATGTCTGGCACATAGCTCTAAAATGCAAGCCCCATGAGGCAGGGAGTTTGTCCATCATTGCTATACTCCAGTGCCTAGAATAGTACCTGGCACAGAGTAGCTATATAGTAAATATCTGTTGAATGGATGAATTATTGAATAGCAGATTCTCAATAAATATACAGAGGCTGAAGGTTAATAAACCTGTAGTAATTATCTAAAAGCCTTTTGTTTATGTTTCAGTGGTACTTTATGGAGGCATAGCTTACATATAGTATAATGCATGAATCTTAAGTGTAAAGCTCAATGAATTTTTACACATATATACAATTGTGACCACACAGATCGAGATGCAGAACATTTTTTAAAAAATTGTTTAACACCACATGTTTTCACTCATAAGTGGAAGTTGAACAATGAGAATACATGAACATAGGGAGAGGAACATCACACACTGGGGCCTGTCAGGGGTGGGGGGCAAGAGGAGGGAGAGCATTAGGACAAATACCTAATGCATGCGGGGCTTAAAATATAGATGACAGATTGATAGGGGCAGCCAACCACCATGGCACGTGTATACCTATGTAACAAACCTGCACATGCTACACATGTATCCTGGAACTTAGAGTAAAATTTTTTTTTATTATACTTTAAGTTTTAGGGTACATGTGCACAATGTGCAGGTTTGTTACATATGTATACATGTGCCATGTTGGTGTGCTGCACCCATTAACTCGTCATTTAGCATTAGGTATATCTCCTAATGCTATCCCTCCCCGCCCCCCACCCCACAACAGTCCCCGATGTGTGATGTTCCCTTTCCTGTGTCCGTGTGTTCTCATTGTTCAGTTCCCACCTATGAGTGAGAACATGTGGTGTTTGGTTTTTTGTCCTTGCGATAGTTTGCTGAGAGTGATGGTTTCCAGCTTCATCCATGCCCCTACAAAGGACATGAACTCATCCTATTTTATGGCTGCATAGTATTCCATGGTGTATATGTGCCACATTTTCTTAAACCAGTCTATCATTGTTGGACATTTGGGTTGGTTTCAAGTCTTTGCTATTGTGAATAGTGCCGCAGTAAACATACGTGTGTATGTGTCTTTATGGCAGCATGATTTATAATCCTTTGGGTATATACTCAGTAATGGGATGGCTGGGTCAAATGGTATTTCTAGTTCTAGATCCCTGAGCAATCTACCGATTTCCACACCGACTTCCACAATGGTTGAACTAGTTTACAGTCCCACCAACAGTGTAAAAATGTTCCTATTTCTCCACATCCTCTCCAGCACCTGTTGTTTCCTGACTTTTTAATGATCGCCATTCTAACTGGTGTGAGATGGTATCTCATTGTGGTTTTGATTTGCATTTCTCTGATGGCCAGTGATGATGAGCATTTTTTCATGTGTTTTTTGGCTGCATAAATGTCTTGTTTTGAGAAGTGTCTGTTCATATCCTTTGCCCACTTTTTGATGGGGTTGTTTGTTTTTTTCTTGTAAATTTGTTTGAGTTCATTGTAGATTCTGGATATTAGCCCTTTGTCAGATGAGTAGGTTGCGAAAATTTTCTCCCATTCTGTAGGTTGCCTGTTCACTCTGATGGTGGTTTCTTTTGCTGTGCAGAAGCTCTTTAGTTTAATTAGATCCCATTTGTGAATTTTGGCTTTTGTTGCCATTGCTTTTGGTGTTTTAGATATGAAGTCCTTGACCATGCCTATGTCCTGAATGGTATTGCCTAGGTTTTCTTCTAGGGTTTTTATCGTTTTAGGTCTAACATATAAGTCTTTAATCCATCTTGGATTAATTTTTGTATAAGGTGTAAGGAAGGGATCCAGTTTCAGCTTTCTACATATGGCTAGGCAGTTTTCCCAGCACCATTTATTAAATAGGGAATCCTTTCCCCATTGCTTCTTTTTGTCAGGTTTGTCAAAGACCAGATAGTTGTAGATATGTGGTATTATTTCTGAGGGCTCTGTTCTGTTCTGTTTTGGTACCAGTACCATGCTGTTTTGGTTACTGTAGCCTTGTAGCATAGTTTGAAGTCAGGTAGCGTGATGCCTCCAGCTTTGTTCTTTTGGCTGAGGATTAACTTGGCATTGTGGGCTCTTTTTTGGTTCCATATGAACTTTAAAGTAGTTTTTTCCAATTCTGTGAAGAAAGTCATTGGTAGCTTGATGGGGATGGCATTGAATCTATAAATTACCTTGGGCAGTATGGCCGTTTTCACGAAAAATCTCAAAAATTTTGTTTAAATTTAAGAGGTGCAAGTGCAGTTTTATTACATAGATACATTGCAAAGATATAGAACATTTCTAGTTCCCTATGAAGTTCTTATTTGCTCCCTTCTCACCAACCCCAAGATAACCATTATTCTGAATTCAATCATCATAGATTAGTTTTGCTTGTTCTTGAACTTTTATAAAATTTCCATTCTGTTCTGTTATAAATGGGCTTGTATAGCATGCCTTTGTTTTGTGGCTGGCTTCTTTTGCTTCAGCATGATGCTTTTGTGGTTCATTCGTTAGGATAAGTGTAGAAACCTCTTTACTCCTGCACTCTCCTAGTGATCCCCCACCCCTGCACCCCCATATCATTAGATGAGTTCCCTGTCTGGAGCATGTGACCTTCTATTGGGTTGTAGCTGCGTATTTCCATCAGAGTGGTAACCAGAGATTCAGACTTGGAATGTCTTCCTCCGGGACCACAGCTTCAGTGAGATAGTAGTTCTTGGTACATGGTTGAGGCTTAATAAAGAGCCATTAAGTAAACGAGTACGTGAATAAGTACTGTACTTTTCTAATAGTCTTTTGGGTGCTAAAGTCATACATATATTGAATGCTTGCTATATACCAAGTACTATAGTGCTGAGTATTTTACATCCATTAAATTGCACGTAAATGACAACAACAATAACAAACTCGCTTGAATGGTAAATGTTATTAGCTCAAGTGTATAACTCAGGAAATTGAGACTAAGAAAATTACAGCTGGGTGCGGTGGCTCATGCCTGTAATCCCAGCACTTTGGGAGACTGAGGCAGGAGGATCACTTTAGTCCAGGAGTTTGAGACTAGCCTGGACGACATTGGCAAAACCTCATCTCTGCCAAAAATACAAAAATTATCCAGGTGTGGTGGAACACACCTGTAGTCCCTGCTACTTGGGAGGTTGAGGTGGGAGGATGGTTTGAGCCCAGGAGGCAGAGGTTGCAGGGAGCTGAGATCATGCCATTGCACTCCAGCCTGGGTAACAGAGCCAGACCTTGTCTGAAATAAATACATAAATAAAAATAAAGTGTATAAAAAAGAAAAATTACACGTTAGGAACAAGTGATACAATTAATAAAAGATAGTCTGGTTGACTTCACAGCATATGCTCTCCCTACCTACCTAGGCTGCCTCGTTTTCCAGTTAATTTTTCATTTATAAAAGAAACAGGCTAATTATGGAAAATTTGAAAAATACAGAAAAGCAGAAGCAAGAAAATGTAAAGGCATCCATATGCTACAACCCAAGAACAGTCGCTCTTAGTATTTTGGGGTGTATTATCTTTTTGCATTATTTTCTGTGTATAGTTTTTTATCTGTTTATTTAATAAGGTTATGATAAAAGTATACATGCAAAATTATATCCAACTTTTTCATGTAATCTCTACTTAGGTTGTTATAAACTCTGTGTCTGCAATCTAGTTCATTCAGTATTTATTCAACTGATATTTATGAATTACCTACTATGGGACATTGTTGATTGAGCCCCTCCTATATGCAAAGCTCATTTTTTTCCTTTTTTACTACTAGGTTCTACTATCTGTTACCTGGGCCAGATAGTTGGGTGTCAACCTGGAAGCCACATCATCTCTGCCTTTAATATTGCTCAATTATGTGGTTTCAGTGAGTTTCTAGGTTTGCTGGTATGTGCTATGGTTTTTGTTTGTTTTTTTGAGATGAAATCTCGCTCTGTCACCGAGGCTGGAGTGCAGTGGCCCGATTTTGGCTCAATGCAACCTCTGCCTCCCGGGTTCAAGCGATTCTGTTGCTTCATCCTCTGAGTAGCTGGGATCACAGGCATGCGCCACCACGCCCAGGTAGTTTTTGTATTTTTAGTAGAGATGGGGTTTCACCATGTTGGCCAGGCTGGTCTCGAACTCCTGACCTCAGGTGATATACCCACCTCAGCCTCCCAAAGTGTTAGGATTACAGGCGTGAGCCGCCATGCCTGGCCAATGTTTTTAATTAGTACACGAATAAAACCACAAGAAAACCATTGGCAAGCCCTCTAGTTCTTTGGGCTCCTTGCTTTAGCACAGTGGAAAGCCTGTGTACTAAGTCAGAACGGCGACTCCTGGAATAAATCATCCCAGGTGAAGAGTTGATACGTTGCACATCGGTAGCTTGGGTGGCATATTTAAATACTAACCAGGCTCACTCTGCAAATAGATTGAAGTGATTCCAAAACCTCGGTGCCATAACTTGATTTTCAGAATCAGGTGGAACCTACAAGCCTATTATGAGCTCCTATGGGGAGACATGCAGGGCATGAGGAATAGAAATAGGAGGAGGAGACAGAACATCATAATTTCGCTCTAGGTTTAGGGATGGAAGCTGGTTGGTGGGTCAGGGGTGGGAAAATGAGTGAGGCTTTTTATCTCTTAGGAGATTGGAGATGTTTTCAAGAGGGCTGTGAATCATTTGAGGCTGATTTCAGGGCACTGTGACAGATGAGTGCAAATCCAGCCTATTTCTCTGGTCCAAATGAATACTTGTCCTTGTAACACTGAAAACCAAATATTTGAATAGGAATGAGTATTCTGGGGTATTCTGGGGTAGCATGGCTCAGAGGCTCCTAGCAGTTGTTCAGTGACTTAAAAGGGAGATGGTTGTAAAAATTTGGGGCATAAGCTGAACATTTGTCTGATTCAACATAAATTAGCACCAATTCTGCTCATTTTGTGCCTTTTCCCTACCAACTCCTCTGTATTTATTCATTAATTCATTTATCTAACAAATATTCACTGGCACCTTCTGTACAGCCAGCACAAGGGATGTATCAGTGAACAAGCCCATGCTTGTATCGATTTTCTAGTCTGTTAAGGCAGTTTATGCTTTAGTGTTTATTTAGCACATACTATATGTGGCTTGGAGACAGGTGGAGGTAAGGTATGAAGCTATTCAGGTTCTAATTTCTGCCCTCTGCTTGCAATCTGGTATGCAAACGAATATATGCAACTGAAACCTAATACACAGCAAGCATTCTTTCCCCAGCTCTCTGTAATTCCTGATAGTTCACTTTGGCAAAGTGCTTCCATCCCATGGGGTCTGTCCTAGTACCAATTTGCAGACTATTTGCTTCAGAATCTACTTAAAAATACGGATTTCTGGGTCACACCTCAGACATACTGTGCCAGATAAAATCCGTGGGAACAGAGCCCCAGGAGACCATTGCTAAAGATATGGAAGTGGGGTTGAACCTGTGTGTGTGTGTGCATGTGTCTGTGTGGTCATTGATGGGCATGAGGAGTAGTAAATTTGGCAATTCACGGTCTGGTTTGCCAAGAAAGATGATCTCAGAAGACCAACATTGCCCACATCAGCAAGAGGGAGCCATGGCTTTGTGGCAAGTCAGCATTCAAGGAGGATGGATTTAGTAGTAAGTTCAGGTCAGGCTGGATGTTATTAATGGCAATTATGATAACAACTAAATGTATTGGAAGTTAATTGCATGCCAGATGCTTTTACATCAATTGCCAATTTTAATCCTCACAGTCGCTTATGCAGAAGTTATAGTTATCTTCATTTATGGAGGAAGAAGGCAGGCACAGAGAAGCTAAGCAACTTCCTCATAGTCACCCAGCTTGGAGATAGCAGAGCTGTGATTCTAAAGCAGTTTATCACTATCTCTCTTTCCTGGTATAACTGAGAGGAAAGACTAGAGAAGCATGCACAATCAACATGGAAAACAAGCCAACCGTGTTCTTTGGGGAAGCCCTTCATATCAGTGGCCAAGTGTTGCTCATGGGGGCAACCAATGTGAAAACCCTGCTGAAAACCAACAGGCAGAGGCCCAGGTGATGTTCACCTGCCCAAGTCTATAGAAGAGTTCTCAGGTGAGGTTCAAAGAGGTCCAGGAAATGCGAGAAACCAAGCCCTTCAGAGTCATCGAGGGGCATCTTTCGGTTGTTAAATTTCCCAATTAAGGAAGAGTTGAGATAGCCCCATTTTGACGTGCTTTGCTGTGGTTGGTAATTCTGGCCCTATTGCTAATTATGATGCGATGACATCATTTGGGTAATCTCCCTTCCTATTAGAAGCTGCCTCTTAGGTTTTATATTTGCTTTATTTCCACTACTCTGGCCACCCAGTGCATGCAGAGAACAACTGTGGATTGTGATATTGTTACTGGTAATGTCTTTCAAAGTGAATTGGGGTTTCACATGGGAAGGCATGAAAAAAGTTTATTAAAGGTACCACAGTATCAGGACCCAAATACTGAAGAGTGCTCGCAGAAGTGAAAGAGCTTGTTCTTCCTTGGGTGGTCCATGAGATAGGGAGTGGCTGTGTCCCACAGTGAGAGCAGCCCTGTGTTTGGAGCTCAATCCTATATCCACTGTGTGTGTCCTGAACATGGGCAGCTCCCTTAAATAATCTTCCCTGAGTAAAATTAGGGGCTGGCACCAGATGAGTGCCAGGCTGGTCCCCCTGGCTGAGAACAAGCCCTAGGGAGATAGCACACAGGGCCAGAGTGAAAGCCAAGGGCATTCCCAGGGTGGAGGAAGTTAGGAGCATTTTGTGATCACAGAGAGGCAGAGGTATGCTAATAAGGGAATTAACACCTTTTCTCTGATTAGCAGCCAGGGAATTATTGAAAGGGATTAGATAGAAACTGTGAAAAGATTCTTGGGCAACTGAGAGGTCAGAGGAAGGTAATAGCCTCTTCTTTAGGTACAAAGGAATACAAATACATTTTATTAGCAGAGAACCAGTCTCTTTCACCCTCACCCCAATGGCTATCTTAAAGACCCTCACACTTGCCTCCTATCTGGGTACCTTTGCATATGAAGCACCTTCTTTGCAAGAGGCATTCTGTCCTCTCCTCTTTGCCTAGATAACCCCTACTCCAGCATCTCCTGTTTGGAGAAGTCTTCAACCATCTAAATTGTTCTGTTTCCCCCATTGTGCATTCTTAATGCACCATAAGCTTTTCTTACAAAATGTGAATTTCAATGGCAATTTTACACGTGTGTAGTTGTTTAATTAATATTTGTCTTTTCCATCTGGATCATAAGCTCTTTGAGCGCAGGTTTCATGGCTGTTTTTGTTCACTACTGGATTCTCAGCCTTCAGCACTGTACCTGGTCCAGAGATGAATAAATAATAGGTTAAATGAATGAATTAATTAAAGACACAGTTAAGTGATAATTGACATCTGGCTCACTGTGCAGTTCTAGAAGTTGGTAAGATTCATACTATTTGTCATTCCTGTGAAGAGACTGAAGCTCTAAAGATCAGTGAAATGAAGTGAGTTTCCTGAGACACACGGCTCATACGTGATAAACCAGGACTTGCATAGATCCCCTGAGAATCTGAATTTTTATTCACCTTTGCTTTTTAAGTATGGGTATTATGTGGCTTATAGGTAGAGGTTTAAAATTTTTTAAGTTAAAACATGAAAATAACAGAAACAAAAACAGAAAACACAAGAAAGCCCACAGGACAGTGGATTCTTTCCAAACATCTCACTTCAGTGGCAGCTACATTTGAAGAAAGTCTACTTGTTGCATTTAAATTACCTGTCACAAATCACAGTGTTCACCCAGTAGCAGCTAGGAGGGGCTGATTCAAGCCCCTGAGAATTGTTTTGTGTCTTGATCATGAGTCCGAACAACAGAACTTTACAAGGATGTTGCAAGCCGCTTTAAGGGGTGATGGAACCAATGATAGGAACCAGCACCTAACACCTGGCAGAGACTTTGTCAGCGTGATGCCCAAGCCCCTGGGGATTTCTGCCCAAAGGTGATACAGCCTGATGGGTTTCCTGGTTTGTTGAAGCTGGCGGTGAGAGAGAGTTTGAAAGAAATGACTTACTCGATGCTGTGTGACACAGGGAGCTCATTCGCCTTGATGCACTTAGGCAAGCTGCCTAACCTCATTCAAAACAAGCCAGTAAACTAGTAAACCAAAACAAAACCAAAAATGGAATTAGGCTTCTACAGTGCTGGAGATATAGTGATTAGTAAGACAAAATAAAACAGCACACATAGCCCCTGCCTTTCTGGACAATTTGTTTAAATGGTGGACACATACATTCATGAAAGCAGTCTATAAATCAATGTTGATTAACAGCCACATTAAGTACTATGAAAATATTAGGTTGGTGCAAAAGTAATTGCTGTTTTTGCCATTAAAGGTAGGGGCAGTAACAGTAATTTACTTTTGCACTAACCTAATACAAGAAAGAGCATGGAAGAGCGGAAATTTGCCTAATCCGTGAGGGTATGGAAGACATCCCTTAGGAAATGATGATCTAGAAATGAATGAAGGAAGAATAGGAGTTGGACAGAGAAGGTAAGAACAGTTCAAGGAACCTGGAACAAGACAAGCAAAGTCTCTGTGGTGGACACAAGGTGGCCGAGAGGTCATTGCATCCAGAGAGGAGAAAGCAAGGTGGGGAGGCTGTGATCTGTGACAAGACTACATATCCCATTGGTATCCACAGGCCATGTGGTGATTTGTGGTATTTGTCCTCAGTGACATTTGACACTGAATGGTCAGCACTGCAGTAGTGGTAAGCTCAGGCTGTTGAGAGAGTGAAACCCTCGCCTTGACTCAGGCAAATGGCTGCAAGGATTTATTGACTGCCCATGGGGATGACACCAAACTCATCCCCAACTTCAGACAGTCTGTAGAATAAGTACAGTCTGATCCCAGGTGATGGAAACCACATCATCACAGTCACTATGTGCATAATAACTGTGGAGTAAGCCTAACGCCACTTGGTACAAACTTACCACTCAACATAATGAACATAAAGGACGCTGGCCTGGAGAAAGGAGGACTTTGACTCATATTGAATTCTGGATTCATCCCACTGCATGACTTGCTTTGTCGATGCATTTCATTTAAGTCTGGAGAGGACTTGAGTGCCGGGTAGAGAGATTTATTTAGAGGCAGAAGGCTCATTAAAATCCCAACCTTTTTGTTTTGTTTTGTTTTAAGCCAGGGGTACCTCTAATTTGTGGCCTGAAAATTTTGCTCGGCAAGGGATTGAAAAATGGAGAGATGGGTTTGTATGCCAGGACTGTCTAATCACCATCTTGTGTGAGCTTTAGAAAAGGACTCATTCTGCAGGCTATTAATGAGGTGAGTGTTTAATGGCCCCTTGATGCTCCCCCATCAGATATAGTGTCTTGAGTTTTTAATAAGCTCTGTTCTGGGTCCTTTACAAATCAGAGTGTTGGAACAAATCCTTGAGGAGACATCAACAGCAAGATGATGCAATGTGTGTGAGCTGGAAAGAGCAGCCGTCTTAACTCCAGAGAGTGTCTAGGAATCTGTCTATCTCAATCTGCCGACCATGTGCACATCTAATTTTCACTTCCTTTTTGTTCTCTGGGGAACAAGACACACTTAGATTTTACGTTTTCTCTGTAAGGAAAAGGTGATGTCCGGGGTGAAAAACTAAGGAATCTTGTTCTTCAACATTGAAGGTATATCGCAAGCATGATTTTGGAATTAAAAAGGAAAAATGTTCACTTCGTTTTCCTTTAGCATGTAGGGAGTTATTTTAGGATATCCTGTGTTTTCTGGCACAAGTTTCTCTGTCTAGGACAGAAGGATTGACTTAGAGGACATTGGGGAATGGGGAAAAAAGAAAGCAGGAGGAGGAGCCCCCTGACCCCAGTTTGAATCCCAGTATTCAGAGAAATTCTTCTCTATACCTCTAAAATACTGTTGTGTTTGAGAAGAAGCATGGGGCAGTTGGAAAGTGTTGGAACGTCCTCCACTGTCCCCTTTACTACTTCTGCCTCCTTCACTCCTCTGGACCACTCTGAGGTTGTGCTTCTACCTACTCCACTTGCCTTAAAGTCCCAGGTGAACATCTCACTGCACCACACAGCAGTACCTTTCAGCCTTTGTCTTCCTGGACACTAGACACCTTTCACCCCTGCCTTCGTCTTCAAGCTCTCTACTCCCGTGGCTTCTAAGTTATCGCATTCCCCGGCTTTCTCCTCGTACCTCTCCTACATTCCTTCTCTGCCTCTTTTCCACACACACTCTCCTTCTTTTGTTAGGGGATGCCATGCACAGCTGTCAACAACTACCGCCCCCAGCAGATAGACAACTTCTAAATCTCAAGCCTCAGCCCTGACCCCTTTCTCATCTTCAGACCTGCCTATCCACCTTCTTGGTGGACTCCCTGCAGGGAGGTTTCAAAAGCAGCTAACCTAAACCTGAATTCCATATGCATTTCTCTGTCCCCCTACCTATACTCACTTCCACCCTTGCTCACTCATTCATTCAAAAAACATTTACAGAGTGGCTACTGTATGTCAGGTACAAGGCTAGGTGCTGGAGCTACAATTGTGAGGAAGAAAGCAGGGTCCCTAACCTGTTCTCCACTTTTGTAAGTGACATCACCATTCACTTGGCAATCCTCTTTCACTCCCCAATCTCCCTGCCAATCCGATCCATGAGTTGCCAAGACCAGTTGAATGTACCTCCTAAACATCTCTTGAACCTCTCTTTTGTGTATCTGTATTGCAGCAATCCTAGTTCAGATCTTTCTCTCTTTTCTGGAGTTGCTTTAGTGAGATTTCTCTGGGCCTGCTTTTCTGCCTTCATTCATTCCCTCCTCCAAGCCCTTCCTCATACTCAAGCTCAAGTGGTCCTTCCCGAAGATAAAAACTTGCTCATGTCACACCGCTGCTAAAAAATTCTTTCATGGATTCTTCTCGTCAACCCCAGAAAGCATTAACTCCTTGTCTCTTTTTTTCACTCCCTGTCTGTGTCTCTCCATCCTTCCTCCTTTCCATGCTCTTTCTTCCTCCCTCTTTTTCTTCCTTTTTCCCTTTTTCTCTCACTTTCTTGTTGCCTGACTTTCTCTCTTTCATTCAATAATTATTTGAATGTCTTTAATCCAATCCCACAGATATAAGCATTGAGTTCCTCTCTGTGGCAGGCTCTGTCACGTGTACTTGGGATCAATGAACAAACAGAATATACCTGACTTCATGGAGCTTATATTCTATCAAATAGGACATTGAACAGACAGAAAATATTAATAATAAGCATTGTAAGTAAATCATATGAGTTATATGGAACGTAAAGGTGACAGATAACTATGGAACCAGATTCAAAGGTATTTCTCATTGTGAGCCAGAGAGGCATGGACCTACCCTCGGGCCCTGCCTCTTCCCCTAGCCACACACTTCTCTGGCTCTTTTTTCTTTTTTTTTGCATGTGTTTCTTCAGCACTAAGCTGCTCACATTCCCAGTGGGTGCCATGTTCTTCATTCTGTGTGTCTCTGCACACTGTCTTTGTACACTGTCCTCTCTGTACTCTGTCTCCAGACCTTTCCAGCCTGTGCCAAGTTGCCCTCCATCTACAAGGACCTCAGGGGTCACTGGGAACCCTTTCACCCTCTCTTGCTGGGTTGGGTGGGTCCCCTTCCTCTGCATTCCCTTGGTGCCCTGAGCTTTCTTTGGCCACAACTCTCACTACTGGAGCATGCTGAGGGTGGGTTGAGCTCTGTGGCTCCATGACTTTCTTTCTGGGTGAGGCTTGGAGGCCAGTGAACCCTCCACACTTCCAGCCTTAATTTTCTCAGGTACAAAGTGTGAAGGAGAGCCTTCTATTTATTTCTCGTGGTTGCTACAAAGTTTGCAGCAAATATGAAATACCCAAGGGTGAGCGGTATCGTTGGGGGCTGGGAGGTCACTGGGCAGTGAGTGTCAGGGCTTCTCTGTCCTCTGAGCCCTGAGGAAGGAGTGCCTTCTGTGTTCATCAACACTGGAGAAGACAAACTTACCTGAGGTTGAAGAACACATGGGCTGACTTGGGCTCTCGCCTGCAACCAGCTCTGAGTGTGATGGGAGCCAGGAAGCCCTGGGGCTCAGCATGAACACAAATGGACCTTATTTGATTGTGTTTTTCTCCTTTCAAATAGTAATTTGGACACTTTTCAGAGGCTGACATTCAATTTCTTTTTCTATGTCACTTCGGAGAAAAAAACAAACCATCATTTTTTTCTGTTAAAATCTCTCCCTTTTCCACCCCTTGTTTATGCTCCTAATTCCATTTGTGCTCAGAGTTTAATTGTAATGGTGAGCTCTGGTCATATTAGTTCATCCTCTTCTTTTGAGCTGCAAGTGGGTCTTGGACAGGCTGCCCAGCTTAGTACTTGCTGAAGAGAACAAACAGATATTAGCTTTTTGACATGCACGCCTGTGCGCACATACACAAACACAAACACAAATGCACCCATGAGAATTTAGCGTTGCTCTGTTAAAGGGGCAGATGATATTCTGTATTTGGTCTGCTGGTCTCCAAAGCAATGAGAGGTGAATAAATCGGATGCCCATAAGATGCTTATTTACATAAGTTAAAGGATGCTCTGTATTGTGTTAGCTTCAGTGGGGGGAGTGATTTGCGAGCAGAATATTATGCTCCAGGAAAACAGTGCAGATTAGGTTGCTAAATCTCCTGGCATTAGTTCAGGGTGCATTCTTCTGCTGTGGATGCATTGCTTCCAGAGGAAGAAGCTGGTGATGGAGGAAGCACTGTGCTGGGGAAGGGTTGATCTTCAGATGGTATCTGAATATATGGGAGAATGACCAGGTAAAGGAAAGGGAGCTCACAGGTTAAGCACCGATAAGGAGGGAGGTGCACGTTGTCAGTGGTGAAGAGCAAGGGTTTTGGAATCCAGTAAAATTTAAATTAATTAGTTTTGACATTAGACATTAATACTACCTTCTTCATGGGGTTTCGTTAAAGACTGAATGAGATAATGTGGAAGAAATGATCGGAATGCAATAAATAATCAGTAAACAGCTACTGTACATGAGCTCATCTGATCTATGAAGTTGGTGGAAATTGCTTTTCCTGTTTTACAGCCTAGGACACGGAGGCTTAAGGGGTTGAGCCAGTTTCTCAAGGCAACACGGGTAGCCTGTGGAAGAACTGAGGTTTGGACCTAGATGTGTCTTATTCCAAAATCCTTGCGCCTTCCACTGCACTAAGCCATCTCCCATGATTTGGCTGGGACTCTGCTCCTGCAAAGCAATTATAGCTGTCCTGTTTGCTATCTGCTTAGTAGCCTCATTAGAGAAGGCTGTCATTGTAGCCTATTCAAGTTGTAGGGCTCTGCAAAGTGAGAGGGGTGAAAATGATGCTTGCAAAGCTTCCTGGGAGCTTTGGATACCTAGAAGGAGCAATAAGATGTGGGTCTCCAGGTACCCACATCTGATGGGTGGTGACCTCCTCCCTCCTAGACCCTTGGTAGTTTCTTTTTTCTACCTTGGCTAGGGCCTCAAGTAACCATGAGGTCCAAGGGCTCCCTAGGGATCCTCTCACACCACCTGCAAGACTAAAGATACCTAGGAAAAGCTTTAGGTGAGGATATGTAGCTGGGAGAGGAGAACACATAAAGGGGCTTGGGAGTGGGCTAGAGATTAGGGGAGGGAAACAGTCTGTCCCTGTGCTCACAAGAGCCCTCAGTCATCTCTGACAGCAGCAAGGACATGGGCTCTTTTTGGAATCAATTCCTTTCCTGGGTTTTGATAGAGAAGGAATCCACTTTGCCTGAATCTGTTTGGTTCCTGAATCCTAGAGAGCAAGTAACAAGGGTTCAGACAGTGAAGAATGCCAGCCCAACCCTCCTCAGAATTGTTTATTACTTTCCTGCCTTCAGATTGTGAGAGTTTGGGTAGCAATGGATTCTCACACTGCAGACACTCAGTTCTACCTCTGAGCCCCCTCATTTCACACCCCCTGTTCATCCAGCTCTCACTTATACCCTGCCCTCTCTAACCCATCACTGTGCTACTAACTCAGCCACTGCCTTTCTCACTGGATGTTCGTTTATTTCTTCAATCTCTTATACCCACAACTCATGTCACATCCACCCATCCGTCCATCTGTTCATCTGTCCATCCATCCATCCATCCACCCACCCACCCATCCATCCATTTATCTGTCCGTCCATCCATCCAACCACCCATCCATTTATCTGTCCATCCATCCATCTGTCCATCCATCTGTCCATCTGTTTATCCCATCTCTCCATTCATCCATCCACCCACCCGTCTACCCATCCATCCATCTGTCCGTCTATCCATTCATCCATCCATTCATTCATTCATTCATCCTCCCAACCATCCATCCATCTGTTCATTTTTCTCTTCCGTCATCCATCCATCTACCCTATCCATCTATCCACTCATCTGTCCATTCATCTGCCCACCCATCCATTCATCCACCCACCCATCCATCCACCTGTCCATCCATTTGTCCTATTTGACCATCCATCCATCCATCTGTCCATCCATTCATCCATCTATCCATCCAATCTATTCATCCGTCCGTCCATCCATCCATGCATTCGTCTGTCCATCCATTCACCTGCTTACTTATACCTTCACTGAATGTGTTCTCAGCTCCCCATGTACTGGGAGCTGGGCTGTGTGCTATTACTGTACAGATGAATTAGCATTAATCTGGTTGCATGGAGACAGCTATTTAAATAGACACCTAAAATACCTGGTGACGATTGACAATAGAGACCTGGACAGTGTGTTCTGGGAGCACCGTGGAGGTGGAGGGGAGAGAGGAGGCGGCAGCTGTTTCCTATTTCCTCAGTGAGCTCCCACATTAGTCCCCTACCTTTCAGTTCATGGAGCTCTTGCTCATTACCCTGTTACAGATACCCCAGCTCCCCTCCAGGTAATTAGAAAACTGCCAGGTCCATTTTATAGATGAAAAAAATGGAGGCTCAGGGAGACCCAGCCACTTGCGTACATTTGTGAGCTGCAGCGCTGGCATGCAGAGAAGGGTGGCTATGCATACCCTGGGGTCATTTTCTTTGCTTGGCAGATGGCCATGGGCACCATAGGACTGACCGGTGCTTCCTTCTCTCTCTGTGCTCTTCTCGTTCCTGGATGGCTTCAGTTCTCTCCCAGGAGTGAGGCGGTTCACCCCAGGGTGGCCCCTCTTCCTTTACTCCCATGCAGTATGTTCTGACTCATAACTGAAAGTGTTTTGCTGGATAAGACGATGGGGACTGACAGGCATGACATACCTGTGATATACCTGAAGGAAACACACGGTGGTGAGAATGTTAGACATCAGACACTGTCTTATGTCATTGCCTAGTCCTCCCTGGGATGGACAGAGGTCACCTGGCACCAGGACCCCTGGGTCAGAACCATCACTCTGAGAGATGCTTGCAGCATGATATTGGGCATGCCATGTGACTTGACCTCTAGAACTTTGCTACTGAAAGCTTGGTCCATGGACTAGCAGCAACTGATGCCACTCGGGAGCTTGCTTGCAATGCCCCAGCCCCCACCCGCTGTGTTTTAACAAGATCCAAGGTGATTCTTATGCTCATTGGAGTTTGAGAACTGCCTCTCTCTAAGCCCCAACTTCCTTAACTGTAGAATGGGAATAGAAATATTCCCTGAAACATTAGTGTGAGGATTAAATAAATGCACTTGAAGATCTCTGTGTGATCGACTGATTGTCCTGATTTGTCCAGGACTGAAAGGGTTCCTGCAAAGCGGAACATTCAGGTTTAACATTGGGATGGGTTGTCAACCTGCTTTCACCTCAGTGCTTGGCACGCGATAAGAGCTCCTTTGCCATGGTGCTGCAAAGTTGTGTCATTTAGAAGACGTGGAAAAAAGCCACAGGGGAGCTGTTTGTATTTGCATTAGTGCTGTGTTTGTGGGTTGTAGTGTTTTGGGTTTTGTTGCTGTCATTGTGGTTGATTCTTTCTTGATTACAACAGCCACCATAATCACAGCTCTCATTAATGGAGCTCTCGGTATGTGCTCAGAGTAATACATGCATTATCCCAATCACAACAACCTCTTTAAGGTAGGGAATAAAATTCCCTCCATTTAAAAAAAAAAATGAGAAAATGGAGCCTCAGAGCTAGTAAGGATTTTGTCCAAGGCCCAGACACCAGTAAGAGAAAGAGCTGAAATTTGAACCCTCTATTTGGTACCAGTGTCTGTGCCTTTGATAACAGGAACATACAGACTCCCAAAGGGAGAAGAAGCAATTTCTTCTGGAACTTGAGCATTCAGAGCTGTTTGGAGACATTTCTTTGAGAACACTGGGATATTTTTGAAATGGACATTTCGACGATAATGTTTACCACCAGGGCCTGCCCCTAGCAAGTGTTATGGGAAAGCCCAAGACACTCCTTTTTATTGCAGAAATAAAGCTGCTTCCTTCAGTTCAGCAGCAGCTCCTCTATGTATGATAGCCGGAGACGAAAACTTAATGAACGGGACTGGTTTGCTTTTTCTCTTTGCTGGAACAGCTTAATGATAAGCGATTATTATTGGTGGCAACTTGTCATGTCTTAAGTCTTGGTCTTGGCTGTTGTGGCTGTCAGAGTCTTTGAGAAGAAACCAATCTCAGCACATATTAGAGAAAAACAAAAAACAATGAGGAAAGATGAAGAGCTCATGCAGGGAAAAGTGAGATTTGTGAAGAGAGGTGGGTGTCCCAGGAAAAAGGGAAGAATGATGAAGAAAAAGAGAAGAATGGTAAGAAAAGGGAAGGATGATGAAGAGAGATGCACTACCCTGTAGTTTGAATTATTCTGATTCAAGTTCAGGAAGATGAGTTAAACATGTTACATTATTTTTTTCCTAGCCAAAGTGGCATCAGTAATCTTTGATTGCAAGTGACAGAAAAGCTAATCAAATTGGCTTAAGCAAAATGAGGTAATTAATTGGGACATGGAATTGACAACAAGAGAATTTGTCTTCAGGTGTGGCTTGAACAAGGTGTTCAACATGGATATCAGAACTTGGTAACTCTCGATCTTACAGCTTAAACTTTGGGTCTGATAGCTTTCTTCTTAGGATGGTATATAGTGGTTGGGTGGCTGCCAGAAATTCTGGTAGAACATCCATCCAAGTTCAAGTCTAACAGTAAAAGAAGCTGTCTTTTCCTAGTCCCTTTCTTCATAAATCCAGAAAGCCACTCTGATTAGATCAGATTAGGAAATGTTCCACCCCCGAATTAATTACTGGCACTATGGGCCAATTGGCTTGACTGAGAGAGAGGAAAATGAGGGCTCTCAGGGGGAATTCACTATTACCAGTAAAGGAAGAACAGATGCTCAGTGGTCAGAATAAAAAATATCCACCAGGTGGCTCAGGGAGGCCCATGCTTCATGAAAAAAAAGGGATCTGAAGAAAATAGTTTCAGAGGCACAGAGAAGGCCAGGGGCCCAGTCACAGTTGGGACTTGCAAAATAAAGCTGTTTCCTTGTGCTTAAGTTTATCAGCTCCTCAGAGACCCAACCCCATGGTCTCTGGTCCAGTAGGATTTCCCTCTGGCTTTAGTGGGAATCAGGCTTGCTTTCTGTGTGAGATTAGCTGGACCTAGCCCCAGACAATCCATAATTGCTAATGACCCTGTTTGGAAGCGTGGAGTCAGATGCTCACCTGCATGTTGACAGAGCACCAGGTAAAGCCAGCTTGGGTCTTTGCTGTTTCCTTGCATAACAATAAGGGTCTGAATCTCAGCAGGGCCTCCTTTTGGCCAGCCCTGCTAATGATCTAGAAAGCAGGGCTGAGTTCAAGAGCAATGATCATTGTGTGGTCCTAATTAATGTACAGTATATTGGGCTGTCCTAAATCAGCTGCAACGAGAATCAAGAAATACATTTCTCCATGCATTTATGTGTTCTTTCCTCTGGCATTGTGGACTTGATAGTGGGAAACTTGGCTCTGGGTGGTAAACTGGGACAAGGTCTGAAATTCCCAGGAAAACATGGAAGTTCTAGCCACAATATTTGAAGTTAGAGTACCAGTTGACTAAATGATATAGCAAACGAAAGATGCTGGCTGCATCTTTCAAGTCATAACCTAGCAAGTGTTATGGGAAAGCCTGAAAGACTCCTTTTTATTCCAGAAATAAAGCTGCTTCCTTCAGTTCAGCAGCAACCCCTCTATGTATGACAGCCCTTCTATGTTAGTCAATGTAGGCTTACCTATTGGCACAGATCAGAATTCCAGAGGGAAGAACAGGGTTATCTTACACAAAATCCCCCAAATTCCAGGTTTCTCCCAGGTTCCCTATTGGGAGACACTGGTGGCACATTTAGCAGAGGAGTTGTTTGCAATACAGTTGACCTAGGAATTAGATACAGACTCCCTATCCTGACTACAGGGCATTCATTGTGTGATGTGGCCTTTGCTTCCTGTCCTAACTCATGTCTCACCACTCTCTCTTGCTCCTTAAACTTCAGCTGTTCTGACTTTCCTTCTGTTCCCTGAACTTGACGAACCCTCGCTTACCTTGGCATATGTGTCTTCTGCTGGAATGGCTCTCCCTACTCTCATCTCGCCCCTAATCTTTGCCTGGATGACTCCTTCTTCATATCATTTTGATCAGCTCCAATGTAGCAGATCAGATGACCTAGAGTGGGGCTCCTCTCTCCACCCCACTCCTGAACTATGACATCATTTGATTTCCTTGAAATTATTCTATTTTGTTTTATTCAAATTTTTAAAATTTGAGATGGGTCTTACTCTGGGGTTGGCCAGACTGGTTTCAAACTCCTGGCCTCAAGCTATCCTTCTTCCTTGGCCTCCCAAAGTGCTGGGATTACAGGCATGAGCCACCATACCCGGCCAATTGTTCTATTTATTGATGTCCTTCTTTGTTTGTCTCCTCCCCTAAGAATGTAAAATTCATGGAATCAGGGTCCTTCACTTTGGTAGCCTCCTTCCCTAGATTCACTTTCCTGGAACAATGCCTGGTACAGAGCTGGAGTTTGTTAAATTTGTTGAATGAATGAAAGACAATCCACGGATGAATGTCTCTTTCTAGAGTGGTAGGTCTGGCAGGTCTGCTTAAGTACATAGAGCATGGGATCCTTTCCTGCCCACGGGCAGTCTTGCACTCTAGGGGGGATGCTTGTGCCAGTTTCCTTCTCAAAGAAGTGGTCCAGCAGTCTGCAAGGTGCTGAGCAGAAGTCAGGAGGGCACGGTGCCCTACCCTCAAGAATTGTCAGTCTGAAGGACATGCAAGATTCACACCTCTCCGCAACTAGGCAACCACATACGATCCAGATTAAAATCTTTAATGCAGGGATAATAATAAGACATCCCACTGTATGCTATATAGAGCTACATATTGGATATGCCCAAGAGAGATATTGGCTATGATGATGGTCATGATGATGATGGTGAGGAGGAGGAGGATGGATGTGATGATGATGGAGGATGATGATGACAGAGGAAGGGGGAGGGAGGTGGGTGGTGGTGGAGTAGTTGTTTTCCAGTGTGACCAATTCAGCTTATGTGCACGTGAGAATGCTATCCATCTGAATCCTCAGGCTTACCAGGCTTATTTGATGTTTTTACTTTTCCTCTCACCCCTGGAAATTGAAATAAAATATGTTGAAATGCTCAGTTGATACACTATGAGAGTAACAGAAAGCACATCAGGGCTTACCAGGGCTCACAAGGGCAGTCCTCAACAGGAGAATGCAAATTCCCCAGGAGTCTCTCTGGATCGTTGCTGAGTTACCTCCATTATTTCCTTTTCTTGGCAGACAGCAGGAAAATAAGTTGTGGAAATGGGTGTGGGGTTGACAATAGTGACCAATTCTCTCATGCTTCTTGGGTGTAAGCCTCCTGCCCCTCTCATCCTTCCCCAAGTACTTATCAGGCCCCTAGTGTGTGTCAGACATTGTACTTGGCTTTAAAGATACTAACTTGAATACCTACTTCTCAACCATACTGCTGTTGAGAAGAGACAGAGGAAAAACTAATAAATCAGCTTTAAAGTTCAGATACTCAGGCCACAGAGATTCCCTTTCAATCAGACTTGCATGGGGCACAATGCATAGGTTATTCTTTGATAACTCTTCAAGGGATTCATATGTGCAGCCAGGAATGAGAGCCACTGATGTGAGCAAGGGAAAACTGGATGCATCTCACGATGACTGAGCTGCCATCACCATGGGGCCATGTAGATCTCAGGGAAGTCATTTAACCTCTCATCCTGTGTCTTTAGGAGAAATGCCATCCATGAGTGTTATGCCACTTGCGTTATCTCTTGAGTAGTTAGGATCAAAGAGATAATGGGTGTGGATGGGCTTTGTAACCTTTATGAATGGGTAAATGGAATGTAAGTTGCTATTATGCTCTAGGAAACACCAGGCTTTGGTACCCATGGAGTCAGGTGTCACCCTGGGGACCGAGCAAGCTCTGGAACATTCTGGAACAGGATTGAATGCTCTAGACCTGATTGAATGAGTCCTCAGTTATGATGGTACTGAAACACAGAGTCTAGAGCAGACACCCAGAATCCCACACCCTCCTGCCTCCCTCGCTCTGTGTTTAAAACAGTTTGTTCTGTCTTCCGCAGAGCAGTGAGCATGGGGAGAGAAGTGCTTTTGCTTCAGAACCAAAGTGGGTGTATGAAATCTGTTCCTCTCCCCCAGCTGCACATTCTAAGGAAGCCGAGTGCCAGAGGTGGTCAGAGGCTGATATGTAGAATCCGAAAAATACAGGCTGAGCCATGGCAGGAGGAGGTAAGTGCAGGAGAGGTGGCCTCTACCATCAAGACAGGGAGTGGAAAGGATGTTCAGGGGCTTTGGGCTATTTGGCATATTGGACGCCAGGCCCTGGGAGTGTGGCCAGATTCCCCATCATGTCCTGCCAGTTCATAAAATCACCTTAGGAAATCCCAAAGTTAAATGTGAGCCTCTTCATTGCTCTGCTATGCAATTATATTTTGCAAATAGGCCCTTGCTTCTGTCCCTCCAAGGGGTAGATGATGCTTTTGGTCCATGGTGGTTTTTGGGTTGAATTTTAAGATACCAATAGAAATGACAGTAGTACAGGGTAACTGCATGATGCCCAGGAAGGACATTAGGGATGGTTTCTCTCCAAAGCATGGATTCATTGCTGTATGGAAAGGCAGTTTCTTCTTTGCATTATACAGGCTCCTTGGGCTCAGAATGAATGAGCTGGTTTGCATGGGGTGGTGGGGATTTGAAACCAGCATGTCAGTGGACCTGGAGAGGCCAGTTCTTGAAATAGGATGAGGACCCTCTTAGGTTTCTGACGATGTCTGTGTGGTCTGTAGGACCGAGGATGTGGAGACAAGCACCCAAACTGTCAAAGTCAGGCGTGGACAGATGAGTCTCCCACTTCTACCTTTTCATCCCATTCTCACAGCAGACCCATGTGATGGAAGGGTCATTATTCCTATCTTATAGGTAAAGAAACTCAGGCCCAGAAAGATTAAGCACTTTTTCAAAGCCACGGGGCTGGCTAGGTTAGCCACAGTCCCTCAGAGGCAGGACTTGAATTTAGGTTCAATAGACCCTAGAGCTCATGGTATTTCAACTATAAAGCTGGTGCACATAGATGGGTAGGCTAGGGAGTCTGAACTTAACATGGTAGGCCTATGGGAGCTATTGATGACTATAGAGCAGGGCAGTGGCATGGTTAAAGGGGTGCTTTAAGAGTTTCAACCAGGCAGCTCTGAACAGGGTGAGTTGTTGAGATGCTCCAAGTCCAGAGTGTGGATTACCTCTTGCAAAAGATAGCATGATCTCCTGATGTGAAATATTTGCTGAATACTTCATACTTGATGGGCACTACACTGGGTGTTTTGATACAAGAGAATCATTTAATTCCTACAACTTAATGAGGAAGCACCATTATTGGCAACAGCAGAGTGCAGAGGTAAAAACTCGAGACCCTGAGGGCAGGCAAACCTGATTTTCTACCTGTACGAACCTGGAAAAATCACCCTACTTCTGGGTCTTTTTTCATTTGTAAAATGGGCATACTATTAGTGCCAACTTAATAAGGTGGTTGGGGGTGGCATTAAATGAGATAGCACCTAGAAAGTGAGGAGCAACGTGACTCTCATAGAGTAAGTATTTCTAGCATGTTTACTATGATCATTATTACCATAGCCACACCCATTTTATAGATGAGAAAACTGAGACTTAGAAAGGCTGAGTGTTTTTTTTCCCCCCCATCCAAGGCCACATAATGAGGATTGGAGCTGGGTAGTCCAACCCCAGAGGTTCTAGTATTCTCCATTTTCTGCAGAGAGGCTGCGAATGGGGATCAGCATAGTGGGTAATGGGAGAGATTCAGCTTGGGCTGAAGTTTGGCATGACAGGGGGTGGAGACAGCACAAAGCAAGGGTTTTTGCACCTACTCTTTCACAGATGGCCTGTGCCGAGCTGGCTCTGGGCCAATTAACTGCTGTCCCTCCAATTATCTTTCTCCTGAGGAAGTTCACAGTGCAGCCATGCCTTCCTCTCTACATGTAGAGAACCAGATAAGATGCGTGTGCTTACAGCTTTGCTCTGTGCACAGACCTTTTCATGGGTACCCTGGTCATGTCTAGCTCAGAGTACATAGAGCAAGGGTGTTGGAGGATCCCACATTCCATCACCATCTGGCATGTCTGACCTCCACCTCTCCACCAGTACCAATCTTCCCAAGGAAGTGTCTCATAGACCCTTTTTATTAGGTTCCAATGGTGCCTTTAGCGTGTGTCTTGTTGAGAGCTTTCTGTATTCCTTGTGTACTTAGTGCAAGATGCTGATCCACCACCTTTTGCAGTCAGAAGGTAACTCTGGTGACTGGCTTCCTTTGAGGCATCATTTACATGGGAGCTATCACATTTCTTTTGTAATTTAGAACATTTTTGCCCCATCCCAAGAGGCGTCTCACAGTGTGTGAGGTTGGCGAATATAATTGCCTTTAGACTCTACTTCTGTGTTGTCTTCTGTTGGTGGTTTTTTTTATCTTGTTGCCCTATTTTGGCATTAATGAAGTTCTGTGGACAACTGCTGAGGTTTATAGGTCTTCTATATTCTCCTCTTTATCAATAAAGGATACATTGAGATATAGGTTGGGTATTGGATGGTTGGGTAGTTCCTCAGGGTAGGAAGGTGTAGGTGATGATCTTGAAGGTTTTGTTTTGTTTTGTTTTGGACACAATATTCAGAATCCACACAAAATACAATCTCAGATACTGAATTCCCATTCTTTCCATTTCTGGTCTTAACCAAGGACAGTCCTTTAGGCTTCATTCACATCTTCATTCCCTTGTCATCCACTTATGGGTGTGCCAAGACTTCTGCCAGGTTCTGGGGACATAAAGATGAAAACAACAAAAATCTCTGCCCTTGAGGAGCTCACAGTCTTGTTGAGATGTGATTTAAAATGGTTAATCAATTCAAGAATATTAGATTTCTGCAAAAGCTACTGTAGGGAAAACAATAATTATCCAAAGTCTTTAAATCTATTACCCACTTTAATTAATTTAATTAGGTAAAATTCATGGAACTGCAATGTTGGAAGGGGCCCAGAAGACATTTATTCTTGTTTCTTCTCTGCCTTCAGGCCATGCTTCACTCAAATTATCCCCCAAACCCATGCATTTCAGAAAAGAGCAGTATTTCGAAGAACTATAGCTTTTGGCCCATTCTGATAGAACTTTTAGTGAGCACCCACAGGGAAAGTGATGTAAACTTGTTGAAGGAATTGACATGCACAGCTACAAAGTATTGTTCTGAAAAACATGAATGGAACATCCACCTTTCACACACACACACACACACACACACTCTCTCTCTCTCTCTCTCTTTCTCTCTCTCTCTCTCTCTCTCTCAGTGGAATCCCCATAAGTTATCTTGTTGAGGTTGTGTTCAATACTCATGGTAAATACAGAACGCAAAATAAAAACATGGCTGTAATATGATGAGGACCTTTTGATAATTCTTTCAGTTCCCTGAAAGAAATACATCTCAGCACTTCTCAAATCCTGTTTTGCTCTAACACAGAGGCATACCTTCTGTTTAGTTGGCATTTTTGCACCATGTCCACAAGTCAACAACGTGGTTTAAGCATCTGTTCCATACAGATCTTCAGTGATCCCAGGAAGACTGTGATTGAGTGTCAGAAAGGGGGCAGGATGCAGAGTCATGGCACTGAGGTACAGATGTCTACTTGCTCTGTGACTGTTTTGAGCCTCGTTTTCCCTGCCAGCAATACCAACTTTGTAGGATCATTATGGGGATTTGATGAGTTAGGGGGTATGAAGGCAGTTTGTATATTGTACCACTGTATGCATCACCTGCCTTTTCTAAATGGAAATTTGTTCTCACAATCGTAGATGGGTGGAGATGTTAGGGCTAATAGAGGCCCTTTAACCTGACATAAGTTACCATGCCACTTTCTAGGGTGAGAGCATTCAGTGACTCTCCCTTATGCTCTGAATAGGCCCTATGTGCTTGGATTTCTGCCAAGCTCTTCAACATCGTATCGTCCGCCTCCTTTCGGTGCCATGATGCATTCATCTACAGCTTCTGAGATAGTCGCAGTGCATCCTCGGGATTCCTCTGACTGTAACATCCATGCACTTCTCCTCTTCCTCACCTGGATTCTCCTTCAGCACTTCATATACCTCTTTTAGCTCTTAGTTTGTAGAAGTTGTCTTCCACTTAATTCTTATTAAGAACACTTAATAAGGTGTTCGATAAATATTTGTTGATTGAAAAGGTAGATGTCCACATGGTATTTATGATACTCTGTATTATGTGGGAGCCGTATGTTCAAGTGACAGAAACCCTACTCAAACTCCTTAAATGAACATAGAAACTCACTGGCTTGTATAACAAAGGGGTCCAGGAGAAATGGCTTCATACTTGGCAGACTCTAGGGGCTCCAAATATATCGTTAGAAAACTGTCTTTGCTGATGCTGTTTTATTTCCGTGGCTTGATTTTCCGGTCATGAGCTGGGGTGGG
The DNA here is from genome assembly GCF_000001405.40 of Homo sapiens. NCBI lineage: Eukaryota > Metazoa > Chordata > Mammalia > Primates > Hominidae > Homo > Homo sapiens. The sequence continues at coordinate 9,938,880 of NC_000016.10, read as the reverse complement.
GGTCAGATAGAGTTTGTTCTGTTAGAACCATATAGACTCAAAGGAGGAAGGGGCAGGACGAACTAGAGGAAAATGAGAAGAATAGATGATAAGCAAGCAATAATTACAGACATCCTTCCAGGACCTGGCTATGAGCTCCTGAGTACAGGGGCTTCTGTCCTCTCTGTATTTGCAGGATCTGTTCTGGAGTCTGGGATATAGTAGATGCTCAGGAATGTCTGCAAATGATTGATGTGTGATTTACTTTCCTTACTTCTAGGACGCAGTTTGTGCTTCTATATAAACCACCTCCTGCCTCATCCTCTGTTTTACTTTCTTTTCACTGGCAGGATCCGACGTCTACCTTCTTCCAGTTTGGAGCGTCCATCCAGCAGCAAGCCACGGTCATGCTGAAGATCATGCAGGATTATGACTGGCATGTCTTCTCCCTGGTGACCACTATCTTCCCTGGCTACAGGGAATTCATCAGCTTCGTCAAGACCACAGTGGACAACAGCTTTGTGGGCTGGGACATGCAGAATGTGATCACACTGGACACTTCCTTTGAGGATGCAAAGACACAAGTCCAGCTGAAGAAGATCCACTCTTCTGTCATCTTGCTCTACTGTTCCAAAGACGAGGCTGTTCTCATTCTGAGTGAGGCCCGCTCCCTTGGCCTCACCGGGTATGATTTCTTCTGGATTGTCCCCAGCTTGGTCTCTGGGAACACGGAGCTCATCCCAAAAGAGTTTCCATCGGGACTCATTTCTGTCTCCTACGATGACTGGGACTACAGCCTGGAGGCGAGAGTGAGGGACGGCATTGGCATCCTAACCACCGCTGCATCTTCTATGCTGGAGAAGTTCTCCTACATCCCCGAGGCCAAGGCCAGCTGCTACGGGCAGATGGAGAGGCCAGAGGTCCCGATGCACACCTTGCACCCGTAAGAAAGGGCTTGTTGTCTCCCAAAGTGGGATCAGAGTTTTGCTGTTGTCATTGTTTGCTTGCTTACATACTCATTGTTGGAAATACGCACTGAAAATGCAGAATGTTATGTGTTTACTTACGGGACTTTTATTTTGCTCTCCTCTCTCTTTCTTTCATCTCCTTTGTAAGAAAAGTCACATTAGACTTTGTTTCCTGCAACTTAACTTTTTTTTCTACTCAACAATATATCTTGGAAACCTACACCTGGGATTGATCGATCTGTCTGTCTGTCTATGGCTGTATCTCAAGTGTATCTATATTTTTTGTAACTCATAAAGATTTGAACCCAGATAAGTCTAACCTCATAGCCCTCATCACATTCTTCACTATGATATCATGGTATCATGATTTAGTTATCCAGTCTGCATAATGGTAGGAATTTACGAGTTAATTTTCTTTTATTTAAAAAAATTTTGTGGGTACATAGTAGGTATATATATTTATGGGGTACATGAGATGTTTTGACACAGGCGTGCAGTGTGAAATAAGCACGTCATGGAGAATGGGGTATCCATCCCCTAAGCATTTATTCTTTCAGTTACAAACAATTCAATTATATTCTTTATGTTAAAATACACAAGTCATTTATTATTGACTATAGTCACCCTATTATGCTATCGTATAGTAGGTCTTATTCATTCTTTCTATGTTTTTTTTTACCCTATTGATCATCCCCACCTCCCGCCCCAACCCCCAATACAAAAATGTGTTTATTTATGGGATAAGTGAAGTATTTTGGTACAGGCATACAATGTTTGATAATCACATCAGGGTAAATGGGGTTTTCATCACCTCAAGAATTCATCATTTGTCTTATAAACATTTAATTTAGGGATTTTGAAGCTTCCTATTAGAAGCTAAACAGCTGTGATAATCTTTATACATGTCTAAGCACATGTGCAAGTGTTTTTTCTAGGGTTGATTCTAAGATATAGGATTTTTGGGTCCTAATTCATGTGCATTTTTAAATGGAAGCATCTATTGCCAGATTGTCCTGCAAAGTAACAACACCAATTTATAGTCACAACAACAGTTTGTGAAACTACCCAGTTTCCCACATCCTCACCAACATGTTACGCTTTGGGGAAACTTCCCACACTAGTGCTCCTGGTCTCTGTTTGATTTTGCATTTGATTTTTTCCCTTCTTATATTCTAAGTATTTTTGTAGGCCATTGGAAATCTTGGCAAACATTACTCACAGAACCGCATTATATTCCATTATGTGAATGTATCATAATTTATTTAGCTACTCCCATCTTGGCGAACATTTAAGTTAAATTTTAGGTTTCTGAGAAGTGTCATTGTTCCTTGTGGCCCATCATTATGGTTCAGCTGTTGAGATTTAGAATGATCACTCCTATCCCAATTTTGCATGGTTTTGCCTGATGTTCACTGATTTAATCCACGCTTTATTCCTCAGATAATGAGCAGTGTAGAACTGTGATTAAGGGCCTCAACTCTGGAGTTAGACTTGTCTGGGTTCAAAGCTTGTCTCGTCCACTTTCTGTATGACTTGCACATCATTTTACTTTTCTGGGCCTCAGGTGTTTATTGCAAAGTGATGATAATAGCACCTAATTTCTAGGCAGTGGTTCTCAAGCCTCAGCAGGCATCAGAATCTCTGGGAGGACTTGTTAAGACACAAATTACTGGGCCTCAATCTCAGAGTTTCTAATGTAATAGAAAATATGGGGTGAGCCCAGAGAATTTGCAATTTCTTTCAAGTTTTTGGGTGATGTTGATGTTCTTGGTCTAGGGGCTGTGCTTTGAGGACCAATGTTCTAGAGATTGTCATATTCATTGAGGTGCCGCATGAAAAGTACTGTTTAGCACGGTATTTACCACATAGTAATACTAAATAACTTCCAGAGTGATCAGTGAAGTTTTTGGTCATCAGAAATTACAGTCAGCAGGCTGGGTGTGGTAGCTCATGCCTGTAATCCTAGCACTTTGGGAGGCCGAGGTGGGTGGATCGCTGGAGGCCAGGAGTTTGAGACCAGCCTGGTCAACATGGTGAAACCCTGTCTATACTAAAAATACAAATGTTAGCCAGGTGTGGTAGAGCATGCCTGTGATCCCAGCTACTCATGAGGCTGAGGCAGGAGAATCACTTGAACCCAAGAGGGAGAGGCAGAGGTTGCAGTGAGCTGAGATCGCACCACTGCACTTCAGCCTGGGTGACAGAGTGAGATTCCATCTCAAAAAAATAATAATAATAAAAGGGAAATACAGTCAACAAACCATGTTGGTTTATTACCAGCAGGGTACTATGTCACTCTGAAATATTTCTGGAAGGCTTTAGGACTTTGAATCTGCTACAGTTCAGAGGTTATCTCTGAACTGGGGCTGGAGGAGTGTGTGTGTGTGTGTGTGTGTGTGTGTGTGTGTGTGTGTGTGTGTGATGAAGTAGACAGAATATACTTCTTACAATTAACATAAATCTGAAAAATGAACCTTGAATTAAGAAATCATGCTCCTTTGACATTTCTCCGTCCTCTGTCCTTTTACTCTCTTTAGTAATCCTGTTTCTACACTGCCACTTTCAGCATTTTAAATAATTGTCCAGATATCAGGAAGGAACTCAGATAAATCAGCATGAGACATGGGAGTCTCTTACAGAGGCAGGATTGCTGCCAGCCCAAAGACACAAACGAGGCTAATGAATTCTCACTTCCATCATAATATGTGCCCTGCAGCTGGAATATTCAGAAACATATAATTTTGATGGAAACATAAATCAATTTTAGGGCAATTGAAATATAACATATACAGGAAAAGGAATTCTAGAAGGATAATTGGCAAGACATTTAGATCCCTTTCCAGTGACCACCCTGGATTCTATGCTTTTTTTAAAAAATTCTGCTGCTGTGAAATGCTGTTGCGCAATTTCCCAAAGTTACGCCTTTAAACACAGTAATTTTGTAAATGGTATTTCAGCCCCAGAGAAGCAATGCATCAAGCGTGGTAAGTCGCCATCCACTGCTTGGTGTTTAATGAAACATCTCTCCATCCATGCAGGGCTGGTGGTGTCCACCCAGTGTGTAAGTTTGGATAAGGCACAAGCAGTCTCTCCTTCCCACACTCTCCCACGGTCCCTGACGCCCACCCCAGGGAATAGTGGAAACCTGCCAGGCTGCCCTTGACAGGGAGCTAGAGAAAGGCCAAAGAAAGCATTTAAAAACAAAAAAACAAAAAGGATTATATCTCCTTTTTTTTTTTTTTTTTTTTTTTTTTTAGACAGAGTCTCGCTCTGTCTCCCAGACTGGAGTGCTGTGGCACAATCTCGGCTCACTACAACCTCTGCCTCCTGGATTAAGCAATTCTCCCGCCCCACCCTCCTAAGTAACTGGGACTACAGGTGCGCACTACCACATTTGGCTAATTTTTGTATTTTTAGTAGAGACGAGGTTTCACCATGTTGTCTAGGCTGGTCTCAAACTGGTGACCTCAGGTGATCCACCCGCCTTGGCCTCCCAAAGTGCTGGGATTACAGGCATGAGCCACCACACCTGGTCAAGGCACTATATTCTATCCTCTGTCTATCATTGCTTCCAACCAACAGACTCTGTGCTAGCCCCTGGGATACATAGATGAATTAAGATATAATTTCTCTCCTCAAACACCATACAGTCTGATCAAGGTGGGGGAAATTTATCTAAAGACAAACTTAGGAATAAGAATTCTTTTTTTAATATTGAAAAAAGAATAGTACAGAAAACAACAGAATCTGATAAAATACTCAACCCGATATTCATCATAGGGAACAAAGCTAAACCTGCCAAAGGTTAATGTTTGTTTCAACATTTTGAAAGCAATAAAACATTAATGATAATGTAGAAGTTCTGATTCTATCTGTTTCCCTGTCCCAGTTTTCTCCTGTTCTCTCCATAGAAGGGAAAACATGATAATCAGTTTGGTTTACATCCAAATCCATGTACATGTGTTCGTACTTTCAATACACATACATGTGCAACCGTATTCCCAATGCATACTTCTGTCTAACGTACAAAAATGGTGTCTAATGTGTTAGAACTTCCTTTACCTCAACCTTATGTTTTCAAAATCCCTCTATGAAGATAATTCAATTGCATTTATTTTATTGATGATATTCTGTTGTATAAGTGTTCCATCTTTACACTTACATAATTCCTCTTTGATGGACATTTAGGTTTTTTTATAGTAAGATATTTTTCAGTCTGGATAGCTGAAAGCAGAGAACAGACCTATCTGTAGCCTGTGTTAGATCTACCAGCTTGTTCAATAGAAGCCCAGGACTCTGGAGTTAGGAGTTCTTCACTTCAAGCTTAAAAATTACATTTGCAGCTGGATTAAGGTCTTACTCTGCAAAGCATCTGATAAACAAATAGCTCTCACTATTCCTCCTATGTAGCAGGGAGGTTGCAAATAGCTCCAGAAGAAGTTCAGATGAGGTCATACCTGATATCTTCGTGGTGAGTTACTGAGGGGATCTGGGATCCAGATTTGACTGGTTGAGAACAAAGTCATGGGGCCAGCTAGACATGCCACTTGGTGGTCCTCATGGACTTTATTTATAATCTCAGGCAAAGAGCTGGTGCAGTTAGGATATTGTTGCTCATGGGCTGGGCGTGGTACCAGGGGCTGCTTGCAAGGGAAGGTATGTTCATGACCTTACACCCAACCGTTTCTGTACATAGAGTTTCAGGCAAAAAAAAGTACAGGAAAGGGGGACATTTTCTTCATGTTTAATATTCCTGATTTTACAGAAGACACTTTGAAAAGAGCAGTCAGCATTTTCCAAAGTTTAAAAATAGCTCAGCCATGTTATATAACCTCCTTGCTACTGCACAGTTATTAAACATCTGTTCCTTCACCAAGCACAGACCATGTCACTGTTAACTCCCAAAATTGTGAAGGTAAACCATGACCTGTTTGGCTGGTGGAATCCCGGCTGTTGTGTCCGGTTCCATCACAAGAATCTGTCCAGTTCAGGAGTGGCCAGGGCCCCCTGGGAGGCAGTGGCATCACGGTTAAGAGCATGGGCACTGGGGCCAGGTTGCATGGGTTCGAACCTAATCTGTACTTTTTTAGACTTCGGACCTTGGGTGAGTCACTGAACTCCACGTCGGCTCCCTCAGGTGTAATATGGGGACAAGAAAAGCATTTGCATCTTAGACCAGTGTGTGGCGTATGGAAAAGCAGTCTGTAAATGGTTACTACTATGGATGAAACTTGTAGATCTAAAGTTATTAGGCCGGGCGTGGTGGCTCATACTTGTAATCCCAGCACTTTGGGAGGCTGAGGCAGGCAGATCACTTGAGGTCAGGAGTTCGACCAGCCTGGCCAACACATGGTAAAACCCTATCTCTACTAAAAAAAAAAAATACAAACTTTAGCTGGGTGTGGTGGTGCACGCCTGTAGTCCCAGCTACTTGGGAAGCTGAGGCAGGAGAATCACTTGAACCTGGGAGGTGGAGGTTGCAGTGAGCTGAGATCACGTCACTGCATTCCAGCCTGGGCGACAGAGCAAGACCCAGTCTCTCAAAAAAAATAAAATAAAATAAAAATGAAATAAAGTTATGAGTGAAGTAAGTGTCTCTTCATGCCATAGCCCATGATATTACCATTTGTTCATTCAAAAAATGTCTTTGGTGTCTTACATAAGCTAAGCACCAATTATTCATAGTTGGAGAGACACAAAAAGGCCATCATGTGATTATCAGGCGGGGCAGGGCTGTCATTCATCTATTGTTTGCTCTGAGGTTTGGGGGCCAGTGGAATATTCCATAGTAGAGGCCCAGCCTCCCAAGTTGGAGGTATAGGAGAAAGAAAAATGTCCTTATGCTAAAGCACAGCACCTAACAAGAGGAGTAGGATCTGGGTGACTCAATGCTCTGTGATTATTTTCCAAGCTGCTTTTTGGTAGCTTTTATTTATTTCCTCTGGTGCTTAAAGCTCTAGCCACTAATGCCTATTTGGGGCTTGGTTCAAGCATATAGACCCAGGTGAAATTCATATCACATTTTAGCCTGTGGTTTTATGAAATGCAAAGCATTAAGTTTGTGCTGTGAGTGCTGTGTGTTTGTGAATGTCTACAGGTGTTTTTGCACACATATATGTACATGGGTATGTATATACACACATGTGCACACGTTTACCTGCATTTTTGTGTGCGTGTGTGTGTGTCTTTCTCTCTGCATGCATATATGTGTTTCTTATTCCACAGCGGAGGGGACACATTTTACACTTACTGAAGAGGAGGTCATAGAAGGGAGAGGGTGGATGTTTTTCAGACCAAAACCCTCTTACCAAAGGATTACCTTGGGAGAAATATGGCCATTGGGAAGAGGGCAGTGTGGCATCAAGAAAACTTCATGGTCTAGGTAGTATGACAGACTTGACTATGAATTTACCACATATTTACCAAGTATAAGTTATTAACAACTGTGAACCCAGGAGTTTTCCTAAAGAGGGTGCGTGTGTAAGATAGACATCTCTTCTTCTTGTAACATCTTAAAGTATATACATTTAGCATGGTGCCAGGCATGGAGAAGGCATTTTACAAATAACTATCAGGTCATTATTATAATTTTATTTTTCTTATTATTGTGGTCATCATCATCATTATTATAACTTTATACTTGTTACACTGCAAGCTCTGAGTAAGCTAGGAAAGCAAGCAATGGAAGTGCATTTCAGTTCTATTCTTTAATTACTGAATTACAACTGTATGTTCTGTGTGGTTCCCATTTTAGTTAGGGAAGTAGGACATGGAGAAGTTACTGCACTGGAAATCAAGTAGAAGAGCTCAAGTAGATCTATAGCACAAATGAGGGGGCAAAAAAAGTCTTATCCCAGGAGAGTTATGAATTAGTATTGAAGGGAAGTTATTTGGCCTTCATTGATGACACCTGGCATGACCATTTATGTGTTTTGGATTGACTTCTTGAGTTATGAAGTCAGGCTTCAGCTTTAAAAACCAACAACATTGTAAATTATTACCCCTGCAGAAAGGGAAATAGAAGGAAGATATATATGTGAGAAAGAGTTTTATTCATGTCTAAGTTACATTGATACTACTTTAAATCTTCATTTCTAAAATAACATAGGAAAAATTCTTGGTTTAATGACCCATTAAGAGACTGTGCTAAACCTGGTTGACATATTTTTATTTAGTAATCAGAATGATCACTGTTGGTTTTTTGTAATGCCAATAGAAATGCCTGCTCAGTTAATTCTCTGAGCTTGACCAGAGTTAAAACTTCCCTAGGTGAATGTGATTAACTCTTTGCAAATATTTATCTGGGAGATCACCATATGCTCAACAAACACTTCTCGCAGTGAAATCAGGCACCTCAGAGGCCAAGCTGTCCTGTGGGCCTTTGCTGTACATCTGATTGGGACTCTGAACTCAGAAGTGGGAAAAACAGCTGAGTCTCAAAGTAAATCAGCAAGAGATACGAGGTGAGAGAATCCAGAGGAACACAAATCATTTTTCCCAAAGCTATGTGACTTTGTGGAATGTAGACTTAGACAGTGCTGTGTTCAAACCCTCTTATTATCTGGGTTATTCTGGGAGAGTTCCTTAACTTCTTTGAGCCTCCATTTCCTTGATTGTAAACAGAGAAAATTCCAAGAATAGGGAGGATGATACCACTTAAATGCAGGTATTGTGCTTAGTCAAGCATCTAGGATATAGTCGGCACTCTACAGGTGTTAATTCTCCTCCTCTCCTGGACTAGAGGCACAGCTTGATCTAGGCCTGATGGACCCATGAGAGTGGGCTGAGCTTGCTGGGTGTTCAGCCTGAGCACTAAGTCAACAGCCTCTCTTCAGCATCATCTCTGTTTGTGGCATCTCTCCTGGAACACAGCCCTCCCTTTTATGGCTGGAAGTCAAAAGAACCGTATGCCAGCCCTGCAATGCAAGTCAATCATTTCCAATTGGCACCCAATGAATAGCTCGACAAATGGTAGAAACCTGATGCTGGCAGCTTGGGAGGACCAGAAGTTGGCCGTGCCTTTACCTTGAGGGAAAGGTGGTTTGGGTTGTTTTGGGGTCACACATAAAGCACAAATATTGTTCACATTTGCCTTAGGCCAGATGTAAGTCTTAGGATTTTGGAACCAGAATGCCGAACAAAAAGGCACATTGATCTATTTCCTCCAGGGATGAATACTAGAGAAGTTTTCATTTTGAAATTTAGTAATTTGGTGACATGTGCTAATTATTTGTTGCCACTCTCTTTTGTGAAAAAACAAAGCAAATTAAGCCCCATCTCTATTACTCTGATGCCTGCTAACAGAGTGTATACTGGGGCTGGGAGGCTTTAATGTGTAGAAACATAGGCTGGTTGGGAGATCATAGCACAGGTCTAGGAAAGAGGAAGTGGTGACTTGCATTACAGTAATAGCTGTGGATTCAGAGAGAAGTGGGCAGGCTTAATGCATATTTGGGCTATAAAATTGACAAGACTTGACAGATGAATATGAGGTGTTAAAAGAGCTATAATAATAATTTTCCTCTTGTATAGCTGAGTAGATGGTGGTGTCTTTTACTAAACAGAAGAAATGAGGAAAGAAATGTTGGGGAACAGAGAGTCAGGGACATCCAATTTTAGACATGTTAAATTAGACATACTTTTGAGATATCCAAGTGGAAATCTCAGTAGGCAATCAGAGAGAAGAGTCTGAGTACAAACCGAAAATGCAATACACAGGATTTGAGCTTATTGATGGCAGTCAAAGCCCTACGACTGGGCAAGGTCTTGCAGGGGAGAATGATGACTCAGGAGGGCCTGGGTTTAAACCATGAGGAACTTTAACATTAATTGGTAAATAATCCTCCAAGGGAAAGGAGAATGTTGGAGAGAAAGAGTTACGCTGTAAATTCCAGGTGCTCTTCCCACATGGAGACTCTGTTCCCAATGTTGATTTTGTTTTGATGCCTGGTGGGCGTCTGCACAGTGTTTGCTCCATGATAGACATCGTAGTAGGCCTTCCAAAAATGTGTAATCTATGGCTATGGTGAATATATCTGGGTTGGGTGCATCCTTGCAGAGTTAATCCTACCGGCAGTTTTATTTAATCAGTACATTGAGAAAGTATGGCAAGTCAAGTTTTGGCTTTGGAGAGATAAGGAAGTGATGAAGCTTTGGGTCTCGACGGATGAGGGAGGTGATGGGTGGTGGAGCATTGGGTCTGGAGAGATAAGAAGGTAATGGAACTTTAGATCTGGACAGATGAGGAGGTGATGGGGCTTTGAGTCTGGAGAGATGAGGAGGTGATAGAGCTTTGGTCTGGACAGATGAGTAAGTGACGAGTGATGGAACTTTGGATCTGGAGAGATGAGGAGGCGATGGAGCTTTTGGGGTCTGGAGAGATGAGGGAGTGATAGTTCAGGCAGGGGGAAAACCTCTGTTTTTGTTTCATTCTGGACACGATTTGGGCAACATCTGATATTGTACAAAAAGACAAAGTTAAAAATCCTTTCTACCAAAAGGGAGAAGCATGCAGCAAAGTATAAAGGGGCAGGTGCTCACGACCGATTAACTTATGAGCTATCGTTGGTTTGCTTTCCTGAAAGAGTATCTGTCTATGCACCTCTATCTATATATAGGCCAAAAGCTCTCCTGATCATCCCTTCCAGGTGGGAGCAAGAGAGGCAGAACGGGCCTCTCCACCTGTTCTCTGCCTTTGTCTCCTTGCTTCTTTGCTTCTCTCACCTCTTGCTTCCATGTGGATGCTGCCTGCCTGCAGGTGTGAATGAGCCCCCGTCCAGGTTCCTGGTGCCTCAAATCCTGGCATGAATCTTAGGGATGGAGGAGTCACGGTCCAGCGTGATGGTGCTAGCTGTGTTCTGCGTGGGCATGGGAGGCCAGCCACATTTCTACATGGGCCTCAAAGTTGGGTAAATGAACTGGCAGATCTGCTGGTGTCTGGTGTACCATTGTCCAAATCCCCACAGTCAGCTTCCTGAGGATCTGCTTCATTTGGTTAAGTCCTGGCCAAACACAAAGAGTAAATCCACACTGCCCAGTTTTCCATGTGATAGAAAATAGCTCTCCTGAGAAATGTGCTCATTTCCTTTTCATTTCCATCACTATTAATAAGAGGAAGTTTAAACAATTTAATTTAATCAACGCATCATTATGTATGTGAGGGTGAGTGGGGAAACTTCAAGTTTCATAGGTTATATTATCTAAGCATATATATTTTTAAACGTGAAAGTACTCTAAGGGTAAGACCTACCATGTATTGACTTCCTCCTATGTGTCAATCTGTTTAAATATATTATCTTTCATCCTTAGATGTGAGTTAGGATGTTTTTACTGCAGGTAGCAATCAAGTTAACTCAAAGTTATGTGATTGAATTAGTTCCCGTAACAAAAATTCCAGAAGAAGTTTGGACTTCAGGTGCAATATAATCAAGCTTCTAGTTCTTTTCTCTATGATCTCTTGACTCTGCTTTTTGGGCAGTGTGATTTTTTTTCTCTAACTGACTTCCTCGTTACCTCAAGTTTGCTGGTAACACCTGGGAAGACTTCTTTGTGGCCAAATTAGGTCATGTACCCATCTTGGGCCAATAATGGTGATTTTGAAAATGCCAGGTACTGACTGGCTTAACTCCAAACTCCTGACCCAGTCACAGAGAAGGCAAATAGGTTAAATCAAACCAGACCTACTCCTGGAGCTGGGAATGGGGTAAACTTCCCTTGAGTTCCATAGATTCTTACAGGAGGCATGAAGTCTCAATAAAATTTGAGTTCTGTTAACAATGAGAAAGAGGTAAATGAATGCTAGAGTACCAGCAGGTCAATTAAAAATCATGATTCATATTACAGATAAGTAAACAGGACTAGAGAAGTTATAGAACTTGAAAAGAGCCACACAGGTAATGTAAAATGGAGCCAGAAGTTAAATCCAGTTTCCTTTGGTTCCAAACCCCACGTTACGACTTTCAGAGGCTGCAAATTGACCTGTGTTGTGTGCATGTTTTTTTTTTTTAAACTTAGAGTGTTTTTCCTGTTTCCAAAAGTAAAGTCCCAATGTTTAAACACTATCATCAGATTTCACAAAAATTATATTTTTTGTTTACCATGAAAAAGATGGAGTTAGTGATAATAATCCCATATCCTGACCTGCTAATGATCAACTGGAAGCTGGAAGTGACTGTCATCTCTGCGCAGTACACCTTAGTCCCCACCTGGGTTGGTTTATTTATCCATGTTACCTCCAGGGCTTTTTAAAGTATTTTATCCCAGGTTGTCTTGTACTCATTTTTATTATTTTTATCATAATCATCATTATGTGTATTTATTTCCAAAACAAGAACTTGATGATTATTAAGATTGGCAGATATTAGAATGAGCAATAACAGGGAGTTTTGATAGCTCACCTCCAGAGATCTTCATACCTGAGTTAGCACAACTGGAAGTGTGTACAACATAGGTCTCTCTTATCCTATATGCTTACAGCATTACTGGTCAAACATTCTTACTTAAAGCTGCAGGTGAAATCATATAAAGCACTGCTGGGATATGATTTTCCATGACTAGAGGCTTCCCAAGATTGGAGAGGCGCCTCTAATCTTTTGCCCACATTTTCTCAAAACAAAGTAAAATGAACTTGGCTTTCAAAATTACAGCTGGGTGTGTCTGGTACATAGTCATCTGCGACTAAGTGATCATTTCATGTAGCTGTAGATCATAAACCTCCTTCTTGGTTCAACTTACAGGTGAGAATTTGAGTTGTTTGTGCCTAGAGTGCCTTACCCAAAGGCAAAAACTTCCTGAATTACCCAAGGAGAGTTCCCCTTGACAGACTGAATTAATTTGTAGATGTTATTTTAAGGTTGGAAGAAAATATTTGCTCTGGTGGGGTGTGCAGTGGCGTTATGACATTTGTCAAGTGAATGGCAAATGATGGAGCCGGATGGAACCCGTATTACTTGCTTAAGAAATTGTCTTGAAAATTTCCAATGTGTCATTTAACGTAGTAAAGTATTTGGTTCCAATCTGCTTTCTTTTTCTTAGTCATACTGGGGGTTTCAATATTTGCTTTAAAAATAAATTTGGGGTTTGTAAATTCTAACTACTTGGAGATATGTTTGAGAGATTTAATGGTCTTATTTACCTTCAATGAATTCCATTCTATTGACTGCTACTTCAGACCAAGATGGACTGTAATATCCCCTACAGACTGAAACAACCAAAATGGACAAAAAATTTGAAATGATTGTTTTTAAGACCCTGAATATTGGGGAAAAGAAGATAGAAACTAAAATAAGTGAGTTTACCACATTTTATTTATGGCTCCACTCACCACCTTGAGAGAGTTTCCAGGCTGCAACTTAAGGATAGGGGATTCAAGTGTGGCAGACTCCCTGAATGGCAGAGACAAAGTTGAATCTAGGAAACAAAAGCAGCTGGATTTCATAGGAGAGAGTACCTGAGAAAAGTGATCCGCGTAAATGGAGATCTGCCTAAGGCCCACCTTAGTGTTGAGCTGAATACTGCTCAACATAAGGGTGAGGACACTACCTAAAGCCAAAGAAAGAAGCCTCCCAAAGATTGAAAATAACAGAGCCCAGGACTCACGTGGAGTGAGGGTTAGCCGCTAGTCAGACTAGAAAACCCAGTTATTCATGGGCACTGAGTTGAGTACACAGAAGGGGGTTGTCTCAATAATGGAGAAATAATTAGCTGTAGACTATGAATTGCTCTCACTCTGCCTAACAAATATCAAAAGCAAAATTTGAAAAGATCAAACTGTTTCCAAGTAACTTAGTCACTCTAGAACAGAGCTCAGTGATATTTATAGTAATACAAAAATATCAGCACGAAAAAAGTTAAAATTTATAATTTCTTCCATCCCATCAAAAGTTACCAGGCATGCAAAGCAGCAGGGAAATATAATCCATAATGAAAAAATATCATGTAACAACTTACCCAGATTTAAATGAATGTTGGAATTGGCACATGGGGCTATTACTATAGAGAGTAACTCTAACTCTCAACTTCATAGGTTCAAAAATTCAAGTGGAGACATAGAGAATGTTTTTTAAAGAACCATATCAAACTACTAGATATAAAATCTACAATGCATGAGATAAAAACTACACTGGATGGATTAATGGCAGGTTTGACATTGAAGAAGAAAAAAATCAGTGAACTTGAAAACAAAGTAATTTCCCCAAATGAAACTCTTAGAGAAAACACAATTGAACTATGCATTGAGCACGACTGAGGATTTTAATATATGTTTAATTTGAATCCCTGAAGTAAAAGGGGGCAGGAAGAATTTTGGAAAAATAATGGAATGAAAAATTTTCAAATTTAATGAAAACTATAAACCCTCAGTTCAAAAAACTTAAATCCTGAGAATGAGAAATATGAAGACATAGCATAATCAAATTTCTCAAAATCAGTTTTAAAGATATATCAGCTAAAAAGATATACCACAGTTGAAAGCTGTCAGAGTGAAAAAAGATGTCAGCCGACTTCTCGTCGGAAACAATACAGGTTAGAAAAGAATGCAGAAAGATATTTTGTACTGAAAGAAAACAATGTAAACTTAGAATTCTTTGCACAGTAATAATATCTTTCCACAGTGAAAATGAAATACTTTTTAGAATAGAATAACTGGAAGAATTAGCAGCAGATCTGCATTACAAAAAAATATTAAATGAAGTTCTTCAGGGAGAAAGAAAGTAATACCAAACAGAATATGGATCATCACAAAAGAATGAAAAGCAATTAAACAAAAACTAGATTGTTAAACGCATGAGGTTTTTGTTTTTTTTTTTTTTTTTTTTTTTTTTTTTGAGACCAAGTCTCACTCTGCTGCCCAGGCTGGAGTGCAGTGGTGCAATCTCGGCTCACTACAACCTCCACCTTCTCCTGCCTCAGCCTCCTGAGTAGCTGGGATTACAGGCACATGCCACCAAGCCCGGCTAATTTTTGTATTTTTAGTAGAGATGAGGTCTCACCATGTTGGCCAGGCTGGTCTCGAACTCCTGGCCTCAAGTGATCCACCCACCTTGGCCTCCCAAAGTGCTGGGATTACAGACGTGAGCCACCATGCCCAGCCTCACATGAGGATTTTTAAACAATGAAATCATTTTAAAAGATAAATTACTTTTAAAACAAAAATACTAACAATGTAGCATGAGGTTAATAGGTTGTTAAAAGTAAATATGACAACAATAGCACAAAGATTAGCAGGGAAATCAAAGTATACTATTTGAAGGTCTTATGGTATACTTACGTAGTATAGTGGTATAACATCACTTGAAGATAACCATGATAAATTTAAAATATATACTATAAACTCTAAACAAACCACTAACATTAAAAAAACCCCAATGCTCTGGCTAATAAGCCACAAAGGAAATAAAACAGAATGATAAAAAATATTCAACTTATCAAAAGAAGGTAAGTAGAAAGGAAAAAGAGAACAAAGATTAGATAGAACAAATAGCAAGATGATAGGTTTAAACCTACTGTATTAATAATCACATTACATGTAAATAGTATAAACATCACAAAGCAAGAACCAACTCTAAGGTGCCCATAAGAAACCCACTTTAAATATAAAAGCATAAATAGGTTGAAAGTTGAAATATGGAAAAATATGTACACACTAATACTAATTTTAAAAAACTGGACTGGCTGTATTAATAAGACACTAAGTAGATTTCAGATCATGAAGATTTTTGGCATTAAATATTGCCATTTCATTATGATAAATGAGTCAATTCATCAAAAAGATCAAACTATGCATCTAGTATAGCTTCAAAATAATGAAGCAAAACTGATGCAACTGCAAGGGGAAATAAATTCATAATTATAGTAGGAGATTTCAATACTCTTAATAATTGCTAGAACGAGCAAAGTTAGTAAAGATACAGATGATTTTAACAATGTCACAACCAAGTTGACCTAATATTTGCTTGTGGAACACTCCACCCAACAACAGAACACACATTTTTCAAATGTATACAGAAAATTTATGAGGATATATCATATTCTAGGCCATAAAACAAGTTTTAGTATATTTAAAAGGATTCACTAACACAAAGTATTTCTGTGACCACTTTGAAATTAATTAGAATCTAATAACTGAAAGATCTCCAGAAATTCCCCAAATGTTTGCACACTAAATAACAAACTTCTAAATAACCTATGGGTAAAAGAATAAATAAAAACGACTCTTTACTCAAGTTGTCCCTTGGCAGAAATCCAAGCCTCTTTGGGAAACTGTTCTTCACTCAGGCATGCGGTCCATCTTCAGTTAACCAAGTCACAGGGACATTTGGCTCTTTGCTTGGTTAGTTGCTGCTCAGAACAGTCAGGAATTGATGTCTACAGAGAGGTTTGTGGGTATGAGGGCATGAAGAATGTGTTTCCTAATAAAAATAATAGAAAACTGGGTCCAGATGGGCGTGGATGTAATTCTCAGGCAAGCCACATTCCCTGCCTTCATCCGAGTTTTTATGAGGTAGTGGAAATAGGACCCAAACTAAGATTTAAGACATTGGGTTTTAATCCTAGCTTGCTCCTGCATATGGTTGTAATCTTTGTTAAGATTCTTAACTTTTCTGATTCTCCTTTTTTTTTTTTAAATCTGCAGATTGATGGTGTTGGTTACAATAATCTGGAATTGTATTTCATGATGTCAGAGCAGGCAGGGATGCTGGAGATCACTTAGGCCATTAACTTGTAATTATTTTTCTCCTTTGTACAAAGCAGGCTTCTGGGTGCTTTTGCAATATCATCACACTCCCTAGGATGTAAGTGGTAGCTCCAACCCTTTTCTTCCACTTAAGAAAGATTAGACGGCAAATGAGTGATGATAATGAGTCTGCTTTAAATTAGATCAAAGTCTAATTTCTCTTTTTTATGTTTTTAATAATTTATAAAATTTGCCTCAAAATGATAAAATATATTATTAGTTGTAACAACGTATTTTCAACTGGTTTTACAAAATCAAAATAAATTACTTCTCTGTGTTATGTTACAGATGAGGAAATTGAGGCCCCAAAGAGACAGGGTTAATGTTTTGCTGTCTGGCTCATGGCAAAGGCATGACAGAAGCACAGTTTTTCTTTCTCCCACACCTAGGTGCATTGCTTCCACTACACCTTCTAGGTTCTTTGTGGTTATTAATAATAAGGTGATCATGATTGATGAAGATGATGATGAATTCCAGGAACCTTGTCCATTTTACTTTTGTGCACCAGCACCCAGCATAGTGTAGACACTTAATAAATATATATTGAATAAGTCAATAATGATAATTGCTACCACAGCACTTATTCTGATCTAGGTGGTATGTTAAGGATTTTCACATGCACCATCTTATATTATTGTCACAACATCTCTGTGAAATAAGTAGTAGTGTTATTTCTATTTTCACATGAGAAAAAGATTTCAGAGAGAAGAATGACCTTCCGAGGCTCAGTTAGTGGTAGGATCAGTATCAAGATGACCTCTCTGGCTTTAGCACCCGATCTTCTGATTCTCTGGCTTCTCAGGGGAAAGAAAAGGGGTCAGTTGTGTTTTCATGCGGTCCGAGGACGTCTTCCAATGCTGCGAAGCTGGTACAAAGATCTCTCCCTTGTGGGTAGGAGACATTTGCTTGTCTTTAGAGTTAATTCATCATGAAAGTGTGACTGATGGAAATTAATTTTATAAACTACAAAACCTTTCTGAAAATGTTAATGTTGTCATCAATACTAATTATTATTATTGTCATTAGCACAGGGATCTATGTTTGGCATTGCCAATAATAAAACAGGCAGAAGAATAAAGGGGAGAAGCTAGTCTTTCCTGGGAAAATGTTTATAAGAATCGTCAAAAGCTCAAATGCAGAACCATCAACTCCCTCTAAATTAGTTCTGGAATGAGTCCCTTGAGACATCGTGCACCCCTGAGGAGGACCCATACATATTAACTCTACAGAGGATTGAGCAAAATCCCCAGCAAGGGAATCTTAGTAATTCTGACTAGGCAGAAGGAAGGAAATAAAAGGTAGAAAGAAAGAAGGAAACCAAGATTTAATTGTGATACTGGGTGCAAACCAGTCTATAATGGGCTTGTCTGCCTGGATTTTAAAAGTTTGGGAGGCCGAGGCAGGGGGATCACGAGGTCAGCTTTCTGGCCAACATGGTGAAACCCCATCTACTAAAATACAAAAAAATTAGCCGGGAGTGGTGGCGTGCACCTGTAGTCCCAGCTACGGCAGGAGGCTGAGGCAGGGGAATCGTTTGAACCTGGGAGGCGAGGTTGCAGTGAGCCGAGATCTTGTCACTGCACTCCAGCTTGGTGACAGAGCAAGCAAGACTCCATCTGAAAAAAAAAAAAAAATTCAATTCACATATATGCAGGGAGGCCAAGACACTGGTAAATATTTTCCATTCAGTGTAAAAGATGACAGCAGGAGGAGGGATCCATCATACTTCTTAGCTATTTACTTGAGTTTAAATTTTATCTTGACTTTAATAAATCTTTCAAAAGAGAGCATTTCTTAGAACTCTGAATGCAGGACTGGGAGAGGGTGTTTGTCTTCAGCCGATGAGGTGAAAGCAAAACAAAACAAAACACACAGAATAAAAACAGTCCCCTGGCATCTGTTACCCATGTTCACCTAGCAATTTCCTGGAATTCTTTCATTCGTTCATTCATTCATGCATTCACCCGTTTTCATTCATTTGTCTTTTCATGTATCCATTTACCCTCAACAGTCAGCTATTGTGCACTTGCTATGGGTGAGACCTTATAGTAAGTATGAGACACACACAGTCACGCACAAAACAGAAAAAAGCATGCTGCTCAAAGCTCCTATTCTAGTGAGAAGAGAGAAAATAAATGAATACAGGCAATGTCAATTTGCTATTGATATGGGATGGGAAGAGAAACGGAGCAGAGAGTAAAGGGATGGAGACTGAAGGATGGTTATTTTAGACAGAATGGTTGGGAAGGTGAAATTTGGCAGATACCTGGATGAAGTGAATGAGAAAGTAATATGACAGTCTGAGGAAAGAGCGTTTTGGATTGGGGACTGCCAAGGGCAAAGACCTGGAACTGGGAAATTGCTTGGAGGGTCTGAGGAGCAGCATGATGGTCAGAACGGCAGGAGCCAGAGGAGCATGCATTTGGAGAGAGGAGCCAAGTTCTCTAGGTCCTCAGAGACCACGATGAGAGTTTGGAATTTTGTTTCAAGTATTATGAAAAGTCTTTGGAGAGTTTTAGCGGGGAAGTAAGGTACTGCAGTGACCTCTGAGCTTGCCCAAGTTGTATCTGGAGCCTCATTCACTTTTTCTTTTCCCTGTGACAATTCATCTCCTGTTAGACACCAGCTTTTCCTAGGGTGGTACAAAATGTACTTGCCTTTCCAGATTCCATTTCTCTTCTCCTTACCATGCAGGCCTTGGTGGGTCCTATTTGACCACAGCTAATCAGAATAATCCCATGCATCTCACTACAGTGCTTGGTTCAGGAATGGGCACACTATCTAATTTGGTCTAATATTAAAAATTTCTGAGCTATATGATATATGGCAAGTGTGTAAATGTGAGACTTGGAATTTCTGCTGCCATTTTTCCACCATGAAATAAACCAGGCTGATGATAAAGGCAATTTATACATGAGGAAGAACTAAGAGAAGCATGGTATGAAGAATGAGTCAGAGCCATGATCTGACTTTATCTGAAATCTACCCTATCGCTGATCTTTTCAGAGAGATATATATGTATTTTTTTGAGATGGAGTCTCACTGTGTCACTCAGGCTGGAGTGCAGGGGCGTGATCCAGGCTCACTGCAACCTCCGCCTCCCGGGTTCAAGCAATTCTCCTGCCTCGGCCTCCTGAGGAGCTGGGATTACAGGCGCACACCACCACGCCTGGCTAACTTTTGTATTTTTAGTAGAGACCAGGTTTCATCATGTTGGTCAGGATAGTTTCAAACTCCTGACCACAAGTAATCTGCCCGTTTTGGCTTCCCAAAACGCTGGGATTACAGGCATGAGCCACCGCGCCGCTCCAATTTCAGACATTAACCACTAAACGCCCGTAGTGGTTTAATTTTGTTTAAGTTAGTTTTTTTTTTTTTCATTGCAACCAAAAGAACTTTGGTTGCATAATTTACAGTGAATGTATAATATTATGTTAATTAGTTGATGTATTATACCCTTTAATTTACATGGTTACATTTAACAAAGCTGAATGTTAACAAAGTGACATTTTAAGTAAGAATTTGAGAAACACTTTTGCACAAGATACTTTGGACTTTAATTTCAGACAGAAAACTTCTCAATGGACATAATTTGTGCTTCGTATATGTTAGTCGCTTTTGAATGACTCGAACCTATACAGTAGTCCCCTCTTATCCTTGGTTTTTCTTTCTGTGATTCCAGTTACCCATAGTCTGAAAATATTATATACAATACAGTATTTTAAGAGAGAGACCACATTTATATATCATTTATTCTAGCATATTGTTATAATTGTTCTATTTTATTAATAATTGTTGTTAATCTCCTACAGTGCCTAATTCATGAACTTTATCATAGGTATGTATGTCTGTGTAAGAAGAAACATGATACATACACAGTTCTGTACTATCTGCAGTTTCAGGCATCCACTGGGGATCTTGGAACATATTCCCTGTGGATAGGGAGATACTGCAGTACATCCACAGGCTTTGGAATCAAATTTCAGCTTTTTCTGCCACTTATTAGCTGTGAGACTTTGAGCAAGCAACTAAATATATCTGAGCTTCATTTTTGTCATCAGTAAAATAGAAATAATGCTGGTCCCCACTCACAGTGGGGGAGTTTGTGAGAATTAAATAAAGCATGTAAAACATTTAGCTCAGTACCTGGCCCACAGTAAGTGATCTATGAATGCTGGCTCTTATATAATAATATAATTCTCGGAATAACCAAGGAAAATAGAACAAAAAATGCCACCTAGATGGCAGGATTGCTTTGCATAGCTTAATTAAGTATGTTTCATTATTCCAACTCCCTGGGGCTTTTGAGAATAAAATTTTTAAAAATGTACAACGACAGTCTCATTAAGAGAGTGCAGAAGGAGCAATCTCTAGGCGGGGAGTGAGAGGGAGGACGTGTTGAAATTGTGGAGCAGAACGCACGAGTACTGGTGTAAACTTGGTCCTTAAACAGTAAATACACACATCCAACCACACAACCATGTCTTTCCAAAGGAAGTTTTTAAAAAGTTAGAAGAACTTGGGTCCTGTATAAGAGTGAGATGTTAACATATTTTATTTGACTGAAGAGTCTAGCTATTATAAGATCTTTATTTCAAAAAAGTTAAAGTGCAAAAGATGTGCATTTTGGAACCGATGCAGTAGAACAGTGGTGCATTCCATGTCCAGTTTTCCAAGTAGCTGTGAGGTAGGCGATATTATCCTCCTTTGAGATGTAAGAACATTGAGGCTTAGGAAAGTCAAGTGCCTTTTTCAAGGTCACATTGTTAGTGGACAGCAGTCACAATTGCATTCATCCATTCATCTGAAGAATTTACCTAGTGTTCAGTGCCAAACCCCACAGGGGATACACCAGTGAAAACAACAGAGCATGACCCCTGGGGTTATAATCTCATAGGGAATTTAAACAAAAATGAGTAAGGAATCAAATACATAAAATAATTGCACTATATTATGGCTCCTGTGAAGGGCAGATATGGGGTACTGAGATGGAAAACGTGAAGGATGGAAGGAACACACCTCTTGCCTCTTTGCAGAAGTGATGTTTCTACTGAAAGCTGAAGGGTGAAGAATCAGATATGAAAAGAGCCGGAGAAAAGTCATTCCAGCCAAAGGGAGCAGAGTGCGCAAAGTCCCTGAGATGGGAAATATTTTAGTGTTTATAAGGTAATAAAAACACTTATTCTCATGGTAGACTCAGTTTCGGGTCTTTCTCACTTCAGAGTGTCTGCTATGAACCACTAGGCAACGCTACCTCTGCAAAAGGGAAAGTTGGGTGTTTGAAGGCCAAGAGACACCATGGAGCAGTAGCTGCCAAAAGGATGCTCATCACTTCCTCACATCACTTACTTAACTCCCCAGAAGAAAATTCCTTTCATATGTTAAATGACCAACTCCATCTCTGCCTTGTAAAAGCTGGAGGAGATATTTGAAGGGCTTCTGTTAATATATGGGATGTGGGTGGCGGGGAGGAACTGGTGGAAAAGAGGTCATGCCTTGAAAGGTTGGAAAAGGGAGGATGGTGGAAAAAGAGCTAGGAGTGGACCGTTGACTCCTAGTGAAGAAGGCTGCATCACCAGCCACCTCCGAGGTGGAATACCAGGTGTCTGTTAATCCGCAGCAGGATACTATTAGAAAGCCCATTTCACTTGTCACTGTATCGCTGTGGCTCTGAGAGTTGTGCCTTTTGGTTCCAAATTGTTTTCATTTCAGTACCTTCCTTCCCAATAAGTGGTATTGAAAATGAGGGAAGAATGAGAAGACCTCGATTTATACGTGCCGGCAGATTCAGGGTGTATGAAAAGCTCCTACTCACAATTTCTGGTTCTCTTGAGAAGTTGGGTGATGTTTAATGCAACTTTCTCTTCTTTTTTTCCAAGGACTCATGTCATGAAGCTTTTGACTGTTGGGAGGATCTGTGGGGTCATGGGATCATTTTGCTTTATTACCCTCCTAATTAGACATAATTAATAATTATTACAATAATGTTATATAGTGTTTTAGACTCATATACAAAATCTTGAATCCTCATAACAATTCTTTGAGTTGCATGGGATTATTCCAATTTTACAGATAATGTTCACAGAGGTGACATCATATAACCAAGATTACACAAAGAGATTGACCTAACTCTTATGCCTCCAACTCCAGAAGACAAAGTTGGCAAATAATTGGCAGATGAGAAATTGTTGCAGCACTCTCAATAATCCCAGGAAGGAAGTACAGATGTTGATTAATTAACAACAACCAAAGGTATTATCACATCTACAGTAATTAGCATTTATCAAGTGCCTAGAGTGTGTCTGGCATACTGTGCTAAATTCTATTTATTAATCAATCTAATTCTCACAACAAACCTGTCATGTAGGTGCCATTAGTATCTCCATTTAACAGATGAAAAAACGGAGGCTCAAAGAGGTGAAATAACAACTAGTTTATATAAGTAGCAAGTTGCAGAGACAGTTCACAAACCCAAATAATTTAACTCCAGAGTCAGTGCTTGTCACCACCACCTAAACTACCTCCATTGATGGTGTACTTCTAATATTAATAACAATGACATCAATTACATCAATTCATTGGACAGAGCAACTGTGAGTTGTGAGTCCCATCTCTTACCATTGGTTAAAAAAACATACAAGTTTTAGGAGCAGGATTCCATTACACTGTCTCTGTTCAAATAAGTAGAAACAAGTAATTGGGGCAATGGCCTTGATAAATAATCTTACCATAAAGCTGCTTTCACAGAAAAATACTTGTTTGTATGTATTTTCTACCTTTATTAGAACATTTGGATAGTTGTGTAGGTCTGTGCTGTTCTTAAGGAAGGTGGCTATTATTAAGGGTGGTGGACTTGATTCAAGTCCTCCCAGTTTTGATGTGTTCCTTGACCAGTTGATTCTTATTTCCCTGACTTGTAAATTGCCGTCAGCTTCAGCTTGCCTTATTAAGAATTCTGTATAGTTGGCCGGGAGTGGTGGCTCACGCCTGTAATCCCAGCACTTTCGGAGGCTGAGGCGGGCGGATCATGAGGTCAGGAGATCAAGACCATCCTAGCTAACATGGTGAAACCCCATCTCTACTAAAAATACAAAAAATTAGCCGGGTGCAGTGGCAGTTGCCTGTAGTCCCAGCTACTAGGGAGGCTGAGGCAGGAGAATGGCGTGAACCCGGGAGGCGGAGCTTGCAGTGAGACGAGATCGCGCCACTGCACTCCAGCCTGGATGAAAGAGTGAGATTCCGTCTCATTAAAAAAAAAAAAAAAAAAAAAAAAAAAAAAAAAAAAAAAAAAAAAAGCTGCATAATCAATAGGCTGTAAATAAATGGAAACATATGCCCCTTCCCACATGTGGGGAATGTTGCTGTTGGCTCTTCTGCCCCTTAGCTGTCTTGTAGCACAATGCTTCAGCTTTCAGTTGAGTCTCTTTGTGGCTTGTCTAACTGCTGCTATCATATCCAGGTGATTAAGCTGTTATAGCCTTAATGGCAAGTTTCAATTCACTGTCGTCTTCCTCAGCTTTGGGTCTGGGAGCCCCTTACGTTCCCACTTTGTTCTCTCTGGGACCATCTTTCCATCTTCAATAAGCCTAACTTCTGAGCCACAGCAAAACAAATGCGTATGCGTTGAAGATAGTTTCAGAACTTGTGCATTGGGAAATTTTCTGTGGTTTAACACGGTGAGAAGAACTGGAATAGCCTGTGCTGTTCAGAAGCCAGAACTGATACTGAAAGCAGGTGCAGGCCTGTCAGCCACACAGCTGGTTGAGTTAACTCTATTAGACACTATTGGACAATTTTGTTATCTGAAATAGAAACCAGTATGGTGGCAGGCTGTCCCTTTGCCAAATGATGCCCCTGCTAGGCTGGTTTAGGTCTGCCTTTCTTGTTGGTGCATCTGCTGGGTTTTGCTGCCAGCATGTTGAAAACTGGCAGTTCTGTAAAGTTTTATTGTCTTCCTAGGTGTTTTTGTCCAGGAAAGAAATACTAAGATTTGCCGTTTTTTTAAATGATGACTTGGCATTTTGACTCTTGGCTGTACTTTAGCTGGAAGAAATTAGTGTCTGATTTTATTCTAATACTGGAACTGCATCTTTTTTTTTTTTTTAACCAAGAATGATTTTCTAGTTCTCTCCAAATCAAACATTCTTGGGAGCCTCTATTCTAAATTGTTTTTCACACTCAGTTCTAATGCCTTCACGTAATGGATTTTGTAATTTTGTTCTTTTCTTTTTTTCTTTTGAAAATCAGCAACAAGTAAAAAGAACCCCTGTGGGTGAAATACAATATCCCTCCCAAAGGAGAAATGGAAAAAAAAATGTTATTTCAAACTTCAAGCCCAAACGTTATCTGCCTTCTACATTTTAAGCAGGCTCAGAGCCTTGAGGATTGAGTCAAAGAATGCAAAACATGACCTCTCAAAGGCAAAAGCTAAAAAAAAAGTTGGACCTAGAACATCAAATAGCTCTTACCAAAGAGTGTTTTGATGAGTGAAGTGTAAATGAAGCGTAGAATATAGCTCTTTTCCAGGATACAAGGCCCAATTTCCGAAACATGCAAACACTCTCTCAATTGAATGCATTAGCTGCTTAGTTCCAGAGCTGCTGAAGTATAAAATGCGATAACTTATGTTAAACACCCAGCACTGTGCCTAGCCGATGTTGGACCCTCAATTTAATATTATTATTAATTATTTCTATATAGAGGGGAAACATAAAGAAACTTGTTTCAATTACTTATTTGACCTAAAATACAAGGTTGCACAATGCGTTGTAGCAAATGTCTATAAATCTTTACATAAAGGTCCCTGGAATAGAATCTCATTCTGCAAATTCAAGATCCTGTCTGGAGAAAAAGAGTGAAGACTCTATATGTATATTTTTGAATGAAATAGAGCACCCATATCTACTATGTGTCTTATGAGAAATGTTTCCCTAGAGGAGACTCATAAGGAGTGACCCAAGAACTGGCTTCAGAGTTTTAAAGGACTGCCATCCGGAAATTGTAGTAGAATTAGTCTCCTTTGCTTACAGTAGAGAACTAGAGCTAGTGGGTTGAAGCTTCAAGGAAATAACTGTGGTTCAGTGAAAGGAAACTCTTGCTGACACTTTAAGCTATCAGTGGAAGGGACCCTCCAAAGAAGTGGAGAGAAATCATGTGGACACTGGAATCTTCTGGCAGGAAGACTGGGAAGAGTTTCTGCAATGTATGGCGAGGCCAAGGGCAGAGGGAGCAGTTCTGTTGGTTTAGATAGATAACCTTAAAACTCTTCTATGTGGAGACTATTTGGGTCCAGCTGAATTATCTGCCTTGGAATCCTCCCATCCACTTTTGCTGAACAGCACAGCTATTACTGCCTTTTAGATATGAAATTCAATAGCATTTGTTCCTTGGCTCAGATCATTCACCTTTAATTGTGCCCATTAATACCAGTGATAACTAATGTTTATTCTTCAGTTACTATGTTCCAGGCTCTCTACAAAGTGTTTTGTGCATATTGCCCTTTTAATACGCAGAGATACTCCATATGAGTATTTTTATTATCCCCATTATGCAGATTTTAAACATGAATCCCAGTTGGCACAATTAAAGAGGCAGACTCATAACTAGCAATACTGAGATACAAAGCAAGGACTCTTAAGTCCAAAGCTTCTGTTCTTAACCACTTCTTTGTACTACCCTCCCCCCACCCCACCCACTTACTCTGAATTTTAAGAAGAGTGCTTTATCTTTTCATTATTCCTTTTGCAGCTTCATAAAGCTTTTATATGCATTTCATCAGGGGCTACGTTCTGAAAATGGTGTTTCTGGAACCATGGTTCTGGAAAGGGCAGAGACTAAATGATGCCGACATTGGTATCATCGTCATCATCATCAACATCACATCATTGCCATCACCATTTATAGCATCATCTCCATAATCACTACCACCATTGCTATCAACATCACACCATCACCAACATCATTATCTATCATCATTGCCATCATCATCATTGCCATAATTACCAACATCTTCTTCCTTTTTTTCCCCATTCTTCTTCTTCCTTCTCCTTTTCCTTTATCGTCATCGTCATTACCATCACCACCATCATCACCATCACCACCATCACCATCATCCTCATCATAGTTAACACATATTTTGTGCTCACTGTGTGCCAGCACATTACAGGTACTAACTCATTTAATCCTCCCACCAACACTATGAGGTAGGGATATTAACCCCATCTTACAGTTGAGAAAACTAAGATGCAGAGTGAATAGCTTGCCCAGTCATGCTCTTAAGCACAATACCTTAATGCCTCTCACCCTTTAGGAGCTGCTTTTCAGCTTGACTAAGGGTGGGAATCATCACTTAAATAAGTCATAGAAACTTCCCAAAAGTGTAAAAGTGTTCACTCAACCTTTATACTCAGGTTTTTTTCTGTAGAATTATTTAAAATTTTCTAGACATTATAATCATGTGCTTCTCCCTGTTACATGATGGGTAAATGGCCATCACAGGTTAGGAGACAGACCTTTGTAGAGCTATGTTTTTCCAAATGCACTTCCTTGTTCCTAAGTTGGAGGGCATTGTTAACATTCATGGGCTAATATTAATGAGAGCCACTGGATACAGGGATTGGGATGGTGCTCAGGACTCTCGATGAATTCTCATTTTATACTCATGACAAACCTATGGCATGGCTGCTATGATTATGCCCATTTTACTGATCAAGAAACAGGCTACGGATAGTTAAATAACTTGCCCAAGATCGCTAACACTAGGAACTAGCTGAGTTAGCATATAAATTTAAGGTTTTCTGGCTCCAGAGCTAGTGCATGTAATCACTGTGTTTCACTGTTCCTTTCATTCATTTTATGACCATTTTGTTTGTTTATTTTAGAGACGAGCATCTCTCTATGTTACCCAAGCTGGTCTCAAACTCCTGGCCTCAAGTGATTCTCCCACCTTGGCCTCCCAGAATGCTGTGATTACAAGTGTGAGCCACCACACTCAGCTTATGGTCATTTTGGAAACTTCTCTACACGGGCTGACCTCCGCTAACTCTTTGCTGTCACTCCTATTTAAGGCTGCTGTTAGCTCCTGTGCTGTTAGCCAGGCACATAGTAGGAATACATTATTTTGGATAATTCTGGGGACTATAGGATAAAATGTGAAAATTACAAGATGGATTTTTTTTTTTTAGTTAAAGTAAAGAAGACCTTTCTAAAATGTGTATCTATACACCAATGATACTGGTTGTTTTGGAGAGGTACTGAGGTCTTTACTCCATGGAAGCAGGCAAGCAGAAAAATAGGCCCACCTATCTGCCAGAGGTATTGTAGAAATGATTCAGGGGCAGAAGATTGAATCAAAAGAACTCTAAGGCTGGGTGCAGTGGCTCATGCCTGTAATCCCAGCACTTTGGGAGGCCAAGGCAGGCAGATGGTCTGAGGTCAGGAGTTTGAGGCCAGACTGGCCAACATGGTGAAACTCCATTTCTACTAAAAATACAAAAATTAGCCAGGTGTAGTGGTGGGCACCTGTAGTCCCAGCTACTCAGGAGGCTGAGGCAGGAGAATCACTTAAACCTGGGAGGCAGAGGTTGCAGTGAGCCGAGATCGCACCACTGCACTCCAGCCTGGGCAACGGCAAGACTCCGTCTCAAAAAAAAAAAAAAAAAAAAGAACTCTGAGACTTCATATGAGACTCAAATATGAGTTTAAATCTCATATCTCAGCTATGACTGCTTTTCAACTACTTATTGTATCCTTGAATTAGCTCAGTTCTATTCAGCCATCTGCTTGCTTTCTTTGTTACTTTCATTTAAAATGATTCTTTGTTGTGGAAAAATACAGAAAACAAAAAATTTGCCATTTTAACAATTTAAACTGTATAATTCAGTGGCATTAAGTGCATTCACAATGTTGTACAACCATCACCACTATCTAGTTTCAGAACCACCTCATTACCCTACCCCTAAAAGATTCTACTTCTAGTTAGATACCTCCCCAAATTAAAAATAGGTATTCAAACAAAAACTGAAAAACTTGTACTAGAATGTTCCTAGAAGCACTGTTCATAGTAACCCAAAGTGTAAACCTAGATGTCCATCAACAGACATTTGATGGATGAACTTAATGTGGTTTTGTCCATACTATAGAATATGAGCCATAAAGGAATGAAATATGTTTTCCAACATTGATGAACCTTGAAAACATTAGGCTACGTGAAAGAGGCCAGGCACAAAAGGCCACATAGTGTATGATTCCGTTTACATGAAATACATGTATTACTTTTTGCTAGATCTGTAAGCCCTCTGTGGTATTGTTAACATAGTACTTTTTACCTACATTGACCTAATCTTTTAGAGACATAAAATTCCACCATAGCGTCTTCTTAAGCAACGATATATATGAAACAGTGGGTTTGAGATGCTAGTTCCATTTTTCCAATATACATGAAAATAATAAAATCTAATTCTAAAAATAAAGTTTGCCCATGTGCCATCTAAATGCATCTGTGTACCATCTCAAATACACTTAAGGCATTTCAGAAAACAGCCTTTTGGGATCCTCTTGGCAATCAATTTCTCCTTGAATGTGATCCACACAGCTCTTTTCTCTGTACTTAAGCTATCTGATATGACAGCCAGCCACTAGCCATATGTGGCTATTTAAATGGAAATTAAGTAAAATAAAATGGAAAATTCATATCCTCAGTCACACTATCCACATTTCAGTTGCTCAATGGCAACAGGTGACTAGTGGCTGCCATACTGGATGTGACAGATATATTGCCATTGTGCTAGAAAGATCTACTGGACAGCTCAACCTAGGGCTGGCTTTCATTCTTTCTGTTGTGCTAGGGAAGCTCCCTGATATGGTTTGGCATTGTCCCCACCCATATCTCATCTTGAATTACCACATGTTGTGGGAAGGACCTGGTGGGAGGTAATTGAATCATAGGGGCGGGTTTTTCCCATGCTTTTCTTGTGATAGTGAATAAGTCTCATGAGATCTGATGGTTTTAAAAAGGTGGAGTTTCCCTGCACAAACTCTTTTTGCCTGCTCCCTTCCATGTAAGACATGACTTGGTCCTCCTTGCCTTCCACCATGATTGTGAGGCCTCCCCAGCCACATGGAATTATAAGTCCATTAAACCTCTTTTTCTTCCCAGTTCAGGTATGTCTTTATCAGCAGTGTGAAAAACAGACTAATAACACTCCCTGTCTCCTAGATCCCATGCTTAAGTCAACCTCTCACTCAGCATCTTTAATTCCCACCACTTGCTCCTGGCTGACCATTCATCCCCCAGCCAGCTCTGAAACTGACCTACTTTCCCAATGTCACCAGGGAGGGCCTGGTGCCAGGCCACGGTGTGGTGCATCCCCTCACTGCTCCCTTCCTGTTTGCTGCTCGCCCAGCTCTGGACGCAATCCATCTTGCCACTCTCTCTTGCTCTCATCGTACTGACGTGAGGATCTCCTCCCACACAGCCCTGGCCAGCTTTCCTGAAGGGCTCTGCTGGGCTTCAAACTCCATTTTGTTTCATTATCAAGTGTAAGAAAACAGCCCTTTTCCTTTTCCCACACTTCTCCCTTTACTCTCCTGTTGGTCTGTCTTCTTCTTCTCCTTCTTCCCCTGGGTTTTCTTCTCTTTGACTTCTCTTCTTTTCCTCTTTCTCCTCCTTTGTTCCCTCTTTCTCTTCCTCCTACTCTCCCCACAATTATTTCTCTGTAGTTGTAAGATTAACCCTTTATAGCTATTTGGGAAAAAAAACTGGAAGAAGGACTATAGTAAAAAGAAAAAAAAGCTATATTCTTTTTACCATTTATACAGAAAAACAAAACAAAACAAAACAAAACTCCTCCTCCACCCAGCAGTTCCTTTGCCCTTTAGGTGGTAAACACATCATTCTCTTCTCCCACCAAGAGGGTGACCTTGCAATTATGGATGAAGATATGAATATCAGAGCAGTGACTGGGACTTGCAGAGCTTAGTCTTTTAGGGGACACATTTCCACACCAGAAATCCATGTCCGGGTGTGAAACATT
This sequence comes from Homo sapiens, assembly GCF_000001405.40. Taxonomy (NCBI): domain Eukaryota; kingdom Metazoa; phylum Chordata; class Mammalia; order Primates; family Hominidae; genus Homo; species Homo sapiens. The sequence goes on along the minus strand of NC_000016.10, from coordinate 9,908,167 downwards.
ATTACTGCTAATGTACATAGTGCTGTCAAGTTTCATTATGAGGCCCGGCAGAGTTCAGACCTCTATTTAGGCCAGAATACAGTGAACTCTGTCCTGATGGTTCTCACATGCCATCCAGCACACCGGGACATTCTCAACGCTGCTCAGGACTCCAGCTCCGGCCAGATGAAAATCTGCTCCTGCTCATTCAGCAAATGGTCACTGACCGCCTACCACATGCCAGACACTGTGCAGGGGTGAGGGCACGCAGCGAGGGCTCAGACATGATCCCTGTTTCCCGGGAGCTTACCCTCCAGCAAAGAAGAGAATGTATGTGTTTGAAAAACTCTAAGGTGGAAATGGAGCTGCAGAGGAAGTGAGGGGAGTTTTGAGGAGGGAGTGGAGGCTGGAAGCTCAGTGAGCCTTTTGGGAAAAGGTGGACTCTCTGCTCAGTTTTGGAGGATTTGAACATGTGAATATTTAGGCGAGACAGATCTTTGTATTTAAATGAGACTTGTGATTTTGCTTTATTTTCTTTTATTTTTTAATGAAAATTTTAAATTTTATTTTTAAAAATAATATCTAGTAAAATTGACTGTTGGAGGCATGACTGTATGATTCTTGGCACACAGATTCGTATAATCATGACTGCAATCAGGATTCAGAGCCGTTCCATCACACCAGCCCCCAAAATCCCTTACATGTCTACTTACAGCCACACTTTCTGCTCTAGTCACACAATCACTGATCTCTTCTCTGTGTCTGTAGTTTTGGGTTTCGGAGAATGTCATATAAGATAGAATCATACAGTGTGTAACCTTCTGAGGGTCACTTCCGTCAATCAGTAGAATGCCTCTGCAATTCATTCAAGCTGTTCTGTGTTTCTATAATTCATTGTTTGTATTCCCATATTGTATTTCATTGTTTATCCATACAACGATCTCACTCTTAGGTATTTAACCTATGGTCACACAAAAACCTGTGCACAAATGTTTATAATCTCTTTTCATAATTGCCCCAAACTGTAAAACACCTAAATGTCCTTCGATGGCTGAATAGAAAAACAAGACTTTTGTGGTCAGGCATCGTGATTCATGCCTGTAATCCCAGCACTTTGGGAGGCCAAGGTGGGCAGATTGCTCGAGTCCAAGGGTTCATGACCAGCCTGAGCAATGTGGTGAAACCCTGTCTACAAGAAATACAGAAATTACCTAGCTACTAAGGAGGCTGAGGTAGGAGGATCACTTGAGCCCCGGAGGTTGAGGCCGCAGTGAGCTGTGATTGTGCCACTGCACTCCAGCCTGGGCAACACAGCAAGACCCTATCTTGAAAACAAAACAAAACAAAAACAAAAATTTGTGATTTTCACTGAGAGAAAGTAAATTCTTGTTAACTTAGGCACAAAAAAGTGCAAAATGATTTATTGGTCCATTCAACTAGAAAGGATGGACTTGTTATCTTGCGTGTCTAGATCCAGGCTCAAACGGTGTCTTCAGGTCTTCCTCTCCTTTCCATATTTCTCCCTGTTAAGGTGAGTTGTTTGCCTCCAGGAGATAGGGAATGAACTCATCTAAACTAAGTATTGATTCACATACTTTTTTAATCCAGAAAGACAGTGATCCCTTCTAGTTGCAATAAAAAATTCCCAGAGAAGAAATGTGTTTGAATGAGATTGAGTCACGTACCGATCCCTGAACCAATCTCTGTGGCCAGAGATGCCCTCCAGGGTTCGTGGGGGAAGATCTATTATCAGGAAATGAAAGTAACCAGAAACAACAGCTATGACTGCATTTCCAGTGGAGGGAGGTGTAGGAACAAAAGCTAAGAAGTGGAAAATCACAAGACTTTACTGGGATACCATGAGTGGTTTGGGTTTGCTCCAATGCAGGATACTGTTAAGAACAGTTTTAGGATGGAAGGTTGGAAAAATTAAAGTTGCCAAGGAGCATGGATTTTATTTTTGGACAGTGGGGATCCATTTCAGGGTTTTGAGAAGGGTGGCACATGATCAGAACTGAGGTGTGGGAACATTTCATCTGGCAAGTGGGCTTGATATGAGTATGGAGGATGAAATGTAGGAATCTGAATAGCAGTACAGATGTTATAGTGCAGGTAGGAACAAAGTGAAAGACATTTTGGTAGCAAGCAACAGAAATAAAGCCTGATTAGCTTAATTTAATTAAAAGGTAATGAAGGAGAAACAATAGAAAATATTGTTTGGGGCTTTACTAGACCTTTTAAAAATCAAAGTATAAGTTGAGCAACTAATCTTGGAAAGGTCATAAGGTGAGGCAACATTCCTCGACGAAGGAGAGTCACTATTACATTGGTTTAGAGCCAACAATTCCTGGTCTGTGTGTCTTACCTATCAACTTTCAAATTCCTAGGAGACAGAATCTAATTGATCCGCCATGGGACAGGTGCACCCCTCCCCCTTGTATATATTTTTATGGCCAGGGAAACAAATAAGTGTTCTGATATACATAAGGGAGGACTTTTTCGAAGATCCGGGCTTATTGTATATCCATAGGCACATCGCTCTGCCCCAGAAGGGATGCAGTCCCGTGAACTGTACTGGTATAGAAGGAAGCCTAGGTTTTTGCGAGAGGAAGGAACATGAATATTTTTCAGTTCGTTTAGAACAGACAGTCCAAATGAGCAGCCAGTAGATCGGTTTTATTTCATTTACATTTAAATGAATTTGAATGCCTTTAGCTAAGATTTTCACCACTGTTATCATCTTGCACCTGGCTCGTTTTACTCATTGATATTATCTGCCCAGTTCTGAAAAGCATGAGAAATTTGTATTCTTTCTGATAAATCAACTTGGTGTTTGCCCTGAAAAAAGCAAGTAGAAATGGAGTAATGGAAGATTAACCAGTATTCTGATGGGTCAGGTCCCCCTCCTAATGTTCTTACAGCAACAGGAACATTAGCTGCAGACATATTGCCATTTATTGTAATTATTTGCATAGGATCTGCCTTTCCCTTAAACTCTAAATGATTGCAGAGAAAGGACCACACAATTTTTACTTACCTCTTTAATTCCTATACTTTGCTAGCATAAAGTAGATGTTCAATGGATGTTTATTGAAGTGATGTGTTTACTAAGAAGTAGATTTGAAGCCTTTCTATAGCTGTCCTTTTGGTATATTTCTTAGTGGATCAAACTCTTAATTTGTGGTCCATAATTTATGGTTTTGGTTTTAGCATTGAAATTTTCATGCCAAAGGAAACACCTCAGTGCTGGGACAACTGGGATGGTTGGTCACACTACTACTGGATGTCAATCAAAAACAATGTGCTTATCATAGGACCCCTTCTAACTCTCATGATGCCACCATGAAACTTCGCAACAGTGCTGTGTGGTTGTTATGGACTGAAAGTTTATGTTGAAACCCTAATCCCCAGAGGGATGGTATCTGGAGGTGGGGCTTTGGGAGGTAATTAGGGTTAGATGATGTCATGAGGGTGGGGCCCTTGCAATGGAACTAATGCCCTTATAAAAAGAGGAAGAGCCAGGCACGGTGGCTCACCCTTGTAATCCCAGCACTTTGGGAGGCTGAGGTGGACAGATCACTTGAGGCCAGGAGACTGAGAGCAGCCTGGCCCACATAGAAAAACCCTGTCTTCATTAATAATGCAAAAAATTAGCTGGGCTTGGTGGTGCACACCTGTAATCCCAGCTACTGGGGAGACAGAGACATGAGAATTGCTTGAACCCGGGAGGTGGAGGTTGCAGTAAGCTGAGATCACGCTGCTGCACTCCAGGCTGGGTGACAGAGCAAGACTCTGTCTCAAAAGAAAAGAAAAGAAAAAGAAAAAGAAAAAGAGGAGGAGACATGAAGTAGATCTCTCTCCACCATGTGAGTACACTTTAGGAAGACAGCCTTCTGTAAACAGGCAAGAGGGCTTTCACCAGACACCAAATCTGCTGGTGCCTTGATCTTGAACTTTCCAGCTTCCAGAACTGTGAGATGCAAATGTTTGTTAGTTAAGCCACCCACACTGTGATAGTTTGGTATAGCAGCCTGAACTGGTGAAAACAGCGGCCTTACCCCCATTGACACAGAAGTGAGCTGAGTCTGGAATAACTTGATTTCCTTAAGGGTATAAACACCAACAGTTGTGGATTTAAAACTGAACTTCAGTTTGCCTGTCTCTAAATCCACTCTCTCTGCAACTCACAGTGCTCCCAGAGTTCAGGGTACTGAGTTATGAATTCTTATCCTCAGGGAGTTGACAGTCTGGGAGAGGTGATAACATTGTTCAGGCTATGAATTACACAAGTCCAGGAGCACCCTTCATATCAGCTTCATCAAACATTTGTGTTTTATTTTGACAGTTGTTTTGGCAAATGGTAGTAAAGGGTCTTCAGAAAGAGGTGTCTTTTTAAAATTAGTCCTGAGTGGTTGGGACCAACATAAATAAAGAAGGTGCCCTCTAAGTGGTGTGTGCCACATGAAGAACAGGGGTTGAGAGTTGGAAGAGGATGCGTCTAACCTGAAGGAGTCAAGTAATACTTTGTGGAAGAGGTATTATTTGAGATGATCATGAGGGGTGGCCAATAAGCCTGATGCAGGGAATGAACAGGAATTACAGCTGCAGAAAAATAATATGGACAAAGATTTGTGGCCTGGCTTATTGTCCTTGCTCAGCCTTCCTTGTGTTTGGTGTCAAGTAGGGAAAAGGTGGTCCTCGGGTGGAGATTAAGGTATCCCTTTTTGAATCAAGTCAATAAATGGTGAACATGCTGTGCTCAATGGCAAGTCTGCTGGATAAACATAAATGACAGAAGGGAAGATCTGACCTTTGCTCCTGGTGGGACCAAATGTGTGAAAGTGGAATCCTCAGAGAATAGCAGGAGGCAATGTATTGCTAAGTGCTGTCACATGAGGAATGGATTAAGAAAACCAAGAGAGGCCGGGCACGGTGACTCACGCCTGTAATCCCAGCACTTTGGGAGGCCGAGGTGGCGGATCATGAGGTCAGGAGATTGAGACCATCCTGGCTAACACAGTGAAACCCCGTCTCTACTAAAAATACAAAAAAATTAGCTGGGCATGGTGGCACGCGATTGTAGTCCCAGCTACTAGAGAGGCTAAGGCAGGTGAATCGCTTGAATCCAGGAGGTGGGGGTTGCAATGAGCCGAGATCGTACCACTGCACTCCAGCCTGGGCAACAGAGTGAGACTCCGTCACCCCCACCCACCCCCCCACCCCCCCGCCAAAAAAAAAAAAAAAAAAACAGAACCAAGAGAAGGAAAGATTATTAGGAAACCCCACAATGAAGAAACAGCTTGAAATCAGCCTTGTTAAAAACAAATACTGGGTTTAGACTGAAGAGGATGAGGCAGAAAGGCATTCTGGGTGGGAGGAACAGCATATACTAAGAGATGGGGTTAGGACCAAATGCATTGTGTATTCATGGGAGTAGGGGAAGATGAGGAGAGAAAATTAAATATTGTAGAGTTGGAAAAATAAAGAAGTGTGTGGTACCACCCCCCCATTTTTCAGAGAGGGCAACTGAGGTGTAGGGAGGTTAAATGAGTGCTGGTGCACCTTAATTCAAAGCCTTTGAAATCTGAAAGATTTTGGTTCAAATAACCAGTTGACTGCTTAACTCAGCTAAAATTATTTTTTTAAATGGCAGAAATTCTAAAACATAAAAGTAGCTTAAAGAAGATAGGCATTGAATTCTTTCTTGTGCAAAGGTTGTCTAGGGCTGGTGTGGTATTCCACAGTGTCCGGGACCCAGGCTCCTTCTACCCTGTGGCTCTGCCACCCTCAGCCAGTGGCTTCCACATCATAATTCAAGATGGCTGCTACTGCTCCAGCCATCATATCTGCATTGCAACTAGAAGGAAGGAGGAAGGAACAAAGACGGGCTCACCTCCTTCTTTTACAGTACTTCCTATAAGTTATGCATATCATACCTTCTGTCTTCCTATTATCCAGAAAATTGTCATAGGGTCATGCCTAGCTACTAGGGAAGCTAGAAATGTAAGCTTTATTATTGGAGGTTCTGTGCCCCTCTAAAAATAGAATTTCTGTTACTAAGGCAGAAGAAAAGAGGATATTGATGAACAACCAGAAGTCTCTTGACCCGTATAGCTTTTCACACCATTATAAAACCCACCTCTGTTTTCTCTCTGTAAAATGAGAAAATCTGCACTTAGTTCTTTGGGTGAGAATTCAGGTAACATATGGAAAGTATCTGGCACACCATTCAACATATATTAGAGGCTAAATACATTTTAGTCCCTTATCCTTAAGTGATCGCTCTTACTCACATATTCAGGGAGACAGGACAAGATTCTAGGTCTCCTGATTTGAAGACCAGAGTTCTTTTGTAGCAGCATGGATGAGCAAATATCTTAATTGTCTTCTAGTTTATTTGTTTAATTGATTAATATAAAGATATTTTCCCTGGTCAGGCGTGGGATGTGGTGGCTCATGCCTGTAATCCCAGCACTTTGGGAGGCCGAGGCAGATGGAGCATTTGAGGTCAGGAGTTTGAGACCAGCCTGACCAACCCCTTCTCTACTAAAAATACAAACAATTAGCCAGGTGTGGTGTTGCACACCTGTAATCTCAGCTACTCGGGAGGCTGAGGCACGAGAATCACTTGAACCCGGGATGTGGAGTTTGCAGTGAGCCGAGGTCGCACCATTGCACTCCAGCTGGGGTGACAGACAAGACTGTGTCTCAAAAATATATATATAATATGTATTTTCCCCAAATAATATCGTATAAAAAAGAACAACATATTAACGATGTAAGTGGAGTTAGGAATGTTAGAGTCCCATTGGCATATCACCCCCGACCTTTCCTCTCTGCCTTTGAGTTACCTCACTGGATGTCTAGTTGTAATTCACAGAAAGCAGGTAGACACCCACTGGACAGAGAGACAAAGTAGGGCTCATCATCAAAAGGAAAAACGAAAGAAAACAAAAAGACAGAGAGTTGAGACTTTTGTTCATTCCACAAATTTGCATTGAGCATCTACTTTATACCAGGTAGTATTCTAGGTTCTTCAAGGGAGAAAAAGCAGCAGAAGGAAAAACCAGGCAAAATCCCTGCTTTTATGAATTCTATATTCCAGTATGTGAATATCCAGAAATTCTGAAATAAAAATCGCACCTTGAATTGAATGTCAATTGATCCATATCATCTCATTCTATAGTTTTTGGTTGGAAGAGCAACATGCACGCACATCTGCCACTTGGAGATCTTGAATAATTTGGCAGCATAGGCACAGGTGATTGAGTGAACTTGGAAATGCACGCCACGTTACATACATTTTTTTCTGCTCATTTGGATTAGAAGCTCATTATGTGAGCTGGTTCCACTGGCTCTTGTGCCAGCTGGTTCAAAGTGGTTAGGTGATCCTTAGTCATGAGAGGTTAATGGTGACGCATTTGGTGCTATTTTAACAGTGTTATAAATACTACCCAGCATTTCCAGATTCCTCACCCCAGGTTCCAAGAGCAGCCTGAGATTCGAAGAACCACTTTATTAATGGTCATTCAGAATTCCAATAACTCCCAATAAAGTAGAATTAGGACATGCATCTTAGACCCTACTCTATACACCCTGCTTCTAGTTGAAATCTTTGGCCAGTTGGGTCAAAGTTTCAGGTATGCTCTGTGGAGTTGGGAGGAGGAGAGTCATATTTACAGAAAAAAGCTTTGTCCTAACCTACCTCAAGTTTTAGACATAGCGGTTGTATTACAAAAGACAGCATATAGGGTCCTCTCCTTAAGGAGTCACCCTTGACTCAGGTGTGCTCCCTGAATAGAGTTGGATGCCCAGGGTGGCACATGGATTACAGGCTTTGCACCATAGAAGCTTCATCTACCAGTAAGCCCAGTCCAGGGGGTGCTGTGAGCTCTGAACAATCAAATGAGCTCCTCCTCTCTCCTTGGGGTAGGGCCTAGACGAGCTCTCATTGCCTCCCTTCGGGGACTGGAATTAGTAGCCAAAATGATTCTCCAGCATTTAAAAGAAAGCTTTTGACCCCAAATTTTAGGAGGAAGAAAGACAATTATATAAAACCATGACAACTACTGCTACCCCTACCATAGTTTAGCAGACACCCATAATGTGCCAAGCACTCTGCTGGCCTTTATCACGTTGTGTATCTCATTAGACGTCATTTAGTGTGATCCCTATAATTACCCAGTGACATGGCTGTTATGACCTCACTTTTACAGAAAAGGAAACAAATACTCTGAGAACTGAGGATACTTACCTGAGGTTGAAAGCCACAAAATTGAATTCTAACTCAGGCTATCCAATTCTTGCAATATTGCCTCTTGGCAGTTGTTGTACTGGAATCAAATATTTAGTGTGCAGGATCCTAGAGACCTATGCCTGCTCATTCATTTTTTCATTTATTCCACAGTTACTTTTAAGCTCTGGCTTAAAAGTCAGGACACACCCTCTTCTAGGTGTTTTAGAGTTGCAGTGATCAGAACAAAGACCCCTGCCCTTAAGAAGATTTCTATTTTGTGTCCTAAAATCTTTAAAATTCAGTATTGCTCAGCCAAGACAACTAACATTATTTTTTTAATTGACCACAATAGAATTTGTGTTGAAAGAATAAACAATACTTTTCTCCTTATAAAAATCCTTTTCTTCTTTCTGTTTCTTTATGTTGTGGTTTCTGAGCCCATTTTAGAGTATCTCTGTGTTGGAGTTATTATTTTTCTGTCTTGACTTTTTTTTTTTTTTTTTTTTTTTTTTGAGACGGAGTTTTGCTCTTGTTGCCCAGGCTAGAGTGCAATGGTGCGATCTCCACTCACCACAACCTCCACCTCCTGGATTCAAGTGGTTCTCCTGTCTCAGCCACATGAGTAGCTGGGATTATAGATGCCTGCCACTACGCTTGGCTAATTTTTGGTATTTTTAGTAGAGATGGAGTTTCACCATGTTGGCCAGGCTGGTCTCAAACTCCTGACTTCAGGTGATCCACCTGCCTTGGCATCCCAAAGTGCTGGGATTACAGGTGCGAGCCACCGCGCCTGGCCTTCTCTGCCTTGATGTTTAAGTTCTGGCTCTGCTGTTAAGACTTTTTAATTGTTCACGGGGAACAGGAAACCACCAATGAGTACTGTATATGAAATTGAGCACCAGGGCAAAGAGGAAGGTGCTGCCGTCAAAAGACAGCGCAAGGATATTCAGAGGAAGAAGAGAAGGAGGAGGTGGATGAGTTGGGAATTGAAAACTGGCAAAAGTAGAGTGAAGTTGTACTAAAGAGGGATGAGGATTCATTTGCGCCCATGAGGGAATAGTTAATGGAAGATGAGAAAGCACTAAGATAGACATCAAAGTTGAAGGGATTTGCAAACACCAGGAGAATGCTTGTAAGAGAAAAAAAAAAAACAAAAAAAAAACACTCTGTGAAAATGAAAGTATCTTGAGAATTGAAAAGAGGTTAAAGAAAACTGACTGTGTTTTCAAAAACATGTAAATTAAATGACAAACGAAGAAACTGTGACACCCAAGCAGTTCAAGGAGGCATTTAAGGGACACTGTGATCCAGGAAACGTCCCTGGGAACTTCAGAAATGGCAAAGTAGATGGAAAATTAACCGAAAATTGAGAAACACTAAATGGGTTATGGTGGCATTTGTGAAACAGTAAGAGAATTAAAGTCTAAGGGGGAAATAGTGAATAATAAATATGTCTAGAGAACATCTCAAATAATTAGATTTTGGAAGTTAAAGGAGACTTATGACTATAAGACGAAAGAGATAAAATAGAAATCTGGAGGAATGAGATATTTTAAGTCATAGTTAAAGAAGCTTATGCAGCCCATTATGGTTGGCTGTTCACACAAGGACAGAGGGACTCTGGAAATGAGTATACTAAATGGCAAGGGGAAGCATGGCTTTAAAAAGCATTGCATTTGTAGTAGGGTGTTAGAAAATATGACAGGGTGGAAAAAGAGTGAAAACTGCATGGAAAATTTGCATCAATGTTAACTACTATTTATTAATAGCTGTATACCAGGCACTGTGCTAGGCATTTTATGCGAACTATGAAGTTAGGTTAAACCATATGAAACTGTCATGGCTAGTCTGTATGGTTTAACTTAATCCATTTTTGCAAAAAAAAAAAAAAAAAAAAAGGAAATGGAGGCTCAGTAGATTTTAAATACGCTGCCCAAGGTGCCAGGTACTGTCTCACTGTAAAGCCTATTCTCTTTCCTCGATGTCATGAAACCTCAACAACATAGAAGCAGCAAGTTATTCTTTTATTCATTCTGCACATGTTCAGCACCAGCTCTGTGGCGCACACCCTGTTTAGCACTAGAAATATAATACTAAGCAAGGCAGATGAGGTCCCTGCTTCCATGATTACAGTCTACCAGTTAAAAACAAAAGCAAAAGCACAAAGAGAGTCTAGAACAGCTGTTCATTAGAAATATAATGCAAGTCACATGTAACTTAAATTTTCTGGTAGCCCATTAAAAAAGTGAAGAGAAGCAGATAAAATTAATTTTAATAATATATTTTATTTAACCCAACATGCCTAAACTACTCCAACATGAAATCAACCTAAAATTATTTATGAGACCTTTTACTCTTTTGAAAAATACGAAGTCTTCAAAATTCTGTGTGTATTTTTACATGGATGGCACATTTCAATTCAGACTAACCACATTTCAAATGCTCAATAGCTACACGTGGTTGGTGGCTGGCTATCTAACGTGATAGCAGGCCTAGTGAGAATTGGACAATTCTGGCCCCGTTTATATTCAATCATAATATAGGAAATATAGGAAATATTGTCTACCTATTTTTCAATGTTATCTCTGATCACCATGCATCACCATTCATAGAGCACAAAACACAAGGGGAAGAGGAATGTTTATTTAACCTGGACTTCAGCTTCATACACTTAATACTGTAAATACCAGAGGAAATGTGTATATATATGTACGTATTTTATGTATTTTTTTATATATATAAAATATGTAAATATATATGTATTTAGTGTTGTGACTGTCACTGGCAATAAAAAACAACTTAGCACTTTACCACCAGTGGATGACAACACAGAAGTCGTCTTGGCAAATCACTAGAGTCTTCCCCTTCTCTATTTGCCAGCATGCTTCTGTGTACTTATTGCTCCTGATGGAGATATTGAAGCTGTAATTTGAGGCTTAGAAGCAGTCAGAATTTCTGACATTTTATCTGACCACTAAAGCTTTATGATCAATTTTGTAGAGATAAGCAAAACAATGACAAGATTTTACTGTTTAATACAAGTGCCCAGCAGGTGTTAATGGGAACTGATCAATGTGGTGTAAAATGGTATTTCCCTAGGTAAAGAACTCTGCTCTGGAGCAAGTTTAAATGGGAAGAAAGCCCATGGAAATATGGATTGTCCTTCCTAGAAATTGGGTGGGGGAATTGAAGGTAATAGGTACTTGCTCCCTGCCAACTTCATAATGAAATTACTGTTCAGCAGAAATTTCTGTTAGAGGTTTTTTTTTCCCCCCTCCCAAGGGACTGAAGACTTTTAATAGAAAAAGACAATATTAACATTGAGTATATGGAGTCATTCACCCAGAATATTGAATCTTAGAGGAACACAGAAAAATCTGAAGCATGAGGATTTCTGCATAGTTATTTTCATATAATCTGAAGAACAGTGTTTGCGTCTCAGTAATCACTCTGCTAATTCCATCTGATTTTACTACCAAATGGAAGAAAAGGGAACAAGTGGAGAACATGGAGATGGGAAATTAAAGAAGGAGATTTTAAGTAAATCCAAAGAAAGGTGCTCAACTGCGTATGCTACCTTCTTGATTAAAACAATCACTGTTTTGGCTGGGCATGGTGGCTCACGCCTGTAATCCCAGCACTTTGGGAGGCCAAGGCAGGTGGATCATTTGATGTCAGGAGTTCAAACCAGCCTGGCCAACATGGTGCAACCCTGTCTCTACTAAAAATATAAGAATTAGCCGGGAGTGGTGGCAGGTACCTGTAATCCCAGCTACTAGTGAGGCTGAAGCAGGATAATTGCTTGAACCTGGGAGGTGAAGGTTGCAGTGAGCTGAGATTACACCACTGCACTCCATCCTGGGTGGCAGAGTGAGACCCTGTTTCCAAAAAAAAAAAAAGTTGCTGTGACATTCAGTTCATGTTACGCAACCTTGTGAATGGCTCTCCCCAGGAGCAAGTGTCTTTATCGAAACCAAAACATTTGTTCCCTGATCCAGCATTTCCAAACAGATAACAAACTGGATATTTCCAAATTTCTTGATAATTTACTAAATTTTTCAGTTTTCCCACATTTGGGGCGCTAGGTAGACTCAACCTGAACTACATTCACCCCAAAGTGTTGGATAATTGAAACCTGGCTTAAGATCTCATTGTACTCAATAAGAAACACCTCAGTGAGTTGGCCACCCTAATTATCAACTTAGGGCAGCAGGTACAGAGTGACTGGTAACTTATTTTCGCTAGCTGAGGTAAAGGCCATTGGTGGTCTTTGTCGGTAGTTTTTGTACTGAAATTCCATTGCAGTTGCCTGCCTATCTGTCCAATCTCTTCATTCCACCTGTTGCTTTCTTTGACCGTCGTCTCTATTCCTTGCTTGCGTTACTACAAAGCCTCATCTGTTTGCCCATCTGCCTCTTACAAACTTGCATTTCAAGCCTCCATTCCAAATAAACACAAGATGAAGTCTAAACTCAGTCTATATAGTACTTGCTTATCTGACTCCTGCGTCTGTCTCTAGCGTCCTCTCCCAAGTTACTTTCCCACTTGCCCCCAACTTATTGTGAACTGACGGCAGCTCATTGAACACATCATGATGTTTCAGGGTTTTCTGCCTTGGACTTTGCATTTTCTCCATGTGCATGAGCAAGAGCTGCTCAACTTTTCCTTCCTCTTCCTTCTCAGCACAACCCAAATCCCTTTAACTTTGTTTCCTTTTTCCAGTCATGGAATCACCATAGAATTAGCCACTGCTTCTCTTATGCTTTCCAACAACTTAGTCCATATCTCTATTTTTACACTTATTGTTCTTCGTTATAGTTATTTTGTGTGTCCCTCTCCCCAACCTTGAAAAATTAAGTATTTTTGGTCATTTTTGTATCATTTTCATGGCATAGTTCTGGTACAGGGTGTGATACATAGGAGATGCTCAAACATGCCTAATGGATGGAAGAATGGATGAACGTATTAATGAATGTATTGACGGATAGATGGATGGATGGATGGATTAATGGATTGATGAATGTATTGATAGATGGATGAATGGACAGGTAAATGTATTGATGGATTGATGGATAGATGAATGACTGCATTGACAGATGTTTGGAAGGGTAGATATATAGATGGATGAATGTATGGATGGGTGGATTTCCCTTTGGTGATGATCTGTCAACATACTTGCCAAACATTAACTGAGCCCCCACAGTATGCCAGACAATGTGACGGGGCTAAAAATAACCCTGGGAAATGGAACCAAAATGTCAGCTTAAAAAATAAAAACAGCTTAACTTAGGCTCAATTAGTTACTTTGAAGTCCTGCTAATAATGAGGAATTTGACTCCAGTTCTCCACTAAACAGTCCATGCAAATATCTTCTTTAGAGTCTCAATAAGAGGTGTGAGGTGGAGCACACCTAGCTGTGTGTATCTGGACCATGTTCATTTAGTTCATCAAACTCCAGCCAGGAAACATCAAAGGGGAGAAGGAAGAGAGAAAAAAAAGTTTCAATTGTCTAGATAATGAATGGTTTTTAAGCCGTGAACAAAAATGTTCAAGTCCCCTCAAGTGCAGAGAAGCATTTTCACTTCTGCCCCTATTGGCTGCAAATCTGAGTATATCACTCCTCTACTTAAAATCTTTCCTGGCTCACCATGACCTTCTGAACAAATCCAAACCCTTCAGTGTGTCCATTATGATCTGGCTTCAGGGATCCTCTGCAGACTCATCCCACTGCACATAACATAACCATCTGCCTTACTAAGCCGTTTCCTACTTCCTCTAGCGTGTGTTACTACCTTTGCTGACTCTTTACTTAAGATGATGCCTCTGCCCAGAATGCTTTCTCCTGCCTCAACCCCTTCACCCATTAAGATTCCCTGGGAAGCCCTCCCCAGATTCCCCAGGTTGAGTTAGGGACCCTTTTGTCTGTGTTGTCTCACCTTCTTACATTTACTCTCCATCAGTGAATAAGTGGCATTATAGGTACTGTCATTGTTTATGTGTCTATGCCATTGAATTATAAGAATGTGGGTAAGAAAGAAGACAAACACTGTGTTTTTTATTTCTGTATCTATAAGACTTACTATAAGCCCTGACCTATATACCAGGCATACAGTAAATATGCTTTCTTTGACCGTCGTCTCTATAATAAATAGAGTAATTAGTTGTTAAATCAAGAAAATATCCTTCCGGCAGGTGTGGTGGCTCATGCCTGTAATCCCAGCACTTTGGGAGCCAGAGGCAGGCGGATCACCTGAGGTCAGGAGTTCGGGACCAGCCTGGTCAACATGGCAAAACCCTGTATCTACTAAAAATACAAAAATTAGCTGGGCATAGTGGTGGGCACCTGTAACCCTAGCTACTTGGAAGGCTGAGGCAGGAGAATCATTTGAACCTGGGAGGCGGAGGTTGCAGTGAGCCAAGATTGTGCCAATGCACTACAGCCTGGGCTACAGAGTGAGACTCCGTCTTAAAAAAAATAACAAAAATAAAAACAAAAAACAAAAAACCTTTCTAGGAAGTGATAAGAGATACCCCAAATAAACCAGATAGAATAGTGATTATCCTTTGTTCCTTCTAGAATAGCAGTGTTTTAGTTTTCTGTTTGTTAAAGTATTTGATTGCAGAGAACTTGAAGAATACAAAGATACACACACAAAAAAATGAAAAATACCCATAACCCTTTTAGACATAGACAAGCCCTGTTTTTATCCTCTTTTCTGCTTCTTTAACATTAAATAGTAAGCATTTTCTCTGCATCATTAATTTGTCTTCAAAAACATGATTTTCAATGACCCGAATGGTCTGTTGAATAAATACACAATATTTGCTCTTTTCCTTTTCCCCAATTTCTTCACTTTGTCCTTGGAAACCAGATTCTCCCCCACACAACACCCCCATCAGTCGCTTCTGCACCATGCTGGTCCAGGGATGTACATGTGACCCATTAGGCCAGTGTCTCTTCTTAAAATTTCTTGTAGCCTAGTTCTCTTCTTCTTCTTCTTCTTTTTTTTTTTTTTTTTCACTTTTTAGCATCTCTGGATGTTAATGGAATATGAAGCAAGTGACACAGTATCTTTCTGGGGAAGTCTTTGAATGCTTCAATCCACCATATTGGATGTATCTTGTGTCTGCTGAGTGGCCACCACCATGTTGTCTCAGATGTCTTTAACGACATCACATTTTTCTCAAGCTGCAAGGAGAGCGGATCCCTTGGGGAACCTCTCACCCGAAATCTGGGAGATGAAGTCTGCCTTGGCTCTCTGAGTTCAGCCTGAGTACAGGCCAAGGTGGCTTTGAGGAGTGATGAGGGTATAAATGTTGTAAGGCAGATAGATGTTACCTGCAATGAAAACACCTAGACCAAAAATTAAGTTTATACATGTTATATAAGGTAGATTCTAGGAGTCATCGTTGATGCCTCTTTCTCCCTTCCCCTCATCTAATCTTTCACTAAATACCTCCTAAATATCTCTCCACTCGGTCTTGTTTGCTGTTGCTTTTTCTCTTCCTCCTTCTCTTCTTCTTTGGCCACAACCAGAGTCAAAGCCACCATTATCTTTGACCTGGTTTGTAAGAATAGCATAAGTAGTCCCTCTGTACCCGCTCTGGTTCCCCTCCAATCTATTCTCTACACAGCCTTCAATTGACATGATCTATTACCTCTTTGATGTCACCCTCGCTTCTATGTCTTCCCATAGTTTTTTTTGTTTGTTTGTTTTTCTGAGACAGGGTTTCACACTTGTTGCCCAGGCTGGAGTGCAATGGCACGATCTCGGCTCACCGTGACTTCTGCTTCCCGGGTTCAAGCAATTCTCCTGCCTCAGCCTTCTGAGTAGCTGGGAATACAGGTTTGCACCACCATGCCCAGCTAATTTTTTTGTATTTTTAGTAGAGACGGGGTTTCTCCATGTTGGTCAGGCTGGTCTCGAACTCCTGACTTCAGGTGATTCCCCTACCTCAGCCTCCCAAAGTGCTGGGATTACAGGTGTGAGCCACCATGCCTGCACCTTCCCACGGTTTTAAGACAGACATTTAACATGGTCTCTAAAATCCTGCACTTTCTGTTCCTATTCATCTTCTCAGCCTCACCTGATCTCACATTTTCCTGTCTTTCTCTGCTTCAGCCTCTCTGGTCTGCATTCAGTTCCTGGTATGCACACCACAGAGTCTTTGCACATGTTGCCTCTTTTGCCTGTTTGTGTCTTTTCTTGCCTAGTTAATGCCAATTGAGCCTTCAGGTCAAGCTGCACTTCCTCAGCCTTGCCTCACCCCTATTTCACTTTCTTATAGCATACTCTCCCGTCCCTTGTATCATTTGTCATAAATCTGTGTTTAATCAATTCATGACTATCCTCCCCCTTAGACTCTAAACTTCTTGAGGGTGGGAATTATGTTCATTTTCTTATTTACCCTGAACCAACTAGCTGAGTCCTGACATATAGCAAATGCTTCATATATATTAGTTGAATAAATAATGAATAATGGAATGTCATTTTTTCAACATTGAATGCCATGTGGTTTATGAGCAAGCAGCTTCCTTCAGGGAAGTTTGTTAGAGTATAATAGAATGTGTTTTCAGATCTTCCTGTAAGAAGATCATTTGAATATAGGTCTATGAATCTGGCAGGACAAAAAGCTTACATTCCACGTGTTAATTACAGTCAATTACTAAAGCATGGTCAACTAGCAATGGTTGCATGGTTATTAATACTTCTGCAGAGAGGCTTCTTGTGATGAATATAGCATTGTAAGTTTATAATTTTTCAGTATTCCATTAATGGTGGCATCCACTTATTTGTTCGATTGCTCTAATTCTTTCCTAAAAATTTGTCTTTCTCTCTTCCCCTTTCTAGATTTATGGTCAATGTTACATGGGATGGCAAAGACTTATCCTTCACTGAGGAAGGCTACCAGGTGCACCCCAGGCTGGTGGTGATTGTGCTGAACAAAGACCGGGAATGGGAAAAGGTGAGCATCCTTCTGTGTGCTGAATGCAGGGGAGGGAAGAAAGCATGGGCAATAAAGGGGCTCACAGTGCTTCTTTCTCCCACGCATTTCCTGTTGAGCTGCTCTAGATCCCATCTCACAGCCAAGAGCACGTCTTTCTTGCAACAAGGCAGACTAAATCTGTAAGGTGCAATTGGAATGCTTTCTCTGGGTGAACTGTGGTAATTGTGTGGTGCGCTGTATGTCTGTTCTCAAATCCCAGTAGGAAAGGTCTGAACTAAGGATAATTTAAAGACAGTGAAGTCTGGGTTGCAGCATTACACTAATAAGTGTTGACTATGTAGCAATGATCATAGAAGTTTGCCTAAACTTCCTAATTGTGTACCATAGTCATTGCCATATGAACGAACCCTCTGTATTTTCATGTACTCAGTCTTTTGCTTTAAATAAACTAATTTTAAAAACTTAAATGTATCACTTCTGTAAATCATGAGTTAGAGAGGGAGGTTATTTTTCTTATAAAGCATATTTTCAACTACATGTATATTAGCTATTGAAAATACAAAAAATCGTTTGCAAAGAAAAAAATCATCATCTTATGTACCATACATGTCATGACCTGGGTCAGAGAGGAGAGATGTCACAGGGAATTTACAGATGATCTCATACATACAATGACAATATCTGGTTCAGTTGCCCTCCCTCCTCCTCCATAATTAAATGCTTAAGTTAGTCGCTACAATTTCGTATAAAGAGTAGAATAAAAGGGATCAGAAAGCCTTTGTTGTTACGTTGTTATCTTATTTTTTTGTTATGTTTTTTGACAAGCAATGCATGACCTCTGAACTACTTTAGCATCTTGAAATTTATCTTCACTTAGTACATCAAATGGAGGCCTGAGTGACCCTAGAGGGAAGGAAGATATAGGATGTGCTGTGGGAGACATAATGTAATTGACTGAAATCAGGGGGAAATACTATACAAACAGAAGCATTGACTCTGGGGAGACAATGACAGATTCCTAGAAAAGAACAGTGAGGAGGAAGCTTAGGAAAGTTTTGCATCCTACACCCAGCAACTATAAAATGCACAGCCTTTCGAGTGCACATGGGAAATCCACCAAAGTAGACTACATTCTGGAGCATAAAACAAAAGTCTCAATGTGTTTAGAAGAATTGAAATAATGGAGGGTGCATTCTTTGATCATAACAGCATTAAAATAAAAATTAGTAACAAAAATATATCTAGAAAATCTCCAAATATTTGGAAATGGCAACACACTTCTAAACCTATAGGTCAAAGAAGAAATCAGAAAGACATTAGAAAATACTTTAGTCAGAATGATAATGAAAACACAAAATATCAAAATTTGAGGAATAAGATTGAAGGCACACTAAGAAATTCATAGCTTTAACTGCTTATAATAAAAAAGGAAAGTGTGAATTCAGTGTCAATGATTTAAGCTTATAAATTTAGAAGTTAGAAAAGAGCAAAGTGAACAAATGAAGTAGAAGAAAAAAATCATAAATACACAAGTAAAAATCAACAAGGTGGAACACAAGCCATAGAAAAAAATCAACAAAGCCAAAAGCTAGTTCTTTGAAATGACTAATAAAATTCACAGTCGCTAGCAATAATGATCACACAAAAGAAAGAAAACACAAATAAGCCAATATTAAAAATGCAAGAGGGACTATCACTTACAGACACTACAGATCCTACAGGCATTAAAAGATAAAAAGAATATTATGAAAAATTTATGACAACAAATTCAACGATATAGATAAAATGGGCAAATTCTGAAGAAACACAATTTTCTACAACTGAGATGTAGGTATTGACGATCTGAATAGCTCATATTTGCTGAAAAACTGAAAATATACCTAAAAACTTTCCCATTTTAAAAAGACAAAAGAGAAACTCCTGGCCTAGATGGCTTCGTCTATCTATAACAAACATTTAAAAGAAATAACAGCACTCTATACAAAGTTTTTCAATATGTTACTAATCATAATGTAATAATATATTTTAAAAAGGATAATACATCATGGATAAGTGGGGGCTATCTGAGGAATGCAAGATTAGTTTAACATTTAAAAATTAAATTAATTTACCACATTAACAGAGTAAAGGGGGAAATATGGTCATTTCAATAGATGCGGAAAAAGCATTTGACAAAATTCAATATCCAGTTATGATAAAGATGGTAAATTCCTCAATCTGATAAAGGGTATCTATGAAAAACCTATAATATATATATCGATTTATATATATTATATGCACATACGCATATCATGAGATGCTTTATTTGACAATTTTTAAGTTTTTCTGTCTTATTCTAAGTTAGACTACGGTGCATAAAATATATATATTAAATAAGCTTATATCTTATTTAATGATGAAATAATGAAAATAGATCCACATAGGCACATTCAAATGATTTTTGATCAATGATTATGACAACAGGGAAAAGGAAAATCTTTTTAATAAATGGTATTGGATAAACAGGCAATCTACATGGAAAAAAAAAACCTTGACCCATTGCTCACATTATGCATGCACACATAATTACCTGAAATAGATTACAGGCTTAAATGTGAAAGATAAAACTATCTAGAAGAAAATGTAGGAGAATATTTTTGTGATCTGTGAGCCTCAGATTTCTTAAACCAAATATGAAAAACCATTAAGCAGTAAATAAACTGTACTTCATCAAAATTAAAAACTTTTGCTCATCTAAAGACACTGTTAGCCACTGTGCCCAGCCCTCTTTTTTATTTTCTAACACTTGTAATTCCAACACTTTGGGAGGCCAAGGCAGGTGGACCACCTGAGGTCAGGAGTTCGAGACCAGCCTGACCAATATGGTGAAACCCCGTCTCTACTAAAAATACAAAAATTAGCTGGGCATGGTGGTGTGCACCTGTAGTCCCAGCTGCTTGGGAGGCTGAGGCACAAGAATCACTTGAATCCGGGAGGTGGAGGTTCCGGTGAGCCAAGATTGAGCTACTGCACTCCAGCCTGGGCGAGAGAACGAGACTCCACCTCAGCCCCCCTGAGTAGCTGGGATTACAGGCATGTGCCACCACAGAGGCTAATTTTTTATATTTTTGGTAGAGATAGTTGCACCATGTTGGCCAGGCTGGTCTCAGACTCTTGACCTCAAGTGATCCACCCGCCTCAGCCTCCCAAAGTGCTGAGATCACAGGCGTGAGCCACGCGCCTGGCCAAAAACTGTGTGTGTGTTTTTTTTGTTTGTTTTTTAATAAACGTACACATACACACACAAATCTTATCCAGCAATTTTACTCCTAGTTATTTATCCCAAAGAAAGATAAACATATATCCAAAAAGTAATACTTGTACAAGAATGTTCATTGCAACTTTATTCATTATAGCAAAACATCAGAAATAATTCAATGTCCATCAACAAGGAAATGAATGAACAAATTATGGTATATTAATAAAACAGAATGGCCTAGTAATATGTACAACAACATGGATGAATTGAAAAACATTATATGGAATCAAAGAAAGACACGAAAGATTATATTACGTGAAGACATGAAAGATTATATTGTGTGATTCCATTTACATAAAGTTCAAGGGAGGCAAACGTTCCCTATGGGGTTAGATATCAGAATAGTGGTTGCTTCTGTGGGTGAGTGCAGTTGACAGGACAGGGGCACAGGGAATTTTCTGGAGTGATGGCAGTTATTTCCTATCTTGAACATTTGTCAAAAGGCATCAAATTATGACACAAGATCCATTCATTTTGTTGTATGTCATTGTGCTTAGTTTAAAAAAAAACCTAAATCCGGGCCGGGCTTGGTGGCTCATGCCTGTAATCCTAGCACTTTGGGAGGCCAAGGCAGTCAGATTGCCTGAGCTCAGGAGTTCAAGACCAACCTGGGCAACATGATGAAATCTCGTCTCTACTGAAATACAAAAAATTAGCCCGGCATGGTGGTGGTGCCTGTAATCCCAGCTACTCAGGAGGCTGAGGCAGGAGAATCACTTGAACCTGGGAGGCGAGGGTTGCAGTGAGCTGAGATCGCACCACTGCACTTCAACCTGGGTGACAGAGCAAGGTTTTGTCTCAAAACAAAACAACAAAACCTTAAATCCTTCAGATCGGGATACCCAGCACAATTAACTAACAGTTTTCACTGAGCTTTCATATTTAACCCCCTGACATGAATACCAATTATAATAACAATATCCATTGCTTATTGATCACCTCTTGTATTGATCCTTCAGTTGATCCACCGGAGCCCTGACTTCATGGTTCGTCTATTCATTTTTTTATTCAACAAATAGTTATTAAGTGCCTACTGTGTACCAGGCCCTATCCTTGATGCTTGGAGTCCATCATAAACAAGAGAAAAAATATTTTCTGTACTCAAGAAACTTAGATCTTAGTGTGTATATGGAGATGGAGTCGGCTGGGATTCTATGGGCTTCTGTCATGCTTAAGGAAAGTGTTAGCATCTAGTTAACTGTCCTTGGTTTTAACCTCCTTTCTTCCCTCTTATACACCCTGTAGCCCACCATGCAAGTGATTTGCAACTCCATGAATGTATATACTGGGTTCCTTCATGCATTTGGGACTTTGAATATGCTTTTGTTGTTGTTGTTGCCTATAATATTTTCTTATATCATTACTTTCTCTTATCCATCTTTCAAATCCTGATTTTTTTTCCTCTTACACATGTAAAGCCAAAATGCAATTCATGTTTTTTTTCTAATCATCCATAGGAGGTAGAGAGTTGGAGCCTTTCTGCCTTATGTTGTTGCATTTTGGGGTTTTCAACCTTTTGATGTTACACAATCTGCGATTCACTTTTGGAGCCACCAAATCATTCCCTTTGGTTGGTTTTAACCAGTCCTGGAGCAGGCTTGACTCACACCTGTGAATTTTCTGTGCTACCTTAGAATCTGACTCATCTTCCAGGGAGCTGGTACACAAGGAGGCCACTGCAGTGCAGGTGACAGCTGCCCTTGATACACTCCATTTCCAGATACAGAAGATGCCTTTTAATATTTTGTGGGCCTTTCTTCAAATTCCTGTTGAAACATAGCAATTTCCCATAAAAGGCAGCTTTGGGAATTGCTGCTGAGTTGAGCTTAGAATGCACAAATACTGCCTGTAGTTGCTCTATCCTCTTGGCACTCAGGGGATCTAGTGCTTCAGAAATAACTCCGTGTGCTTCTGTCTCTAAGAAAGAGAAAGCCAGTGGAGCAGGTAAATACCAGTCGTGTTACCCTTAAAGCTGCCCCCCCAGCACTACACGCTGGTACAGCAGGTCAGCAGAGGGGAAAGACTGCTGAGGAGGGAGCTGTTATTCTGGGACTCGGAGGCGATTTCTTTTCATCTCCGAGGTCAGCCAGTGGCGTCACTGAAAGCAGCAGCATGTAATGAGGGTGTCTGGGAAAACACGACAAGCCCTTAGAGGGGCACTTGCTTTTTTCCAGGCCTTTGTAGGTGGCTGGTGTGGATTATACAGACGCCAAACACCAGGCCTGCCTGTATACTGCAGACACAGAACTCAGAATGGAGCAGACTTTCTCTCACAAATCGGGACTTCCATGCCTTTTCTCTCTCCCTTGTTCTTCAGTGATTTTGGTCTGCCTTAGAGTTTGATGAGTCCAAGGCTTCCCAGAGATGCTCAAAAACAAAACCCTAGATGCCTCAACCTCAGCCTCAGAAGACCCTACAGCCTCAAATTCCTAGGTGTAAGGGGTCTTCCTGCCAATTAGCAGTCTAGGCTAGTACAACCAATGCCACGTGTATGCCAGCTCTGTGGCCAGCAGTTCATTAGGTACCAGGGATGCTACAAGGATGTGTAGGAAACTATGTGTCTTCTCAAGTAGCTCATAATAGAGAATTAAGCCAACCCTGGAACAAATGGCTATAAGTGCTACATAGGCGGAGAGAAGGGTGAACTTGGGCCAGTCAAGAAATTCTCTAGCCGGGCACGGTGGCTCACACCTGTAATCCCAGCACTTTGGGAGGCCGAGGTGGGTGGATCACGAGGTCAGGAGATGGAGACCATCCTGGCTAACATGATGAAACCCCGTCTCTACTAAAAATACAAAAAAAAAATTAGGTGCCTGTAGTCCCAGCTACTCTGAAGGCTGAGGCAGGAGAATGGCGTGAACCCAGGAGGCGGAGCTTGCAGTGAACCCAGATCACACCACTGCACTCCAGCCTGGGCCACAGAGTGAGACTCCATCTCAAAAAAAAAAAAAAAAAGAAATTCTCTAAGTGAGAATTTCTCACTTAGAGAAATTCTTTGTAAAGCTAGAGGTATTGGAGTTGAGCCTTGAGTAATAAATTGGATTGCTCTAGGCTGAACTACTTATTCTACCTGAAAAAAAATGCTTTGAGAATAATTCTGGTTACCATTTTAGGGTTATAGTAGCTTTGTTTATTTTATTATTTATTTATTTATTTCAAGACAGAATCTCACACTGTCACCCAGGCTGGAGTACAGTGGCACGATCTGGGCTCACTGCAACCTCTGCCTCCCAGGTTCAAGCAATTCTCCTGTCTCAGCCTCCCGAATAGCTGGCATTACAGACACGTGCAGCCACTCCTGGCTAACTTTTGTGTTTTTAGTAGAGATGAAGTTTCACCATGTTGGCCAGGCTGGTCTTGAACCCCTGACCTCAGGTGATCCACCGGCTTCAGCTTCCCAATGTGCTGGGATTACAGGCATGAGCCACTGCGCCTGGCCTTACAATAGCTTTAAAATGAAAATATATGTGTGTTTATGCATACACCTATATACACATACAGGCTAGCTTTTAAAAATTTGTTTAAGTTAACAAATAAAAATTGTAGATATTTTTAGTGCACATGACGTTTTGATATATTTGTACACTGTGGAAAAGCTAAACTGAACTAATTAGTGTATCCTAGACAAACTTTAAAAGGGATATATATTGAGAAAGAGAGAGATAAATAAAGATTTTTGAAGTTTTGACTTTAAATGTAAATAGGACAAAACACATAAATATTAAAGTAAAACAAGCCTTTTATTCCCCAGAGAAGATCCAATTAAAGATGATACCGATGTTCCAGAAGACATTAGGGAGACCCTTCCTTGTGTCTTCCTGAAGGAAATGTCCCATTCTCGCTCTGATGGGTCTGTTTTTCTTTTTGTTTTCACCACTCTGTTTACATTTGGTTTCAGGTGCATTTTGCACAGAAATACAACCAGATCTCTCCCTCCAGCCCAGATCTGTCTCACGGCCTCCAGACTTGCCTACAGCACCACACGTGGCTGACCCACAGACACCCAATATCACCTTGTCCAAAGTCAAACTCATCATCTTCCTCCCACGGATATGTTTATTCGCCCGTACCCCAACACAGAAAGCTTTCTTCTTATCCCCGGAGTGTCCCCCAAGCCCTAGTATTCAGCTGTCACCTGCTCCTGATGTTCCTGCCCCTTCAAACATTTGTCCTCTTTGCTAAGGACACCCTTTCCATTGATTCTATATCTGGGTAGCTCAAAGTGGGTCTGCCCTTTTCCACTTCATTCCTGCAGACCTGTATACTAATTCGTAAGAGTGTTAACAGCTTGCTTTGGCATTGTTTGCTTGCCTATTCATCTTCGCTTAGACTAGAATCCCCAAGAGGGGAAGGTCTGTTCCTTTCATCTGTGTTTTTTCAGCTTCACCACAAGGGTTTGGGCCTAGTGCACAAATGGACCCCTCTATGATCTGTTGGTATCGACGACTTCAGCTGCCATTTATTAAGAGCTACTCTGTACCAATAACTATGATGACAATTTTACATTCATTATCTCATTTAGTCATCTGAGTAGGTATTTGTTTAATAGCACTTCTAAAGTAGGTATTCTTCTCCCTGCTTCAGAGATGGAAGTTCTGGTTCAGAGAACCAGAGTTTCTCTCTGGTTAGTGACCAGCTTAAGATCTCCCAGCTGGTGTGTGATGGAAGAAGGATGTAAGTGGAGGTCCGCCTGCCCCCGAAGGCTGTGTTCACCACCACTACATCATGTGGAACAACTGGCAGCGGGAAGGAGGTATTCTAGAGGAGAAATTTAGGGAGTTCCTCCTCCTACCCTTAGAAAGGTGTCTGCTTCCTTTCCTCTCACTGGATGCAATTGATTCTACCTGAAACCAGCTAATTAGAACTCAGGGTATAGGCATTTATTGCATCTCCCAGACCTTGTAATTTTTAACTTTTTTTTAGAGACATGGTCTCACTCTGTTACCAGGCTGGAGTGCAGGCACAATCATATCCCACTACAGCCTCAAATTCCTGGGCTTAAGGGGTCTTCCTGCCTCAACCTCCCAAGTAGCTGGGGACACAAGTGCACACCACCTTGCCTGGCTAATTTTTATTTCTTTTGCAGACACAAGTTCTCGATATGCTGCCCAGGCTGGTCTCAATCTCCTAACCTCAAACAGTCCTCCCATCTTGACCTCCCAGAGTGCTGGAATTACAGGCATGAGGCACCGCACCCGGCCCCTTCTATTTTTTGGTCTACAGTAGTTTCATCTTCCAATTTGTCTCATTAAGGGAGGGGATGCACCCCATATGTTATGTCTTGTGTGAAATAAAGTAGATTCCAGTTATAGGATTCCTAGTACAGATATGATAAAGGAGATCTTACAAAAGCTATGATTGCTCTCTTGAGTCTGTGGTTCTGACTGTGGTGTATCATTGTGCTATCAGGTCTAGTGAGGCATAGTGATGCGTGGGGTGCAATTATTACATGATGTGATTTGTAATTATAGAATGCTATAGCTCCCTCCTATCTAAATTATTGTATTTTAGCTCCCTCTCCTTGCCATCTCTTTCCCATCACTACTACCACATTTAGCCTAGCAGGGCCCAGTGAGTTTCAAGATCTCAAGAAAACATGCAGGTTGTTAGTGTCAGTTTGCTTCTGTGTGTGTTTGTGTGTGTGTGTGTGTGTTGTGTGTGTGTATGAGATATCAGTAGTCTTCAAAAAAGTTCATCCAGCCAGAGGATGGAAGTATTTATGCAAACATTGTTCTTGGCTTCTCCGCACACATCCCAGTGAAGATTGTGTAAAAGAAATCATGGAGAAAAATTGCAATTGTGAGGACACCAGTAAATGACAATTGATAGAACGATTATGTGGATTGCTAAAATTGAAGAACATTGTGACACATTCTACCGGCAGGGAGAAACATATTACAACTCTCTTTGCTTAGAAAGACAATAGCAGCCCATTGGTAAAGCCATGAATTCTGGCCACGGCTAGCACTGAGAGCTCATGGTGTGTTTTCAGTCTCTCCTTTACCATTATATCTCTGGTATTCAATAGCAGAGGCTCAATAAGGATTTGGAGAATGAATGGAAAGACTCTTTTCCCCATTAACTTCCCCAAATGAGGAGCATCTTTTAGTATGGGCTTTTTATACGTGTAGTTCCTTGGGCTACCTAGATTAGAATCACCTTGGGAAAGATGTAAAGGCCTTAGCCCTGCCTCAAGTCTATGGAATCAGCATTTCTGATTCTGAATCTGCATGTTTTATAAGCCTCCCTAGTGATTCTCATGCCCATTAAAGATGTAAAGCTACTGCTTTAGGGCATAGACTTACTCTGTGTAACCCTGAAATGGTTTTATTTAGGTCATCCTGTTATCAAGATTCTTGCTTCTTAGCTTTTGTGCTTCTTTCTTCCTTTGGAATATACTGCTCAGTAGCAATGCTTAGGAGAAACTACAGAGGAAAAGGAAAGAAGGAAATTGGAATCTTGTTGCATCTTGAATAACTTCTGGCAAATGAGAGAATAACAAGGCAAATAAAACGCTGTTTATAGATGTAGTTCAGTGCCTGTTACCTAGATTTTTCTCAATAGATATTGTTATTAAATGATTTTTTTGTTAAAAATTTGTCCCATCAACAGAGATAATAGAACTTAGGGTATTATGTAATCCATATTTATTCACACACTTATTTGTCAAAGAAAATTTCCTGAGCACTCACTATGTGCAAGTCATATCTGAGGGTTGCAAGGCAGATAAGACATCTGGTTTTCAAGAGACTTAGAGTCTAACGGGGCACTAAGAGATGCTCGTAACTGCAGGAGAGCATGTGAGGTGCCATAAAGATGTTTTGGCAACTCCAGGTGTTTAGAGAAGAGAGATGTTATAGGGAGGCAGAAGAATCAAGGGCGTTTGTATGGAGGATTTCTCGTTTGAACAAGGTCTCACGAGAATAAGCAAGATTTGGATTTCTGAATATGTGTGAGGAGGCCATTCCATGCAGTGGGAAAAAGTCAGGTTCAGAGGCAAGAGTGCCCAAGGCCCATCTGGAGAAGAGTTCAATGTGATTGGAACATAGCTGTGTGGTATGCAGAATTCTTAGAATGGTCTCCAGTGACACTTGGCCTTTTCTAAGCCTCTCCCCTGGGAGTATGTGACATGATGAGCTGTCACTCCTTGGTTTTATTAGGCCACATGGCAGAAAGGACTTCTCAGTTGACTTTGAATTACTCAACAAGGAGATTATTGGGGCGAGCCTCACCCAATCACATGACCCCTTTAAAAGTAGAAAGTTTTGTGCAGCTATTAGGTTGGGGCAAAAGTAATCGTGGGTTTTGCCATTTAAAAAAAACAGCGAAAACTGCAATTAGTTTCACACAAGCCTAATAGTTGCAGAAAGAAATTTGGAGTGTGAGAATGCTTAGTCTGACTTCTACATTTGAGGATCGAGGGGGCTCCATGATAAGGAATGCAGGGGCCTCTAGGCACTGTCAGTCCCTAGCTGACCTCAGACATATAACCCCAAGGAGGTGAGCTTGCCCAACAATCTGAGTGAGCTTGGAAGTGGATTCTTCCAAGATCCTCCAGATATGAGCCCAGCCTGGGTAGTGCCATGATTTTGGCCTTGTGACACCCTGAGCAAAAACCCAGCTGAGCCCGCTGGGACTTCTGACCTGCAGAACTGTGAGATCATAAACAGGTGTTGTTTCAAATGGGTAAGTTTGAGGTAATTTGCTACACAACAACAGACTAGTACAAATCTTTTGAAGGAAACTTTATGGGGGTAAAGGACTATGCTAGAATTTAAATGATAGGTTATGGCACTTAATTCAGTAATCTTCAGGGCACTATTGAAGAGCTTGAGATGAGAGAACAACATAAAAAATAATCATCACTCACATTTGTTTAACATTTATTAGGTTTTAAGCATACATTTAATCCTCATATCAGGACTGTAATACAGATACAACTATTACCCTCTTTTGCAAATGGAGGGAATGAGGCTCAGAGAAATTCAATAACTTGCTCAGAGTCACAGAGCTAGTAAATTTCAAAGCCAGGATTTGGAACCCAATTGTCTGCACTCTTAGACATGAGCTACACTGCTTCTTTAAAAGGAAAATGGTGATTGTCAAGAATCTGGGAAATTTTTTAAGGGCCTATTTACGTGGCTTGGGTTAGAGGGAAGAGAGGTATGGGGAGGAATAGTGGCCGCGGAATCTGAGAGAAATTTCAGAAACAGAACTGAAAGCCATGGCATTGGCTGCACTGATTCTCTGGCAGATGCATGACAGAGGGGAATTAGATAGATTAAAAAAATTTTTTTTTAGGTGTAAGTCTCTAATTAGGTATTTTCAGATTAGGTATTTCTGGAAGAGCTTTGCCATGCCTGTAAATGACATTGTTCATCTCTCATCCTTCCCTGTCATCCTCCTTCCTTTCTTCTCTTCTTTTCTTTCTTCTCCCAAATCCATATTTAAAGTCAAGTTCCTTTTTATAAAATGGGTTTGGTAATATCAACCTTAGCAGAGTCTGTGTGGAATTTAATTTGTTTCCTTATATAATGATCGTTAAGTTTCTCAAATGATGTGAGCCATAGAGAGGGAAAATTGAGCCATTATAAAACATTTAAAATTATCATCTGTGCATCAGGATTTAGCAAAGGTGAATATAAATAAAATAAAATAATCATCTGACTTCCCTAGAGTCACGCATAGTGACTATTTTAAATACTCACACAGTACAATATGTTAGGTCACAGTGAGGAAAATATAGTAGATCTCTAGCAAATTAACACATTCAACTGAAATAAGTGATGCCATCTCCCAAAGCATGTGTGTGTGCAACTGTGTGTGCGTGTGTGTGTGTGTGTGTGTGTGTCTTGCACTGGTTCTTTTGTTGTTGCTGTTGTTGTTGTTGTTGTTGCAGTTGTAACATCAACCCAACTCCAAAAAGAACAGCAGTTGAACAGGCGCTCTCCTGCAGAGCAACATTCTGCTGAAAGTTTTTCAGATTTCAGAACTTAAAACAAAAAAAAATGCAGTTCATAGAAAAGACATCTCTATGGGAACATACGTTGATAGGGATACTAATGATAAAGATGATTGATGATGATGGTGATGACGGTGATGTTCTTGATGGATGGGATGATCATGAGGGCAGCAGCTACCATTAGTTGAGTTCCCACTGTGTGTCAGACACCATGCAGAGTGTTTTCAATGGATAATCTTGTTTCAGTCTCCCAACATTCTCTGCATTTTCTCATATCTAAAAGGGAGGCCATAATAGTACTGACCTCCTAGGTTGTTAGGATAATTAAACAAGGTGATATATCAGGTGCTTAGAACACTGACACATAGATGCCAGTTCTAAGTATAATTATTTCTATCCTCATGTTATAGGAGAGAAATTGGAAGCAACATGGGTTGAATGACTTGTCCAAGGCCATACAGTGGTAAAGGCAGGACTTGAGCCCAAGCAGTATTTTAATAGAGCCAGAGTCAAACATTCGGTCATATGGAACATTCTTCTCCATCCCAGTCGCAAACCCAAATTGTTAAGGATCTCTCTGAGGGTGATGGGAGCATGATTAAGCTGACAGGTGGTATAAATGTAAGACAAAAGCTGCACCCTTGCTAGTTTTCCATTGCCATCAATTATGAAAATGAGCAAATAGATTATTTAAATGATCTCAGATGAGTAAATTATTCAAAGAGCCTCTCAGTCAGAAGTATTTCTAGAAACTCCTGAATAGACCAATGAAAACCATTTTGGTTTTCTGACAGGGTCATCTGCTCATCTGTGTTGTAGAGAAACGCAAAGCCCTGAGGAAGCGGGGAAAGCAGGAGAGAGAGAGTTGGGGGAGAGGGAGGCAGGGAGAGGGCTAGGGAGGGATAGCAGGACAGGGAGGGGGGATGGGGGGAGAGGGAAAGAGTAAGGGGGAGAGTGAGAGCGGGAGGGGGAGAAAAGAGGAGAGAGGGAGAAGAGAGGGAGAGGCAGAGAGGTGGGAGAGGGAGTGGAAGAGATAGAGAGGGCCTGAAGAGGGGGAAGAGAGAGGGGAAGAAGGGGAGAGAGAGGGGGGAGAGGGAGAGAGGAAGACGGAACTGGGGAGAGGAAGGGGGAGAGAGAAGGGGGAAGAGGAGACGAGAGAGAGAGAACAAAGTAACAGTGGACTTTAAGGCAAATTTTCTTTTCTAATTATATTCCCTTGAATGCTGATTCCTTTCAGAACTTAGAGTGCCACCAGGGTCTCTGGGTGGGTAGGGGGCTTATGAGGTAAGACCCACCTTCAACTGGAGATGGCAAAGCTTCATCTGATTGGTATGTTATGTTGAGGTTCAAAGTGAGCTTCCATTTGGGGAAAAATAAAATATTTCTAAAATAAGTTTGAAAGCAAGTAGAGGAAGGAGATTGACTGTAGTAGTTGTCTGAATATGACGTAAATAAATAGTAAGCATTTGTTGAGCACCTATTCTATACCAAACCTTACAGTATGGCCTTCTGTACTTATTATTTCACTTTAGCCGCATAATAACCCTGTGAAGTGAGTCTCTGATTTCATATTTGAGTCATGCAAACTTAGAGATGTTCTATGATTTTTAAAAAATTAATAGCTGAGAAAGGATTCAAATTTAGGTCTTGTGAGTCTCCAAGTTTAGTGCTTGTTCCAGTACTTTGCACAGTTCCTAGGATGAATGATGGAAATTTTCATATAGGTTGTGGAGATTCACAGGGATGGTATCTGCCTTGGAAGTTGAGTGGAAGTTGGGGGTATGACAATACCTAGGCTTTTGTGTGGACTTAACTCGTATTCTTTAGGACAAAGTAACTATACACTATGACTGTCTCTGATGGGATTGAACCATTTTCCCATCCATTTATCCACCCATGCACCCAGCTAGTCATCCAAAGATTAATCATCTAATAAACCATCCATCCATTCATCAGCCCATCAGACCAACCGTAATTCATCCAGCCATATGGGCATCCATTCACTCTTGAACCCACCCACTTACCCACTATTGATCTGTTTACCAAGCATTCACTGATTACTGACTCAGTGCCAGGCCTGTAGTAGGTACAGGCGAAGCAGAGATGACTAATAAAATATCCCCGGGATTTTAGGGAATGTTGGGGTGATCAGACCCAACACCAGGCTGTGGGGGCTACAAAATCCGGCAGAGTCAAAGGAATGGGAAAAGACAGGTTAAGAGTATATAAGGTGGGTCCAGGAGGCCAACGCTAGTGTATGGAGGCTGCAAAGGCCCTGAGCTCCGGAAGCCCACACTATTTATTGGTGATCAAACAAAGAAGCAGGTGGTGAGGACGTGCGGATGTGGGGGTAAACAGGTGAGGACATGAGGACGTAGGGGTAGAAAGGTAGCAGTGCATCAAGCATAGCTGTGATGGTTTAGCATTTTCTTTGACACATATGTAATATGCTCTGCTACCTGAGATAATGGAGAACATATTTACAAGCCTGGGAGAGTAAGAAGCAAGGAGCCAGCAAGTCTGTGCACATTCCAGAGGCCATTCCAGTGCAATTCCACAAGGGATTTTATGCCCTGAGCCTTGGATTGTATCCAAGCCACGAGGGGTTTTATGCCCTGGGCTTAGATTGTGGTGTGGCAGGGCAGCCTTCCACCCTTTGGCACAGAGCTTGGTGTTCCAAAGGCCATGAGGGGGTTTAGAGCCTGGGCCCAGGACACGTTCCAAGACTCTTTTACATTATGACAGAGAAGCTAGTCCTGCCTCAGCTCTTCTACCAACAGGGAACTTATAATGTAGTGGGAGGGACAGGGAAATGCACTGCTAGTTACAGCATTGTGAAATGAGCATAAACAGGAGAGGTGCACATGGCACACTGGGACACCTACTCCAGCCTGGGCACTGGGGAGGTGAAAAAACTTCCTGAAAGACCTAAGTTAGGACCAAGTCCTAAAGGATAAAGAAGAGCTATCCAAAGGGTGACAGTCATCTTATCCATTCTAGTAACTGAACCACAAACATTATTTTTCTTTATTTCACATTGCATCTGATAGCAGCAGCTAGATTTCTCCCCTACCCCACCCACAATTACTGGAGCTCAGTGGCTGCTGTCTGGGCCTGCTTCTCACTTTCTTTCCATTGTCTCTGTTCTATTATTTCCCCATTTGCCTGCTGATGGAACAGACAGGAATAACATCTGTCCCTAAGAAAATGGACAGAACAGAGAGCTGCTCCCCCCAGCAATCTGCTTCTGGCTACAAGTGGCTCTGTCAGCCTGCCTCTGTAGCTACAGTTTGGTTTCCTCATCTGTGCCATTGGCAGCAGAAGCTTCCCATTCCACTACCCTGTTTTTCTTGGCATTGGAACCTGGTTTGGAACAGGGGGAGAAATAGAGATAAAAAGAGGTTGCATATTCTCAGCATTGGTCTCTAAGCTGTGGAGGATTTAATGTGCTTTCTAGACTCTGAAGAACTTGTACCTTGAGATAATTACCCATATGTTATAAAAAAAATATGATGATGATTATGGCCTAGGGGCTATAGATTCACCACTTTGATTCCCCCACACACCCTTTTTTAAGAGACGAGAGGCTGCAGTGAGGAGCCACCTGTAGTCCCAGCTACTTGTGGGGACTGAGGCAAGATAATTGCTTGAGCCCATAGGTCAAGGCCACAGCGAGCCATGTTCATGCCGCTGCACTCCCTGGAGTGGCTCACTGCAGGCCTCGACCTCCTGGGCTTGAGCAATTATCCAGCCTCTGCCCCTCAAGTAGCTGGGACTACAGGTGTGTGCCACCACACCTGCCTAATTTTTTTGTATGTTTTGTAGAGACAGGGTTTTGCTAGATTGCCCAGGCTGGTCTCAAATTCCTGAGCCCAGGCAATCTGCCTGCCTTGGCCTCCTGAAGTGCTGGGATTACAGGCATGAGCTACCGTGCCCAGCCTTGATCCTCTTTTAACAGACATTCAAGATGAGTATGATCACTCCTGCCCCCTCCCTCCAGTTACATATGAAGAAACTGAGGCTCTAAGATGATTGCTGATTTGCCTAAGGTTACAAAGCAAGTATATGGCAAAGTCTAGATTCTAGCTCAGGTCTGCTAGACTGCAAAGTCCATTTTGTTTCTACAGTACCTTATGGTAGAGATGGGTGGCGTTCATATATCAGTAGTGAAGGCTGTCAGTGCTTTAATTATAAAAACTCATGTTGGGGGTCCCCCCATCCCTGCACAGTGGATGTGCCCCCAGCGTTGGCAAGAAGGACTATTACAGGTACAAGATTCCCTGCTGAACCACATGTCTGTTTCTGAGCTCGGCTCAGAGCATCCCACTGAGATGTATGCAAATCTGCCTCCTAATCAGTCTCTTGCATTTTTGTGCAAAACGAATCAGCATTCCTCTGCACATCTGAAGCTGTAAATCAGTCCCCACCCCTGCAGTAAACTGTTCCTTTATTCCTTATTACTCCACCGTATGGTTTGTTATCTAGCCATTGTCTTTTGAAAACGTGCTTTAAAACTCATCGAAATCATATTCCTGGAGTCTATATTCCTTCCATTTAAATTATAATTCTGCAAATTAGAAAGACTGAGTGGGCCTGTTTGAGATGGGAAGAGTAGAGGCTGAGCCATCTTGACTTCCCTGGATGTGAAGAAAGACTCCGTTGGAAATGCCCATGAGAAAAAAATCTAAAGTTGGGGAAAAACAAGAGAATCAACTCGTATTCCCTTAAAGGGAGTTGTAGAATGACTCATAGAAACCAATGGCCTCTCACTTACGTTGTCTTTAACTTTAACATTGAAACAAACAATTTGAATCGGAAGAATCCTAATTCCTGTTGATTCCTACCGTGCTGGCCTCTATGTGGTCCAGCAGATTATAGCTGATGGCATATGTTTTCTTTCCACAATTAAAGTGTGTTTGAAGAAACTAGGACAGGCAGATCTAACATAGGAAAGCAGGGCAACAATTAGTTTTGGGTATCAGATCCTGACATCCATGCTGTATACAGGGAAAGCAGAAACATTTACCTGCTTTTAATAGGTGAAGAGACTAAGATTTAGAGACGAGACTTGTTCAGCCTTCTTCTGCAAGAATAGTAAACATTTCACTCCACTTTTTTGTTTTGTTTTCTCTAAGACCAGGAAAGATTCCACAGATGTTTCTTTTCTGTTTGTTTGTTTGTTGTTGTTGTTGTTGTTGTTTTTTAGAGATGGGGGGTGTCTCACTTTGTTTCTCAGGCTGGTCTCAAACTCCTGAGCTCAAGGGATTCTCCTGCCTCAGCCTCCCAAAGTGCTGGGATTACAGGCATGAGCCACTGCACCCAGTCTCATTCCACTTTTGGCATTCAGGTTGGTGACTTGAATCAATACAGCAAGATTTGGGTTTCTTTTTTTGTTTGTTTAAATGTATGGGGTATACAAGTGTAATTTTGTTACATGCATAGATTGTATAGTGGTGATGTCAGGGCTTTTTGAGTATCCCTCTCACAAATAACATACATTGTATCCATTAAGTAGCTTCTCTTCAGCCTCTTCCCTCAGCCTCCTCCCTCACACCCACTTGCCTTTCTGAGTCTCCATTGTCTATCATTACACATTCTGCATCTAACTGTATGCATTATTTAGCTCCCACTTACAAGTGAGAACATGCAGTATTTGTCCTTATTTCTTTTTCTTTCATTCTTTCTTTTTTCTAACACCTGACACAGGGTCTTGCTTTGTTGCCCAGGCTGGAGAATAGTGGTGCAATCATGGCTCATTGCAGCCTCGAACTCTTGGGCTCAAGTGATCTTCCCACCTCAGCCCCACAAGTAGCTGGAACTATAGGCAAGTGCCACCATGCCTGGCTAGTTTTTTTGTTTTTATTTTGTTTTGTTTTTGTAGAGATAGGGTTTCGCCATGTTACTCAGGCTAGTCTCAAACTCCTGAGCTCAGGTGATTCCCCCACCCCTCCACTTGGCCTCTCTAAGTGCTGGGATTAAAAGCGTGAGCCACCACATCTGTCCTAGTATTTGTCTCTCTGTGTCTGAGTTGCTTCACTTATGATCATGGCCTCCAGTTCCATCCATGTTGCTGCAAAAGACGTGATTGGATTCTTTTTTATGGCTAAATAGTATTTCATTGTGTATATATACCACATTTTCTTTACCCGAAGATTTGAGTTTCATTACCAAAATGACATGGAGGCTTTGCATTGAGGCATTGTCATCTCACTGAAAATGGATGAGGATTCAAAAAATACAGATGGGACATCTGTCAAGTTATACTATAAATCAGTGGGGACAAAAGCTAGAAACACAGATGTGTCTGATCAGAAGCCCAAAATACAAAATCAATGCCAAGAGATGAAGTGACTAGTCTACGTAGACAAAGAGAGAACAGCATCATGGTCAGGAAAAGTGGGCTGGCGACTTCCTCCCCTGTTTCACTGAGCATGGCACCGGTTAGGAGCTGAGCTGTTTGGGGTTAGAGAGCGAGTTTGATCAACATTTACGCTGTTGAGTTTGGCCAGGGGTAACATTTGTGAGACTCCCGCTAATTCTGGAAATCTGTCATTCTTTGTTTCCAACAGCAAAATGGAGCTAATGATAATACCCACCCCTTGGGGTTCCTGTGAGGATATTAAAGCTACTATTTATTAAATGCTTTTTGTGAGTCAGAACTTTAGATGCATGATCTCTCTTAACTCATACAAAATCCTGATGATATTGGCACTATTATTGCCCCTATTTTATAAATGAGAAGTCTAAGGAACAGAGAACAAGTTAATTTCCGCTAACCTGAACCGTATTCTGAACCCCATTTGTCTGACTCCGAAGCCCATGCTTTGACTACTAACTTCTGCTACTTTCTTCAATCAAATTCTACAAAGCAAGTGCAATTGTGCCATGCTGTGGGAGATAGAGAATTTAAGTGGGAAGCGAATGGAGCTTAGTTTTCCTTGCATCATTCCAAAAAAAAAGTGCCTAATAGTTTTTAAACTGTGATTCCATCACAGGTCCTGAGCCAACCACTTTATGTACATTACCACATTTTATGTTCACTACAACCCCAAATGGTACATATTATTTTATAGATGAGAAAAATGAGGACCAGAGAAGTGAATTGATTGGAACATGGTCACCCAGCCACTTCATAGCTCAGAGGCATCATAAATGATATACATGCCAAGTATCTAGCATGAGGCCTGGAACGTAGTTAGAAAGATCTTAATAAACAGGAACTATTATGCATATACAAAGTGCAATCTAGACTCTAGACTTCTAGACTTTTAAATGGCACTTTTAGGGTTGTTTTACCTTTTTTTTTTTTTTTCATTTTCAGTGGATTTCTAAAAGTCTATTGACAGTGTTCTCTTTTATCAAAGGACCTGGGTCCAAAGTTTTAGAGACAAGTGTCTTCAAGGAGTCCTTTAAGTCCTGCATATGTATGAATATATTGCAATACATACAGTTAAGCAAGTCCTCATCCAGGAGCCAGAAAACTGTTTCTGGTTCTTTCACATATTTGCTGTAATTTGTGAATGAGGCTTGGTGGTTGACAGGTGAGGAAGTGGTGGATTGACTCAGAGCTGGGTGGAAGGTGGTGCCAGGTGGGTGTGACAGGAGGACAAGATGGGAGCAGGAAAATTGTGGGCGTGGCAGGAAATCTGTTGCTGTGATAAAGAGATCTGGGCTGTAATAGGGAAAAAATGGAAAGTCACGAATGAGCAGATTGATTGGGAGAAAATAGAGGGGTCCAGAGCCCAGAGGCCAAAATGACATTGGAAAAGAGACATGAGAATAGTCCTTAAATTTGAAAGTTACTTGAGCCAGGCGTGGTGGCTCATGCCTATAATCCTAGCACTTAGGGAGGCCGAGGAGGGTGAATTGCCTGAGCTCAGGAGTTCGAGACCAACCTGGGCAACACAGTGAAACCCTGTCTCTACTAAAATACAAAAAATTAGCCAGGCATGGCAGTGTGTGCCTGTAGTTTCAGCTACTCAGGAGGCTGAGGCAGGAGAATTGCTTGAACCTGGGAAGCGGAGGTTGCGGTGAGCCAAGATCATGCCACTGCACTCCACCTTGGGCAACAGAGCGAGACTCCATCTCTACAAAAAAAGAAAAAAAAAAAAAAAAGAAAAAAAGTTACTTGAAGGAACATCAGTTTACCGCTCTGAAAAATTGTAATAATATCTCTTTCACATCTATGTGACTCTGCTGTGATGGTCAAGTGAAATGAGAAAATAACCAGCAACTTCTAGCCCATAAAGAGCTATATTAACTCTAGGACTTTTGTATTATTATCCACATAATGACACGCAGCTTTCTGGCTAGGATGTGTCTTCCAGTGTGTCTATTATCTGAAATTTCTATCTTTTTTTTTCTATTTCTTTTCATTTTTTCCCCAATACAGCTTCTTAGCCAAGTGAACACTAGCAAGTGTATGCATAAGGTCACACTGTTTGACACAAGGATCCAAGAAAGCTTGGGTTACATTTATAGTTATGAAATTAATGGCATGCATTAATCGTGCAGAACCTCAAACTAGCAAATGGAATTAAAAATAATTGCCAGGCCTTTGGATTTATTGGTAGAGTGAAAATAACACCAAGTGGCTTTTGGCAGGACCGCCTTCTCCGTGCACAGAATTATATTAACAGATGATATTTTTTCTATCCAAAATAGAGAGCCGTAAGTGAAAAGCAGATCTGTCTCCTCTTAGAGCAGGGAAAAAAAATCCAAATACATTTCCTTAGTTTCATTTTGGCATACAAGCCCTAGGCCTGGAATTTTGGTAAAAACAATGCCTTGTTCCTGCCTGTTCTGGAGTTGTGCCAGTGTCCTCCATTCAGCTTACAAGAACATGCACATTGCAGGTGGGAAGGAACCTTGACTAAATACCTTCTGTGGGCCAGACATCTGACTGCTGGTTCACAAACATGAGTTAATGTCATCCTTCTAAGATCCCTGTATATAATAAAACACCTAATCCTGGTTGAGCAGGGACTATGTGGCAGATAGTTCAATAAGTGCCTTGCAGTTACTACTTTATTTATTTCCATGAGAATAATATGATGTGATTACTCCTATTATGCCCACATTACATATAAGGAAACTGATGTCCAAGAAGTAAAGTTAGTCAAGTTCATATAGCTGGTAAGCAGAAGAGCTGGGAATTCAGGTCCAGATGTGGCTGACTCCAAAATCCACATCATTTTCAGGGCCTATTACCAGAAGAGATAATTATAGTTGATAATTGACTGCAGGAAGATCATAGTTATGGTGGTCATGTTGGTACCTCTGTGTGCTAACTTGTCTGTTTTATTTATTTAGAGACAGAGTCTTGCTCTGTTGCCCAGGCTGGAGTGCATTGGTGTGATTTAGGCTCATTGCAACCTCTTCCTCTCGGGTTAAAGTGATTCTCATGCCTCAGCCTCCCGAGTAGCTGAGATTACAGGCATGTACCACCACACTCAGCTAATTTTTGTATTTTTAGTAGAGACAGAGTTTTGCCATGTTGCCCGGGCTGGTCTCAAACTCCTGGCCTCAAGTGATCCTCCTGCCTTGCCTTCAAAGTGCTGAGATTGCAGATGTGAGCCACCGCTCCTGGCTAACTTGTTCATTTCATAGGTATTTGTGCATCTATTATGTAAGCAGCCCTGGGCTGGGTACGAGGGCCATAAAGGCAAACAGAACACAGTCCCACCCTCAATGAGTCCACTGGGGCAGACAGATGAGTGTGCAGGTCTCACACTAGCTAGTGAGGTAGGGAAAGGAGAGGCTACCTGCCCAGTTTTATGGGATTAGAGGCTGCTTCCCAGAACAGCTGCCCTCTGTGTTGAGTTCTGAAGGACACATAGGAGAGTGCCAGGCAGAGAGTGGGAAGGGGTTTTCTGGGCAGGGTGAGTAGCGTGTTGAAACCTGGCACTGAGAGAAAAGCTCAATGTACTCAGAAGCCTGTGATTAGTTCTGTGTGATTCATGAGTTGATGTGGGGCAGGGCTGGAACCAGGAGTTGGTTGTCAAAATGAGGCTGTCATGAATGCAGAGGGAAGGGAAGGCCTGGGGAGGAGGCCAGGTCACTTAGACCATGGTCAGGCATTTTCACTTGATTCCAGCTGCAGTGGGGAACCATTAAAAGGCCACAAGCTGGGGAGTGGAAGGGCCAGATACACAGAGGTATTTAAAGTGACGATTTGGGCTAGGCACGGTGGCTCATGCCTGTAATCCCACCACTTTGGGAGGTTGAGGCAGGCAGATCACCTGAGGTCAGGAGTTTGAGGCCAGTGTGGCTAACATGGCAAAACCCCATCTCTACTAAAAATACAAAAATTACCCAGGTGTGGTAGTGCGCACTTGTAATCCCAGCTACTTGGGAGGCTGAGGCATAAGAATCGCTCGAACCCGGGAGGCGGAGGTTGCAGTGAACTGAGATAGTGCCACTGCATCCAGCGTGGGAGACAGAATAAGACCCTGTCTCAAAAAAATAAAAAATAAAGTGATGGTTTGGGCTGCTGTTTGGAGAATGGGATGAAGAGCAAATCTACCAGAAGCAAGAAGGCCAGCTAAGAAGCTGAGTCATAAACCAGTGAGAGGTGAAGGCCTGGATGAGGGTGGTGGCTGTGAGTTAGGAAAGCAGTAAAAAATGTTCAAATATTAGAACTATCAAGGCTTGGTGATTGATTTAATATATATGGGGGTGGCAGAAGAGAGATGAATTAATGGATATTTCCATGGTTGGGATTTCAAGAACTCCTATATGGCAGATGGGAGAGAAACTATTTTTTACGGTGGAAGATAAGAGGCTGAGTTCTTCTCTAAGCCTACTGAGTTTGAGGTTTCTCGGAGGCAGTAGAGAAGAATGGGGGAAAGGCAGCAGATCAGGGGCTGTCAAGAGAGGTGATAACTGGAGACTGTGGAGCAGAAGAGGCCGAGGCCTGAGCCTGGATGTTCTGGGGGCAAGAGGGAGAGGAAAGACAAGTCAGATGTGTTCAGAGAAGGAGAAGCTTGCATTTTGGCAGAGATGAATCAGCCAACGAGGTGGGAAACAGTTGGGTAATGGTAGTGTCCTGACAGTCTAGGGCAGAGAACTCAAGAAAGATGTGAGTAGTCCCATTGTCAAATGCAGAGGAGGGGCTTATGTGCAGTGCACCTGTTGGATTTAGTGAAAACCACTGGAGGTCTTAGGTCAGTTTGAGAGGCAAGGACAGTGCAGAAGAGAATGTATCTAGAGCCCAAGGGCTGGGATGCGTGTTAGGCTAGAGGAGAGATGCCTCCTTTATTACTGAAAGAGGGGAGAAGAAAGACATGTGTGCAGAGGCAGGTGAGTTTGTGGGTGATGTGGGTTGTCCATAGAGTCTGAAATAAGAGGCAGATTCATCAGCTGGGAGTGGGGCTGGAGCTGGCAGCTTTGCAGTCTTGTGGGCAGGTGTGAAGGTTTGAAATAGTTTCTAGGGAATGGGAGAGATGCAATTAGGAAAAAGGAAAGATTTTTAGCCAGAGAGGGAGTCCTAAAATTTGAAATGACATTAATCTATGTGGTTATATGATATTCTCCACCTGTACTTGCTGCTTTACAGGTGTGGAAGTGGTGGGATTGACTCAGAGTTGGGGAGGGTGCTGCCAGGTGGGTGTGATAGGAAGACAAAGTGGGGGCAGGAAAATTGTGGGTATGACAAGAAATCTGTTAATGTTATGGATAAAGAGGTCTAAGTTGGAATCGGGAAGAAATGAAGGCATGAACAAATAGACTAATTGAGAGAAGATAGAGACCAGGGATGACGCTGGAGAGGAGACATAAGAATACCTGAATGAGAGCTGTGGATTTTCTGAATTCAGAGTCATTTGAGTCAAGCAGTTCTAAGTGAATTTCCCCCATGGGAATGGGTGGCTACAGTGGACTGGAGGTTCTAAATTTAGAGTCACTCAAGTCAAGCAGTTCTAAGTGAATTTCACCCATAGGAATGGGTGGCTACAGTGGACTGGAGGTGGTCAGTGGAGAGATGGTCAAAAAAACTGGCCTTCAGTTTTATCCAAATGCTCTGACAAGTATGGATGTGTTTATGAAATGACATCAATTACTTGCAAATAGGACAATTTCAAAATATGTAAGGAGTACTAAGTCCTAGCCATATGTGGATGAAATCACCAATATTATCCCCAGGTGTTGAGTCAGAGGGATTTCCCAAGGCCAATTGCCAATTTCAACTTAAATGCAACCAAATTCCAATGTGCACAAAGGGATTGTAGCCCAATATCCAAGGGCTTCTTCAGTCTTGTCCCATGGTATCCCTTTATTCCTCTTTCCCTCTCTTCTCCTTTATATATTTGTGTTTCTTCCTGTTTGGACAACTTCCTAGTTCACAAACATGTCATTAAAACTCAGCTTCTAAGCTTTTGTGCATGCTGTTCTCTGATCCTACACATCCCTTCTTTCCACTCTGACTTTTCAGGTCCTTTGCAAACTGCACAACTCCCCTCCATTGCACTCCTTCATGATTTCTTCCTTCCCTCATCAGATCTGCCTCTCACTTCTGAAGCCCTCTGCATTTCTTGCACCTTTCACCCTTTGGCTGTTAGCATTTTCTGTTTTATTGTATGATTAATTCAGAGGGCATTGTATTTTATCTTCCTCACTGGTGAGTGGATCCTTTACAGATAAGGACTTAGAGCAGGGGTTGACAAAACCCCTAACTGTTTATGTAAAGGGCTGGCTAGTAAATATTTTAGGCTTTGTGGGCCATACTCTCTCTATGGCAAGCACTCAACTCTGCATTTTTAGTGCAAAGGCAAGCGTTGAGGCTATGTAAGGAAATAAGCATGGCTGTGTTCCAATCAAGCTTTATTTAGGGACACTCACATTCAAATCTTATATAATTTTATAATTGTGTCACCAAATATTCTTTTCATTTTTTTCAACCATTTAAAAATGGAAAAGGAAAACCCATTCTTAGCTTGTGGGCTGTGCAGAAACAGCTTGCCCTTGGGCTGTGGTATGCTGACCCCAGGTTTAGGGTCTATTCACTGCTGTGTTACCAGTGTGAGAACAGTTTATGGCACATAGTAGGCACTCCATGAATGAATGAGCAAGATGAATGCATGTGATCTAACCCTAAGGAACTGAAAACCTACAGAATAGTTCTGTTTATTGGTTGTAACACTTGGAGTAATTAGGAATCCTGAGATTCTGCTTTTGGCTATAATTTGTGTGAGTTTGAAAGGTTTTGATGTGACATAGCTCATAAGTATCATAGTTGAACTTGGACTTGGGTCTTCCAACTCCAAATGCACGGTTCTTTTAAACTGCTGTGTTTGCCACTATATTAATAATTCAGTGGGAAAAGCAATGCTGAGAGGCTTCCTGATTGGTCACCATGATTCTCATTTCTCCCAGTGGCTCCATAGGGCTCTCAAATTGTTGATTACTGTCTGAGATGGGGATAATTGGTTTGGGTGAAATTGGATTGACGGTGGTGGGTTACTTAGGCTTAGTTTTCAAAAACAGCAAGTCTTATCCATCCCATCCCAAGGGAACCCTCCTCTTCCCCCAGTGCCTTAGAATAATCACGTTTTTAACTGGGCAAAGCTGTCGTTAAGCTTATTACTGTTTTCTCACTATTAAATCTTCTGTTGGCTTTAGTATTTCAAATGATCCTCTTGTTGGAATACTTTAGAGCTCAGACAAGCCTGGAGCAAAGTAGTTTTGGGCCAGAGATGAGCAAAGAAAAATGATTGTCAAAATACCATCTTATCTAAGGAAAATTGAAATTCTCATCAGTGTGCATTTCATCATAACGATGCATTTCACCCATGCACAACGGCTTTGGTTAGCATCCTCATAATAACTAGCAGGGCCTCAGGCACCAACCCCTTTCATTTGGAAGAAGGAAAATGTCCATCTCAAAAACTTAAATTTATTATTTTGCCCCAGATACAGAAGAACAAATGCCCATCAGAGACCTGCTACCAAGTTCCAGACATTTCACCTCTCACAACGCAATAACTTTTCACAGGCGAGGGGGATGAAATGCTGTTCCACTGATTGATACCTCCAGGTTCTGTAACCTTATTGCAAAACTCTGCAGACACAGTCAATGAGGTTAACTTTGAATGTTCAGGGCTGAGATCCAAATGGAATTGGCTTTTTACATAATGCTGAGTGAGGAAATCCATCAGCTTTTGACTTGTTAGATCCTTCAAGTCAGGTTTGATGCATTGAAGTCTCGTGCTTCCTTAGCCTGCAGTTTAATTACCTGGAACTTATCTCCTTTTATAAACTGTTACACACTCAGCCCCACATTTTACCACTTTTCAAGGTTTTCATTTAAAAAAAAACTTGCCATAGAGTAAGAGAAGTCATATCTATAGTCATGTTCAGTCATAATTTTCAGGCTGGTAAGAATGAATTGATTATCACAATAAATAAAAGGCTTTTTCAGCTGTCAGCCCAGGATCACAGTCTACCTCTCTTAGCCACTTTCTAACTCTTATTGGCAAGTTTGCTGAGGGAAAAAAAACTTCTTAATATCATTCAGGTAAATACTCCCCAAAAGAGCTGTTTACTCTGCCAGACTGCAAATGGCATTTCATTTATTTTACAATTGGATGTTATGCTGATCTTTGAAATTTACCCAGAAAAAGTACATTAGAAGGTCAAACAAAAACCTTTACCATATTTCTAAATTGTCTTTATGCAGGTATTAAAAAATAATAATAGTTATCACTGTTACTGTAACAAAGGACTGTCCTTAGGTCAAGTTCTCATCCAATGTTATGTGTTTAACCTTCCCCAGCCCCAATTCCTGTTTCTGTGATTGTCCTAGTTACCTTCACATCTCCTCCTAAACTTTTTTTGCAGACCTATATGCATTCTAGTTTTCTCCTCCAAGAAGCAGCCCCTTAAGTTCAACCAAGTTTATGTTTGGGTTTTTATAATAACAGATGCAGATATAGAAACAGAATTGTGTTGTGTTGGCCAACAATATCTCAAATATAACATGATACAGAATGAAGATGAAATCCTCCTTTCTAAGGCCCCTTACATAATGGATGGAGATGACCACAGAGGCAAGGGAGAAGTCCAATCAGCTGCTAGAGCATTAATGACATTCCTCTTGGTTGAAACCCCCAAATTACCTAATTGACACATGGTTCACATTTGAACAGTTGATTTTCTCTGCCTGATCTGCTGTTCTGATCGCCTTTTGGATGTCCGTGTTGGTAGCAGTGGAATTCAACATCAAGCCTGCAAAGTAGAGCTCAGTGCAGCTCTGCTGTTAGAGGTATTTTCTGTGGTGGAATTCAAGGTCCTCAGAAGAGTCAATTCACAGGCAAATGGAAGAAGTAAAACTGTCATGAGTAAAAGCACACTGTAAGACCACCTCTGGCTGCTTTCTCCCCACCTCCTGTGCTCCACATGGAAAGAAAATGTTGCC
Organism: Homo sapiens; assembly: GCF_000001405.40. Classification (NCBI taxonomy): domain Eukaryota; kingdom Metazoa; phylum Chordata; class Mammalia; order Primates; family Hominidae; genus Homo; species Homo sapiens. The sequence goes on along the minus strand of NC_000016.10, from coordinate 9,863,331 downwards.
CCTTCCCAAAGTGGAAGACTGTGCATATTGGGGCGAGAACCTGGCTTCTCCAACTCTCAGGACATCACTGTGCTGCATGGTGCTAATTATTAATACTGTCTTCCCAACTGATCCATGAAATATTCCCTTAAGAAACCAAACTGCTCATGTTTGCCTTAATATTTCCCAAAGCAAATAGGATGGCAGCCTTGGAAATATCAGGCAGTGGTAACAGCTCCTGCCCTGAAGTCCAAGCTCAGATTCCAGGTCTTCTCACTTGCTGTTTGATCTTGGGCAAGTCACTTAAATTCCCTGTTTGCCAACATACAAAACGAGTCTAATAATGGCGTTTTTATCAGAGGATTGTGAGGGTAAAATAGAAAATGCCCGTTGGGGTGATCACAGTACCTCAATAAATGCCAACAATTATACTCGTTAATTGTTTAATAATTATTATTGCAGCCCATGGAAGACGGACTGATACGGAACTTGCACAATGAAGGACTCCCAAGAGCAAGTTCAAAAAATTAATCCATGATTATGAAAGAGCTCCTTTTTTATTTTTGCTGATTTTTCAAGTCTCTGGCATTATATTACTCCAAGGTAGAACCAAAAGAGAGAAAACACTATTAACTTTTTAGCTAATTACAAGAACCCATCACTTTTAAGAGCACACAAAGAATTAAAAGTAATCCAAAGAAATAGGACTCCTATCTTTCCCCAGGGATCTGGCAACAAAGGAACTCTGGAGGACTGAAGATTATACATGAACTCCTGAAGAAAATGATGGCTCTTTGTTCCAAAGATTTTTCCGCTTTTAAATTTGAGATTGAACAAGCATTGAGCTCTTCCCCTGTTGGCTGAGCCTCAAGAGGAGAATGGAAGCAGAGATGCGGGTTGTTCATGGAAATAACAATCAAAACACGTTTCTATGAATTACCAGATCAGTACTGGGTTCTAAGACAGTTGATGCTGTTATCCATAAAGATACTAGATTATCTTGAGAGCAGTTATTACGAGAGGAAAAAAAATCTACTTCTCCAATGTGAGCTGTGTAACAATTAGGCAATTCTGAAATTTCAACTGAGAGGAATTTAATTAAGGCTCTAATAGCTGATTAAACTCATTTAGATCTGCTGGCAATTGCCAGTGGTTACATAAGTAACCCAAGAAGAAAGATTTCCATCTTGTTCTTATGCTTTATTTAATCCTGTATGTTAGTCATAGGTCTTCCCCTCCTGGTGCTCCTTAAAATGGGGTCCTTAGACCACACGGAGCAGAATGACTCTAGGACGCTGGTTGAAAAGTCAGGATCCCACACCTTATCCCAGATCTACTGATTCCAACACTCCAGAGATACAGGAGTCTGCATTCTTAATCAGCTTCCAGGAAAGGTTCTTATTCATGCCAAAGCTTCATAATCCCACCACCTCCAATCGTTGCATTTAAAACAGTGCATTCAGAGGAAGCAGGCACTTTACCTCAATATCTGAAAAGCAGTTCTTAGTTTCACTCTGCCGGTAGCCATCCAAGGCTCATGGCAGTGAAGACAGAGCAGGTTTGACCCACACCTGCTCTTTAGTAATTTCTGCATAGAAACTTGTTTGTGCATACCACACAGGGGAAAATTGAGTTCCAAAGTGACGCTTGATTTCAGCAGACTGGTTTTCTGGGATACTCTTTAGATCAGGTATTGGTTTAAAAAACATCACTGAACTCAACTGCAAAGTCCTCCAGATACAGCATATGTCAACCTAATATCAAGCCACAGCAGTGGCTCAGATATCTTTATTGTTGTTTCTGGATCAATTACATTTAGATCTGCTTTTGGTTTCAAGCAGCAACCCAAGACCCAGAATTACTTATGTGTTAACCTGTGATCGGTTTGTTTGTGTGTCAGATGTGCATTCAGCGGCATGGAAGTGATGCTAATCCATGTTGCTACTTATGATAAATATGGACACTAAATCATTTTAAATTTCCTTCACGGCCATTTATCTCATGTCCTTTGGCAGACTTTATATTTCAGGTGGAGAGAAATTGGTCTCCCGTTTGCTTTGTTTTTCCTCCTTAACATCATCTTCCTGAAGAGTTAATTACTCATGTTTTCTCCAGCTTGGGAGTAAATCACTGCTTATTTTCTGGAGTGAAACATACTCCGAAGGTTTGCAAGCTCAATGTGTTTGTTTTAAAGCCTGTTTCCCCATGGTTATGAAACCACCCAATGAGCTAACTGGGTCCAGCCAGACTAGAGCACAGGCAGCCTGAACTCTGCTTCTGTTGTTGGTTTTAATAAATTTCCTGTCTGATTTTTAGTTTTGCAATTTCTATTGTCTTGTCTCCAAGGAGAGAAGATGAGTAAACAGGCAACTTCCCTTTTTAAACTCTGAATTGTAAGTAAAAATGGATGATATGCTACAGTCAGAATTGAATTCAGTTCAGCGGATACTTCTTGAACTGCATTGTGGGTGAGCACTATACTATATCGAACATGGATCACGTGGTTGAGGAAGACTGGCCAGCCATGACACTCTACAAAACCATAATTCGAGGCAAACTGGGCCCTCATTCCCCACCCCTACAGCCCATCTCTTTTCTGTTGATTTTACACTTTGAGTTCACACCAGCCTGACCATCATGGCCTGTGTCATCCAGATCCTGCAGCCATCTCCCAGCTTGTCACTCTGCCTTCCGAATCTTCTAGCTACAAACTCTATCTCTGCACTACATTGAGAAGAAGTGTTTAATCCACTTCTAATTGGGGGATTGATTTCAGTAAGGTCTTCAGTAAGTCCTCATCCCCATCCCTTACATATGTCACTTGCCCATAGGATAAAGATAAAACCCCATAACAGGCAACCTACTAACTCCCTTGGTCTTTCTTTTTTTTTTTTTTTTTTTTTTTTTGAGAGACTCTTGCTCTGTCACCCAGGCTGGAGTGCAGTGGTGCAATCTCAGCTCACTGCAACCTCCGCCTCCTGGGTTCAAGTGATTCTCATGCCTCAACTTCCCGAGTAGCTGGGATTACAGACCCATGCCTGGCTAATTTTTGTATTTTTAGTACAGATGGGGTTTCACCATGTTGGCCAGGCTGATCTGGAACTCCTGATCTCGAGGGATCTGCCCACCTCAGCTTCCCGAAGTGCTGGGATTACAGGCGCGAGCCACCATGCCTGTTTCATATTTGGAAGCCACTTCCTGTTAGAAGCATTTTTTGGATTCTCTTCCAGATTAGGAAGCTGTGTTCTTCAACAGCATCCTGTGCCTGCTCCCGGCATAGCATTTGTCTCACTTCATTCACTTCATTGCTATTAAGCTTTGACTTCTCTCCACCGAGACTGGAAACTCTAGGGATAGGATAGACCTCTCTGAGGACTGTTCACCACCGTAGCCCCAGGGCTTCCAGTATTACCCGGCACAGTGGAAAGCACTGAAGGCATGTGGGCTCATGAATAAACAAGTGAGGGGAAAGTGTGTTCTAAAGGCAAAGAAAATGCAAAAATGAATTCCAGATGGAGAATTAGGTTCCATGGGAGTATTGGCATTTGAGCTAGGCCTGAAAAGAGTGGGTAGGATTTCAGTAGGGGGAGATAATAAGGAGAAGAATTCCAGGCAGAAGAAATAGTGTAGGCATAGGCAGGAAAGTGGGTGTCGTTCAGGGTGTGTTTTGTGAAAAGTGTATGCATCATTGTAGCTTCATATCCTCTCTGTGTGTGTGTGTGTGTGTGTGTGTGTGTGTGTGTAGAGGTTCGAGTATATGTGTTTGTGTTAGGTATGTGTGTATTTGTAGTTGTACGTGTGGGTGTGAGCGTATGTGATTATAATGTGAGCGTGGGTAGGCATGAATGTACCTGTATATAAGTGTGCTTTTATGTAGAGGTTCATGTATAGATGTATAGGAATATGTATACATATATGTGTAGGTGTACTGATGGTATTGCTTGAGTTCTTATAATAGTAAAAACTGACATTCACTGGACACTTATGTATCAGACACTTATGTATGCACGGTTTTTAGTGCTATTTTAATTGTAATAAACTTCCTATACACAAGAGGAAGTTTGGGAAATACTTTTTATCTCTATTATGAATTTTTCCATGTTTAATTGTGAATATGTGTAGGTATAAGTGTGTGTGCAAAGGCAGATGTGTGTGTGTGTTAGTGTGACGATGTGTGTGAGAATGAGAGAGAGAAAGTGAGAAAAAGAGAATAGTGAGGTTGATTGGGCCTGTATTATAGAAGAGCTTTTACTATACAGAGCAGTCTGGATTTGATTTTGTAGGCAGCATGAGACATGGAGGGACTTGAGCATGGAGTAGATCTATAATTTTGGTGTTTAGATATTTGTTTTTTAGGAGGTGGCTTCAGAGACCAGGAGACCTGTGATGAGGTTATTTTAATTGTCTCTTGTAAGCATTTCATAAATAGATCAAATAAGATAAAACACTCAGATCTCTTTGAAAGAGCCACGCACATCTATTAACCTAATTTCTTCCAGCCTTTTGCAGCCTTGGCAACATCCCTCTGAATTTATCCGGACATAAGAGGTGTATATTAACTTGAGACATACAATTTCTGGAGATGAAATTATCTCTGCTCTAAGAACATATTGGCTGAACATTTTGATAAGTAATCACTGCCCTTTAAAAAAAATCTTTCTAGGAGCTGAAGAGCAATTAGTTTCCTAAAAGCACTGTATTTAAATTTTATTAATAGGAATTAAACATCATTACAAAGTTAATCTACCCTTTTTATATTTCTTTTAGCAAAATCACTTTTCTCCATCAGCGGTCAATTATTATTATTATTATTTTTGTCGTCACAACTTCAGTATATTTCTGAAAACACTCAAAGGCTTATCACCAAAATTCAGTTTATTTTAAAGGTAAAGATTTTTTTTCTCCTCCCACACAACCTATTTTGTTGAATTGAGAACTGCTTTTAAGTACCAAAAAAATTCATAATAGAGATAAAAAAGTATTTCCCTAACTTCCTCTTCCGTATAGGGAGTTTATTAGAATTAAAATAGCACTAAGAATGGTGCCTGATACATAATAAGTGCCTAGTGAATGTCAATTTTTACTGTTATTATAAGAACTCAAGCAATGCCATCCCCACTTTATTGCTTTCTTCTCTCAATTTCTTAGCCAGTATTTATTTTCTGATAAGTTGTTCTCTCATGACTGCCCTGTTCTGATAGTTCCATCAAAAGTCCCAGGGAAAACTCTCATTGGCTTAGCTTAGGTCACATGCACATTCCTGAGCCAGTCAGTGTACTGATTTGCCAAATAAAGGACACGTGCCTATTCGTTAAATTAGGGCAGCATCTCTCCAAGGGAAAATGAATATGCTATAACCAAAAATCTGATAAATGAATGACAGGTAAGCAAAACAGCATAAGGCTATTGTGAAACCCTTGGGAGAAATGTGGAGAAAAGCGTGATTTATGGCTAAAACTACTGACATGGTAAAAACTGTGTCTAAATTAAACTAAAGTTAGTATCGAGAAAAGCTCTTATGAAGTTAAAACATGAAATAATCTAAATTCTACTCTAAAATTGTTTCCCCATTGATTTAAACAATGACAAAATAGCAATACATAGCACATAGCATTGGGCATTCCTTTATGGGCTTTAATACATTAATTTAGTCCTCTCAGCAATCCTGTGAATTATACTATTAACATCATCCTACTTTTCAGGTGATGAAACTGAGGCAAATAGATATTAAGAAATTTGCCCAAGTGGCACAGCTCACAAGTGGTACAGCTGGGATTTGAAGCCAGAGTGGCTGGCTCCAAAGTTTAAACTCCTGGCAACTTTGCTACTCTGTGTCTGAGAACATATTTGCTGTTTTTAAAAAACTCTCCCTTTTGAATTCAAAAACAGTTTTTGAATAAACTTTTTAGGTTAACTAGTTTTATATTTACAAAAAACTTGCAAAGATAGTCCAGTGACTTCTCACATACCTAATGCCCAGTTTCTCTGATTATTAACACCTGACATTAGTATGGTATATTTGTCATAATGAGTCAATTCGTATATTATTGTCAACTAAAACCCATGATTTTTTCAGATTTCCTTAGTTTTTATCTAATCTTTTTCTGTTCCATCCTGATAGCTGATCCAGGATCCTATATGACATGTAATTGTAATATTGCCTTAGGCTCCTCTTGACTAGGACACTTTCTTAGACCTTCTTGTTTTTTAATGACCTTTGACAATTTGGAGGACTACTGGTCAGATATCTTCTAGAATACCCCTACATTGGAATTTTTCTGATAGTTTTCTTATAATTACACCGAGGTTATAAGACGACACAGGTAGAACACCACGCCATTATCATCACATCATATTAAGGATATGTACTATTAGAATGATTTATCATTGTCCATATTGGCTTTGACCATTGAGCTGACATCACATCTGTCACATTTCTGCATTGTAAAGTTAGTCTTTTTTTTTTGTTCAGCAGAAAATTCTAGTTGCATTTTTTCACAGACTTAAAAATGAGTCCTGGGTTCACATCCTGGTTCTGCCATATGAATTGGACAATTACTTAAACCCCATGCCTCAGTTTCCTCATCTATGAAATGGAGATAATAAAAGTAGCATGTTATTCATGTATCTATTTTTAGGATTACAGAAATTATTAAAGCTTTCGGAATAGTAGAAACGGAAAGACTTATTTTTATCATCTCATGTAATCTTTTTTTTTTTTTTTTTTTGAGATGGAGTCTCACTCTGTCACCCAGGCTGGAGTGCAGTGGCGCGATCTCGGCTCACTGCAAGCTCGGCCTCCCGGGTTCATGCCATTCTCCTGCCTCAGCCTCCCAAGTAGCTGGGACTACAGGAGCCTACCACCATGCCCGGCAAATTTTTTGTATTTTTTTTTTAGTAGAGACGGGGTTTCACCATGTTAGCCAGGATGGTCTCGATCTCCTGACCTCGTGATCTACCCGCCTCAGCCTCCCAAAGTGCTGGGATTACAGGCGTGAATCTTATGTAATCTTTATAACAACTCTGTGGCCTTGTTGTAACCTTTAAAATATGAAGAAACTAAATTTCAAAAAGGGAGGTAGTGATTAAGCTGTGCTCTAGAGGTTTTCACTGACTAAGTTTAAATTCTTACTGTGAGCCTTATGATCTGACCTGAGCAAGAAACATAATATTTTTAAGCCCTGGTTTCCTCATCATGCAATGAGGATAATTATAGTTATCTATGTCCTACAGTTGCCTTGAGGATTGAGTCATATAATGAATGAAAAACCCTTAGCACTGCTCCTGGAAACACATAGTAAAGCCCTAATCAGTGTTAACAATGGTCTTTGTCATTATTGCCCACTGTGCCCCAGCTAGGAATGGACAAGTCAGGATTTGAACTCATGCCCTTCTTTAGAGAATGAGGAAGAGCCAGCTTTGAGAAAAGCCTCAGATTTGAGTACCACTGTTTTTTGTGCAGCATGGAGAATTACTATCCAAGAGGGCTCTATTGACCATGTTCTTCTTTCCTCAGTCTTCTAACTGGTTCTCAGAACCATCCTGCCACCTTTTTTAGAGATAGCTTGCCATTTGGCTGTTTTCTGCTGTCCTTTCACCCTGGGTGCAAGACTGCCCTAATATATGGTTGCCATACAGAATTAAATGTCAAGTAAGGAGTGCCACCTTTGCCCCTCTTCTAATTATGTACTCATTACCCTGAGCTCAAATCAGGAAAGATTTGGGAGGGCAGCTTATCCTTGCATTTTACATAGAGTGCTATACCTGAAAGACCTTAGAGATTATCTGATTCAAACCCACTCCCCTCATTCCTGTTACAGTGAGGAGAATGACACCCAATCAGTGAGGTCAAAAGTCAAGGGAATGCCATTGAAGAAACTCAGATCTCCATTTGTCAATTAGTTCTTCTGCTACAGAGGCTCATTTTCCTGAAGATAAGTTTAACAAATGTTGAATTAATGATAATAGTTCCACGTATGGAGACCTTTCTGTGTGCCAGGAACTGTGCATTAAGAGATGTTTGTTGTTATTATCTTATAAGTAAGCCTCATAACAGCATATGAAATGGAAGTGTTGTTTTTATTTGGTGATTGAGTGAACTGAGGTTCAAAAAGATTATGTGGCTTGTTCAAGGTCACATGGCTAAAGCAGTGACAAGATTTGAACCTGTTCATCTGTCTGATCTCTAAGCCTGTGCTATTAATGATTCTGAACCCTCTTGTCCTGTGCCATGTAAAGGAGAGAAGAGAGGGGTTCTGTAGCAATGAAGTTGATGCCTGAAAACTCAATGGGATCCATATGTGCATATACATGTACATGTATACAGCACACACACACACACACACACACACACACACACAAGCGTGCTTGCCTGTCCTGGTTGTGTATAAATATAACCAGAAGTTTGGCAAGGTGTCCTGGAACTTCATTTTCCCTCCAAGCTCCAAAAATAGCATGTGATTGACAAGGACTGTATGATTTCACTTGCTCTGATGCATTGAAACCTTATTCCTGGAAGCACTGCTGGAGGAAATGGATTGAAACCTTACTCCTGGAAGCACTGCTGGAGGAAATGCGGTGCAACCCTGGTATTGGCTCACACTTCAGAATAGCTTTTATGAGTCAGGAATGCTGATCTAAAGTTACAGACTCAGCTGAGTGTGGTGTTCACTTTTATGGAGAGGATTGGGAACAGGAAAAAGGTCCAGTTTAGAGAATAGCAGAAGAGTCACCATCACGTCCAAGGTGGGAGCAGAGATATTTTTGGCTGCCATCTTCAAAGTGCACAGGGTCCTTCCATTTTGGATATAACTTCTAAATAAAGGCATTTGGAGCATACATACTCCATGCCACTGTGGAAATGGAGACAAGCAGAAACAATATGACAGTCGAAACTGAGGTCTTCAGGATTCAACCCATTGGTTCTTTCTTTCTCCCTGAATACTCTGGTGGCTGGAGTCCCTTTTTAAAATGGTGTTAGGATGATGCTGTTTGCTTTCTCTGGGGAAATTTAATACCCAAAGGCTATTCAGACGGCCACCCTCAATGGCTCTGAGTCTCGGGGGCTGAAGTTGCAGTAAGAGCAAGGGAGAGAATACAGGTCCTTGATACTTCCATATTTTGCCTAGGGTACAAGATTCCAAAGCTGAGGCACATATGGACACATTAATCATTCTAACACTTTCTGACTCATGCACATGTAAAAAATACAGGCTGTATGTTTATTCACTCCACCAAAAACTACCCATTAAGTCCCTCCATGTGGCATGCCCTGAGTTAGAAGCTGTGGACATAGAAACCAATCATTACGCATATAAAATTCCTGGTAGACTGGGAAATCATAGTCTCATAAGTAAAACATATACATAAACACATAGATTATTGTAGATTATTGAGGTATAATATTGTGAAGCAAATGATGTTTAGATATTTAAATCAAATTAAGGATTTATGAATAAATTATATAATGGGTTTTTTTGCTGTAATATAGAAGGAGTGAGTGGGAGTATAAATGAAACAAGATTGGTCATGAGTACTAATTATTGAAGCTGGACATTGGGAATACGGAGGTTCATTATATGATTCTACTCTTAAATACATTTGAACATTTCCATAATTAAAAAAAAATTGGAGTAGGCAAAGAAGCTTCCATCTTCAGGCAGGTTATATATGGACATATATCCATGGTGACTTCTATAAATCTTTTTCCATTCTGGCCATTGAACTTGATTGACTCTTAGTCCATTTGGGTTGCTGTAACAGAATACCATAGACTGGGTGGCTTATAAACCACAGAAACTTGTTTCTCATGCTTCTGGAGACTGGGAAGTCCAAATCAAGGTGCCAGCAGATTTAGCGTCTGGTGAGAGCTGCTTCCTGGTTCATAGACAGCAATCTTCTTGTTGCATACTGATATGGTGGAAAAGGCAATGGGTCTCTCTGGGGCCTCTTTCATAAAAGCACTAACCCCATTCATGAGGGCTCCACCTTCATGACCTAATCAGCTCCCAAAGACCCCTCCTCCTAACACCACCACATTAGGGGTTAGGATTTCAACCTATGAATTTTGGAGGGACGCAAATATTCAGTCTGTAGCAAACCCTTAAGGTAAATCCCAACTTCTTAATAGAGCCTACAAGGCTTTGCATTTTCTGGTCTCCACCTATCTGGAGTGCTCTTTCCTTCTCTGCTCCTCCACAATTCCTTCCCACAACTGCCACGATGCAACTCATCCTGAATTTCCAATTTCAGCTTAAGTGTCACCTCCTCAGGGAAGATGTCTCTGATATCTTTTCTCCTATATGCTCTCTTAGACCCATGTTTCATTTCTTCCTCCCAATTTGTATGAACATATGTTTTTGTGTAATCATTTGACTCATGTGTCTTCTCAATTAGCACAAAAATTTCATGCAAGCAAACATTTTATCACTTCCATTACAGTATTCTCAGTGTCTAGCACAGTGCTTGGAACCTAGTAACCACTCAACACATATTTATGGAATGAATGACTCTGCTAAACCTGTCTACAAACACTGGCCTCAGTTATAGTCCCTTGTAAATAGGAATATAGGCAGGGAAAGTGAAGAATGTCTGTTCTCCTTTATCTGGTATATACGATTTAGTAGTTGAGATTTTTGGTGTTTGCAGTGGGGTGCCGAAGGGTCTATCAGATGAGAAAAGAAGGTAAGAGCTCTTGGGACCTAGGGCAGTGTTGACACAGCAGCTTCAGCTCCTGATCGAGTTCTCTCTACCTACCACTCATCTTCAACCTCCTTGGCTGACCCATGGATACTTGGATGTGTCAGGAACAGGGAGTAGAACTTGGAGAAGATTTAGGAAGTTATTGCACTCTGGGGGCTCATAAACCTTTGCAACTTTTCTCTCCATGAGCGAGCGTTGGACTGAAACTTTTGCCTGACTCCCATGGTGTGGGGGTTGTGATGTGGTCAATGACATCACCAAAGATTCTGCTAGTCTTTGCCTTAATTTACATTATCTTGGGACTTTAGGAAACATGTCTGCAAGGAAGGAAGAGTGTTGGAGCTATAACGTGGTTACTGTAGCTCAATTCACAGAAACACTGTACATAGCGAGAAAGCACCTTTGGGTTCAGAAAGCCCCACGTTATAACTCTGGTTCCACCACTTATTGCTGTGTGAGTTTGTGCAAGTCACATAACCTCTCTGTGTTTCAGTTTCCTGAACTACGAAGTTGGAATAATAATGCTTACCATGTAGAGTTTGTAGGAATTAAACTAAGTGGTGATATTGGCACATTTCCTGACTGTACAGGAGTGCTCAAAAGTTATGTCATTGAGGTTATAATATAAAATGCTACGGTGGAGATATGCGCAAAGTTCTATATTACTAGGGAAAGCAGGAATGATTTTACAGGTAAGGTGACAGTTCAGTTATGTTTTAAATGTTAACAACAATAGTAAAATAATAGCAGCCACCATATGTGTTACATGCCATGTCAGGTTTTGTGCTCTATATTTTTGGTACTTTTTGGCTCATTCAAACCTTACTGCAGTCTTCAAGGTCATACCCTGTTGCTCTCTTCATTTTACAAATGGAGAAAGTGAAGCTCAGAGAGGTTGAATGACTTTCCCAAGGCTACTCAGCTAGTGGATGAAGCCAGGATTTACACTTAGTTCTGTTTGACTTCAAAAGCCATTCTCTTACCCACTGAACTACCCACCCTCTCTCGAAGGTTGTGTTTGAGTCTTCCAAGGCAAATGGAAAGAAAAGGGATTGGTATAACATGTTCCAAAAGGAAACACTTGTATATTTCTTTATCTATTTGCATATTTCAGTATTTTTGGTTTGATCTATGTCGTACAACTGACTGACAGTTCCAAGAAGGCAAGAGTCATTCTGTTTTAGCCATCATTATTCCTAGGCTGGCACTGGGACATCGTAGGTCTTCAATAAATCTATGTCGAATGAATGAAGAATTTGATGCGCTCAGCATTCTCCCCAGCCTGTTACATATCATAGCGTGAATAAATGAACATGTGTGTGTGTGTTTAACCAAATTGCTCTACTCGCCATCCTATCTTAAAAAGAAATGTATCAGCAATGCTGGACAATTTTGTAATTAGCCACAGGAAATGTTTCTTTATAGCCAGCAAAAATTTTCCAGCCCATATGATGAGGTAATCTTAGAGAGCACTGATTCTTTTCTCTCCTCCCACCCTGTCACCTCTCCTGGTGTCCGGCATGTTTGAATTCTCTTTAAGGGTTTGAGATTCATTTCTGGTGACACTTAAACATTACAGGAGGAGAGGTGAGTGGGTCTGGTCAACACAGACAAGCCTGGATTTGGCACTTAGCTTTTCACACGAGGTGTTTTCCTCGAGGTTGGTATTACAAATAAAGCGGTGACCTGTGGTGTCAAGCAATGGCGTGTGGGAGCAGGAGGAGAAGGGAGAAAGAGCGGTGCGGGGGCAGCTTCCTCCCAGCGTGTATGTGAATAGCGCCAATAAGCTGTCAAATAAAATTAAGGTTCAAAATATACAGCCTTCAATTTGATTGCACTAAGATGCCGACTGCTGCTCCGAGGGAATACAATCGATTCTATTTTGACAGGTCTTGATGTACGCTAAGCAGTGACAGTCTCCCCTCTGTGCAGGATTAATAAAAGTTCACCTTAATTTGCAACTTAAATAGAACTGTATCTGGGGTCAAAATGATGCTTTTAATTTCCCCACCTGCTCCATCTCTTCTCTGTGTTGTCTCAACCCCCACTCCTCTTCTTTTCACTCTCTAGCTTCATCTTCCTCTCCCTTTTTCTCTTTTCCTTCATCTTAGCACCTTTTTCTTCTTTCTCCTTTTCACTTTCTCTCCTTTATACTTAGAAACAATATGGAGTACCTATGTTGTGCTTTTGCCTTTCATGCATTGCTTTATTGAATTCCCATGGCATCCTTAGGAAGTAGGGGGAATTGTGTTCATTATACAGATGAGAAAACAGAAGATCTTAGGATTAAGAGCTTGCCTAGTACAGCTAGTAAGTGGTACAGTGGGAGAATCAAACCCAGACCTCTCTGATTCTAAAAGTCTATGCTGTTTCCTTGCCATCCGTGGTCCTGAACTCTGGCAGAACATTAGAACCACCTGCGGGGCTGTAAAGGTATCAGTGCCTGGGCACTGCCTCCAGAGATGCAGGTTGATTCCTCTGGGGATGAGGGCGGCTGGGATGGAGAACTGCCCTATATTCTGTTTTCTCTTTATGCCCGTTTGTCTTAGCACAGAAGTAGATGCATATGTTGAGATATGTGGCAGAAAGGCCCTTGAGACGGATGGATGTCTCTGGCAGGGAAAGGATTTGCCTCTCCAGAAATCAGCGGCGGAAGAAAGCACAGCTGTGTCTTTGTGTTTGTGCTGCAGGTGGGCAAGTGGGAGAACCATACGCTGAGCCTGAGGCACGCCGTGTGGCCCAGGTACAAGTCCTTCTCCGACTGTGAGCCGGATGACAACCATCTCAGCATCGTCACCCTGGAGGAGGCCCCATTCGTCATCGTGGAAGACATAGACCCCCTGACCGAGACGTGTGTGAGGAACACCGTGCCATGTCGGAAGTTCGTCAAAATCAAGTGAGTGGCAGGAATGCTGTCACCTGAACGTGCCCAACCCTTTGAAATAGCATGGATCATCGATAGTAACAATATGTGTACTTGAATCACAAAATGTCATAGAAAATACACGTCGTTATAGTAGGTATAATACAATAATCAATTTAAAAAAGACTTAGATAAATTCCTAGAGATGTGCCACACTTGCATTCATTTAATTCCACCAGCAATATGAGGTGAGTAGTTTTGCCCATTGTAAATATGATAAAACCGAGTTATGGGAAGATTATGAAACATGTTCAAAGCCATCTAGCTAGGAAATGGAAGAGGTAGGACTCAAACAGTGGTCCAACTGACTCCACAGACATGTTTTTAACCCTTAGGTTGAATCAATCCTCCCCTTCAGTCTTTCTAGTTTAATTTAATTTATTCATTTATTTATTTTTGAACATACATATTCAAAAAATATCTTTATATTTTTAATATAGAAAACATTTTTGTATATTAAAATAAATATAAAACATATCTTAATATATTAAAATATAAAACATTATATATAAATATATAGAAATTATATATTTTATATATTTAAATATATAAAACAGTATATTTTATATATTTAAATATATAAAACAGTGTATTTTATATATTTAAATATATAAAACAGTATATTTTATATATTTAAATATATAAAACAGTGTATTTTATATATTTAAATATATAAAACAGTGTATTTTATATATTTAAATATATAAAACAGTGTATTTTATATATTTAAATATATAAAACAGTGTATTTTATATATTTAAATATATAAAACAGTGTATTTTATATATTTAAATATATAAAACAGTGTATTTTATATATTTAAATATATAAAACAGTGTATTTTATATATTTAAATATATAAAACAGTGTATTTTATATATTTAAATATATAAAACAGTGTATTTTATATATTTAAATATATAAAACAGTGTATTTTATATATTTAAATATATAAAACAGTGTATTTTATATATTTAAAATATTATAAAACAGTGTATTTTATATATTTAAAATATTATAAAACAGTGTATTTTATATATTTAAAATATTATAAAACATATATTTTATGTATTAAATATATAAAACACCATATGTTTTTATATATTAAAAATATAAAAGATCATATATTTTTATACATTAAAATATGTAAAACATCATATTTTATACATTAAAAATATAAAACATCGTATTTTTATATATTAAAAATACATATGGTTGGACACAGTGATTCACATCTATAATCTCAGCACTTTGGGAGGCCAAGCTGGGCAGATTACTTGAGGTCAGGAGTTGAAGACCAGCCTAGGCAACATGGCTAAACCCTGTCTTTCTTAAAAGTACAAAAATTAGCCAGCTATGGTGGTGGGCGCCTGTGATCCCAGCTACTCAGGAGGCTGAAGCATGAGAATCACTTGAATCTGGGAGGTGGAGGTTGCAATAAGTCGAGATCGAGCCACTACACTCCAGCCTAGGCAACAGAGTGAGACTCTGACTCAAAAATAAATAAATAAATGAAAATAGAAATATATAAACATTATACATTTTTATATATTGAGATATATAAAACATATATTTTTACATATTTTATATATAAACTATTTTTATATATAAACTATATGTTTATAGATAAAATATATAGTTAATGTACAAGTTTATATATAAAATATATATTTATATGTTAAAATATATAAAACATTTTCATATATTAACATATAGAAACCAATATATTTTTATATATTAAAAATATATAAACCATATATTTTCATGTTAAACATATATAACATATATATTTTTATATATATATAAAACATATAAAAATAAGGCCTGTTTTGGTTTGGAGAAAATTTTATCAATGAGGTCACAAATGTCAGCCTCTTTGAAGTTGAAATCCTGAATACATCATGGAATAAATAAATATGCCCCTACTGTTATGTTAGAAATGTATAAAACGTATGTTTTTATATGTTAAAAATGTATAAAACATTATATATTTTTATGTGTTAAAAATATATAAAACATTACATATTTTTGTTAAAAAATATAAAACATATATTTTTATGTGTTAAAAATATATAAAACATATATTTTTATGTGTTAAAAATATATAAAACATTATATATTTTTATGTGTTAAAAATATATAAAACATTAATTTTTTTTATATAATGACAGGGTCTTGCTCTGTCCCCCAGGCTGGAGTGCAGTGGTGTGATCACGGCTCACTGCATTCTTGAACTCCTAGGCTCAAGTGTTCTTCTCACCTCAACCTCCTGAATAGCTGAGACTACAGGCCTGTGCCACCATGTCTGGCTCATGTTTTAATTAATTTTTTTTTTTAGAGACAAGAGTCTTGCTATGTTACTCAGCCTGGTCTCAAGCTCCTGGCCTTAAGTGATCCTCATGCCTTGGCCTCCTGAGTCACTGGGATTATAGATGTGAGCCACTGTGTCCGGCTTCCTTTAGTCTTTTTAAAAATAATTATTTAGTTTCCACTTTTCTGGCTGTCCCTTTCCTTCCCCCCACACATTCTTCTTCCATCTCTTTTATAGATCCCAGATCTATGCTTCTCAAGAAGGTTAAAAACGTCTCTCCATTTGGGAGTGAACACACACCTTGCATGTTACTTTCTGATACAATCCAGGTGCAAATGGAACTTCTGGCAGTTTCTCAGCTCAGCAACAGCCAGCAGGCACTGCATCTGTGTCATTTCTCCTTTTGTTATGATTGAAGAAAGAGCTGGCATTGTCCATTATGAGGTCCCCTTAATCTACAAACCCTCTGGGGACACAGAAACCTCCATGGCCACCTCCAAGGCCCTGATCCTGGTATTTCCTAATGCAAACATAAGCAAAAACACCACCTCACAGGAGACTCACAGAAGAAAAAGGCCTGCTGTTGGAAACTTTATTTGTTTTCTGAGTCTTTTCTGATCTGTTTCTTTTACCTAATTCTTACTCATCCTTTAAGTGTAGCTCCTGCGTCCCCAAGCTGGGTTAGCTCTTCCTACTTCCACAGTACCTGGGTGTATCTCTCTCTACCCTCATCACCTGTCTTTACAGTGTATAGTTTGTCTTCTCCCTGGCTTCTGAGCCACCTACATATAGGGAATGTGACTTATTAATATTTGCACCCTCAGTTACAAGGGCACAGCATGACACACCAATGTTTGTTTCATGACTAGGAAGAGAGATTTTTACTTCCTCGTTTCAAACTCCAGTCTCAGCTATTATCACACAAGATGCAAGTGCCCAGATCTCAGTCCTTGAGATCAGGATTTTAAAGATATAATATGTGATTGCTAAATGTATTGTGAAGGCCTGTTTTGGTTTGGAGAAAATTTTATCAGTGAGGTCACAAATGTCAGCCTCTTTGAAGTTGAAATCCTGAATACATCATGGAATAAATAAATATGCCCCTCCTAAAAAGGCCCTTGCTTTCTCCAGTGTCCCCACTGTGGCTCCCTGGGATGAAGTTTTTTTTTGATAAGCAGTCCCCCAGCCTCCACTCTCCTGGAGATGAGGAAGAGGTGGGGCCCACCAAGGAAGGGCAAGTGTACATCCCATGATTCATGATTCATAATTCATCATGATTCATAATTGTGTGAAACAGACCATGTTTTGGGGTCAGGAATGTTTTAATGATTTTTGCTGAATTCCTTTACAGTGAAATAACACAGACATTGTTATAAGTAAAATTGTTATAAATAAATTGTTTTAATACAGAATGAATGAATGTGCATTAAGCACAGTTTGCATGTTAGGCACATTGCTGGGCACAGGGGATACATGGATGAACAGGGAGGGCAAAAGACTAGGACCTTTCCATCATGGAACTTACGTGGTTAGAAAACAATTCGACCAGGAAGAAATGGGTGACCCCATGTTGTAATAAACCTTGTGATGAACAGAAAGAGAGTGGTGTGAGAAGAGAGTACATCGGGGTATGTGGGGTTACTTTAGCTCACACAGATAAGATTTAAGGTGATATATACAGGATGAGAAGAAGCCAGACATGTGAATATCTGGGCAAAGCCTTCCAGGTAGAGGCAATGGCAGGTGCAAAGGCCCTGGGGAGGAAAGGAGCTTGGGAGTTTGGGAAACGGAATGAAACCCAGTGCAGTGCTAGAGAGTGATGAGTTACAAGGAGGATGGAGGGGATGATGTGGGAAAGTTGTCAGAGGATGTTCTAATTTGGGTGGGTGTTCTTTGAGCAGAACTTGGCCCGATGAAGAAAGCAAAGTGGCTGGCACAAAGCAGAGTCTAACTTCAGTGGGACACCTCCCCTATGATAACAATACCCTCTGTGTTTCAATAGGGCAATCAACTGAGGCCCCGTGTGCTCCAGAATCAATAATAGGAGTTTAGAGTCTTTAAAATCAAAAGCCCTGGAGCTGAAAACAAGTAGATCCCCAAGTACTGAGTCACATTTGTATGAGGAAGAGAAATCAAAATAAATTGCTGTCTTTAAAAGAATTGACTTTTCTACTGAAGACTATCAACAGCTTAACAGGTTCAAATTCACGTTTTTGGTTTCTGTGAGGAGATAGTAGCTTGCAGCTTTCCTTCTTCCGCTTGGGGATATGAGGAGTTTACTGTGTCTGGATGAAATGAAAGTCTGACTCGTGAGAGCAATAGAGAATTGCTAGGATCCACTAATCCCAACATTAAAGAAGATTAGATCAATTGCATTTCCTATAGGGAACGTCTTTGAGGAAGGCTGATCAGTTGCAAAAAGAATTCCTGTTAGACAACATGATTGTGTGAAACCTTTTTGTTTCTCACTTCTGGCAAGTGGTGGGATCTTCTAAGAATACCAGGTAACCGGAAATGAGCTGAGAAATCTTCCTTTCTGGTCTGTTAGTTGGGTGATAAAGACATGCAGAGAAAATTGGAAAAATCATTTGGCCTGATGTGTAGCGAGAAATGGCCATGCTGTCAATTAAGCTCCCAAACTGTCAAATCATTGGTGGGAAGAAAGGAAATTTATTTTTAAGTGCTGGATGAGATTTGTCTGAGTCTGCGTGGTGGACAGGAGCCAACCCAGGACCTGGACACAGCTCTGACTCGCATGGCTGTGCTCACATCCACCGGCTATACTGGGAAATTGTAGAGCTGGTAAACTGGACAATTTGTTGGATCCCTTTCCCCGTATTTGTTTTTGTGAGTCATTCCCTCTCTTGGGTGGTGGTGGAGCACTAAGAGAGATCACATGGGGACCATTTCTCAGTCTGTGTAGTTAAGTCACATCCCCTGCACACCCACACAAGGGCTGTAATAGGAACCAACAGACGTTCCCAATTACAAGCTGGTCTGCAATTCCATAATTACTGTGATAAATTCAACTATTGCCTTTGCTGCGTGCCTTTTTCATCCTGTGTCCCCAAGGCCCAGTTCCATGTCTTGTGCACAGTAGGCACTTAGTGGGTGCTTGTTGGGTGAAAATGCGTCATTGATCATTTGTATTTAGAAATATACCTCATGTTCAGGGATATGGGTGAGATAACTCATAAACTGGCTGAGGTTTCCAGGGAGACCAAAGAATGCCACTATATGCCTGTGACCTTGAATCTTAAACCTGGGGCACCTAAAACTTCTCTCTAATCTTCCAGAAATCTTGACCAGGTGAAGGAAGAGCCTGTGATAGGGGAAGAAGGGAAGGAACATAGAATGAAGGTGATACAAATGAACAGAGGTAGGGAAAGGGCATCAGTGCATGGCCAACAGCGACCAGAAAGAAAAAGAGAATTCGATTTTGACACATTTTTCAGAGCCATGTATACTAAGAAGGAAATGGTATCTGGACATTCCATCAACTTTAATGTACTTAGGACACATTTCTATCATATTTGTGGCAGTTTTAACTCTAGCCCAACCCCCTCCATTCTGGGTAATTGGTGGAGATGGAGCTGGCACATATCCCATGACTGTACAGTGTTGAGGTCACTAATCATCACATGTAAATATACACAGATGTGGCCTCCTACTACCCCCCCACTAAGGGTGGTGGATGACAGCAGGTCATCCAGCCTCTAGGCAAGAGAGTAAAGTCTCTATGGTGGTCTGGGTTGACAGAAGCAGAGTGGTTGAGTACAAGTCACTGACAGGATGTGGGGGTGGGATACAATGGTGAAGAGAGTGATTCAAGACAGGCAGTCTGTGATCCTGAGATAAAGGAAAGCATTGATAAGCAGGTGTCATTTACAACCCACTTCTGTTACTCAAAATTATGTTTTCCAGCTTGAGTATGGTGTCGCACACCTGTAATCCCAGCACTTTGAAAGGCCAAAGTGGGAGTATCACTTGAGGCCAGGAGGTCCAGTCTGCCATGAGCCATGATCACATCACTGCAACCCAGCCTGGGCAACAGAGCAAGAGCGTGTCTCTTAAAAAATTGTTCTGTCAAATCTGCCCACCTTCATGGATATAGAGATGATGTATATCATGTAAATCAATGTTGTTTGATGCGTGTGTGTGTGTCTGTGTTGCCAATTACATAAGTAGTATGTACTTACTAGATAATTTGGGGAAAAACCCTAAAAATGTAAAAAAGAAAACATGTTTTTCACCGTTCCAAAATAGCTTGCTTCTTTCTTTCTTTCCTTTCTTCCTTTCCTCGTTTCCTCCTTTATTTCTTTCTCTTTCTTTCTCTCTTCTCTCTCCCTCCCTCTCTTTCTCTCTCTCTCTTTCTTTCTTTCTATCTCTCCCTCTCCCCCCTTTTTCTCTTTCTGTTTCTCTCTTTCTTTCTTTCTTTCTTTCTTCCTCTCTCTCTCTCTCTCTCTTTCTTTCTTTCTCTCTTTCTCTCGACAGAGTCACATTCTGTCACCTAGGCTGGAGTGCAGTGGTGCGATCTTGGCTCACTGCAACCTCTACCTCCCAGATTGAAGCTATTCTTATGCCTCCTGTGTAGCTGGGATTACAGGTGCATGCCACCATGCCCAGCTCATTTTTGTATTTTTAGTAAAAATGGGGTTTCTCCATGTTGGCCAGGCTGGTCTCAAACTCCCAACCTCAGGGGATCCACCCAACTTGGCTTCCCAAAGTGCTGAGATTACAGGAATGAGCCACTGCACCTGTCCTATGCTTCATATTTCATTGTTTTTCCATACAGTTATTTCATAAGCTCATCTGTTTTTATATAGCTGTGATTATTCTGTTTGTACTACTGTGTAACCTACTTTTTTCATATGACATGGAAGCATAAGAATTTTCCTGTGATGATGTTGGATTTCCATAGACATCACTTTAGTGCTTAGGTAACACTCCAATGTGTGGATTTGCCAAAAATGGGATATTCAAACAGAGAACATATTCATGAAATGCATAACTCAAAGACAGGGTTGAGCTAATGGGATGTCCATTAATCAAGCATATTGCCCAGAAGAAAGGCTTTGATCTTATGTGAATTGTCTAAGTACTTTTTGCTATCCGTTGGATAGACCAGTGTTTCCTTTCTTTCTTTTCTTTTTTCTTTTTTTTTTGGAGACAGAGTTTCACTCTTGTCACCCAGGCTTGAGTACAACGGCATGATATTGGCTCACTGCAGCCCCCGCCTCCTGGGTTCAAGTGATTCTTATGCCTCAGCCTCCTGAGTATCTGGAACTACAGGTGCCTGCCACCATGCCTGGCTAATTTTTGTATTTTTAGTAGAGACAGGGTTTCGCCATGCTGGCCAAGCTGGTCTTGAACTCCTGACCTCAGGTGTTCACCCGCCACAGCCTCCGAAAGTGCTGGGATTATAGGTGTGAGCCACCATACCCGGCCTCCTTTCTTTTTAAAGGTATTTTTCTGGTTTGCCTGGGTGTCCTTTGAATATGTCTTGTTCAGGTGAATACAGCAAGGTGGCTGGTACAAAACAGTAAGTGTAGCCTTGGTAGAGTATACAATAGCCTTTAAGATAGTTTAAATTTTAATGGGGTCTTTACCTGATCAAGGACCTTGCTTTTAGAAGTGTCTCCTTTTATACTACATGTCACATAGGTAGGTAGGGAAGATGTTATTAATGAGCCCTCATGTAACATTTGGCTCTATCAAGAGAAGTTCAGTGCACAAAATCAGGCATGGAATAGAACCCAGGTCTCCTGATTCTTGGCTGAGGTGTTGTCTGGGTACCTTCACTTCTCCCCTTTGGTTTCAAGCCTCTGTAATTATAGAATGAAGCAAAACCTTGCTTTCTCTGAGAATTTCACATCCTCCTCTCTTCCATTCTCTAGTAAGTTTTTATGACTCAGTTTAGATCTGATGACTAAACTCTAGTCTAAAGTTGTGTATGTTATAAACTCTTAAAAATTTAAGAGTTGGTAATTTTTACCTGTTTAATGGGTGTACAAATATCAACTAATTCAGAAAATGTCATGAAGATTAATTCAACAATTAGTATGAAGCCTTTAGGATAGTGCTTAGCAAATAGTAATTACTCAATAAGTGTTAGTTCTTGTCATGATAACTGCTATAATTAAGGACACTTTCTGCTTTTGCTGTCATGTACTCACAGTGTGTCCTTGGGAAAGCCACTTCCCCTTTTAAACTTCAGTTTACTCATCTGAAAAATAGGAGAAGAGTACAGCTAATGATTGTGAACAAACCTTCCAGTGCTAACATTCTGTGGTCTTGGGGTTTTTCTTTACAGCAATTCAACCAATGAGGGGATGAATGTGAAGAAATGCTGCAAGGGGTTCTGCATTGATATTCTGAAGAAGCTTTCCAGAACTGTGAAGTTTACTTACGACCTCTATCTGGTGACCAATGGGAAGCATGGCAAGAAAGTTAACAATGTGTGGAATGGAATGATCGGTGAAGTAAGTTATCTTTTCATCCCCTAGGCTCTTACTCAGACAAAGGGCCTGCAGTCCTCAGGAATGTTAGCAGGAAAAGTAAAGTACTGTTGTTCTCTCTCTCTCTTTTTTTTTTTTTTTTTTTTGCCTTGCATCCAGGTGGTCTATCAACGGGCAGTCATGGCAGTTGGCTCGCTCACCATCAATGAGGAACGTTCTGAAGTGGTGGACTTCTCTGTGCCCTTTGTGGAAACGGGAATCAGTGTCATGGTTTCAAGAAGTAATGGCACCGTCTCACCTTCTGCTTTTCTAGGTGTGTGAATTTCATAGTGACTATTGCTTTCCTATAAGGAATTGTAGGAAATCTTGTTTGCTCAGAGGATGGGACCAGAAAGGAACTTGTTTAGCTCTGTTTGGCCATGGCAGCATATTTCAGAGGATGCTGCATTTGAATTATCCTATGAAAGGGTTAGGCTTTGGGTCCCCACCCAAATTTCATCTTGAATTGTAATCCCCAGCTGTTGAGGGAGAGACCTGATGGGAGGTGACGGGATCATGGGGATGGTTTCTCCCCTTCTGTTCTTGTGATAATGAGTGAGTTCTCATGAGATCTGACGGTTTAATAAGGGGCTCTCATTATATTATTATTATTATAAGGGGTTTAATAAGGGGCTCTTCCCCCTTCGCTTCACTTCTCTCACATGCCGCCATGTAAGACGTGTCTGCTTCCTCTTCTGCCATGATTGTAAGTTTCCTGGGGACTCCCCAGCCATGTGGAACTGTGAGTCAATTAAATCTCTTTCCTTTATAAATTTACCCAATCTCAGACAGTTTATTTTTTTGAGATGGAGTCTAGCTCTGCTGCCCAGGCTTGAGTGCAGTGTTATGATCTTGGCTTACTGCGGCCTCTGCCTCCTGGGTTCAAGCAATTCTCCCACCTCAGCCTCCCCAGTAGCTGGGATTATAGGTGCCCACCACCATGCCTGGCTAATTTTTGTGTAGAGATGGGGTTTCGCCATGTTGGCCAGACTGATATCAAACTCCTGACCTCAAGTGATCCTCGGGCAGTTCTTTATAGCAGCGTGAGAGTAGACTAATACATCCTAATTCACTCCCCTCCATCCCCAGTTCACATCTTTCATTTGTCTTAAACTTGGAAAAAGCTGCTGAAAAAAATATGATCACATATTCAGATACTGGTCTTGACTCTGTAGAATGTAAATTAATAGATATATTGCTTAGAATATTGAAAACATTTAAAAATAAAGCTGTCCACAGTTAATTTAAACCAGCTCATAGACCTTTATTCAGCATCTACATATCCATCCTCCATCCCACAAAGAACAGCAGTCATTTATTTGCTAGATGTAAGAGTGAAAATAATGATGACTGCACGATGATTTATGCCAATATTCTGCTAATAGGAATAGTCTGAAAAGTATATGCTGATTTAAAATTAATCGAATCATATTTTAAATGTGACTACCCATTAAGCCAAATAGTTTGTAAAGAAGGAAATTCTTGTGATTTTTTTAACCGTTTTGTAAATTTATGTTTTTACATAAAAGGTGTTTTTTTTTTTTAAATCAAGGAAGAGCTATGTTTTCTATCATCTGCTTTTCTCTAGCACTTGGACTGTATTGGGTAGCCTGGCTAGAGTTGAAATTTCATGGAACATAGTAAAGCATTATTTTTGTCTTTAAAGGAAAGTGTTGTATTAACTGTTTGGTTATCATAAATGAGTTTTGACTGTAACTATCTTGTTGAATATCATGAAATTCAGATCACTAATTCCCCCTTGGCACTCCCATATAAGTGGGTTTGTCCCAAATTAGGGAAGGTTAAGACAAACGTGAATCTCTGGAGGAAAACTGAGAGGGGAAAAATATGTATAATTTTTAAAAAATTTCAATAGCTCAGGGGTACAAGTGATTTTTGGTTATATGGACGAATTATATAGTGGTGAAGTCTGGGCCTTTAGTGTACCTGTCACCTAAATAGTGTACATTGTAGGTAATTTTCCATCACTCATCTCCCTCCCATCCTCTCCCTTTCTGAGTCTCCAGTGTCCATTATACCACTTGTGTGCTTTTTCATACCCATAGGTTAGCTTTCATTTAGAAGTGAGAATATGTAGTATTAGATTTTCCATTCTTGAAAAACCCATCCCCCAGTTCACATCTTTCATTTATCTCAAACTTAGAAAAAGCTGCTAAAAAAATAAGATCACATATTCAGATACTGGTCTTGACACTGTGGAATGTAAATTAATAGCTATATTGCTTAGAGTCTTGAAAACATTTTAAAAATAAACCTGTCGGTCCACAGTTAATTTAAATCAGCCCATAAACCTTTATTCAGCATCTACATACCCATCCTCCATCTCACAAAGAACAACAGTCATTTATTTGCTAGATGACTATCATATATTTAGAATGATGGCCTCCAGTTTCATCCAAGTTGCTGCAAAAGACATTGCATCATTCTTTTTTATGGCTGAGTAGTATTCCACAATGTATATATACCACATTTTCTTTATGCAATCATCAGTTGATGGGCTCATAGGTTGATTCCATATCTTTGCAATTGTGAGTTGTGCTCTGATAAACATATGTGTGCAAGTGTCTTTTTGATATAATAACTTCTTTTCCTTTGGGTAGATACCCAGTAGTGAAATTGCTGGATCAAATGGTAGATCTACTTTTAGTTGTTTGAGAAATCTCCCCCCTGGGAAAACAGTTATATTAAAGTCAACTAACTTTCTTATATTTTTCCAGAGACAAAAATAACTTTATCTCTTAAAGCAAATTGTAAACTGAAACCAATTTGTGGACACCAACTCCAAGCCCATTGTCTTATTCTTCCACTGTCTTCATTTATATGTAATGTTGGCATCCAGTGAAACTTTCATGTTTCGTTCTCTTCAGTGAAATATTGACTAACAGGATTTTGGACACTGCCTTACATTCAGAGCGCTATGGATTTACTGTTTTCATTTTTGATAATCCATTTAAGCTGTTAAAATGCTTGCCACTCTCTGGATTTGATTTTGCACTCGTTGCTTCAATTTTTGTAACCTTTGTTGGAGTAATGTGGACCCTGACAAATACACACCTCATTATGTTCCTTTTGTCCCTCCGTCTGACATGGATTCAGATACTCGTATTTTAATAAGAGAGCCTCACTATGCCAGGAACAATGCAACCAGCTGATATTGACAACACATGCAGAATCTTAATAATTCTTAAGTGGACATTCACTCTTTAGTCACTCCTAGTCATGTTTCCCCTCATTCCCTTTCAGACTCTTTGGCAGGAATCCTTTGTCCTGGAGGTTAAGAAAGGGTTAGAGGAAGTGAGTTCATGGATCAAAATGGAAAGAAATTGTTTCTTTTCACACAAAAAAGTCTTGTATCTCTTTAGTGAGCTAGAGAGAACTCTTTTTCCAATTCAATCAGAGAGAAAAAAATATCAATTGGCTTGTCTTATGAAAATGGGTCGTGAATATTGAATCTGGCCTCAACCCAGTTTCTCTAGATTTTTATCTTGCTTGCATTTGTAAAACATTTCCATAAAAATGTCAAGTATTTTGCTAAATTTAGCAAAACCTCTCTTTCCCCACACTTTTCCTGCTGCATTTTTAAAAGTAAAATAAATTGTAACCAGAGGAAACTATTTTCAAAGCTGTTTTTACCCAGTAGGCTTAATATTTTTCCTAGTCACTAAATTACATCCCTATTTGATTGACTGTGCACCCCCTTATTTACGGTCATTATCTACAGATTTTGAAAGTCATAATGAACCAGCTAAGCTACATTTTTCCATTCACTGGCTTAGTCATCTGGAAGAGCCAAAACATTCAAAATCTGATTTTATTGCTGTTCATTATTTCCTATTTTCTCTCCTCCACAAACTCCATTAACTCACATCAGAAGCACTTGCAGGTAATGCCTCTAAGCTTTTGTGTAAAAATGTAACCAGTGGCTCTTCAAGGACAGAGATGGCATCTCCTGTAATATTTCTATCTAGTTAATTCTGAAGAGTTTCCAAACAAGTTGGATTCTTTGATCCAAAGAAATGCTGACCTGGTATCTCCTCGATTGCAGTTCCTTCATGGACAAATGTTGAATCTGTTTTAAGCCATTAGAAGATGTAATAGAGAGTTATCTAAACTATTTCTGGGTCACTCCTTAGACACTATAGATGTTGCTTTAACGATGTTTCTTTGTTCTGGAGCATGTGTGTGCATTCACGTGTGTGGTATCTTAGAATAGCAACCCTTCAGGGCACTGATAGGTACTTAATTTACTAAAACAAGACTACTGCAGCAGAGTCCTTTGATCCGTGCTGTGCTCACAAGTTAAGGAACAGATGTGGTCAATTCCAAGTGGGGAGACATGTGGGAACAGTTGCTTCATCAGTTTCCACTTGATTTTCTGACTAGCGTGTTAGTGACAAGGATGCACCTACCAAAAAAAGTTCACTGCAGGTTTACAGATTCTTACATGCACATAGGATAATTCAGTTATGGTCCCTTCTAATGTTTAAAAATAATGTTTTCACAGCCTGCAGAGAAATAGACGTTACCAGATTAATAAATGTGCTTTTTCAAAAACCAGCACGCCCTTTTCAGAACCATGGACAGCGTATTGTTGCCCCAGTATTTCTGGCTTTAATCCTGGAATCACACAGCTATTCCACTCAGTATATTGTCTGTATATTGTGTGCCTCACACACGAACAAACACTTTCATGTATATGCTTATTTGCTCATCATAATGATCCTCCTCCAATAAGACACACTACGCAACTCGGAGAATTATTTTATCTCTATTCTTGAATATGAAGTACTTATAAATCTCCTAATCATTTATTTATCTAATTTCCTTTTTGGATACAACTCAGTATTAAATTGCTATTATTTCAGGGACATAATATTGTTTATTACTCAAGCTAAAGTTAAAATAAATTTCAGTTGCAGTTTCATTGATTTCTTGGAGCGCATCTTGTGTTACTTAAGTAAGTTGTGTTACCTGTTGCTTTTTAATATATTTGCACTATCAAATGCATTAGAAAGCATTCCTCCCAGCTTTTAAATTATCCAATATAGCTAAAGTTAAGTTCGGACATATTAGTTTCTTGTTATACATTAAACTCATTAAATTGGAATTTGTGGTGACCTCTAGCTGTGTTAAGTAGTCATACTCTAATAAGAAGGTGGCCTGCTATCAACCTAGCTCTTTATTATTATAAGTAGCTTCACTAGGAAAACAATTTTAAAATAATAATATGTTTACTATTCAAGAAGTATTATTGGACTTATTTTAACCCTCAGAAAATATTTGCTTATGAGGAAAAGGGTTTTAAGTTCATTGGTGTCTATAGGCAATTTCTTCCCCATGATACATTCAGGTGGAGATGTATTCATTTTTAAAATTTATTTTCTGTTGATTTTATAGCAAATCTATACCATAAATAAAATGGCTGCAGTCAGCTAATTTTCATATCCTCAATCAAGTTGAATAGTAATCTTATTTTACATAATATTTCTTACCTTTCTAGAGTGTTACAAGGCTTAGAGCCTTATGACTTGGCCTGCCCTTCTAAGACATCCACCTACTGCCTAAGTTACATGCAAATGAGCTGATGAAAACTACTTTTAGTGGAAATAACCATCTATCCATCTACTATTTTATTGCCTCTACCCTTTAAGTGATGCTTTTTTATTGAATTATCATGTGAAGATAATATCCTCAATTGACTTTCAATTGCATTTAAGGCTGCTACCAACATCAACAAGATTAATAAAGCTGTAGGAATCTCATCTATCTGAGGCAAAAGGTGAAATGGAGAGTGTGGTAGATTATAACTTTCCAATATTTCTGTCACCCATGATTTTATAATTCTTTTCCAACAGGTTATAATTCTCCCTTTATTTTTGGAATTCCCTGCATATCATCTTTCTAGCATGAAAAAATAAAAATAAAAACCATAACAATTTGCAGGAGCCTATGGTTTACTATTTGGGTCTAGTCTTTTTTCTTCCTAGCTTTAGCCCCCTGGATGGTTCTATAATTACAAAGGAAACTATGGCCTGTTTATTTGCATTCTAACTTGCTCCCTCTTTCTTATCACTCTTTTTTCTTCTGATTATCCTTGACCTAATTTGTAAAATGTCCTATGCTCTTCTCTATTTTTATTATATTATATGCAATCTTATACTTCAAATATTTTGTAGAATAAAGAATGATTTAAAATGATGAATAAAAAATGTCTGGCTGGCCAGGAGCAGTGGCTCACGCCTGTAATCCCAGCACTTTGGGAGGCCGAGGTGGGCAGATCACCTGAGGTCAGGAGTTTGAGACCAGCCTGGGCAACATGGCGAAACCCCGTCTCAACTAAAAATACAAAAATTAGCCAGGCATGGTGGCACATGCCTGTAGTCCCAGCTACTCGGAAGGCTGAGGCAGGAGAATTGCTTGAACCTGGGGGGCGGAGGTTGCAGCAAGTCGAAATTGTGCCACTGCACTCCAGCCTGGGTGACACAGAGAGTGAAGCTACATCTAAAAAATAAAAATAAAAATAAAAAATGATTAGCTTCTTTTGAAGGATCAGATTCAAATTAGAGAAAATATTTTTGGCGAGCCTGCAAATGGATGTCTGGGCTTCCTGCTGGAAGTGAGGAAGAGATAACTAACCACGTTTCCATTCCTTTATCTGTTTATTTGCAGAACCATTCAGCGCCTCTGTCTGGGTGATGATGTTTGTGATGCTGCTCATTGTTTCTGCCATAGCTGTTTTTGTCTTTGAATACTTCAGCCCTGTTGGATACAACAGAAACTTAGCCAAAGGGAAAGGTAAGGGTACCTTCATGAGCATGATTCAATGTTGTTGCAATTTCATTTACCTTTAATGAAAATTTCAGTTTTAGAACACATTACTCTAGACCAGGCATGGTGGCTCACGCCTGTAATCCCAGCACTTTGGGAGACCGAGGTGGGTGGATCATGAGGTCAGGAGTTCAGAACCAGCCTGACCAATATGGTGAAACCCATCTCTACTAAAAATACAAAAATTAGCTGGGCATGGTGGCACACACCTGTAATACCAGCTACTCATGAGGCAGAGGCAGGAGAATCGCTTAAAACCAGGAGGCAGAGGTTGCAGTGAGTCGAGATTGTGCCACTGCACTCCAGCCTGAGGGACAGAGCGAGACTCAATCACACACACACAAAGAATACATTATACTGCGTTGGTGTACCATTGTATGAATGGTTTTGGGTCACTGATATTGCTTGTAATACCAGAAAAGTATGGTTTATGTACTTCAACTGATGGATAAAACAAAATGAAATATTTTAATCTTGTCATAACCTGAAGTCAATAGTTGTTAGGTGAAAACCACTGATGTTCAATTTGTTGGGAAAGCAGATTTGAAGGAACTTTTCTGACAATTAATTTAAAAAATGCTTGTCAAATGCTAAAATTGTCATGGGTTTCAACTTCAGTCTATGCAAAGAAAATGACTTTATAAAATCTAGTTTAAGAACATTCCTCAAACTACTGAATCAATTTACATTAGTTTGACAATAAATATAACTATGAAGTGATATATTTCCCCATAGGGTTATATTTTCCTGTTGGTGATGCCAGGAGGAAATCAAGTGTGCTAAAATAAAATGCATTGATCTTAGTGCATTGTAGTTGATAAAGGGACAATCAGTAGATAGGAAATAAAATTGGGAGGCATTCGTTAGCTATAACTCATTAAAAGGATCCCACTCTAGCCAGGGTTTATGTCATACACGTTATGCCATTTTGAGTGGGCTTTCCTCAGTGGGCACTACCTTCTAAATGGGTGTTATCAGAAAAGTGTCAGGACCAAATCTCTTTCCCAAAAAATGACTTGATATGGTAGAGGATGGAACTTGAAGTCTCATATCCCCCAAAAAGCAGAGCACTTTAATGTGATGGATACATATTCTTTTCACTTAGATGTTTTAATATTGGAAATACTCAACAGGTCATGGGAATCTATTAGGAACCTAGTTTTATTGAAATCTTTCAACTTCTTCCTCACCATTGAAGAGTGGTGATTACCACATAAACCATCTTCAATCAACCAGATACTAAACAATGCCATAAATAATGATGTTGTGTTTAATGGGAGATTGCAAGCCTTCATTTAAAGGGTAATTTAACCTCTAAGAAGATTTCCAACAGGGTGGAATCTGAGACAGTTTCTGTGAGTGACCACACTGTGATACAGTAGTTCCTTATATTTGCATAATCAGGGCTTGTGCTGTTGTGAATTTACACATTTTCTGATGAATATTTATCAAATGGGTACTACGTGCCAGGAGGCACTATACTGCTGCCAGAGATAATGTGGTAAATCAAATAGAGATTTTCTATCAGGCAGTTTAGAATTTAGTTGTGAAAATAACATGTAGACACACAAACTAATAATAACAGATTATAATAAATATCAAGAAGAAGAAAAAAACATAGTGACATGATAGTGATGGGGTGCAGACACTACGTTAGATAAGATGGTCCAATGGGAAAGGATGTTCATTGAGCTAGGACCTGAAGGGTGACATACAATTTTATCTGTCAAAAACAGTTACAGTCATTTCATGTAAAAGGAACAGCAAACAGAAAGGCTGAAATAATCTTGAGATGCTCAAGAAACAGAAAAAGGCTGAGGGGGTGCAGTGGCTCATACTTGTGATGTCAAGGCTTTTTGAGGCCAAGGCAGGAGAATTGCCTGAGGTCAGGAGTTTGAGACCAGCCTGGGTAACATAGCAAGACCTCATCTCTACAATAAATAAATAAATAAATAAATAAATAAATAAATAAATAAATAAATAAAATAAGCCTGGCGTGATGATGCGTGCCTGTATTCCCGGCTACTCAGAAGGCTGAGGTAGGAGAATTACTTGAGCCCAGGAGGTTTAGGTTGCAGTGAGCTATGATCACACCACTGCACTGCCTAGTCAGCAGAGCAAGACCCTGTCTCTATTAAAAAATAAAATAAAAAGATGTGAGTGAATGAGGTAGACAATAGTATAAGATGAAATCAGAGAGATAGGCAATTGACCATGGGAAGCATGTCAGACTTTCTTCAAAATACAATGGAGGGAGGCCAGGCACGGTGGCTCATGCCTGTAATCCCAGCACTTTGGGAGGCTGAGGTGGGCAGATCACTTGAGGTCAGGAGTTTGAGACCAGCCTGGCCAATATGGCAAAACCGCATCCCTACTAAAAATACAAAAATTAGCTGGGCGTGGTGGTATGCTCCTGTAGTCCCAGCAGTTCGGGAGGCTGACACAGGAGAATCCCTTGAACCCGGGAAGTGGAGGCTGCAGTGAGCCGAGATTGTGCCACTGCACTGCAGCCTGAGTGACAGAGCAAGACTCCATCTCAAAAAAAAAAAAAGAAAAAGAAAAGAAAAAAAAAAAACAATGGCAGGGAGACAGGTGACATACATGTACAGAGCAAAAAGGTCACTGGGGCTACTCTATCCAGATAGTGTGTGGGGACAACAGTTGGAAGCGGGGACGGGGAGGGCAGTTAAGAAGGTGTCACTTTTCCAAGAGAAAGGACTGCAATGACTTGGAACTTGTCAAGAACAACGAAAATACAGATAATCAGGTAAATCTGAGTTACATTTTGGAAGGTAAAAACCACCCACAGCCCATCCTTGCAATACGTTCTCCTTTGCCTGAAGCATGCTGGAAAGACTATTGTAAAGGATGGCATCAGTTGTGCAAACTCCTCAGCCCTTCCATTCTCTCCAGGCTCTCTGTTTCCAGCTCATCTGCTGTGGCAACTCTTGGGAAATGACAGCTACTTGTTTCTTTGTACAAAATGGTTTTCTGTTACATTTCGCTGCACTTTATGGGAAAAGTTATATGGCCCAGTCATAGTATTCATGAATCAGGAATTCCTAGAAGTCTTGGACCGATCCTTCTGAACTGCCTACATCTGATTCCTAAATAGCTGTCATTTCTGATCAGTGTGCATCCCTAAAAAAACTAAATCGTTCATAAAGTTGACTGGATTAACTCTAAGTTTTCCCCAAGAATTTCCTGCCTCTTGAGAATAAGCCCAGAAGATCACAAAACTAGCCAAATAGAAACAGGAGAGATTGAGAATAAGAGAATTAACTGCTTTCTCTTTAATGGGTTGTGTCATGGATATTATAAGTACAGCTGTAGCCTGGGTTTGGCCTCCAATGTGCAGAGAGCTTGCTTTTCCTAGGCTTCCTGCCCAGCACTTCATAACTTCCATTAATGTGAATTTGCTTCTGCCACTTTATTTATTGCCCACTCTGCTTATATTGGCAGGTGACATCTGAGTAGATCATTTTTTCATATCTTCATTTACTTAAATGACATAAAAATTAACCTCCTGTTAAAGGGAAACCTTCCCTATGAAATTAGGGCATCAGTTGATTTTTTTTTTTTTTTTTTTTTGCCCATGCAGAACAAAGACTTGAAAACCCTAATATGTGTGTTTTACAGCCTGCATATGCCCCATCGCCATAAATTTTGGCATATCATTCTGTCTCTTTAGTTAAGTCTGTTGCAAGGAACATTTAAGAATCTTAAAAGGGCTGCATAGCTATTGCGAGGATATACTGGAAAAAGTGCTGTGATATGACATCAGTGTTCATTTTCCATGACCCTGCAATGAAATGTCTTCCATCTGTGAAGTGTTGGAAGAATTAAGATCTATTGTTCCATTCCTTAATGTCTCCATTTGGAGAGGGTTTTAGTTTGGTTTAATTCTTATGTTGTACACACTTTACATCTGAGTTTGAACAGGAGCAATTGCTAGGGACAATCGGATTAGAATACCAAACATCAGTCCCGCTGAATTGCATGGTTCTTATACGATAGCACATCCGATGAATTTGGAAGCAGTCCCCATGCACACATTTTTGTCAGGCTCTCTTTATGTTTATTAAGAAGGCTGGTTTCCTCAAATGGGAATCAAATCCAAATTTAAAACAGGTCATAACACTACTTATTCAAACCCCCATTTTGCATAACCATTTTCGTTTCCTTTCTTTTTTTAAAGAAATGTGGCAAAAATCCAGTTAGATAGAAATGTGAGAAGAATGCTAATTTTTAAAGAAAAAAATAAGTTATTGTGGTTCTAGGGCAATCACAGGACACAACTATGATATAATTCCATCTTCTGGCAACCTTCGGTGCTGCTGGTGGCTGCTGCGTGGTTGTCATACACAAACAGGCATTTTTTTCAGAAAATGCTGAGAATGTCCTTTTCATCTTCTGCAGCACCCCATGGGCCTTCTTTTACAATTGGAAAAGCTATATGGCTTCTTTGGGGCCTGGTGTTCAATAACTCCGTGCCTGTCCAGAATCCTAAAGGGACCACCAGCAAGATCATGGTATCTGTATGGGCCTTCTTCGCTGTCATATTCCTGGCTAGCTACACAGCCAATCTGGCTGCCTTCATGATCCAAGAGGAATTTGTGGACCAAGTGACCGGCCTCAGTGACAAAAAGGTAAGGTCACCTTGCTTTCCTCTCCATCTGAGGGTTGGTCTTAACTGCTCTCCTTTCAGGAGGAAGAGATTCAGGTGCCTCTCATTGAGATCCATCAACTCGAATGCACAAAAGCCAGAAGGTTTTTTCTCTTTAACTCAAATTGTCCTCTTTCTCAAAGTTTTTGAAACAGAACATTAAGGTTAGCTCTCCTAGACCTAAAAGATTCCAGATCTAATTTGGAAGCCTGGCTTCCCCGAGTGGTCGTGTTTCCTATTTATATGATCTTTCTGATGGTGCTTGTGAATGACCTATGACTCAAGTGCTTAGGTTGAAATTCATCCTTTCGAATGTGTGATGTTAAGGAAGGCCCATTTTCCTGGATGAGAAGAAATTGGGGTGAAGGAGCACTGTAGGCTGTGGGTACCTCATCTATGACCTGAAAAAAAGTCATCTTTAAGCCCTACCCAGAGACAAAATTATCTGACAGCTCCTCTTTTCCATACAGCCAAATCAGTCTCAGCATCAGCGCTTCTGACTCACCTGAAATGTCTTCAAGGCACACAAAAGGAGCAGAGAGTTTTTTTCTTTCTTTCTTTCTGTTTTTTTAATTTCCCACTGGTTCTTTCTACTCAGATATATCACTAATCTTCCCTTATAGGGCTGTACTTCCCACATCAGTAAGACAGGAGTAAAAACACCTGCTCTCTCATTCTCCAGTGAAATGAAATATAACAAGGGTTGCAGGGTTTGAGTAGCTATTCAGAAACACACATTGAGGAAGAAAAGAGGTAAACTGGGTGCATCCTCCTATTGAGACTTTAGTTCAGGAAACATCCTGACTTGCTAAGCTCAGCAAGTGTTGAGATTGCAGCACCACAAAGATTTTCTGTTCTGTGTGTGGGGATAATTTGTCTCTCGTTATAAAACCTCGCTAACATATCTTTTTGACATAAGTCTACATATATCCTTTTGCCATTCATCAACAAACTGCTGAATAGAAAATCAATCCATGGAAAGCTTTTACAGCTTATCCATGATACACACTGTGGTTGAAAGAATCTTGTCAAGAGAGCTGATGAGGGGTTGGGGTTAAAGATGGAGTCATTTCCACAAAGGCATGAGAGTGCCTCACCTCTCTCTGATGGCTTCCGATTGAGGCTTGAGTAAGGGTCACTTTACTTACCATGGCACACAAAGCCCTGTGTTATCTCACCTGCTCCCACGTTTCCTTCCTCTTGCTCCATCCCTGTCACTAAGTTTATTTCAGCTCAGTGTCCTTGTGCCTCTTAGGCCCTCTGCCTAGAATGTTCTTCCCCAATCTTCTCATGGTTGGCTCCTCCTGGAATTTCTGGCCTTAGGGAAGACATTACCTCCTCAGGGAAGTCTTTCCTGGCTACTGTAATAAACTTGGCAGAATGAGCTCAGGCTCCCAAGAAACTTAAATTCTAGTAGGAAAAAAATAAGCAATACACAAGTAAACATCAAGGAAGAAACAAATTTGGAAATTTGGGGCAGGAATAAGTATTATAAAGAAGATAAAGCTGATGAGACTAAAATTGTCTGGGGGAAGAGGCCCTCAGGGATGTAGTTTTGATAGAGTTATTTTGCACTTTGGAGGTGCTCAGGACACTCTTGCTGGGTGAATGAATACATGCATGGTATACTGGACACTGTGCATACCCCACCTGGATCTCCTGGGATCCCTTTTGCAGCGCTGTGTGCCCAGCCCCACCTTTCTGTGCTTTGCTGACAAAGCCTCACTTCAGGGATCCTCAGCAGATTTTTGCCTTTGGGCACTGGAATGGTAAATGCCTGGCAATTTAAGTTCCCTCAATCTTTGTGGTCACCTGTAACCAAAGACTAATCTGTGTGAGAATACAAAGGCTAAGCTGCTCCCTTGCTTCGAAGCAGGAAAAACTTTAAGGTACGAATCACTCTCTGGAGCTCCCTGCAGGACGGGACTGAGATGGAGACTTGGCCTTAAATCAGACCCTTGATTTCTCCCCCTTCTCCAGTCTTTCCTAACTTTATCCTGCTCCCCTGCTGACTTCTCCTGGAACCCTTCACTAGTAAATCATGCTCACCCCCAAATCCTTCACTTGGGGTCAGCTACTGTAAGATCCCCGCCTAAAGCGGGTGGTATCTCAGAGGCAGCAGATAACACACTGTGTTTAGAGTCAGAAAAGTTGTGTTTCCTCTCTGCCTGTTTCCTCTCTGCCACTCGCCAGCCAGCCGTATAATGTTTTTAAAGCCATGTCACCTCACGGTGCCTGCTTTGTCTGCTTTGTAAATTTGGGAGTCACAATTGCAGTAAGGATGAAAGAAAGCCACATATGTAAATGTATCTTGTAGCATATGAATCCCTCTGCAGACATGAAGCGCTATTGTGCAAGTCTGTCGCATTATGGGATCAAAAGTGCAATTCCTAGAAGTGATTGGAGGTATGGTGGAAGCAGCAGGAAGCAATGTCCTGGAAGAGAGGATTTTTCAAGAAAGTGGTTGGCAGCATATTTTGCTTTTTGTTGCTATGTTCAAAGGCAAGGGCGGGGGGAAATCCTTACTACATAGTTTTGGGTCTAAATAACATGACCACTTGTGGGAAAACTAATTAAAACCACTAATAATTTGACTGACCTTCACTGACTTGGAAACACCCAGTAACAGATACCATATCCTCAAGAGACAAAGCTCAGTCTCCATGCTGAAAACATTAGAGGCAAGCTGATAGCTCTTTTAATTAAATGTTTGATACAATGAGATAAACAGCAAAATTCCTGGAGTAAATAACCTATATGCTCCCAGAAGATTAATAGAAGATACACCAAGAAAGTCTGCAAAAAAAAATCAATATTGAATCAATTTATTGTACACTGTGGTTGGTTTTGTTTTTGTTTTTTGTTTTTGTTTTTTTGTTGTTTGTTTATCATGAATACCTGTGTAACAACTCAGGTTTACAATGCTTTTAAGCCATTAGTGCTTGCTGTGAAATAATCATATTGGAGCCCATGGTGTGCTCAGATGAGCTGGGACTTAAATTATAAATAGGTGAATTCATGGGTAAGATGCTTCCCTAGGAATTATTAAGAGAAAATTGCAATGTTGATAGGGATGCTTTCCAAAATGTTGGGAATCACTCTGACAGAGGAAATCCATCTCTGGGAGGCAGATTTATGTTGTGGGAAGAGCAATATCATGTTTGGGGTCAAATGGACCTGGGTTCAAATCCTGGCCTTGCCATATGATTGGCCTTCTGTATGTCAGTATCCCCTTAGGCTTAATTTCCTATAAAAGAGAAGACATTATCTCCTTTCTGGCAAGGTTGATAGGAGGATTAGAAATAATCCTCACACCATGCCTGGCACATGGTAGATGATCCTGTAATGTGTTATTTCCTTCTTCTACCCTCCTCCTTTCCACTCCCCCCTCTCATTCCTCCCCCTCTCCTTCTCTTTGTCTCCCTTCTCCTCCTACTCCTTCCATCATCTTCATCATCGCCTGACTCAAACCATTCTTGGCTTCTGGGGCCTGAAATGTTATTGCACTGAGTTGGTCTTTTGTGACAACCAATGGAGGGAATTGAGGCAACTGCTCTCAGTGGATGAGCCCAGGAATGTGTTCTCAAGGAGCCATGCTGTCTCTGGGCACTGTGCTGCTGCTGCTGAGTGGTCCCAGTTCAGGCAGCCAGGCCTCCTCCCAGCTGATCCTCTCTCTGCTCAAGGACACACCTGCTTGCTGCTCACATCAAGAAGCACGTGGGACTTCACCAACAGAAGACTGTACTAGAAATAGGGGCTCCAGTTGCCAGATGTCCCTTATTTACAGGCACAGAAGACAGATAGATATTTTTAATAAATGGGTAGTTTTTGGTTCACAAAAAAAGAAAAAATATCTTGGTTAATTGCTGCATTTTTCTGGAAATTTTATCTCCAAGTGTTGCATCTCTACCTCCTCCATCATCAAATACTTGCCATGTTTTAGTCACTTGGATGACCTTCAGACATGCCTCCATATTGGATGGAAAAAAAATTAGAAAATAATCCTCTGTTCTCCAAACTGTAAGGAGACAGGCTTCATTGTTTGGCTGAAATGTCGTGGGTAACAACAGGTGATCTATCCCAAGCATTAGAGGATGCCAGGTGTTCTTTCAAACACTATAAGATTTGTTGCAAAAGCAATCTCCAATTTACAGATAGAGAAATTCAGGCTCAGGAGCTTAACTGGTTGCTCCAAATGGCGCAGTTTCTAAGCAGCAGATGAGAACCTGAACTTGTCTCCTGTAAGTCCAAAGCCAGGTGAAACCAGTTAACCTACACAGCAAGGGAACCCTGCAGAGAAGCCAGGGGAGTTCCTCTGACTCCAGATATTGTGATTACATTGTTCTGTGGTCTTGCTGACAATGGAGACCTCTGTCCTACCCCTTCCTTTGCTAAAGCCCATATTGGATTCTTTCTGCTTGCACGTGGAACTCTCTGGGAGAAAGTCTTGCTAGGAATCATTCTCGCAGCAAGCACGGAGTGTGTCCTGGATGTAGACCCTGGGACTTAATAGATGAGCCATCCTTGCCCCCTCACTGTTTTTCACGCTGTAGGTCATGACTCTTTAGTGAGCCATGAAATTAATCTAAGGATTGCAGACATTTTTTTAAAAAAATAGAACATAATGGATAACCTCAGAGTATATCACAGATAGAAAGAATGAGTGCTGTGAAATTTCACACATGTGCATGGAGTGGTGATGGGAAACGTATTGTGAGTCATGCTTTAAAAAGTTTGACAGTCTTCAGTCTAGTGGAAAAGGTTCCTGGAGCTTGGTGTCAGGCTGAATTTTGTGTGGGTGATGGTACTATCCAGGCCAGAGAAGCACGGAAACCATCACAGAGACTGAATATCTATCTCTGTTACTGTGCAACCCAGACACAGGGAAGAAAGTGAATTTTTAAAGACCTATGCAGCTCCTCTGCAACAGACGGGGAGTGAAGTGGAAGGCATTTAGTCAAATAGGCCATCTCCGGATATCTCTGGAGATTGGGAATGGCTGCTACAAGGAGATTTATGAACAGCACTATTACCTCTCTCCTCCCGAGCAGGCGGCTGCCATGAGGATGAGCCTGGGCTTGGCCTTTTGAGCTTTTGGTGATTAGTTAAGGCACTGCTTGGTGGAGTGACTGCAAAAAGCATTTTGCTGTTCACATACACACACATGCACACGTGGACGCACATACTCCCAGGGCAAGGCACACCCTGGCAGGAGGATCTCATTTGGAAAATGGATGGCCACTTCTCCCAAATCCAGTTATGACTGCATATTAGGCAGCAGCATGCCTAATTTAGGGAAAACGATTTTCAACTGGAAATTTTAATTAACAGTGAAGTGAAGTGTGAGTCTGGAAAAAAGAATAATGTTTCTAGCTGGTTTGACTCTTGGGTAAATTTGGACACTTACCCTGGCGGTTCTTAGTTCTGTGGAAGACACACTGGTCTGGAAGTTGGAGAGACTGCTGCATTGTGGTCCTGGTTCTGACACTGATTTTCTGGGTGCTCTTCCCCTCCTGGGGTCTTTAAATCTTTATGTCTAGATGAGGAGAGAGTCAATAGCAATGGTCTCTGAGGAATGATAGAGTTAAGACCTCAGCCTGTGGTCAGACGCATCCGGGTTTGAATTCTGGGCCACTGCTTGGTAGTTGCATAATCTTAAATAGATCACATAGCCTCTCTGAGCCTCAGTTTTCTTATCTGCAAGAAGCAGCCTCTAAGATTAACTACCTGGCATGGGTTTGTAAGGATTAAATGACCTGACGTTTGTAAAGTTCTTGGCATAGTGCTGGACCCAACTAGGTTCCCAAAAAGTGTTAGTCATTGTTGTTATTACTTTCTAGTTCCAGAAT
This sequence comes from Homo sapiens, assembly GCF_000001405.40. NCBI lineage: Eukaryota > Metazoa > Chordata > Mammalia > Primates > Hominidae > Homo > Homo sapiens. The sequence continues at coordinate 9,823,556 of NC_000016.10, read as the reverse complement.
TCAATGTTTCATAGAAAAATGAGGTTCAGGTTCCTTTTTCACTCATAATGATAATAACAGACGGTAATCATAGCTTTATTTTTGAATGCTTTCTCTGGTCCAGGCACTATTCCAGTTACTTGACAAATGTATGTTGAGATCTTCATGGTGGCCCCCCACTCTACAGATGGAAAATAAATGGAGGCAGCATGAAGTGAATGTGTTATCTAGGGTTCCATAGCTTGTATGTGATAGAACCCAATTTTCCAACCAGCCAGTTCGAGCTCCTGCTTATAACCACAGCCCGCCACCATCTCTAGTGTTTAGCTGTATTTCTGGAACTCAGATCCAGTTCTATTGATTCGACTCTCATTGAGTCACCTGAAACATCGAAGCTGTGGACAGACAGAATCATCCAATCCATCAGAGAAGACTGGTGATGCATGGACTACAGGCCTTTATGGGGGGCTTGAGTGCCGAGTGCTGCGTATCCCTGATAGCTAAAGATCAACAGGGACTCTGGCTCAACAAGTATTCATGGAGCCTGCCATGCACTGGCAATTATGCCTGGGGAATGTTAGGCACTAGATAAATAGTGCCTGCAGGAGTGAATGAATGACTGAGTGAGTGGAGAATGAATGAGTGGTAATATATAGTCATTTTCTGGGTGAGGTGAAGGTAATTATAAATGGAGTTTAGAGAAGGGAGTGATTGGTGGAGATCACAGAAAATTTCATCATAAAGTGGATAAATGGACTGGACTAAGGTAGTACCTTAAGTTCAGCTCATTCAGCATTTCTAAGTACTGACTGTGTGCCTAACACTGTGCTAGTCTCTGTAATGGCACTGAAAAGTTCAACTCAACAAATACCTATGGAGCACCCAGCCGGGCTCTGTGCTAGGATCTGAGCAGTAGTACAGAAGAAAACAGATGCTGTGTCCACCCTCCTGGAGCTCACAGACTGGCTGAAGATGTGACTAAGTAGAAAGAAAGACCAAAAAGCAACATTTTATTGTCATCCTGCCCTAATGCATGCATTTACCTCCTAACACCAGACAAAATGATCACTAATTTATTATTTGTTCTCTCCTCCCCCTCCTCCCTTCTCTTTCTTTTCCTACTCTCTCTCTTCCTTTCTCGTTCTCTCTCCAGTTTCAGAGACCTCATGACTATTCCCCACCTTTTCGATTTGGGACAGTGCCTAATGGAAGCACGGAGAGAAACATTCGGAATAACTATCCCTACATGCATCAGTACATGACCAAATTTAATCAGAAAGGAGTAGAGGACGCCTTGGTCAGCCTGAAAACGGGGTAAGGATGGCAGTTTCCTTTTCACCACAGGTCTGCGAGCGATAAACCTTACAGAAATTGACTCTCGGCATGCCTCAGTTCCTATCTGCTCCCATTGTATTTCTGGAGAGTGACTGTGGTCCAGATGGGCCCCAGTTGAGGGCAGTTTTTGTTAATCTAATGAGCATCCCAGGTTTCCTTCTGAGTTGGGTGAAGAAAAAGCAAATCCAGGATGCTTTGAAATGCACAGAAACAGAGGGGTTTCTTAAACTGATAAAGAAGTTTGTCCAACTCCATAGGATATTTTAACAAATAGAAAGATCCAAGAAGGCCAAGAGTTTAAAGTAGTGAAAACAAAGATTTTTATCAGATTTTAGGTAGGAGGTTTTCTGAGTGTGGGGAGGAGTAGCTTGCTAGTAGGAGCTTTATGAAAAAACTAATTGTATAACATTGATGAAAGAGAAAGAAAAGATGGGAGAAAAGCAATGAGAACTCAAATCATTCAAGTTACAGTTAGCATTCCTCTCTGTCTGTTGGCATTGTGGAGTGTAACACAGACTCCATAGCTGAAGATGTAAAGAAAAGATAGCACAGGGGTTAGGAGTTTAGGCTTTGGAGAGAGAGTTTCTCATACCTCATAGCCTCATATCTAACATGGGAATAATAATAGGACCTAAGAGAGAAAATCTGATGGAAAGCCTTTTGGATGGGAAATAGACAGTACCTAAATGTGAGTGTTGTTATTTATTGTAAAGGTTAGATTCTATTCCATGGACTCTTCTGAAAAGTCCATTGTTCTGTGGTCTTGCTGACAATGGAGACGTCTGTCCTACCCCTTCCTTTGCTAAAGCCCACATTGGTTTCTTTCTGCTTGCATGTGGAACTCTCTGGGAGAAAGTCTTGCTAGGAATCATTCTCGTAGGAAGCACGGAGTGTGTCCTGGATGTAGACCCAGGAATGCATGAAATCCATTTTAGAAAGGATTAAATCCAATAAAAATGATTTTATTTTAAATGACAGAGTTGTTTAATGAGGGGATTTTGATTATCCAGAAAATTAGCTCATATGGGGCATTTCAGTTGTCACAGATTCCTGCATGGAAACATGACTGTAGGTGCATTCTCCTTGTGGCTTAATAAATAACCTCCTTTTCGGCTGTTCGGCAAGCCCATTGTGAAGGCCTTGCTGCTGGCTTTGTGTCTGGTAGGGGGAGACAGAGGCCCCTCTAAAGCATCAAAGCCCAGATTTCTGCATAGAAATCCCGGTAGTTTTGGCTGTGAGCATTCTGTCCTTTCAGTCTGTGCCTTTGGAATGTCTTTGGCATCTCAGCAGGGGCTGGGAGAGCATTTATTCAGAAGTTAAGTCTATGATTTCTGAAAAACTCATTCCCACAGTGCTCATTCTGGTTTGGAATGATTTCTTTAAACTTTTGAAGTATAACAAAAATGCAGAAAATTCACAAATATTAAATATGCTGCTTTATGGCTTCGTACAAACTGATCATCCAGGTCATCACTCCCTGGAACCCCGCCCCACACCCTCTTCCAGTCAATATCTTCCACCCGCCACCTGCACTTCTAAAGCCGTAGATTCTTGGTGCCTGCTGTTTTAACATAGAAATAAAGCCACACTCTTTTCTTTTTTGTCGTCTTTGGCTCAACATTGTGTTTGCAAGATTGTTGCATGTAATTTCAGTGCTTTCATTCTCATTGCTGGAATGCAGCACACATGGATGTCTCTGTCCTAATCTTGATGGACATTTGGGTAATGTCCTATTTTGGGGCCATTATGAATAATGCTTCTTTTGTTAATGAGTGAGCGCATTTCTGTTGGTATACACCGAAGACTGCAACTGCTGAGCCATAGAATATTTGTGTCTTCCACTTTCACAGATACCTGAAAAGACCAATTGTTGATGACTTTACAGTTTAGCCATGGGTTTGGGATTTTTGTTTGTTTCCATTGTGGTCTTTTAATCAACATATACTGTTGTTTTGGACAGACCATGCGCACAAATGCAGATGATAATGGTTGGAGACAGTGGTTGATGCCTAGCTGGCTTTCTCTCCCTCCATTTATTAACCAGAGCACAAAATGGGTTGTTTTCTTTCTTTTTCAATCTTTTTTTTAATATAATAGCAAAAAGGAGAGAAATGGAAACCATTCGTGGCCATAAATTGTACAAATTGGTTTCTGGAAGCCATATAATAATTATAACATCCATCTTAGAAAACGTGGGCAGATGGCAGATTCATTCTATACTCAATCTCCCATGTGGGGGATGCTTTGCATTGTTACTTTAAACTCAGAAACTAGAGCTGAAGGAGTACAAGTCTTTTTTTTTTTTTTTTTTTTTTTTTTTTGAGACGGAGTTTCGCTCTTGTTGCTCATGCTGGAGTGCAATGGTGCAGTCTCTCCCCGCTGCAACCTCCACCTCCCAGGTTCAAACGATTCTCAACACACTCAGCTAATTTTTGTGTTTTTGTAGAGACAGGGTTTCACCATGTTGACTAGGCACATCTTGAACTTCTGAGCTCAGGTGATCCTCCTGCCTTGGCCTTCCAAAGTGCTGGGATTACAGTCATGAGCCACTGCACCCAGCCACAAGTCATTTTTTAAAAAATAATTCAATATACTCTTAGGGATGAAAGCACAGCAGTTATCATTACTGGAGATTTAATTTCATTGGAGTTAATATTTGGGGAAACCACATACATGTTTAACAGGCTCCTTGATTAATTATTTAAATTTTTTTTTTTTTTTCAGACAGGGTCTCACTCTGTCACCCAGGTTGGAGTACAGTAGTGTAATCATAGCTTATTGCAGCCTGGACTTCCCTGGGCTCAGGTAATCATCCCACCTCAGCCTCCTGAGTAGCTGGGACTACAGGCAAGCACCACCACACCTGGCTAATGTTTGTGTTTCGTGTGGAGATGAGGTTTTGCCGTGTTACCCAGGCTGATTTCAAATTCAGAAGGCTCAAGCCATTCTCCTGCCTCAGCCTCTCAAAGTGCTGGGATTACAGGAGTGAGTCACTATGCCCAGCCTAAATTAAATTTTGAATAGATAAGATATTTATATACGTCAAAAATAAAAAAGTACATAAAAAGAAAAAAACAGTGAAAAGTTTTCCCTGCACACTATTCCTCATCTAGTACCCCTCCATGGTAACCACATTTACTCTGTGTATCCTTCCAATATGTTCTTCTGAATCTTTCTATATTAATGCATAAAAAGCCATAAAGTTATTTTTTATAGAGTCATAATCTTTCATTATGCAAATATACCATATTTTATTTGGTCAGGCCTCTATTGTTGGACATTTAGGTTGTTTCCAATCTTTTGCTATTGCAAACAAAGCTGTAGTGAATATCTTTGTATTGCGTCACATTCAGTGTAGAATAAATTTCTTGAAAGAGTGGGTCACAGTTGCAATTTTAACAGATATTGCCAAATCTCCCTCCAAAGGAAATTCATACTTACCCCATCAGTGCATGAGAGAGCTTATTTCTCCAAAGTTTTGCCAATACAATGTGTAATTAATCTTTCAAAATTTTGCTAATAGGTAAAAAGTATGCTGAGATATAAATTTGCACTTTTCTCAGTAAATTTTGGCCATATTTATATACTTAAGAGCCATCGGCAATTCCTTTTTTACTTTTATTAATATTTCTATTGGTTTGTTGGTCTTTTTCTTATTAATTTATATATTGGACAGATGAGCCTTTTGTGATGTGATTACAAATATTTTCCCTATTTCTTTTTTAGTCTTTTGAGCTTGCTTTTTTTTTTCCATGCAGATTTTATCTTTTTTGTAGTGAAATATATCAACCATTTGCTTATGGCTGTTGAATTTTGAGACGTAATTCAAAAGTCTTTCATCATTCTTTATTACAAGATAATTACCTCGTGTTTTCTTCTTTTTTGGTTGCATTTTTTAATATTTGGAATTTTTCTTGGTGGGTGGTATGAGACATGACTTCAACTCCTCAGATGATTATGAAAACCAGAATATGAGAATTACCACCACAGAGCTACACCAAGATCCGATCAACTTTGTGTTGATTGTGTCTTCTCAACGTCCCACCACGAGACTGCGGTCTTTCAGGTGTCCACGTCACCACACTCACAGGCCTTTTCCTTCCTTTTCACATCTCCTGTTTCCTTTTTAAAATTTTCATTATGAAATATATTGCTGTTTAAGGAATAATAATAATACAATGAAATCTTCTTGTACCTACCACCGAGCCTTAAAAAAAAAAAGTCATTCTCGTCCTTTACCACGACCAGCATCTGTAGAAGGTTCCATCCCTCTGGAAGGTTGAAGAAGGTAACCTCATCTGCTCCCGAATTGCTCAGCTTTTGAACATTCCCCCAACACCCTAGAATCCAGCAAGCCTTGACTTAGAACATCCAGAGCATGTGGCTCAGCTGCTGGGTCTCACTGCTCCACCCACACGTTTCAGTAACATCTGCTGCCTAGCAAAGCCACGTGCATGCACACCAGGGTCAGTGAAATTGTGGGTTGTAATTTTCTGGGAGAGTCCTGAACACCAGACAGGCTTTGGATTACTGTCAAGTGACAGTCCCAGCTGGGTTTGAGTCTGGACTCGAGCATTAGCTAGCTGTGTCCTGGGACAAGTCATGTCACCTCTCCAAGTCACTTTCTAGTTTCCCCATCTAAGAAGTGAAATGGTTGAATTCTTTGATCTCTAAACTAGTTCATGAGATTCTTTTATCTGTGTCAAACACTTAGGAAGACTCAGACAAACCACATATGCAAACAACTGTCAGTTTTGCAGAAAGGATTTAGAATCATGCCCCAAAATTGGGTGCCTCCAAGCCTGGCCAATGGACCAACTGTACCTGAATCACATGATTACCTGTCAAAATGCAGATTCCTGGGCCCAGGACAAGGCTTTCTCTCTAGCTATGGAGCCTGTGAATCTTTATTATAATAAGCATCATTCCCCGCAGCACGCCACACCACGTGATTTTGAGACACACGAATATTTGAGAACTACTGTTTTAGAAGTCCAACACACTATTCATTGTGCAACAGAGCTGAGAACTACTATTTTAAAGGAGTTGAAGAAACACATTTTATTGGGATAGGCATATACAGAGTAGACAAGCCAAATGCTTGTCTTTGGAATCCCTAATTTTTTGAAGAAAGGCATAGGCAGAGAAAAACTTGAAAGCTAAGTTTTACTGTTTATTGAAATTCATAATAAATGGAGATAAAGAAATTATCAGACAAATCAGTGAGAAAAAAGGGTTTGATGTGTAAACATCAACAGAGATGGGATTTTTCAGGCACAGATCTGTTGTGCCTTGTGGGACTCCTGTGAACCAAAGGTGGATGAGCGTCAGTGACCCCAGGTTTCTAGGCTAATGCTTCTCAAGCATAGCCTGAGTCTGAATCAGAATAGGTGCTAATAAAAATGTAGATTGCTGAGCCCCACTGAGCCAGTTGAATCAGAATCTCTGTAAGGAGGGGTCTGAAGATCTGCATGGTTTAACAAGCTCTTCAGGTGACTCCGATATGCCCTAATCAAATTTTAAGAACATCCACTCTAGAAGAGGGAGCTGAAGCTGAAATGAGTGGAGACAGATTTAGATTTACAAATGCTCAGTCATCAGAAGCTGATGTCCTCCAAGCCATTTTGGCATGGGGGCAAAACTGCAAGCGTCGCACATATGCCAGATTTAAATTAAACAACGTCCCTAGAACTCCGAAGAGCCTAATATTTCAAGACACAGTGGGATAGTTTGTGTTTTTCTTTTAATTGATTTTCATGTACAAGTCTGGGTGTATACATTTATGGAAAAGTCCCAATTTCCTTAGAAGCCTCAGTTTTCAGCTCTCAGGATCCCCAGTCCCCTGTGCGATTTCATTCTCAGCACAATGTTAAAAAACAGGTCTCTGTTGGTTTCCTTTACATGCAGTAGTTAGAAGAATTGGAAGAGAGGATTGTCTTTTTTCCCAGTATTTTTTATTGTGATAAAATATGCATAGAGTAAAATTTGCCATCTTCACATTTTTAAGTGTATAGTTCAGTGGTATTAAATGCATTCATCGTGTGGTACAACCATTACCACCATCTGTCTCCAAAGCTCTTTATCTTGTAAAACTGCAACTCTCTATCCACTAAACAAAAACTCCTCAACCCCCTTTTCCCTAGCGCCTGGCAACCACCATTCTACTTTTTGTCTTTATGATTTTGACTGCTCTAAGTACCTCATCTAAGTGGAATCATACGGTATTTGTCTTTTTGTGACTAGCTTATTTCACTTACCATAATGTTCATCCATGTTTTGGCATGTGCCAAAATTTTATTCCTTTTTAAGGCTAAACAGTATTTCATCGTATTCAGGTACCACATTTTGCTCATCCATTCATCTTTCAATGGACACTTGAGTTGTCTCAGCATTTTAACTATTTTGAATCATGCTTCTGTGAACGTAGATGTGTGAATATATTTTTGAGACTTTGGTTTTTTTTGTTGGTATATATGCAGAAGTGAAATAATTGGATCATATGTCAATTCTATTTTTAGTTATTGAGAAACAACCATACTGTTTTCCACAGTCCCATTTGCATTCCCACCAACAGTGCACAAGGGTTCCAATTTCTCCACATCCTTGCCAATACTTGTTGTTTTCTGTTTTTCTAATAGTAGCCATCCCACTGGGTATGAGGTGGTATCTCATTGCAGTTTTGATTTGCATTTCCCTAATGATTAGTGGTATCGAGCGCTTTTTACCTGCTTATTGGGCAATTGTATTTATTCTTTTGAGAGGTGGATATGCAAGTCTTTTGGCCATTTTACATTTGGGTTGTTTGGGTTTTCTTTTTTTTTTTTTTTTTGGTTGTTGTTAGGTTTTAAGAGTTCTCTGTATATTCTGGATATCAATCCCTTATCAGATATACAATTTGCAAATATTTTTTCCTATTCCATGGGTTACCTTTTTATATTCTAGCTATTACATTGATAGTGTCTTTTGATGCACATTTAAAAAAAAATTTAGGGAGTATTGTCTTTTTACCAATAAATATTTTTCTAAAAGGCTTGAGTTGTCCTCAGTGACATGTCTGTAAAAACAAAAGAACAGTGTAGTCCCATCTCCGTGTATGTGTTTGAAATGTCTTCATAGAAAGTTTTGCATTGAAAAACAAATGAGCACTGAATTCCTATCCTAGAGCACAGGTTTGCAAAGCCTGTGGGATTTAGGAATGTACCTTTTTTTTTTTTTTTTTTTGAAACGGAGTTTCGCTCTTGTTGCCCGGGCTGGAGTGCAATGGCACAATCTCGGCTCACCACAACCTCTGCCTTCCGGGTTCAAGCGATTCTCCTGCCTCAGCCTTCCCGAGTAGCTGGGATTACAGGTATGCAACACCATGCCCTGTCAATTTTGTATTTTTTAGTAGAGATGGGGTTTCTCCATGTTGGTCAGGCTGGACTCAAATTCCCGACATCAGGTGATCCACCTGCCTTGGCCTCCCAAATTGCTGGGACTACAGGCCTGAGCCACCGCACCCGGCCAAGAAGGTACATTTTTATTAGTGCTTCTAGTGATTCAGATGTAGGTAGTCCATGTCTTTGAGAGGTTAGTTAGTTGACTATTGAGAAATGGAGTTCTGTAGTGACTAAACAGGACAAGGAAGAGGGAGGATATTTCAGAAGGAGGGTGCAGGATGGGTGGAGATGTGGCAAAATGTGAGTTTAGGTTTAGGCATATTAAGTTGGAAGTGCCTTTGGAACACCATCATCATATGTCCAGGCATCTTTGCACTTAATGTGACCTGACAATTAGTGAGCTACAGACCTGAGCACTTCATATGCCTAATCTCAATTAATCCTCACAACACCCCTACGATCTGGGTACCATTAATATCCCTTTTAAGAGATGAAGAATGTGAAGCTCAACAATGTTAACCTAATTACCCAATAGGCTATTCAGCTAAGTAACTACATTGCAGAATTAGTAAGTATAGAAGTTAGGCTTACTTCCCCACTTGGAAATGCCACCTAGGCAGTTGGAAATACGGGGTTATGGTTCAGGGGAGAATTTAAAACTAAAGTTAGATATTACATATGTGCATATATTATAGAGTACATATCATATTAATTGATGATCTGAGAACTGATAAAATCACAGCATTATCATTTCTATGCTCAAAAGAAACTGGTTCAGGGATATTGGCATTCCCAAGGCAAAGGTAAACCAGGAGAGTATAAGGGTTGTCACTGAGGTTCAGTTGCTCTGCAGAGCAAATTTTTTCAAAGATGCCATTTGAGCAGGTTTTATTTGCTGTATTTTATCAGTCAAACAGAATCAGACACAAATGGTTCATTTCCAGCTGCTGAATTCGAAAGCGGGCATAGACATCAGGGTTCAGTGAGCTGTTCTAAATGGGGTAGCGTCATCTCCAGAGAAAATCAGATCAACAATGACCTGGTTTCTGAGATCCACCCCCACACTGCAAACAAAGCTCAAAAATAATTGCTTCCACATCATAGAGTTAGAAAGTTTTTTCCTTAATAAAAACTCAAGTAAACACAGACATCTTTTTTTTTTTTGCGGGGGGGTGGGGTTCTTGGAATTATTTCCTGGTAAGCTCTATTAAAACAACGTTAAAGGATTTTCAAGGCCACCTATAAAAACTTTTTTTAAAGTAGAAAAAAATGTCTGTGGGGGGCAGGAGTTAAATAAAGTGAGATCATAATTCTTTAAACTCAGAGACGGAAAAAAAAAAAAGGCAAAAAAAACAGACTAAAAAGAAATATATCAAAATGTTATCGGAGATGCTGCTAGGTGATTGGGATGATGGACTTTACATCTTTTTACATTTAACAAATTTTCAGCAACACAGTATTACTTGCAATAGCTAGAAAAAAGTTTCTTCTGACTATAATTCTCTATTTTTTCCTGCATTTCATTCTTGTATTGTCAACGCATATATACAATTCATACAAGTTGAGTCGGTGCATATGCAAATTTGTTTTGCTTTTCTCAATTAAAGTAGACAGTTCTGTTGTTTAGTTTCCACATTTAAGGACCAGGTGATAATTTCATTGAGCTAGAGGAATATTAATTAATTTAGCTTTTACTGCTTTGTGTTTTCATCATGCCTTAACTAGCACTGAAGGGTACTACAAGAAATAGTTATTTTTGAAAAGGTTGCTGATACGGTTATTACAGGACAGCTTGTGGAGAATGTCGTCCTGTAGCATCCCTCACACTTCTGTACGATGAAGAGCATTGCTTTGTTCTGTTTGAGGCACGCTTTGATCTTGTTGACAACACAATTCTTATAACAACTTATGGTTTTCTTTTTGCTTGGATTACCGCACAATTCAGAGCTTAATGCATGATTCTTCTTTCACAATTGTGGAGCCTTTGGCCTGAAAATCTGTTTACTGACTTTCCCTAAGACTGAGCTACTATTCCACTTCTGAATTCACTTAACTCCAATTGCTTTATCCGTATGTGTAAACCTTATTCTATTCTATTACAGTGAGTGTGAGCTACCTGAATTGCTTTGGACACAAAGCAATTCTTTGTTTTTTAAATTTTTTTATTGTGTGTTTTTATTTATTTTATTGTTTATTTCTTTTTTCTTTCTTTTTTGTTTTTGTTTTGAGACAGAGTCTCGCTCTGTCACCCAGACTGGAGTGCAGCGGTACTATCTCAGCTCAGTGCAACCTCCATCTCCGAGGTTTGAGTGATTCTCATGCTGCAGCCTCCCAAGTAGTGGGATTACAGGGGTGCACCACCACACCCGGTTAATTTTTGTATTTTTAGCAGAGACGGGGTTTCGCCATGTTGGCCAGGCTGGTCTTGAACTCCTGGCCTCAGGTGATCCTCCCACCTCGGCCTCCCAAAGTGCTGGGATTACAGGCGTGAGTTACCGTGACCGGCTTAAGTGAGGCATTTCTAACTAACAGATTCCATTTATTGGGAGCTTACCTGAGTGCCAGGTACTGTGTTAAATGCTTTGCCTCCATTATCTAATTTAAACATCATGACAAACCTATATGACGGTGACCATCAAGATTTTCATCCACCTTTGAGGAAACAGGCATTGAGAGATTAAGCAGCGTGTCTGGGATCAATCTTACGCCAGAGCCCCTGCTTTGAGTCACAATGTAAAAAAAATAAAAAATATGACTGTTCTCATAATATTCCACAATTAAGGCCGTTTCTAATGGCCCACCATTATGCAAAACCTAGTACCAATTTCGTCATATTTTTACTTCAAAAGTTCTCCTTTTTTCTTTAAAATCTTTACTACTGTTTCAAAAGGGGCAATGTTTCTTCTTCCATTGAGATAAGGAAAATAAATGAATGTGTGGAGCAAGAGCGTGGAGGAAATGAATTTCTTCTATTCGAGCCAAGCCACAGGAAGCACATGGTCAGAAAATTCCTCCTGGGGAAGAACTGTGAAGAAGCAGGAACTCCCTGGCAGGTTCTATATCCTTAGGGATCACCTCTTGTTTGTTTTTGTTTGTTTGTTTTTTGAGACAGAGCCTCACTCTGTCACCAGGGCTAGAGTGCAGTCACGAGATCTTGGCTAACTGCAACCTCCATCTGCAGGGTTCAAGTGATTCTCGTGCCTCAGCATCCCGAGTACTGGGACCACAAATGTGCACCACCATGTCTGGCTAATTTTTGCACTTTTAGTAGAGACAGGGTTTTGCCACGTTGTACCAGGCTGGTCTCAAACTCCTGACCTCAAGTGATCCGCCTGTCTCGGCCTCCCAAAGTGTTGGAATTACAGGCATGAGCCACCACACCTGGCCCACCTCTTGTTATTGCTTGCTGAACTCACATGGGAACTTCAAACATGTGACCTCATTTCCTCCTGATTCAACTCTGCCAGATAATCATTTTCTCCATTTTATAGAGGAGGACACTGAAGTTCAGGCAGAAGCCACAGTTCGTCTGAAGGTTAACATCTAATGAGTAGCAGTGCCAGCATTCAGTTGAAGACCCAACATCTTTTCTGACCCATGATGTTGTGCTAACCCTCTGCTTGTCCTGAGAAGGGAACAGCTCTGGCAAGGGTTGTACCTATCTGTTACAAGGTCGTGGGGTTAGGAGATGCGAAGTTGCTCTCACCCATGAAGCATCACAGGTTTGGAATAGCTCAGCTTCCTTTCTCCCCACAGTAAAATTATAAACACATCTCCACTGACCCAGGTGCTAAAAAGGTCATGGTGTTAATGTATCAGCCCTGTGTGTTCTCTTGCTGCAGGGAGAAGTGAGTTTTCCTGGCACTGGGCTCACTCAGACCATGGAAAGCCTCTAACACAGGTTAGGAGACACTGTTTACACCCCATGGAAAGTGCCCGGGGCCAACCCCAGACAGCTGCCTCTCCCAAAGCAAGCCCCACCTCCTTCCTCCCATAGAGAAATGCAGGTGGAGGAGTGATAGGAACTCAGGTACTGCACCTTCAGGTGTCCCCAGTGAAGTAGTTTCCTAGAGTGGCCATAACCAATAACAAGCATGGTGGGTTGCAACAACAGAATTTTATTCTCAGTTCTGGGGGCCAGAGTCCAAAATCAAGGTGTTAGCAGGGCCTTGCTCCCTCTGAAGGCTCTAAGCGAGGGCCATTCTTTGCGTCCTCCAGTTTCTGGTGCCTCCAGGTGTTTCTTGGCTTGTGGCTGCATCTCTCCAATCTCTGCCTCCATCTCCAGGTGACCTTCTTCCCTTGGTATGTCTCCTCTTCTTCTAAGGACTCCAGCCGTTGGAGTTAGGACCCACCCTAAATCCAGGATGACTTTATCTCAAGATCCTTAAACAATTATATCTGCAAAGACATGATTTTCAAATAAGGGCATACTCTGATGTCCCAGGTGTACATGAATTTGGAGGTATACTCACCTAGGCTGTAGTGTGGTTTTCCCAACATCACCTCCTGATAGGTATCCGACATCAGTGCTGCCAGTGGAGGCTGTCCTCAGGTGTCTTGGGGACCAGGGGAAGAGGCCATGCTGCCCAGTACTTTATCTGGGTGTGCTGTGGGGAGTGGTGGTGTATTCCACAGGAATGCACAGCACACAGGTATGCAAAGTGGATTCTTGCGTGTGAACTCCCACCATCAGGTGGTAATTGTGCTGGCCAATTTCCCATACCTTCCCTATCCCCTGCCTCCTGGTCTCAGTTGTTTAGGTAGCCCTCACTCCATGCCAGGAAGTTTTTCTTTTTGAGACAGAGTCTGGCTCATTCACCCAGGCTGGAGTGCAACGGCGCGATCTCGGCCCACTGCAACCTCTACCTCCTAGGATCAAGTGATTCTCCTGCCTCAGCCTCCAGAGTAGCTGGGATTACAGGTGTGTGCCACCATGCCCAGCTAATTTTTGTACTTTTAGTAGAGATGGGGCTTCACCATCTTGGCCAGACTGGTCTCGAACTCCCGACCTCAGGGGATCCACCCTCCTCAGCCTCCCAAAGTGTTGGGATTACTGGCATGAGCCACCACACCCGGCCCCAGCAGCTTTTATGAGTGTATTACCTGTAACTCTTAGTTTAATCTTCACAGCTTCTCTGGGAGGTTGGCATGCCCAGCATCTCCACTATACAGACAGCTTAAGTCATGACGCAGGCACAGTGCTGGTAAGCTTCAGAGCTGGGATTTGAACTGGCTCTAGGAGCTATGCCCTTAACCATTATGCTATATTGCTTCTCATTAAAAAATGTATCCTCATTGTAAAAAAAAAAAAATGAAAATACAGATAAGCATTCCTTTGGCTTGGCATCTCAATGCCAATCTGTTGTCTGTTTGATGTACGTTCCATTTCTCCAAGACTTTTATTATATGCATTTGCATATGTTTTTGTTTTTCTGAGACAGAGTCTTGCTCTGTTGCCCAGGCTGGAGTGCAGTGGTACGATCTTGGCTCACTGCAACCTCTGCCTCCCAGGTTCAAGTGATTCTCCTGCCTCAGCCACCAGAGTAGCTGGGTTTACAGGCTACTACAGGGGTGCGCCATGACGCCCAGCTGATTTTTGTATTTTTAATAGAGATGGGGTTTCACCATGTTGCCCAGGCTGATCTCAAACTCCTAACCTTCAGTAATCCACCCACTTCGGCCTCCCAAAGTGCTGGGATTACAGGAGTGAGCCACCGTGCCCGGTCTGCATTTGTATATATTAATATATGTCCACACAGAATAAAATTTTATTCTGTGGAATGCTATCAAACTCTATGCAGTATGTCACAGTTTGGTTTTCAGTGAACGATATGTTTTGGAGAGCTTTCCATTTTTTGCCTTCATTCTCTTTGACTGCTGGAAAGAACTCCATGATATGCATGCATCAGAATATTTTTAAGCATTTTCTTCTCACTAGACTTTTTTTGGGGGGGTGGGATGAGGGCTATCAGTCATATGGCTGTGTTAAGGATCGTTGGGGAGTCCTCTGTGTACCTCTACAAGTGGTTTTCTAGGAATGAAACCAGGACATAGAATTTCTGGGTGGAAGTATTTATATTTTCTTGAAGCCTTCAAACTTACGTAGTCAATTTATTTGATTTGCTTATTTTTATATTTTCTGAGTGGCCTCTTGGTGCAGAGAGTGGATTTTGGGGTAAGAAACGCCTACTTTAATATTCTGTCTCTAATACCAGCTGTGTGACCTTTGGCAAATTAAATAACCTCTCTCAGCCTGTTTCCCACATGTGTAAAATCCTATTTCCTGGAATTCCTCTGAGAAATAACCAAGTTGACTTATGGAAAGTACCCTGCATTCTATCTAACACATAATAGCATTTTCACAAATCTCGATGTTTTTCGGAATCTCTCTTTCACTCTCATGTTTTCTGGCCCCTGAGAGTCCCTGTCTTTCAGTCCTCCTGTGTGACAAGTTCCGTGATGTCGTCACTACTAACAGTATGATGGGGTGCTTAAAGGATAAGCATCCTGGATTCGAATTCCCACTCCAGTGACATCCAGTGTTGGGACCTTGGACAAGTTATTAACATCTTAGACTCCAGTATTCCACTTTTATAAAATTATACTAATTGTGCTGCCTTCACTTGGAAATGCACTGTAAAGATTAAATGAGATATTCCGGCAAAGAGTGCAGTGTCCAGCACATAGTAAATGTTCAAGAAAAGTCTGAACAAAGAAAACCTTTTTGAGCCATCTTTCTAATATTATAAAAACGCTATGCTTCGTGAAATCTGCAGCAGAATGGTTAGGTCTGACCTCAACCCTTGAAAAGTACAATCTAAGAAGCTCTATAAAGAGTAGCATTCCAGAAAGAACCAATACTGTTCCTATGTCAGAGCATGAGTTGTGGTGAAGAAAATACAGCATCGCATAGTGCTTTGCAATTCACCAAACAAATTCATGGCTGGGACTTCATTCAACCAGTGCATAAACATAGGAGACAGATTATGTTTTCCTTCCTGTCAGATGGGGAAATCAAGGCTTAGAGAAATATTTAGACTTTCCCAACTTTCCACAAAGTATGCAGAGCCAGTTCTCTGACCCTGCATCCCAGCTGAGGCCTTGCACTGGGGGAGCCCGGCAATGGTGTCCTGAAGGCACACTGCTTTGGTGAGTGACAGACCGGTCTGGAAAAATTGGGCGGAGATCTCTGGGCCTCAGTGTCCTCATCTGAAAAATGAAGAGACTGGATTACATACTGTCTCAACTCCTTGGGTATAGTCAGTTTGGGTCCAACGTTACATTTAACAGAAACAAAGTACTTACAGCTAGATGGACTTGGACAATCATTTCAATCCTTCCCTATCTTTGAAATTAGCAGTCAATAGACAAAGTGGGTACATTCATCTCTTGGGTATTCTTTCTCTTTCTCTCTCTCTCTGTCTCTGTCTCTCTTTCTCTCTGTCTCTCCTTTCTCTCCCTCCCTCCCTCCCTCTCTCCCTCCCCCTCTCCCTCCCCCTCTCCCTCCCTCTCCCCCTCCACCCTTCCTCCCTCTCTCCCCCCACTTTTTCCCCCTCTCCCTCCCCCTCTCCCTCCCTCTCCCCCTCCCCCTCCCCCCTCCCTCCCTCTCTCCCCTCCCTCCCTCTCTCCCCCCACTTTTTCCCCCTCTCCCTCTCCATCTCCCTCTCTCTCTCTGTTAGTTCATTTTCACACTGCTGATAAAGACATACCCGATACTGGATAATTTATAAGGAAAAAGATGTTTAATGGACTCAAAGTTCCATGTGGCTGGGGAGGCCTCACAATCATGGTGGAAGGTGAAAGGCATGTCTTACATGGTGGCAGGCAAGAGAGAATGAGAACCAAGTAAAAGAGGAAAACTCTTCTAAAACAATCATATCTCATGAGACTTATTCACTACCACAAGAACCTTATGGGGGAAACTGGCCCCATGATTCATTTATCCCCCACTGGGTCCCTCCCACAACAGGTGGGAATTATGAGAGCTACAATTCAAGATGAGATTTGGGTGGGCACACAGACAAACCATATCACTGTCCTCACTCCTTCCCCGTTACCTTCTTCTATCCTCTTTTTCTCTCTTTCTTTCCCCCCTTTTTTCTCTTAGTTTCTTGCAATATATCTCACTTTTTATTCTCTCCCTCTCTGTACCTTACTAACATCTCTTTCTCCTTCTCTGTTTCTCTTCCTCACTTTCTCTTTCTCATCGTTTTTCTCTCTTTCTGTCTCCGTCTTCATGTTTTGCTTGGTACCTCCTTCCATCTGGATCTCTTCCTCCTCCCTAGTTCTCTTCCTCTCTTCTATCCTCTCCCCTTCTCTGCTTCTCTCTGCCTCTGTCTTACAAAATCACTCAGGATTTATTATCAGCTAAAAAAATAAATATTAACCATCCATCTTTTTTGCCCAATTCACAGTGAATATTATTGGTAAAAAAAATAAGCCACACAAAATAAACTGACAAGAGCTGAAAGCACACAGGGTGAAATTTGGTATTGACTAAAAATCCATAGATGACTCAAATCTTCTTAGCTAATTTTGGATCTCTGTACAATTTTGACCCAGGAGAAATGGACTTGACTTGGTGGAAATAATAACCACAAAAGAAAACTCAAAATGGCAGAAGTTATAAATTAGTAAAATTTGTTGTGGTCCAAATCCTGATCAATGAAGCAAATATTTATAAAATTTAAACACAAAAGAATTGACCCCAGTAAAAATGTTTCCAAAAAAGTTGGAAACAATTTAACTACGCTATGCAAGACATCGATCGAGGAATTAAATTAGCTTAAGGGAGTTTGCTTTGAAAAATGCTTCCTTTGTGAAAATTCATCAATGTTGGTATAACTCTGACTTTAGAGTTTGTATTCACAAACCCAGAATCAAAATGTGATTCTAGGCCATTTTCCCAAAGCCAGTTTTAGACCATTCTGTGCTGATGGCAGGTAGTCCCTGTATAGGTTGAGTGTCTCTTGCCCAAGTAAACAATTTCAAAGCTTGTCATGCCTCAGTGGTGCCATTTCTGGGGATCATGAATGCCCTTCCCCGATGGGTACCCGGTGGTGATCCACACCTCCACTGCTTCTCTGCATAATGATACCACCACTGCCAGATAATCTCCTAAATCCCACCAGCATCTGCAATTACAAGCAAAACACCTTCACTTCCATTTTAATCCATCCAACAGCCAGCCCTGTAATAAGTTATTATTTATTTCCCATCTTACAGATGAGAATACTGAAGCTCAGAGAGGTCCCATGACCGGGCTTCACTCATGGAGCTGGTGAAGATAAATCTGAATTGTGTTCCCTGTTCCACAGTTGCCCAAACATGCCAACTGACCTCAAGTGCTAATGTGTTCCTCTTCCTGGCAAGGGTTTGGTTTGATCTGAAAAAAATATATTCAGTTATCATCAAAGAGATGTTTTAATTTTCAGTAACACACACACACACTCATGTGCACATGCTGGTTTCATTAATTCATCAAGACAAGCAGTGTCTTGTTAAAGGCTTCTTGAATGTTAATGAATGAATAATTAACTTTAACTATATAATTAGCCTTTAAATGTGCTGAGACCCCCAGAGAGCATCTGCAAACATGCATAAGAAGATGATGAGCTAAAACCGGAAACTTTTGATTAGGAAATGTCAAGCCGCTTGATAATACAAGTTCCCATCCCTAATGTGTCCATGCCTCTACTGTGGGGTATAGTCCTCCCCAGGGTAGGGACAATTAGATTTGCCAGTAAACAGTCTTGGGGCTAGGATTGGACTTTCAAGGCCATTGTGCAGGTATAAGAGAGACCCACTGACTAAAGGAATGGGGTCAGATCTACACACTTGTGAAAGCTGTAGCAGCTCTTGAGAGCTGTCAATAAGGATGGCAGGAAACCACTAGGTTAAAGTAGCATGGGGCACATGTGACATCCGTCCTTACCTTGCTTCTTTGCTAATTTACAGAGAGGAGGTCTTATTTCCCCCTCTTGTTCTGAATTACTGTCATTTCTAATCATTTGTGCTCCTTGAGGACTGCCGGTGATGGAGAAGGTAATGGCACCCGCACAGCCACTAAGATGCCTGGCAGGGGGTGAGCCTGTCATGTAGCCAGCATAGCATGGCATTCTTTTGAGCTCCAGCACTGCTCCAGCCCTCATGGTGTGAAGCCAAGGTGTCTTTGGTCTGTCGCAGACATTGGAGAAGAGGGATCGCTCCTCTCCAACATCTTCTATAGGGAGTGGAGGCAGAAAGGTGGCATGGACCCCAGTGTGTCAGATGGTGTCTCTGTCCTCATCACAGGCAACATCCCACAGTTCTCAGACCTGACCTCTGAACGTCCTCCTGCCCAGTGGGAGAAACACAACCCTGGTACCTGGGTAGGAACTGAGAATGTGGCACAAAGACAAATTCCTCTTCAAAAAAGGAAGAGAACATGCACCAAGCAGAGAAGAGTAAATGGGTTCCCTTAGCTGTGTGTTCTTAACTGGGCTTTCAGTTGGATGCTCTTGGTTCTAAGGAACCAGCCCCTCAGTGGTGTTCCAAGCCAGTGCTGCCCATACCAGGCTGCAGCCTAACACGTCACTCTGAGTCCAGCAGTCGCAGCTCAACCCCTCCAAATGCCATTGGTCCACATCAGACCAATACTCTGACACTGTCTACTATGGAAATTAAGCACTTGAAATATGGCGGGCTTCCGTTTCAGGTGGCCTTTTTTCTCTTTCTTACCCTCCATCTTCAACAAGAAGCTATGGCCACCTATACCTACATGTCTTCCGATGGACTGGAGTAGACTATGTTAGGGGCAAGAGTTTTCTATGGAGGTAACTGCAGCCCCTTAGATGACTCTGTGGCTGTTGGGAACGAGACAGATGAAGTGGAACAACCCACCACGACTATTGAAACTCCGGCCGCTCTGGCCCCATCCTTGCCTCTTCTGTCAAAACATTTGGCTTATTTATAGCTAAAACCCCCCATCTGAATTTTCTAAGTAATAGAGCTGCCTCCATTTACTCTACAAGTCTTATGGATAGCATGGCTTGGTCACAGTGGTTATGTCAGTGGTCTTTGGTGTCAGACTGCATAGGTTCCAATGCCACTTTTGACACGTATGGGCTGGGTGGTAGTGCTGAGTCACTTTACTGCTCAATGCCTCAGTTTCTCCATCTGACAATGGGGATGGCAGTAGTATGCCCATCCCTGCACAAGGAGAAGGACCAAAAAATATAATAATGCATATAAAGTATGCAGAACTGGATTTCTCCTATAGGATCCATAAAATTGGTGAGCCCCTTTGGCATAAAATCTGAATTTGATTGAATGCATTTATGTGTTTCGAGCATTTGTTATGTTCTGAGCATTGCACACATACTTTACTTATATAATAACACTTTATTCCCAGCAGCCCTCTAAGGGCAAATATTGTTGGCTCCATTTTTCTTTCTTGTTTTTTTTTTTGAGATGGAGTTTTGCTCTTGTTGCCCAGGCTGGAGTGCAGCAGTGCAGTGGTGCAATCTCGGCTCACTGCAACTTCTGCCTCCCGGGTTCAATAGATTCGCCTGCCTCAGCCTCCCGAGTAGCTGGAATTATAGGCATGTGCCACCATGCCCAGCTATTTTTTTTGTAATTTTAGTAGAGACGGGGTTTCTCCATGTTGGTCAAGCTGGTCTCAAACTCCCGACCTCAGGTGATCCGCCCACCTCGGCCTCCCAAAGTGCTGGGACTTTAGGCGCTAGCCACTGTGCCCGGCAAGTTGGCTCCATTTTTCATAGGGAAAACTGAGCCTGAGAAATGCAGTTGCTTTGCCCAAAGTCCCTGTTGACAAATCTCAGAGATTTAGGGGATTTTTTTTTCTTTTTAACAACAGGAACAATTATTTTTTCCAATAGAAAACGGATCAAAAGTAGACTTTTTGGGTCAGAGCAAAAAGGGAGACCCAGAGTCCTGCTCCCTAAGCCTTCCCCTTGCTTGCCACAGAACAGCTAGGGCTGTGCCGCAATAGCCCATAGGCACGTGGGACCCCCTACATTACAATCTAAATTAATGAAATTAAATGAAATTTACAACTCATTTGCACTAAACATATTTCAAGTGCTCGATATCCATAGTAGATGGTGTCAGAGCATTTCCAGCATTGCAGAAAGTTCTATTGGACAGTGTTGTCCTAGAGGGTTTTATAATATAAAGTCTGGAAATATCACCAACAAGCCCCAGGCTGCCTTAGGCTTTCTGAACCTTGTCTGCTTATAGACAGAATAGAAAAATAATAACAATAATAATATCTTGCTACTGGACAGTTGTGAGGCCTCAGTGGGATGATGTCTGTGAAATGCTAAGTATTATTTTATAAAACATCTTGCAGACAATGGCCATCTCTTTTTTTAAAGTGATTATTAGTGATTCCATTTGTTATTATTTATTTTAATTCATAGTTTGTTCCTGCATCAGTTTGCTCAGGATAATGGTGTGCACCTCCATTCATGTCTCTGCAAAGGACATGATGTTGTTCTTTGTCATGGCTGCATAGTATTCCATGGTGTATATGTACCATATTTTCTTTATCTAGTCTGTCACTGGTGGGTTTGATTGAGGTTGATGCCATGTCTTTGCTATTGTGAATAGTGCTGCAGTGAACATATGTGTGCCTGTGTGTTTATAATAGAATGATTTACATTCCTTTGGGTGTATACCCAGTATAGGTCTTTGAGGAATCGCCACACTGCTTTCCACAATGGTTGCACTAATCTACACTCCCACCATCAGTGTATAATCTTTTCTTTTTCTTCACAACCTTGCCAGCATCTGTTATTTTTTGACTTTTTAATAATAGCCCTTTCTGACTGGTGTGAGATGGTATCTCAGACAATGACCATCTCTCTGGGAGGGGACTGTGTATGCCCCAGGATATTTTTAAACACGCAGTTGTCTGTAGCCCATTGTGTGTAGGCCCCAGCTCTCTAGAATCTAGAAACCAGTTCATGTGGCCCTACAGTTTCCTTTCTGTGTTGTAATCACTTCAGTTCTGACATGGCCCTAAGATGACAGTCAGGCCATGGAGGGCTGGCCCAATTGTGTGCCTCCATGGCCAGACCCCTCTGACAGCATGACCACCAGCCCACCCCAGTCATGCCAATGTGTAACTGCTTTGGTCAGAGTCAACCACATCTTTTGCAGCTGTCCTGCCTCTGACTTTTCAGCATTGTGCTTTTATAAACTTTGTTCCCAAAGAAAACTTCCTTTATTCCTTGTACTCATATGTCTGTCTGTTGCTCAGCTCAAAAAGACCTGTCATGAAATATGGTACTGATTTGAAGATGTCTATGCCTGTCCATAAAATACCAACTTAAACTGCTTCTGGACAACTCTTATGTGGTTGCTAGGTACGTGTGTAGATTTCCAGCCTAGCAGCACCTCAGTGCACAGTGGCTTAGCAGGATAGGAGAAGGTTTCACCCCATGAATTCCAACAGAGGGCCCTAATGTTTGAATGTGCCCATGTGTACATGTGTGTGTGTATATGTTTATTTTTTGAGGAATGGAGAGACGAGAGTTGGGTGGTACTTAGAAAGTCTAAATAAAACCAAGTTTCTATATCTCCATGGCAACATGGATACGGGAAGTATTGACGTTGCAAGTATCTCAGCTTTATCAAGAGACCAACACCTTCCACGGCCCTAAGTCCTTAGGATACATGTGTTATCCAGAGTTTCAATTTCCCTATGGATAGCCACAGAATGTGACTGTTGGCTCACACAATCTTAGAATACCACAGCTGAACAAGTGTCTCAGCAAGACCACAATGAACGCCACCTCTCACAGAGGAGAAACCAGAAATCCAAAAGGAGAAAGTGACTTTCCTGAGGTTGCACCATCATCCTAGCCTAGACTAGAACTCAGGTTCCTTTCACCTACTACTCCAGTGTTCCTGTTACACACCCTACTCCCATTATACACAAGTTACTTTTGACCTTGTATAACTCTCCATCCCATATTTCTGCAGGTCTCACTATTGCTGGCTGTTCCTCTTGACTTGCTGTCATCAAGCCAAGCTCTAGGTTGCTCCAGGTTACGTATGACAGCTCTAGGTTACCATCGCTGTTGCCAATCAGTGCCCAGTTCTCTTCTGCTGCTGCTTGATCTGATTCCCTTTAATACTCTCAGAGCCTAAAACCAAGTCTCTGATACCCCTACCTTGAGATCAAAGCTTCAGAGTGTTTCTGTGGATGAGACAAGTCCTACAGTTTTGCGCCACCTCAAACCATTATAGAAACAAAAAAAAATTAAAATGAAGAACACGGCTGTAAACCTGCCAAATAGTTTTGTTCCCATAGGGAGTCCTTCGGCAGCTGTCTCTGAAAAGATGCAGTGTTTCACATCCTCTCTTTGCCATTTTTATTTTTATTTTTTTGCTTCACTGTTTTATGTTTTCTTGTTAAAGAAAGGCAATAAAGTTGAGAAAGTGTCATGAAGTTGAGTCATCTCCGATTTAGTTTTCTTACCCATTTTAGAGTTGAGACATTCATCCCTGCATTCCACAGTGATCATTTCAGCCTCGTTAAATAACTTTAACATTTGGAAACAATATCCAGGACTACTGACAGGGATCTAATCATAATTAGCACCTGTAATCCCAGCACTTTGGGAAGCCGAGGTGGGTGGATCACTTGAGGCCAGGAGTTCAAGACCAGCCTGACCAACCTGGTGAAACCCTGTCTCTACTAAAAATATAAAAATTAGCCGGGAGTGGTGGCAGGCACCTGTAATCCCAGCTATTTGGGAGGCTGAGGCACAAGAATCACTTGAACCCAGGAGGTGGAGGTTGCAGTGAGCTGAGATCGCACCATTGCACTCCAGCCTGGGCAATGGAGTGAGACTCCATCTGAATAATAATAATAATAATAATAATAATATTTAGGCACAGTTGTGCCCTTGGAGAGATTACCTGATGCTTATTTTCTGGGGTATGCATAGGATTTCTAAGGAAATGATAACATTCCACATTTTGAACTGCATGGTGATTTCAAGGATATATACATATGTAAAAATTCATCAAGCATTTTATTACACATACGTTATACCTCAATAAAAATAAGTGTATCAAAAAAGAATTTAAAAGTGCTATGTGTATTCACATGGAAATATATTCACTAGGTATGGAATGAGAGAAGAAAGCAATATGTGAAATAGTTTGTGTGGCATAATAACATTTTCGGGATTAAAACAAGGGTTGGCAAACTACAGCCCGTGGACCCATCTGTTTTCCTAAATAACATTTTATCGGAACACAGCAAAGTTCGTTTGTTTACACATTCTCTATGGCTGCTTTGGCACTATGTCTTGGTTTCCTAGGGCAGCCATAACAAAGGAATGCAACCTGAGCAGCTTAAAGAACAGAAATGACTGTCTCGCAGCTCTGGAGGCTAGATGTCCAAGATCAGGGCATCTGCAGGACCACGCTTCCACCGAAGGCTCCAGGGAGGGATCTGTTCCAGGCCTCTCTCCTGACTTCTGGTAGTTCCTTGGCTTGCAGCAGCATAACTCCAGTCTTCATATGGCGTTCTCCCTGTGTGCATGTCTGTGTTCAGATTTCTCCTTTTAATAAGGACGGCAGCCACAGTGGATTAGGGGTTCACCCTACTTCTGTATGAATGTTAGGGGTGGACACAGTGCAGCCCCATAACACCCTACAACAGCAGAGTTTAATAGCTGCAACAGAGACGGTATGTCCTACAAAGCCTCAACTATTTATTATCTTGTCTTTATAGAAGAAAGTTTGCCAATCTCTGTGTATGCGTGTTTGTGCATACTCACTAAAACATTTGGAAGGCTGTTCACTAACATGTTAACAAAGGTTGAATCTGAGTTATAGAATTATAGGTAGCTTTAATTTTAATTGTATTTTTAATACTTTTCTATATTATTTGGATTTTTAAAAATTCTGCAATAATTTCTGTATGATAAATAAGCAGCACATGTATTTCTTTTGGGAGGAAAAAATATTCCTATTTAGTTCCTTTCCCCTTCATACACACTACCACCAAATTCTTCTGCCCCTTAGTGGTTTATTTTGTTCTGATGCAAACCTTTCTAAATAGGGCACTGTCCTCCACCACTGGGAGTGTTAAGGACAAACACTTAGCAAACCAGCAAACTCAACTGTTTACTCACTTGGGTATATGGATCCTTCATGTCTTTATTTAGCTGCCTCTTGTAAGTTGGAGAGAAAAGGTTCTGGCTTTTATCTCCTCATTAAAAATAGATCCTTTTATGATGAGGGGATGGAGAGGCCATGAGTCATCATCACCAGCATGAAAGAAAGTGTGGGATGCTTTCAGGATCAGGCCTCAGGAGCTGGACCCCGAGGTGGTACCTGGCCACCCCTATGACCCCCTGGTTTCTTGTCATTTCAGGAAGCTGGACGCTTTCATCTACGATGCCGCAGTCTTGAATTACAAGGCTGGGAGGGATGAAGGCTGCAAGCTGGTGACCATCGGGAGTGGGTACATCTTTGCCACCACCGGTTATGGAATTGCCCTTCAGAAAGGCTCTCCTTGGAAGAGGCAGATCGACCTGGCCTTGCTTCAGTTTGTGGGTGATGGTAAGACCCCGGGTGACCCCTTTCTTTAGGGGGACTTGAGACCCTCACACTCGCTTTGTTTGCTCCTGGGCTTCCCAGTGGATCTTTGCATGATGAGTTTGCTCCCTAAAAATATTTACTGAGTTCCTGTCACATGAAACCATGGTTCTTTAGGTTGCTTATAATGGAAAGCAATTCTAGATAACTAAATTTAACAAACAAAAGTATTCTAAGGATACAGTCTCTCTCAGGGGATTTAGGAAAGAGTTAAATAGGTTTAGAAAAAGACAAGAGCCAGGACAGTCCTGGTGCCTTAAGTGGGAATTTATAGGTCTTCTGTCTAGGGCAGTGGTTCTCAAAGGGTGAAGGGCAATTTTGTCCCTCAGGTGACATTTGGC
This sequence comes from Homo sapiens, assembly GCF_000001405.40. Classification (NCBI taxonomy): domain Eukaryota; kingdom Metazoa; phylum Chordata; class Mammalia; order Primates; family Hominidae; genus Homo; species Homo sapiens. Next base: position 9,797,899 of record NC_000016.10, on the reverse strand, counting down.
AATGCCTGGAGACACATTCAGTGATCACGGCTGGGAATCTGCTTGCTGATCTAATGGGTAGAGGCCAGGGCCAGAAGATGCAGGAAAACACCTTACAGGGTCCAGGACAGCCCCCTACATCACAAAACACAAAATTATCCAACCTCACATGTTGGTAGGCTGTGGTTGAGAAACGCTGCTGTACAAAATTACATAACTAGGCTGTAATCAGTCCCAATTTCACTCCAGAGAAAGGATTTCTGATGCATTTTGAGGTCAAAGACTCTTTCCTAGACTTATCAGGCATGACTCACGGTGGAGTCATGTTGTACCAACATGGCAACTCATGTTCTTATCCCGTGGAGGAATGAAGGAAAGGCAATCTCTATTGCAGTCTAATGAGACTGTGGCATTTATAGAACTGTAAAGCCGCTTGGGCCAGCTGTGTCACCAGAAGCATTTCCTCCTGTCTGCCCTTTCTACTTCATAGCTGGTGATCTCACTATAGCCCGGGGTTTCCTGGCATGGCCTCTAGAGGCTGGCCGTGGCTTGGAATGGCAGGTTGGTTTCCTTTCAATTGCCAACACGGAGGAAATAGGAAAAGCAAAGTCAGCTCAGATAGCAGGTTAACACCAAAAATGAGCTCGGTATGAGGAGGATAGAAAGGCTCAAGCCAGAGGGCAGAAGCCCCGTTCAAATAGTGGAGGCTATATTCAGAGATGATTACAGAACGTGTTATGCCAGGCTACAGGTGGGAGAGAAAAATCTAGTTACCACTACAGTGAAATGCAATATCAAAATAGGCAGAGGTTAGCTAGTGCATAGGGTTAGTGTGAATTCGAATGAAGTGCACAATTACTTGTGGCTTCTTATCTTCTTTCTATTCACAGAGTTAAATCCTAGATTCTCACAGTGCCATCAGGCATTCTAAATGTGTTTTATATTTAACTCCCAAATGAGAACATGTGAGTCTTTGAATTCTCCATAGGGCATTTGTACCTTCCTCAGATCACTGGCCATGTTCTCTGCTGTGTAATAATGATTTGTGGCTGTGTTGGTCAGCTTTTTGCTGTGAGATCTTAGAGGCGTACAACAGTAAGCATTTATTTTCCTCATGGTAGTGCAGGTTGAGTGGAGAAGCTCTGCCTGGGGTGGGGATAGTGCCTCTGCTTCCTGCCACAAGCGTACGAATCAGTGGTGTGGTCTCTGCTCCACACGTGTTTCTGCTGTGTCTCGGGCTGAAAAGGTAGCAGCTACCTGGGGAAGCTCTTTTCCTGGCCATGGCAGAAGCACAGAAAGGAACGCCTAGCTGCACATGCACATTTCAAGCCACTGCTTGGTCACGTTCACGTCTGCTAACATCCTTCTGTCCAAAGCAGGTCAGGTGGCCAAGTTCAGGGTCAAGGGATTGCAGGTATACTCTGCCTTTCATGAGATAGGTCTTGAAGTTTTATGGCAATAGTGTGGACACTGAGAGTATGCTGAAGAATTGGGGCCAAATGTTTTGCCTATCACAGGGGTGGATAATCACCCTTACAGGGGATGAACTATTCAGCAAACAGGAGTCTTATTTCCAGCATTACAACAAAACACTGAACATCACAGGTAAATTGGTCAATAAAGGTTTGAATGAATAAATACATGTATGGATGAATGATTGATTGATGTTAAGATGTATTTCATTTGGCTGGAAACTTTTAAATGTGATAGGTATCTGTCAAATAAGTGAGTTCTAACTCTAGCCCCACCCACCATTGGTGTCACTCTCGAAGCATCTATTATAAAACAGCTAACATATTTAGGGACTTGGGTATGTCAATCATCATACTGGATGCATTACATACGTTCCTCAATGTAATCTTCGTAACCTTATGAGGTTAAATGTTGCTTATTCCCACTTTACAGAGGAGGAAATTGAATCTCAGAGGGCAAATCCCCTAGCTAGTAAGTGGCAAAGCTTCTACTTCAGGGACCTTACTCTGGAAGGGGGCCAATTAGGGAAGACTGTTGTTATATTTAATTCTCTAAGTTATCTATCAAAGATGACTAAACTCTTGAGATGTATAAATCCTTTAGGAAGGAGTAATTTAGTGCACATCTGAACTAAATCTACTGTCCCATTTACAAATACTTCTATGAAAGAAGTGATCTTTTTTAGCCTCGGTTTATTCATCTGTGAAAGGGTACAGAAATAATTACCTAATAAGGCTGGTGTGAAGATGAAATGGGAGAATACATGTAAAGTGCATAGCTTAGCTTAGCATAGACCCTGTAACATACAAGTGGTTCAATAAATGTTAGCCATCACCATTGTAGTTACAGAAAAGGGGTCCCAATGCAGACCTCAAGAGAGGGTTCTTGGATCTCATGCAAGAAAGAATTCAGGGCAAGTCCATGGAGTAAAGTCAAAGCAAGTTTATTAAGAAAGTTAAGGAATAAAAGAATGGCTACTCCATAGACAGAGCAGACCCAAGGCTGGGTTATTTCTTGATGATATGCTAAACACGGGGTGGATTATTCATGCCTCCCTTTTTTAGACCATATAGGGTAACTTCCTGATGTTGCCATGGCATTTGTAAACTGTCATGGCGCTGGTGGGAGTGTAGCAGTGGGGACGACCAGAGATCCCTCTCATGGCCATCTTGGTTTTGTTGGGTTTTGGCCAGCTTCTTTACTGCAACCTGTTTTGTCTCTCAGCATGGTCTTTATGATCTATATCTTTTGCCCACCTCCTATCTCATCTTGTGACTTAGAATGCCTTAAGCCATTTACGAATGCAGCCCAGTAGGTCTCAGCCTCATTTTACCCAGCTACTATTTAAGATGGAGTGTTCTGGTTCACACGCCTCTGATATCATTATTATCATTATCATCACCACCACCATCACCGTCATCATCATCATCATCATGACCATTGCCATCATCCTCATTACCACGATCATCACCACCATCATCATGGCCATCACCACCACCCTCCTCCTCCTCTTCATCCTTCTCCTTCTCATCATCACCATAGTTGCCCGTGCACAACTCTAGTATCAAACACAACTTCTTTAGTGTTGCACTGGCAATAATGTAGTCAAGTTAGTAACACAGAAACAACTTTTGTGGTGCTAAACAGAAAAGGTCTTCTTTGCACCAAATAAAAAATAAACAGTAAAAGCATCCAGATGGGCCAGGGGTTTGTTCATGTACTTACAGAACATCTAGGTTCTCATCGATATTTTCTGTTCTGGCTCATTGCCTTCCTGGTCAGACTTGGGTTTGGGAAATGTCTCTATTCAGCTTCATCTCTTGAGGCCATCGGGAGGCATAAGACTTGGGAGAGAAAATGCCATTGGTCCAGGGGGTGTCTCCAGATGATCTTCCCGGAAAGCCATGACCAATTCTGAATGTCTCTCTAGGAGTAAATACATGAATTAACACAGCTGCATAAATATTTCACTTATCGTATGCAGCTTCAGCAGGATTAATTATGCTCTAAAATTAGACGTGTAAAGAGCACAGTGCTGAGCAGTACCTAATTATTCATCCTCTAGAATGGAGTGTTTATCTCTTGTTACACAGTAGCTTCAGTGGACGATTATGAGTCTAATGAGTGTCAAAAGTATAAAAAATTTTCCTAATGAGCTGTGTAAATATAACCTTTGAATGGAGTGTTTGGTTATTGAGGGAACCTCTTACATGAAGCCTGCCATGCATTTCCCTAGGAAAAAGGCTGTTCATCTGCCTGGAAGCATACACAAGATCCTAGCAAGATGTTGCCTTCCTTTTCCATCTAATTGTCTGTGGTCTTTCTAAAATGATAGAGTGCACCATGGCATCTTTGGCTCTCAGTACTGGAGTAACAATGCTCATGCATATGTTTCAGCATTGCTCAGCATCGATACCCAACATTTACTGAGAAACAGATGTTTTCGTAGGCACTGATATTCCCAGAAGGGGTTATCATGGTCTTTTTCTTCTTACCCTCAATGAACTTACAGTCCAGTAGGCTGACAAATGTATAAATGCAAAATATCTAATCCTAAAATCGAAACGTTTCTAGTAATTCACATATATAAATTTATATCACACGTGTATATATACACATATGTAGACATACATATACACATGTGTTATGTATGTGGTATATATTCTTATGTATGTGTATATATATACATACATATATATTCTTAGGTGTGTTGGGTAGATAAGAGAATGGTCAAGGAGAAATACGAGACATAACTAGTATCTTTAAGAATAAAGGACAGAATGATTCATAAAGAAAACACGTGTGGCAAGATTTAGACAAAGAATAGAATGGGCCAGGGTTCACAGAAGACTCAGCCATTTATTCATCCAGCAACCAGCAACTCTTTATTGAGTACCTCGATTCTGCTTGGTCCCTAAAAGGTAACACTTGAGTGAGAACCTGAAGACTGGGTAAGCCTTGGACTTAAAGAATGGCATTTCTGGCTTTGAAGTAAAGGTGAACAGGGGATCCCATAAGTCCCATCTATCTCATGCATTTTGTGATTTTCAAAAAAATGATTGTGGGGTTTGAAGAAGCAGAAGAAAGACCATAAAGGTCAAACCCTTCTCATATCTGGGGGCCAGAACAAAAGATACTGAGAAGAACAAGAATGCCTAATTTTATTATTCAGTCACAAGTGATGCTGAGAAAAGGGAAGGAAAAAATTGTTTTAGGTCCTCTCATCTATGGTTCAGCACTATGCCAAGCACATCACATATAATATCCTAGTAAGCCTTTATATAATATTCTGGAGTAAATCTTATTATCTCCCTTGCACAAAGCAGGAAAATGAGGCTCCAATGAGTAAAGTGAACTGCAGCAGAGCTCATTCAGCTTTACCATGAGCAAGAATCACGTGAGGATCTTCCTAAAACAAAGACTGTTTCAGTGGGTCTAGGGTGGAGCCTGAGACCCAGCATTTCTAACAAGCTGCCAGGTGATGCTGAGGCTACCAGCCAATGGACAACACCCTGTTCAGACTTTTATAGAGGTAACAATTGGCTCTAGTTCATCTGAGTCCAATTCTGATCATTTCCTACTAAACCAAGCTGCAAGGAGAAACCTGGTTTGCAGGCGGCCAGGTCAGCTTAGCTATAAGTAATACTTTTTAGTATTGAGAAGCGTTTAATCTTCTTCTTTGTATTTTGCTCAGTTTTAATGGTTGTGGATTTATTTTTAAACTCCAATAGACATTACTCATCCCTGACATCTAGTCTGAGGTCATTTAACACATAAAATTAAATGTATATATTTATCATGTATGTTAAAAATTATGTATATGGCATATTCAATTGCACCTATATCATATTTAGGTATATATAATAGATATGTGAAGTATTTGAAAGATATGGTACACATATCTCTCGCATTGATATTATATTAGGCTAGGTGCAGTGGCTCATGCCTGTAATCTTAACTACTCAGGAGCCTGAGGTGGGAGGTTTGCTTGAATCCAGGAGGTCAAGATCAGCCCAGGCAACATAGCAAAAACCCATCTCTACAAAAAAATTTTTTAAATTACTGGGCATGGTGGTACATGCTTGTAGGCCCACCTACTCAGGAGGCTGAGGCAGGAGGATTGCTTGAGCTCAGGAGTTTGAGGCTGCAGTGAGCCATGATCATGTCACTGCACTGCAGCCTGGGTGGCAGAGTGAGACCTTGTCTCCAAAAAATAATTACATTAATAGAGTGACCAACTCAACCAATGTTGCCTGGACTGTCCAAGTTTTAAAACTAGTGAGTGACCCCAGTTATATCATATTTGTACATATAATCATATGTTAAATATTTGAAAGATACACACACACACACACACACACACACACAATTTTACTTCATCAGGTTCCCTCTGTTCCTTTTGTACTGCAACTTTTGCCAGCAATAATTTTAAAGACTCATCTAGATTGTTAACAGATTGGAGAGGACCACAAACCCTGCTCTCATGTTAATAAGGAAACTTCCTGCAATGGACTCTAGAGTTTTAATAGCACCATTCAGCATAATGATGCTCACAGATCTTGGAGTGGGGGAGCCTTGGAAGTCAATGGAGAACTCACTTTCTCCCTCTGAGTGGGTCAGTGTTGGCATCCTGAGTCCTTTTTTTGTTGGCCTTGTATCTTCCACTGAAGCATACAAGATAGCTTTTGACGGCAGGGGACCCCGTGCTGGCAGGCAGAATAGAAAGTGTTTGTGTGGTCACAGAAGTCCTTGTATCTAATTAGAATTCTCATAAATTGCTCTGGGCCGCTGGATGGGTTGCTAATATCCTCAACACTGCCCTTGATCAACTTCCCAGCTTAATATCTTTGGGCTGACATCCGAGTCTGGGGTAGAGCTGGACAGTCCCACAGCTCAGGCAGTGATGACCACACATGTGTCCATTCTGAGGACGGCGTATCCCTGAGAGGCCTTCACAGCCAGTCTTCTTAGGGCTGGCTTAGGAATGGTATGACAGTGTGGACTGGGGAAATCCTTGAATGCCCCTTACCCCTGAATATTTTTCCCTTTCAACTTTCTACAGCATCCAGAATTTCACCATTTGAAATTTTTTTTTTAGATAAGTGTGGATTGCTGCATGCAACACCCTATAAAAATGGAATTCCTCCTTCCCTCTTTTCCTAACCCCATTTCCTGATATGACATCTCATCCATCCTTCAGCCTCTGCGCTCCTCTGTGAATACTCCCATAAAGACCTCTAAGCTAGATACCCTGCCTGTGAACTCCCTTATCTCTACACTTGTGGCATTTAGCAAAGCAAGAGAAGTGAAATAAGTAAGATGAAGGTTCTGCAGTTTCCTAGTGGTGTGACCTGGGGCAAATTAATTTCTTAGAGTCTCATTTTTCTCATTTTAAAATCAGAATTCTTTAAGGATTAAATATGAAAATAAACATAAAGAAGCTAGTCCATGCCTGGCACACATTAGATGCCATTGTTGGCCTCTCCATGTGCCCTGGGCCACTTGAGTGCACTGCATTATAGATTCCTCGAGGGCATACGCTATCCATGTCCACCCCTGTTGCTGTTCCCTTACTGCAGGACTCAGTGGAGCTTGGCATAAACAAAATTTGTTTAATGAATGAACAAATGAATGAATTAGAAAATACTGCAGATACACTTTTGCAAGTCTTATGTCATCGATTTAATACCTTCTTTAATGAAAGGGACCTTATTTTCTTTAGAAAGGACACTAGATACCTCTAGAGAGAGAGATGCAAGGAGGTAATCACTGAATCACTGCCAATCTTTTGACAGTCTTCCCAGGCATCTTACCTCTGTATTCACCACAAGATAGAGGCAAATTCCTCCATTGTCTTATTTGTATATTATAATAGTCAAATATCCCTGTATTATGCTCTTTAATGCAATATATGCAATATGCATATGAGGCACATATATGCACATATTTAATATGTGCAATATGAGGCATATAACCAACAGAATTATATATTCCCTGGCTTTTACAACTGTAGTGGATCATAAATTGCTACTTAGTCCAGTAATATGGAAACTGAAGCCACAGAGGGGATATGACCTCACCTAAAGATGCACAGCGAGGGAGTGCAGAGTTGGGGCTCAAACCCAGGTTCTCTGCCTCCTAGACAAATTATATATTAAAAACAAAACAAAGGGAACACAAAACCAGTGATGGTCCTTTGTTCTGTTTCTTTGGGAAAGACTTGACCTCTGCAGTAGAAGTAATGGTCGTAGAGGACAGTTGGGGTATCTCCAGGCATATTGGTCAGCAGCCCCATCCAAATCATAAAAGCCTCCAGTAGAATGAGCCTTGCTGTCTCCCAGGCACCCTCCTTCCCTGCAGCACAGTAGAGGCAAGACAGGAGAAACAATGTGGACTCCAAAACATGTGCTTTGTTTATTTCAGGCAAGACTGCATGCTAATGGGAGAACAGTAGACAAGTTTCATATCCATAGTGTTCCCAGGCACACACCACTGGTTTATGTCTTTCTTTGACAAACCAGCCCTGTTCACAGTTTCTCCCTTTCTTCCATGCAAACCTCTTCCAAACTGTAGCTCTAATGCCTTCCCCAAGGAGGGGCTTGTGAAATAAAGCTGCGTTGCTCCACCCTTGACTTTTGCTGTTCTTCACTGATGTGGTTTTGTTCATTGCAATGTCATTAGCATGAATAGAGAATTCTAAAACCCCAACAACCAGGAATGATAATTGCACAGTTTTGACTTAGCCAGACCCTTTGCCAAACTGGATCGAGCTCCTACTGTGTTCTTTGCTAAACTTGCTGCTGCAGTCCTAAGAATTTAAACACTCAAAAGCGTCCTCCTTAATTTATTTATGTGTTTGTGTGTGTGTGTGTGTGTGTGTGTGTGTGTGTGTGTATGTATGTTTCATATATCTTATCAACCAAGGTTTGTTTTCCAAATTCTCTAAACTCAGACAGGAATTCAGGCGTTCCCACATAATAGTCAGCAACATAAGTCAGAACTCATGGTTCTTCCATGTCCACCAGATCTAGGGAGGGTTCTGGAATATGGGATTCAGTCTCTTTAATCAAGAACCTGGGAGAGAGGGACTGTACCTTCAGGGGCCCAGAAATTAGTACCATGAGGCTGAAATCTGTTCTTTAGTCTGCTGGTTTATGATGAAGAGGGCGACCAAGAAAAAATAGTATTTCCCTTAGCATTTATCAAAACCCATGACCCAAATCCCGGTTACTGCCTGGTTTTGAAAATGAAGTTTTATTGAAACCCAATCACATGTAAAGCCTAGTCATTGCAACAGAAACCATAAGGCCTGCAAAGGCCAGTATGTTTATTATCTGGCCTTTTACAGAACAAGTTTGATGGCACCTAGTCTAGACTGTCTGGAGACAGATAAGAAGGGCAGAGAAGGCTGGGTGCAGTGGCTCACACCTGTAATCCCAGCACTTTGAGAGGCCGAGGAGGGTGGATCACGAGGTCAGGAGTTCGAGACCAGCCTGGCCAATATGGTGAAACCCCTTCTCTACTAAAAAATACAAAAATTAGCCAGGTGTGGTGGTGGGTGCCTGTAGTCCCAGCTACTCAGGAGGCTGAGGCAGGAGAATTACTTGAACCCAGGAGGCGGAGTTTGCAGTGAGTCGAGTTCGCGCCACTGCACTCTAGCCTGGGCAACAAAATGAGACTCTGTCTCAGAAAAAAAAAAAAAAAAAAGAAGACTTAAAGTTGGTTGTCCAGTTCTCCTAAGAGAAGGGAGAAGATGAAGATGAGAACAAGAAGAAAGAAAGACAAATAGTGTGGGGAAGGAAAAAGGGATAGAGATATATGAGGGAGAAATTAGAGGGGGAAAAAAGGAGAAGGAGGTGGTAATAATAAAGGATAAAGAAGAGAAAAGAAGGCCAGGCATGATGGCTCATGCCTGTAATCCCGGCACTTTAGGAGGCCAAGGTAGGTGAATCACTCGAGGTTAGGAGTTTGAGACCAGCCTGGCCAACATGGCAAAACCCCATTTCTACTAAAAATACACAAATCAGCCAGGCATGGTGGTAGGTACCTATAATCCCAGCTACTCTGGAGGCTGAGGCAGGAGAATCACTTGAACCCAGGAGGTGGAGGTGGCAGTGAGCTGAGATCCACACCACTGCACTCCAGCCTGGGCAACAGAGCAAGACTCCATCCCAAAAAAAAAGAAAAAAAATAGAGTCAAAAAGTAAGGAGAGAGAAGAGAAAGGAAGAGAGAGAAAAAAGGGAGGAGTAAAGGGAGAGAGAGGCAAAGAAAGAAGGAGTGGGAGAGGTAAGAAATGTTTGCTAAGTGATAGTTCAGGCAATGTTTAGCCTGTGCATCCACAGAGCAGGCTAGTTTTATTAAACTGAGAATTAGCCATGCTGCAGATGAAATTGAAGATGTCTCAGAGCCATCCGTGCTTCTCCTCGGCTCCGGTGTGTTGGTACAAGGCACAGACCACCAGATGACTCACTCCTGCCTTGGAGATGTCTAATCTGTCTTTCGATGGCTTCCCTGCCAGCAATTCTTCCTGACATAGGTCCCTGTGTCCTCAGATGACTCAGCAACACCCATTACAACCAGCAGCCTCAGCCCAATTAAAGAGATAAATGCAAAGTAAAAATAGAGGGGAGAGGAACTGCAGAGCATCTGAAAACCTCGTTTGAGAGGATGGGACAGTTTTCCATTTCTCCACATGGAAGTAGTTCAACAGCTACCATGATTGTTATAGATATTTGTCATAATAAGTAACACGAGAAGGATAACTACATGTCACAAAATCATCTCAGTCCTTGTATGTATTTATCCATGAAGAGAGCCAAACTCTGTAAAATATTCGAAGAAATCTATTCTGAGCCAAATGTGAGGGCCATGACCCAGGACACAGCCCCCCAGGAGGTCCTGAGAACAAGAACATGTGCCCAAGGTGGTTGGGCTACAGCCTGGTTTTACATGTTTTAGGGAGACAAAAGACATCAATCAATACCTGTGAGGCATGCATTGGTGCAGTCTGATAGGGCGGGATAACCCGAAGTGGGGTAGAGGGTGGGGCACAAGTAAAAGGTAGAGTCAAAGTCCAAAGATTTTCTGATTTGCAATTGGTTGAAAGAGTTAAATTATTATAGAAATGCCTGGAATCAAGAGAAAGGACTTTCTGGGTTAAGAGAAGGAGTTGTGGAGACTAGGGTTCTTATGTGCATGAAGCCTCAGTGTTTCTATTCAGACCTCTAAAAGATGCTGGATTCTCAGATAGTCTCTTCAAGATTGGGAGGGCCTGGAATGGGGAAAGATCTTGTTATGTTAATAGAGAATATATATATAAGATGCATTTTTCCCCAACAAGAATGGCTTTGCAGGCCATTTAAAAATACGGCAAAGAAACATATTTGGAGGTAAAATATTTTGACTTCCTCCTTTATCTGTCATGTGATGTTCTGCCAAAGTTGGAAACTAAGCCATGTTATATAGCATGGAATAAAACCCCTCTGACAAGACTTTATTGTCTGTAGGATGTGACTCTTCAGGTCCCTTAGATAGGGCTTTGGGCAAGAGAAGAAAATGGTCGGAGTTTGGTCCTTATATTAATTTCATTTGCCCCTCACAATGACTAAATGGCATGGAGTTATAATTATTCATTCCTATTTACATATGAGGAAACTGAGTCACAGGTCAGTTAAGTAAGGTGTCCAGGATTATCCAGCTAAGTGGGAGATCTGAGATTGGTACAATTGGTACCTATGCAGGAGGGCGCCAGGATCTTTGCTTTAATCTTTACATGATGTTACTTCTTTAGCTGCTATAAACCCTCATAGACATCTTGGAAGACAGGTGGTTTTCTCATCTGGAAAGGGGCAAGGCTGTGATTTAAACACAGGTAGGTCACACCCCAGAGTCAGTGCTCCTTCCTCTTTTACTAATGAAACAGCATCATTACCCTGCAGAAGGTACTGGGCAAAATCACTTTGCGACAGAAGTTTAGGGTGGGAGAGAAAATGACCTACACTTTTTTTCCATTGTTCATGGTGAAGGAGACTCGTCCATGCCTCAGGCCCCAGCACCGTGGGAGCAGGCCCAGCCTAATTTTTGAGATCATTCAACCCTGCCAGTTTGGGGAAAACTAAGGACCCAGAAGCAGGAGATGAGAAGGAATGAAACAAGGACAGAATGTAATTAAGAGAAGTCAGATGTTTGGCCTCGATACAGGCTTGCAAAGCAGCCTCTCCAGGTTCACAAAGACCTGTCTTGGTTGCTGGAATTGCTTGTTCCCCACAGAGCTTCTTGGAGCTGCATAATCTCCAGAATTTCAGAAAGTTATTGTTCCTTGCTAAACGTGTTTTAATCAAATTGAGACTTCAAAGGCAGAAATCACAGTTGGGGATGAGCTGGGCTAGTCTGTAAATTACTAACTTTCTAATCAAGTTAGGAAGAACTGGGTGCCATTGACAACCCCCTTCCCATGTATTCACCCATTTGTTCATTCATTCATTCTCCCTTCTAGTCATCGATTCAACAAAGAACAACTGAGCAGCTTTTAAACTCCAGGTGGTGGGATATAAAAATGATTAAACACTCCTGCTCTATTGCCCTTGCCTATGGAGATGCTTTTGACATTTTGCATCCAATAGAATCACTTGGCAAGAAAATACAGACACCTAATTTTCACCTCCTGTGGGGCATTTCTACATCCTTTCTGGGTGATTCTAATACACATTAAGGGTTTTTTTTATTGAAACTTATACTTTTTATCTAGTGTTCTAAATTGAATCTCCATGTACATAATTTTATAATATTTTATAACTTTTAAGTGAAAATTCTTAAAGCAGGCATTTGCTCCCTTTACATTATATATATATATATTTAATTATACTTTAAGTTTTAGGGTACACGTGCACAACGTGCAGGTTTATTACATATGTGTACATGTGCCATGTTGGTGTGCTGTACCCATTAACTCGTCATTTAACATTAGGTATATCTCCTAATGCTATCCCTCCCCCCTCCCCCCACCCCACAACAGTCCCCAGAGTGTGATGTTCCCCTTCCTGTGTCCATGTGATCTCATTGTTCAATTCCCACCTATGAGTAAGAACATGTGGTGTTTGGTTTTTTGTCCTTGCGATAGTTTGCTGAGAATGATGGTTTCCAGCTTCATCCATGTCCCTACAAAGGATATGAATTCATCATTTTTTATGGCTGCATAGTATTCCATGTTGTATATGTGCCACATTTTCTTAATCCAGTCTATCATTGTTGGACATTTAGGTTGGTTCCAAGTCTTTGCTATTGTGAATAGTGCTGCAATAAACACACGTGTGCATGTGTCTTTATGGCAGCATGATTTATAATCCTTTGGGTATATACCCAGTAATGGGATGGCTGGCTCAAATGGTATTTCTAGTTCTAGATCCCTGAGGAATCGCCACACTGACTTCCACAATGGTTGAACTAGTTTACAGTCCCACCAACAGTGTAAGTGTTCCTATTTCTCCACATCCTCTGCAGCACCTGTTGTTTCCTGACTTTTTAATGATTGCCATTCTAACTGGTGTGAGATGGTATCTCATTGTGGTTTTGATTTGCATTTCTCTGATGGCCAGTGATGATGAGCATTTTTTCATGTATCTTTTGACTGCATAAATGTCTTCTTTTGAGAAGTGTCTGTTCATATGCTTCACCCACTTTTTGATGGGGTTGTTTGTTTTTTTCTTGTAAATTTGTTTGAGTTCATTGTAGATTCTGGATATTAGCCCTTTGTCAGATGAGTAGATTGCAAAAATTTTCTCCCATTCTGTAGGTTGCCCGTTCACTCTGATGGTAGTTTCTTTTGCTGTGCAGAAGCTCTTTAGTTTAATTAGATCCCATTTGTCAATTTTGGCTTTTGTTGCCATTGCTTTTGGTGTTTTAGACATGAAGTCCTTGCCCATGCCTATGTCCTGAGTGGTATTGCCTAGGTTTTCTTCTAGGGTTTTTATGGTTTTAGGTTTTTTGTTTGTTTGTTTTTTTTTTTTGGTTGTTGTTGTTGTTAGAGTTTTGCTCTTGTAGCCCAGGCTGGAATGCAGTGGTGAGATCTCGGCTTACTGTAACCTCTGCTTCCTGGGTTCAAGCAATTTTCCTGCCTTAGCCTCCCGAGTAGCTGGGATTACAGGCACCCACCACCACGCCTGGCTAATTTTTGTATTTGTAGTAGAGACTGGGTTTTGCCATGTTGGCCAGGCTGGTCTTGAACTCCTGACCTCAGGTGATCCACCCACCTCGGCTTCCCAAAGTGCTGGGATTAGAGCTGTGAGCCACCACACCCAGCCATATAATTCTTTTTAAAAAACTTTTGTTGGAAGTTCATGGGTACATGTACGGGTTTGCTATATAGGTAAACTTGTGTCATGGGGGTTTGTTGTACAGATTATTTCATCACCCAGGTATTAAGCCCAGTACCCATTATTTGTTTTTCCTGATCCTCTCCCTCCTCCTATCCTCCACCCTCCATTAGGCCCCAGTGTGTGTTGCTCCCTTCTATATGTCTATGTGTTCTCATCCTTTAGCTCTCCCTTGAAAGTGAGAACATGGGGTATTTGGTTTTCTGTTCCTTTGTTAGTTTACTGAGAATAATGGTCTTCAGCTCCATCCATAAGGTTTAAGAATCACTCTTTAAAGTAACAATATTTACCATTTAGAAACATTTTATCCTGTGATTGGCAGACGTTGAGTACACATATCAGTTGCCATCCAATCACTCAGTTGGGGTCCATGATATTGAATCTTTGCCCTGAGTTTTATTCATTCTCTTTCTCTCAGGGCTTCTAATTGGGTTTACACAGAGCCCTTGGTGATTGTGAAAACTAGAGGCATAAATGGTTTGGCACTTCTAAGCGTTAGTCCACATGCCAACCACAATAAAGAACATAGGAGATATGAGGGTAGGCTATGAATGGAAGACGTAGTCAGATAAGCTTTAATGTTAAGCTTCCTCATCCAGGAAGGATCGAAATAGACATGAAAGCCTTTATTGCTTCCAAAGATTTCATTTTCATTTATTGACTATAATAACAGTGTTAAAAATAAAGCAGGCAAAACTGAAAACCCCACATTTGGGTAAAGACTGAGCCAGCACTTCTATCGATTAAATCGGATCTGGAACTAGATTTGGACGCAATGGCTATCCTGATTCCTTATACGTGTAGACGGGGTCTCATGTGAAACCACGGGGAAAGTGCAGCTAAAGACCGTTGATTGAGTCTAATTTTTTATGTGGATTTCATTATTGCTCCCACGTATGTGGGTGACTTTTGCATGTACATAAACCTCATGTATACACAAAGATAATACACTGATGATATAGACATCAGAAGGGGGTGATCATTAATAACCATTCTGATGCCCCAACAACTAAGTCACTTACTCTCCTATGACCCAAAAACTGTCTAGGGCAAACCATTTATTCAGAAATGCAACGTTTTCAAATAAGAGATATGTCAGTTCTAAGCATAGATTAGCAATAAAGGACTTAACTGCTTCTCCATTGGCCTGTGACCAGATGATACCATAAAAATTAGACTTGTTTATTTCCCTCCTAATTTTAACTAGAGACATATTTGGAATAATAATGGAACAGTACTTATTAAGAAACAGATAATATCCATAAATATCCTGGAGAGCCACTGAGTCTTCCTCAGTGGTAAAACTCCAGGGGATTTAATCTGCGTAAATTTGCAGTGAATTCCCTAATGGGCCTGTTGAGATTCAGAATCTTAGTGTCTGTTATCAATCCAACACCAGGATTAGTACAAGGTCAGCATGCCAGGCCCATGCCTGACAAGCAGTGAATTGCTCAAACCAGAGAAAGTCAAATGTCAAGAGAACCATCAAAGTGGAAATAAGATATAATGAATGGCTTGTTGGTAAGTCAAACATTGATGTCACATAGGCTCGTGCAAAATTTATGGCATGGATAAACAGTGGCCCCAAATCCCTCTCAGTCTATATTTTTTAAACACTTTAATTTGGAAAGGCAATATATTATATATACAGTTGTCCCTCAGTATTGTGGAGGATTGGTTTGAGGGTCTCCTACAGACACCAAAATCTGTGGATGCTCAAGTTCCTGATATAAAATGGTGTAGCATTTGAATATAATCTATGCACATCTTATACTTTAAATCATCTCTAGTTTACTTATAATACCTAATGCAATATAAATGCGATCTAAATAGTTGTTACACCGTATGGTTTAGGAAACAATGACAAGAAAAAAAAGTCTGTATATGTTTAGTGCAGACACCATTTTCTCCCCAAAATATTTTCAATCTGTGATCATTTGAATTCACAAATACAGAAAGGGCTGACTGTACATATAATCACCCCAATCTACTACTTTAACATAATTGTTTTTAATTTATGTATTATCTCCTGATCCCTGTTACTTGCAGACACATTTCTTTAATTATAATTATTGGTTATATATACTTTTATAGTCCATGATTTTTCACTTATTATTACATTTTAAGCATTCTTATGTAACTATACTATCTGCTTTCACAATTATTTTAATTTTTTGCATAAAATGTCATCATCTTTATTAAACCAGAAACCATTACATTATTTTCCAAATGCTACACATTTTGATATTTGGCTAGTATAGATAACGATGGAAGAAATTTCTTCATGCCTATTTCTTTTTTCTTTTGAACTATTTGCAACAAACTCTTAGATGTAGAATTTAAAGGTTACTGGTTCTAAAGATCTCTAGGAGTCTTGATATATGGCGTCATATTGATGCCCAAAAGGTTTGTTAACCCTGGGTGCAGTGACTCATACCTGTAATCCCAGCACTTTAGGAGGCCAAGGTGGGGGGATTGCTTGAGCCCAGGAGTTCAAGACTAGCCTGGGCAACATGGTGAGACCCCATCTCTACAAAAAATAAAGACATTATCTAGGCATAGTGGCATGCACCTGTGGTCCTAGCTACTTTGGAAGCTGAGGTGGGAGGATCACTTGAGCCTGGGAGGTTGAGGCTGCAGAGAGCAGTGTTCCTTCCACTGCACTCCAGCATGGGTGACAGAACAAGACCCTGTCTCAAAGAAAAAAAAGTTTTGTTTCCATCTAAAGTAATAGTAATAGTGGATCAATGTACCAATTTTACCACTATCTAGCAGCATTAGGCATTACAGTTCTTTTTGCTATTTTAGAAGGTGCAACATGCTATCTCTTTTATATAAATATAAAAAGTTATTTCATGTTTCATGTTTTGATTGGTTAAATCAGAATTCTGCAAATTATGGCCCATTACATGTTTTTTATAAAGTTTTACTGGAACACAACCACACTCATTCCTGTATTACGCATTGTCTATGGCTGTTTTTGTGCTACAAAGGCAGAGTTGAGTAGTTGTGATAGAGACCGTATGGCCTGTAGTGCTGAAAATATTTACTAATTGGCCGTTTACCATAAAAAAAAAAAAAGATTAGTGACCTCTGGCTTAAACAATAAAAGTGACATGTTATTTTGAAACAATTCCAACAATTGGAAGAATTTAACTAAACATGACTGGTTTCCCCTTATCCTTAAAGAAATTTTCTCTTTTTGTAAAGAAATATCACGCTTAAAAAAGTTTGTATTTTTCTCTCCTCTGGTTTAGAAAGTCTGTTTTCTTCAACTTTCCTTATTATTACCTCACTTAACCCCCAAAGTAAAAGAACACTTATACCTGTACTATGCCACTCACTGTTTTTTTCTATTTGTTACCTTCTATAAACTATGACATACATTCGTTATATTGCACAAATCCCAATATCCAGTTAATTTTTGTACAGCTGTGCAACTCCCACCCAGATTGAGCTATAAAATGTGACCACTATCCTAGAAAGCTTCCTCATGGCCCATGCCAGTCAATATGCCCCCCACAAGTAATCAACATTCTGTCCTCCATGACCATGGGGTGGTTTTGTCTTCTTTTGATCCTCAAATAAATGGTGGAATCATACAACATGTATTCATTGATGTCTCTTGTGACATTGATACATATTACTGCATGTAACCACAGCTCATTATTTTTTTTCGTTGCTGGGTGGTATTTTATCGTACAAATTTATCCATTTTGCTGCTGATGGGCATTTACATCACTTTTAGTTTTTGTCTGCTTTGGATATTTTTGTACCTTTCTTGTGCACAAAGGCACTTATTGGTTTGGAAATATACCTAGGAATGAAATTGCTGGGTAATAGAGCGCGTCTACTCAACTTTAGTAGATACTTTGAACCAGTGTTCTGAAAATGTAAACCAATTTACATTCCTGCCAGCAGTGCAGGTAGTTTCTCCAATTTGCAAGTGCTCCTTTTCGACTTTCTGTAAGAGGTAAAGCTGGCTTGTGCAACAGAACTCTAGGTGTCTTCATCAGTGGCTGTGTGGTTGGCTGTTGCCACCAGTCATTTAGAGATCCAGATTCTTGCCCCAACATCAACATTGCCTTATTTTGTGACCTTGGTTCATGTAACCTGACCTCAGATTTAATGTCAGTACAATGGGGGCAGAGGACTGTGGAGTCTGCCCCACTTACTTTCCTGAGTTAGAATTGATATCTAGCTTCTCTGCCACCCGCATGTGCTCTTCCACTCATCCCTGGCCACTGTCTCACCCCATCTGGTGCCTTAGACTTGGGAAAAGGGAGAGGAGGTCAGAGGAGCACCTCCATACCTGGGGAGCGGGAGGATGTCATCAAAGGAAGAGCTGAGAGCTCTCCTAAGTCATAACCCAGCCCTGCACACCACCCTATTACCCTCTATGGAAAGAAAAACAGGGTCTTCCTTCTGCTTTAGTTACGGATGGTTCTGACAGCTGATATAGGGTCCCTTCTGTAATAGTTTTATTTCTCACTTTCTGTCCTTCTCCATTCCCCTTTTTCTTCCTCCTCCTTCTCTTCCCTGTCCTCTTTTCTTTCCTTTCCACTCTCTCCTTCTCTCTTCATTCCACAACTAAGTCTCCGATGCCCATTAAGCTCCTTGTGTATACTAAGCAATGGGGAATACAGATCAAATGGAAGTGATCCATTTCGCTTCTGGATTTTACAGCTTCAAGGAACTTGTTGACAACACTTCGATAAAAAAGAAACTGAAAAGCAGTGAGATAATTTTACTTGCTGAAAAGAGGAGCTATTTCTTGGCATGTAGAACTGAGCAACACAGCATAGGTTACCTTGGAGTTACAAGAGAAGCATCACACCCAAATGGCTGAAGCCCCTGGCCAGAGATAAGAACTCAGAGGCATCTCCCCAACCTGGGAGACCAGGCTCCATGCTTTCCCACTGCTTCCTTTAAATGGATCATTCAGGCATTTGCCTGCAAACTTAAAGTGACCCGCACGCTATTCCCTTTTATGTACCACTAGTTGGCCACATTCTCTCTTTCTCGGGCTGACTCTTCATTCTTGCCTTGTGTGATGCAGGAGCAGAAAACTGTCCTCTTGATTCATTGCACCCTCCCTGCCCAGGATGTGTAAGTAATAAATCTTTGAGCTTATTTTCTATATGGTGGTGTATTGAATTTGCACCTTTCATCTGAAGACCTAGGAACTACCGCAGACTGGGTTTTCCCTCGGGGAGACTACAAGGTTGGGCTTCCAGTGCCAGAGCGATGATCAGGCAGACATAAACTGGACATGGGTCAGACAAGAGCTGCAAGGGCATCAGCAGTTATAAATAAGTTCCTCCTGGGAGAGATCCCCTGGTCATGGATAGGAAAACTAGGCATGAGGTTGTCTACTAGGTAAAAGAAGCATCCTGTGAAAGGCACGTGTAAACACCCAGATTTACTTCCCCTCGTTGGTCATTAGGGCAGGGTTGTTAGCTGCTGTAGTACTGGAAACCCAGTTTAGCCAGTGGCTCTCAAAACAGCACGGGATCTGAAGTTATTGCTATCCTTTTTTTTCTTAAATCTGTATGTGTTTAAAACACAAGAACTCCTTTGTGATATTAAAAAGTCCTCATAACCTTCCCATGATAAGTCATCAGATTTTGAGGACTATTGATTGAGAAAATATGCAATGGCAAAAAGTCACTATGAATTCATTTGTGCTCACAAATGCATGTGCCTTTTAAGCCATGTCAGCTTGACCGTCTTTATTTGTGTGAGGCAGATTGGTTAAGCAGATTCCAGAAGTGCTTGGTATATAATAAGGTTTCCTGGATTCCTACAAGGTTTCTGCCGTCTTACTTCAAAGAATTGTATCTCTCCAACTTCATCCAGTAATGGAAAATTATGACCATGTGTATTGTTTGATGTTTGATAGAGTTGTCCAATCTTTTATTGTCCAATCCTCTTTTTAATTTTTCTTCTGAAAGAGACACTGGTTGGGAAGCTGCACAAGTTGTAGTTGGGTTTTTTGTTGTTGTTGTTTTTGAGACAGTTTCACTCTTGTTGCCCAGGCTGGAGTGCAATGGCGCGATCTCAGCTCCCTGCAACCTCCACCTCCCAGGTTCAAGTGATTCTACTGCCTCAGCCTCCTGAGTAGCTGGGATTACAGGCGCCCACGACCACGCCCAGCTAATTTTTTGTATTTTTAGTAGAGATAGGGTTTCACCATGTTGGCCAGGCCGGTCTCAAACTCCTGACCCCAGGTGATCTGCGTGCCTCGGCCTCCCAGAGTGCTGGGATTACAGGCGTGAGCCACTGCACCCGGCCAGAGTTGGGAGATTTTATGGTTGGGAACCTGTGTGCATAAAATCCCCCAACTCCATCCAACTTGTGCGACTAATCACGTGGCCTGTGAAATCCTGCAATGTGACAAGTAGCAATGAACTTAACAATACTCAAGTTTCATCCATGGAGCAGAAATCTCAGTTGGAAGGTGGCGGTGAAACATTTATGCCAAAGACAGCCTGTCCCTGCCTCTAACTGGATACATTTAAGCCTAGCCCTATTTTTATTTTGGTTTTGTGACTTCTCAGCATTATACAGAAATGGAATATTCTGACATTTAAATAAGGAATATTTATCTCCCAAATTCAATCTATTTGTGTCCAGAATCTTGTACTATTTCCTATCACCACCACCATCAAAAGTATTTTTTCACTTCGGCAAATAGTTCAGTGACCCTCTGAGATCGTGAGAACAGAGGTCACAGGCTCCAGAATATTATTTCTGAACCCAGGGTTACTTGGGTCTTATTTTTCTCTAGCTCATTTTTTTTTCTTATTTGTCAGATTTATTGGGCCTTTGTTTTGTCCTTTTGAGAGTTTTTAAATTTGTCTTTAAAACAACATGGGTGTTGGGTCACCACAGGGAAGAGAGAAAGGAATGAGTTTCTCACTGCTGCATCTGGGAGGGTGGACTTGCCTCACATGGCTTTGAGTCAAGATGGTGGAATTAATGAAGTTGGGCCCTCAAGGTCAAAGCTCAGATGGTCTAGCTGATCTTACTCTGCTCCAAGGCCACAGACCACATCCCCAAATCTGATACACAACTTCCTTTCATCTACAGGACAACTGGGCAAGGAGAGGATTTGGCCCCAATTCTGTGTCCCCCAGGCCATCCTCAATTGCAGGACCACAACTCAGAACTCAGAATGACCAAGTCTGTTGTCATCGAGAACATGAGCCTGCCAATGAATCTGTGCCCTAGATTTCCCATAAAAAAGTTGTTCCTTTGCCATTTCCAATTCCAATCGGGCTTCTGAGAAACCCAAAGTACCCAACCCCTGGGCAAGACATGAAACAGGATTGAAATGGGGTCAGTTACCCTCTCGGTGTTCACAGCGAACCCGAATGAGATCAGCAGCAACAACCTTCTGACGTCTTTCAGCTATAGATGGAAGTCTGTTCCCTGTAGGAAACCACCAGGCTCTATTGCTGGGATCTTTGATGAGAACATACTCGCCCAAGAGCCAGCCTTGATTTCTGGGTTTCAGAATCTATTCCTCACCCCTTTGCCTGGGGCTTCTCAAACTTCTTCCTGTCTTGGGCTCTGACCGATCCTCAGATCTGTGGATCACAAACTAATCAAGGAGACAGGAGCCTTGTGTTATCCACAGTTGGTGCAATGTCATGAACCACATGTACCAAGACCTGTGCCACAGACTGGGGGTACAAGGAGAATAAAACAAGATCCCTGCCCTGAATAAACTCACCTCCCAGTGACAATTACGTTCCACTGTGACAAATTCTATACAAAAAAAAAAAAAAAAAATCCAGGATGTTATGGTAGAGGAAACCATGGCGTCATATTTACATTCCTGTGCCTTCAGGGAAGACTTCCTGAAGGTGGATACCTCTGAGCTATACACCAAAGATAGCTATTGCCAAGTTTTCAGCACAAATACCATGCAGCTGGTATATCCAGAG
Source organism: Homo sapiens (assembly GCF_000001405.40). Classification (NCBI taxonomy): domain Eukaryota; kingdom Metazoa; phylum Chordata; class Mammalia; order Primates; family Hominidae; genus Homo; species Homo sapiens. Next base: position 9,776,123 of record NC_000016.10, on the reverse strand, counting down.
TAGACTGTAATGGGTTATGATATTGGTGACAGTTTACAATGAATCCTTGCCAGCAGTTTCTTGTAAGTGCGTTTCTCCCAGTCACTGCATAACCTCGGAACAGGAAAGCTTAAGCTGCGTCTTCTGTCTGACTCTGAAATCAGGACAGGACTCTAATAGTGACTGTGTCACCAGGATAGAGTTGACTGGTGACCTTCCTCCACATGGTAGCACCATTGTACACATTTGCAATTTGAATGAGACATTGCACACTCACTCATCACAGCTTACCTCCTATTGTATGTGAGGAGACACTGGATTTCCAATCAGGGGGCCATGACTGGAGAAACATGAGCAACAACTGAAGAACCTTGGGTCCACTAAGAAAATAGTTGGGTGTTCACTACAGATGTACATCTGACGGCCTTGCTGTTCCCTGGGTACCCCAGACTTGTTAGAATGAAAATCAAGTTCTTAGCATTCTGGCTTCTACTCTTCGGGCTCCTCCTTTGATCCCTTCTTCCTTCCCAGAAATCCTGAACTGCTCTCTGATCTCAACACTCCTTGTTTCTTCCTGCCTCCAGCCCTATGCAAATCCAATCATCTCATTTTGCCGTAACTACTGGTTTTCATGACTGTCTCTCTCACAGGAATGAGCTCTTAGAGGCCAAAGACTATCTGTAATTCATCTCTATATGAAAATACAGAGATGTTTGCCACATGTTAAGTGCTTTACAAATTTTCTCTTTTCAATGAGTGAATGAATGAGTAAAGAAAAAAAACAAATGAAGTCCTCGGAAAACCAAAAAGCAACAGCTTCCTTGACCAGACATGAAATAGAACATCGAACTCAGCTTCTCAGAACCACATACTCTCTCTTTTCATCTTTCATCACTGCCTTGGGTCAGGTGCTTTGGCAAGAAACCAAGAAAAAAAAAATATGTAGACGTGTGCCTGTGGAAGCTGATTTTAGAAGATATGTTTCAGCAAATTTTGGACAAAGCCTAAAGGGTACAGGTTCAAAATGGATTTTTCACAAATGACCTCAGGGGAGAGGTACTTGGGAAGTTTGAAGGCTAGTCACATTGCTTGCTATAAAATCCATTCCCAAAAACTGCAGTTCCTCTGGAAGTGCTGAGAATGAGTCTTAGGGCAAATAGAGAACTAATTTCTCTTACTTTGGATATAAGAGAGTCTCCATGGAGAGCTGAACCTTCTCCCTGGACTTGCGTTCTTGGAATCATAGATAGAGTGAGTTAGAAGGGCACAGAGAGCATTATGTGGTCCATCCCACCCCCCAGCTTCCCTGATTTCAGGCAATAATAATATCTCCAGAAATACTGATTTTGTAATTAGTGTATGCCAGGCACTGTGTGTATGCAACATCGTTTAATTCTAACAAAACTCCTATGAGATAAATTCTGATGTACTCCCATTTGCTCGATATTAAAACTGAAGCTTAGAGTGATTAAGCAAACTCCTTAACCTCTCTGCACCTGCGTGCCCTCATCTGTAAACTAGACAAGCCATATTAAGTTTACATGAGTTAATTTTTTTAAACTCTAGTATAGTACCTGAAGGACAGTCTATTTTATGTAATTTTGTTAAATAGAAAAATAAATACATGAATGGATGAGTAGTTGGATAGATTAAAGTAGAGTACCTGGACCATGATCAAAGAGCCGGTACCTGTGGAAGCCAAGAGTCTAATGCAGGCCGTCTGACTCAGATATTGAGTGTATTAATACCTGAGTGTATTAATACCTCTGTGTTACTATCTAGACCTTACCAGATGACTGGATGTGCTCCCCAAAATCTTAAGGGAAGGGTGCTTCCTTTTATATCTCATTCTAGTGTTTTCTACCTGAAACATTCTTTCTTGTAATTTGCTGGACAGTATCTAGTTGAATTTTCTTTCATTCCTTTTTGCAAATATAAAACCCCTGGCTTCCACCTTGTCAGTGGGTGGATGGGTAATGGGAGAAACTCCTCCACTGTCTGCATCCTGTCTGTGCCTTTTGTCTAACCAGCCTTCTTACAGCCTGACCCAAGCAGCCAGTGGAATGGAATGGAAGCAAGTTGGAGACACACACACACAACACTGCCTCAATTATCCTTGCCTGTTCCCTTTTAAATGGAATGGAAGCAAGTTGGAGACACACACACACAACACTGCCTCAATTACCCTTGCCTGTTCCCTTTTAGATTCTGCATCTCTCTGACGGTTGACTCCTGAAACTCTATTACTCTGTCTTTTAATGTTGTCAGCATTAGGAAAAGAGTGACCTTGACACCTTGCTCCTTCTACTGAACTTACAGCTTTCCTCACGATGGTGCAGAACTAAGTGGTTAGTAGAGATACTTGTGGCTGGAAACATCTCCCCTGAAAACAGATATAGGAAGAACAGGTGCAAGTTCCCATGGGCGCAAAGAAGTTCTGCAAATGTGCATGAGCTTACTGTCACTGGAGGAGGTGGAAACACAAAAGGAGAGGGCTTTGAGTGCTACATGGGGACCAGTCCTCTCCGGTGGGGAGACAAAGGCAGTGTGGTTTGACTGCAACCCCAAAACTTCCCAGGCTCCATCTGTTCCCAAGAGAGCATTTAGCTTGTGTGTTCCCAGCAAGAATGAGTCTGCTTCAGGAAAGAGATTTAATTGCCCCATTTATCAGCTCTGGTTCACAAGATCACACTGACAAAGATCACGGCCTCTTTTTAATAGGAGAAACTGGCAGCAGAATAAATATCATAGAGCCACTCCTTGGAAAAACGACATTTGATGCTTCACCCTACCTAAAGGATGCACATTTCCCAGCCTTTTACTCTCAAGCCCGCTGCAAGTTCCCCTTTGCTTTGTATTCCTTCTATTTATATGGCAGAATAACTCACTAAACAGATTTGAACACTTCTGCAATGCTGCCCAGTTTAAGCCTGGGGATGTAAGAAAAGAAACAGAAACAGAAAATATGGATTCAATGCTCACTACGTGCTGCAGGCCACGAAAAATATCAAAACCATAAAACATGGTCCCTGATCTCCCTCCAGGAGATTACAATATACTTGAGTAAATTAAAAATGAAATAAGAAAGTATTTGAACTACAGTTCAGTACGCTAGTCAAAGAGGGCCACGAGGCAGGAAATGATTAATTTGAAAATGATTGGAACAGGCTGTAATTGGTAATGAGAAATGTGCATTTGCTCTTTTTTTTTTTTTTTTTTTTTGAAATTGAAGTCTGCTTTACCATGTTGATTTCCTCTAAAAAGAGGTATTGTTTGGGCAAAGGGCAGAAGGAAATCTTTTTATTTACATCCTGAAAAGAATCGAGATGATGTTTCTTATATCAGACTGCCCTCCTTACAGGCTTACAAACCTGGCTTGGTTTGAGGCAACACCGAAAGGAAGATGTTCTGGGAATCTGATGAGTCATAGTGAGAAGACCCATTTTTGTGTCCTCCCAGACTCCAAAGGGTCTGAGCACGGTGGCTCACGCCTGTAATCCTAGCACTTTGGGAGGCTGAGCCAGGTGGGTTGCTTGAGCCCAGGAGTTTGAGATCATCAGCCTGGGCAAGATGGTGAAACCTCGTCTCTACTAAAAATACAAAAAATTAGCACAGCATGGTGGCATGTGCCTGTCGTCCCAACTACTTCGGAGGCTGAGGTGGGAGGATCACCTGAGCCCAGGAAGTTGCTACTGTAGTGAGTTATGATCGCACCACTGCACTCCAGCCTGGGCGACTGTAGTGAGACCCCATCTCAACAAAACAAAACAAAATACCTCCAAAGGGAGGGGGGACGTCAACAGCACATTGTATTTCCAAAGGGATGGCATTGGTGTTTTTGTGAGAAGAGGAAGCAGCCGTGCAGGTCTGAGGTACATGGTGGGCAGAGAAATCTGGATGAGTTTGAGATAGTGTTGGTGGACAGTGAGATATTATTTCAAAGTCTCCCATGACTTTGTGACTGTGCGAAAGCATGGGAGGCTGTTGGAAGAAAAGGAATTGAATCAAGATACCCTCTTCTCATCCCTTTACCTACACAACCGATTGATCAGCACCCATTTTTGTGGGTGAGGAACTGGAAAGGGATGGATTTCCTATTTTTTTAAAAAAAAACTCATTAACATGTATGCTTTTTTTTCTGGTTAATACATTTGAGAACTTTAATGAGTCACTTAGTCTGTAAAAAGAAAACTAGGAAAATCTCTGTCCATCAAAGTGAAGAAAATGCAAGGAGGTTTACCATCTGTTTGAAGCTGTCAGTAAGAAATTAAAGCCCAAATGAGCATGTGAGTTCAAATGTATGCTACTTAAATGGTGTAGTAATCAAAGTAAAAATTTTTCCATACAAAAACTCATACATTGAAAATTCCTGGAACCATGGCAGAAGCAAACCCAGAAACTCTCTATAGGGATGTTTCTGTAGCCTAGTGTTCTTGGGAGTCCCATGGGGCTTAGAGGGAAAATAATTCTGCAGAAGATTAGCTCATGGTCAAAAGTTACAGACGTCACAAGGAAGTAACCCACCATGAGAGTCAGAACACACAGCAAACAGAGGAATGAGAATCCCAAGAACTAAGGTGGGGGTGGGGGGGAGTAATCTGAAAGACTAGAGGTTTAAAATTATTAAATATATGAAAGTTTTAAAAACTTTTAAACTTTATATAACAAACTATATAACAAAAGGATGGGATATTATGATAAAAAGAACAGGCAGAACTGTAAAAGAACCAAATGAATATCACAATTAAAATAAATAAAATTAAAACATAAAGCTAAATATTACCAACAAAAGAATAAATTAACGGGAAAATACATCTATTGGAAATTACCCAAATGCAGCACAGAGAGAAAAAAGAATGCAAATATTAAAACAAGGTAAATAACCTAGAGGAGAGAATGAAAAGTTCCACAGTATTTTAAAGTTTTCAGGAAAAAAAAAAAAAAAGATGGGACTATTATATACCATTAGGGAATTGCAAATTGAAATAATGAGCTAGCACTACATCCCTATGAGAGTGGCTAAAACCCCAAACACTAACACTAACACTGACAATGAAAAGGGTGGTGAGGACTTGGAGCAACAGGAGCTCTCTCATTCATTGTTGATGGGAGTGCAAAATAGTACAGCCACTTTGGAAGAAAGTTTGGCAGTTTCCTACAAAGCTGAAACACAGACTTACTGTATAATCTAGCAATAATGCTCCTAGGTATTTACCCAAATGAACTGTAAAAACTGTACCACACTAATGCAAGATGTTAACAGGGAAAACCGAAGGGAGCGGGGAGAGGTAGTATATGGGAACTCTCTGTACTTTCTGTTCAGTTTTTCTGTAACTATAAAACCACTCTAAAAAAATAAAATCTATTAACTTTTTAAAAAAGATATGATAGGGAGAAGTAATATTCAAAGCCATAGCAGGTGAATTTTTGCCAGAACTAAAGTTCTAAGTATTCAGATTGAAGAATCGTACTAAGTCCAGAGCCGAACCAATAAAACAAACCCACATCTAGACTTCACACCAAAGACAAAGTGAAATTCTCAAAAGCAACTAGAGAGAAAATATAGATTGCATAGAAAGTAACGACAATTAGATGATTAGCCAACTTTTCAACAACTGCCATCCAGATCAGAGGAAAATTTAACATCTCCAAAAGGTCAAGGAAAAATAATTGTCAACTTTGATTTTTATATTCAGCCATATCATTCAAGAGTGAGAACAAACCAAAAACAATACATGCTAATTTCACATAACTTAAAAAAAGACCAATATTAAATCATTTTGATTGACTTCTTCAAAGAGAATTGATATAAACATTTGGAGTATTTCGTTAATTTTTCTCTGCATGTCCCCATTACATCTTAGAGATCATGTATATACATATAAAATATAGTCATACTTTTCATTTAGCATACACATCTTGATTTTTACTGTCCTTGAAAGATCATTTTTAAAGGCTGAATCATAGTCTAAGTGCCATAGTTTAGTGAATTGCTAGACAGTATAATTGCTAGACATATAGATCAGAGAATTTTCTCCTAAATGGCAACAGGATAAAATGCACATAAAAGAGGGACAGAATAATTCTAAGCATGCCTACTCTTTTCTTCCCCCCATTGGAAAAAACCACCTGGTTCTTTAATTGCCTACTGAAGTTGGGGGGTGGGTATAGTTTAGTTTGCAAGGGGCCATTCAGAGCCAGCTGGATGTCTCTTTTCAATTAAAGTTTTGTGCCCTAAGTATGCTGCTCATGTGTGACTTTTCTAAGTAATCCTGAATGTTCTAAAGAGAGAGAGAAAAAGAAACACACATATTTGAGGATTGCCACAGGCCAGGCACTGTGTTAGGCATTTTCTTCACAACAGTAAATAGTAGCAAACATACTGCTTATGAAAACTTACTATGATCTGGGTCCTTTAGGGATTTTATACATTCTCATCTCATTCAATCCTCATGGCGACTCTAGGAAGTATGTTCTATTATTATGCCTATTTCACAGACAGGATAACTGTAGCTCCGAGGCCATGCAGCTAGCAGATGATCAAGTCAGAATTGCAATGAAGTCTTTCTATTGTCACGTTCTGCCCTTTTATTCCCATGTCTTGTTCCAAGCTTGGGTGGGTATTGGGGGCAGGGGTAAGGGAAAGCAAGGTCAGAAAAACATAATAATGACCAAAAAAAAAAAAAAAAAAAAGACAAAACTCCAAAAAACAAAACCAGGAACTGTGCTAAGTTATATATATTATATATGTATATAATATATAATATATATACATATTAATAGAGAATAAGTTTGCTATACTCTCTCTCTATATATATATTATATTCTCTATTTTTATATATAAATTTTGTCCTCACTGCAACAATATTAGGTAGGCTATGTAATCATTATTATCTTCACTCAAGAAGTGAGCAAATGGAAACCCAGCAAACTCAGAAACTTGTCTTAAGGTTACATAGCTGTGAGTTGCACATCGTCTGTTCCAAACCCAGAAGCGTCTGCCCCAAAGTGCATGTTCTGGTCCTCACTGCCTGTGAATGTTGTGATCTGTCCAGGTGAGATGGAGGAGCTGGAGACCCTGTGGCTCACTGGGATCTGCCACAACGAGAAGAACGAGGTGATGAGCAGCCAGCTGGACATTGACAACATGGCGGGCGTATTCTACATGCTGGCTGCCGCCATGGCCCTTAGCCTCATCACCTTCATCTGGGAGCACCTCTTCTACTGGAAGCTGCGCTTCTGTTTCACGGGCGTGTGCTCCGACCGGCCTGGGTTGCTCTTCTCCATCAGCAGGGTCAGTACACCGGGTGGCTACTTTCTTGCACTGCAAGCAGGTTTAGAAAAGCGCTTGGGTTCTTGATGTCTCAGTGGGGTCTGCACTTCCTCCCCTTACCAGCCTTTCTTGGGCATGTCACAAGAGCATCCAGATTTTGTGCATTCATAAGCCAGGTGTTGCAAACTTAGATGACTAAGGAAGGCAGAAAGGAAACGGGAGTGGGTGCAGCAGGCGGGACATGAGAAAAATAGCACAGATGACGTGAAACGGCAGCTAAACCTCAGTATCAAAGTGAGAGAACGATAGGGAATACTGAGGACTGTGGCCAATTGCATGATGTTTACCTCACCAGTAGCGTGGCAGCCATCCTCAACTCCTGCTGAGTATTGTCTTATGGGAATGTAGAGTCAATATTATCAGGTCTTCTAGTTTTTTAAAAAGAGAAAATGTCATCTGATTTTGTTAGAAACCTTTCCATTTTTAAATATTAGTAACTAATTCCATGTAAAAATTTTTTGGCCGGGCACGGTGGCTCATGCCTATAATCCCAGCACTTTGGGAGGCCCAGGCGGGCGGATCACGAGGTCAGGAGATCGAGACCATCCTGGCTAACACGGTGAGACCCCCCCCTTCTCTACTAAAAACACAAAAAATTAGCCGGGCGCCTGTAGTCCCAGCTACCCCGGAGGCTGAGGCAGGAGAATGGCGTGAACCCGGGAAGCGGAGCTTGCAGTGAGCCAAGATAGCGCCACTGAACTCCAGCTCCAGCCTGGGTGAAAGAGCGAGACTCCGTCTCACAAAAAAATAAAAACAAAAAATAAAAAAAAATTTAAAAACACTGGGCCAGACAGAGCCAGCCTGTGGCTCCCATCACTAGCACCCAGGTATGCTGTATAACACTACTAATGCTGCTATGCAAGATGTTACAATTTGTGTATGCATTGTAACAGAACATGCCCAACAAAACAAAATCTACTTGCAATGCTATGGAATATGTATACACATCTAATAAAACACAAAGAGCATGTGGAATGCAATAGCACATGAAAGGAAACACAGGTGTAAAGTAACAGAAGAAAATGCACACGTATCAAGCAGAAAACAAAGTTTACCTTCAACTCAACATAAACAACAGCACAAAATACATATGTATCTACCTTCTTATCTATATGTCCATTCATTCGTTTCAGCCATCTATGCATCCATCTATTTATCCACTCATCTCTCTTATTTGCCCACCTTGTTTTTTTGTTTGTTTTTTTGTTTTGTTTGTGTTTTTTTTTGTTTTTGTTTGTTTTTTTGCCTTGGAAGAACTTCATTAATTAGGATTTGAAAAATGGTGAAAACTCTTTGGTTAAAAACATCTAATTGCAGCAAACCAACACAGCACATGTATACATATGTAACAAACCTGCACGTTGTGCACATGTACCCTAGAACTTAAAGTATAATAATAAAAATAAATAAATAAAAATCTAATTTTATATGCTATTGTTTACTGAGAAAGCTAACTAATTGCTTTAAAACAGATTTGTATATTCTTAACATTTGCTAGTTTCAAGAACTGTGGAGATTCGGAAGGTACACATTAGTTTAGTGAGGAAGATTTATTTTCTCCATTCACTTGCACTCCAAACTCGGGTTCTGTGCAAATACATATTTCCTAATTAGCTTGATGGCATCTAAACACATAGATTGCTTAAAAATAACAACGTACGTGCATAGAGCTAGGTATTATGCCAACTTTAAGCTAATTCTCCCAGCCAATTACCAAAGGCTTTTCATATCCAAATGATTCTGGGATTAGCACCAAACAAATGCACACTGTTGCGTTTACTTCTAAATCTTGCTTGTTTTTGGAAGAGCATTTCCTCTATCTATCTAAAACACTGCTAAGGAAGCCAAGTTGATTTATCAACATTTTAAGAAATGAAGTAAATCCATATCTTCCTTTCCAAAGGATGGGAATGGAAGGCAAACTGGGCAGCACAGGGCAGGCATTGTTGGTGGAGTCCCTTGATCATCTAGAATTTGAACTTTGGCCTCTCCATCCCTAGGGGAGAAGGACCCCAAGTTTTATGGGAGCAATGTGCTTTTATTGATTGATTGATTGATTTGATTTGATTTATTTACTTATTTATTTTTTTGAGATGGAGTCTCCCTCTGTTGCCCAGGCTGGAGCGCAGTGGCTCATTTGTAAGATTTCCACATCCACAGTCTGGATGCTCCAGCAGCTCTGGAAGCAGTGATGGCAGGGGCAGATGTTATTTTGTGGCAGGACAAACAGCCAACCACACATTATATATAGAAGGAGACCACAGATAAGTTTGCAGGAATGCAGGAAAGGATGTAATGCCAGTGCCCTGAGCCTCAGGGGGCCTTCACCAACCATGAAGCCTGGGGTGGAGAGGATCAGAGAAAGAGCAGCTCAAACTTGCAACTGTAGGCTTTTGTGTTTACGGTTCCTTGAAGGCTGGAGTGGAGAGACTGTCTACTACAAGAAAAATGTAGCAGTGAAAATGAGTTGAGGCTGTCACAGTTCCGTGAGCATCCCTGCAGGGTGAGCTTGTCCCCACCATGGGGGACCGATGGAGCCACCATTATCAGAGTCCACAGTTAATCACACTTACTTTCCTGTAGTTTATGCCAAAGTCAGCAGCCACTGCCAATTCTGCCCTACAAACCCCTTCATAGTTTGGCTCCCTGTCAGCCTTGGGAAGACCAGGTCAAATCCTGCAGCCTTGATCTGACTGTTTCCTGTAGGTACGGCTGCTGAAATCTGGGGTAGGAGTGGGGAGAAGCAGGGGAAGCCACAGATCAAAATGTTCCAGACGTCCTTTTGCCTGTTATTGTGGTAGGAATCAAGGGCTCTTCCCTTGATAACAGTTGAACAGCTACTTTTAAGTGAACGTAAACAGTTGTTTTCTAAAAGAAAGAAAGAGTAGAAAATGAGAAGACATATAGATGGAGGTGCTTGTATTTGGGCTGCCCAGGAGCCCTTAAGTCATTCAGTTCCCTGGATGGATTTAAAGGCGGTGTCACTGTGTCATCAGAACTCTTCACTGTGACTAGTAACTAAAACCCAGTTCTAACTACATTGAATAGACTCACACACAAACAAACACACAAGGAATAGATTGAGTCGATTAAGTAAAAAAGTTCAAGGGAGTGGCTCCAGGGGTTTAAACCATGTCTTTCTCTATCTCTTGGGCTCTACTTTTCACTGCAATGGCTTCACTGATAGGCTCACACCCCCACATGATGGTAAGTCTGCAACTCCTTCTATCCAAGCATCCACATCTATCCCCCCCTCAAAGAGTATGATGAGCCTCACATGAATTTCATGCCTTCCTTTAGATGAATCAATGTGTGCATGGAGAAGAGATTTTCTGATTGGCCACTTAGGACACATTCTTTGATTGTTAGCTTTTGCATAAGAGTAGGGGTAATTCCAGAAAAGAATTAACAATGGATGATCCTTTCATGCTGACTGTGTTTGTCAGTAGTTAACTCTCTGGTGCCTAAACTTTCAAAGATGATGCTGGGAAACTTTAATGAAAGCTTGGATTGGTGACCCGGGTGCTGGGAGGCTCAGTTATCTGTTCTTATATGCCACTTTGGAGACACTGAGGCATTGACAGTTGTATGAGCATCGGTTGATACCTTTTCTCAAACTCCATGTGTGACTCTTTGCAAAGGTGTCAGCTAATCTTGAGCCAGAGCAATAAGATAAACCCTATGCTTTGCAACTTGTCTCATACCTTTAAGAGACATTATCAGGATTCAGACTGAATTTTGCTGTTTCTCCAGGGCTCCTGCAAGAAGTGCAAATCTCACCTTTGCAGGTAAAGTTCAAGTGCAAAGTGGTTTCATGTTCACTGCTGCTGCTGCTGACAGTGCTTTATGTTGCTCCCCTACAGGGCATCTACAGCTGCATTCATGGAGTGCACATTGAAGAAAAGAAGAAGTCTCCAGACTTCAATCTGACGGGATCCCAGAGCAACATGTTAAAACTCCTCCGGTCAGCCAAAAACATTTCCAGCATGTCCAACATGAACTCCTCAAGAATGGACTCACCCAAAAGAGCTGCTGACTTCATCCAAAGAGGTTCCCTCATCATGGACATGGTTTCAGATAAGGGGAATTTGATGTACTCAGACAACAGGTCCTTTCAGGGGAAAGAGAGCATTTTTGGAGACAACATGAACGAACTCCAAACATTTGTGGCCAACCGGCAGAAGGATAACCTCAATAACTATGTATTCCAGGGACAACATCCTCTTACTCTCAATGAGTCCAACCCTAACACGGTGGAGGTGGCCGTGAGCACAGAATCCAAAGCGAACTCTAGACCCCGGCAGCTGTGGAAGAAATCCGTGGATTCCATACGCCAGGATTCACTATCCCAGAATCCAGTCTCCCAGAGGGATGAGGCAACAGCAGAGAATAGGACCCACTCCCTAAAGAGCCCTAGGTATCTTCCAGAAGAGATGGCCCACTCTGACATTTCAGAAACGTCAAATCGGGCCACGTGCCACAGGGAACCTGACAACAGTAAGAACCACAAAACCAAGGACAACTTTAAAAGGTCAGTGGCCTCCAAATACCCCAAGGACTGTAGTGAGGTCGAGCGCACCTACCTGAAAACCAAATCAAGCTCCCCTAGAGACAAGATCTACACTATAGATGGTGAGAAGGAGCCTGGTTTCCACTTAGATCCACCCCAGTTTGTTGAAAATGTGACCCTGCCCGAGAACGTGGACTTCCCGGACCCCTACCAGGATCCCAGTGAAAACTTCCGCAAGGGGGACTCCACGCTGCCAATGAACCGGAACCCCTTGCATAATGAAGAGGGGCTTTCCAACAACGACCAGTATAAACTCTACTCCAAGCACTTCACCTTGAAAGACAAGGGTTCCCCGCACAGTGAGACCAGCGAGCGATACCGGCAGAACTCCACGCACTGCAGAAGCTGCCTTTCCAACATGCCCACCTATTCAGGCCACTTCACCATGAGGTCCCCCTTCAAGTGCGATGCCTGCCTGCGGATGGGGAACCTCTATGACATCGATGAAGACCAGATGCTTCAGGAGACAGGTAACCCAGCCACCGGGGAGCAGGTCTACCAGCAGGACTGGGCACAGAACAATGCCCTTCAATTACAAAAGAACAAGCTAAGGATTAGCCGTCAGCATTCCTACGATAACATTGTCGACAAACCTAGGGAGCTAGACCTTAGCAGGCCCTCCCGGAGCATAAGCCTCAAGGACAGGGAACGGCTTCTGGAGGGAAATTTTTACGGCAGCCTGTTTAGTGTCCCCTCAAGCAAACTCTCGGGGAAAAAAAGCTCCCTTTTCCCCCAAGGTCTGGAGGACAGCAAGAGGAGCAAGTCTCTCTTGCCAGACCACACCTCCGATAACCCTTTCCTCCACTCCCACAGGGATGACCAACGCTTGGTTATTGGGAGATGCCCCTCGGACCCTTACAAACACTCGTTGCCATCCCAGGCGGTGAATGACAGCTATCTTCGGTCGTCCTTGAGGTCAACGGCATCGTACTGTTCCAGGGACAGTCGGGGCCACAATGATGTGTATATTTCGGAGCATGTTATGCCTTATGCTGCAAATAAGAATAATATGTACTCTACCCCCAGGGTTTTAAATTCCTGCAGCAATAGACGCGTGTACAAGAAAATGCCTAGTATCGAATCTGATGTTTAAAAATCTTCCATTAATGTTTTATCTATAGGGAAATATACGTAATGGCCAATGTTCTGGAGGGTAAATGTTGGATGTCCAATAGTGCCCTGCTAAGAGGAAGAAGATGTAGGGAGGTATTTTGTTGTTGTTGTTGTTGGCTCTTTTGCACACGGCTTCATGCCATAATCTTCCACTCAAGGAATCTTGTGAGGTGTGTGCTGAGCATGGCAGACACCAGATAGGTGAGTCCTTAACCAAAAATAACTAACTACATAAGGGCAAGTCTCCGGGACATGCCTACTGGGTATGTTGGCAATAATGATGCATTGGATGCCAATGGTGATGTTATGATTTCCTATATTCCAAATTCCATTAAGGTCAGCCCACCATGTAATTTTCTCATCAGAAATGCCTAATGGTTTCTCTAATACAGAATAAGCAATATGGTGTGCATGTAAACCTGACACAGACAAAATAAAAACAGTTAAGAATGCATCTGCACTGTAGTGCGATTGACATGTGCAAGAGATTAGGAAGTTTGGCTCGTAACAGTTTCAGCTTTCTTGTTATGCCTTCCATCACAGCCCAGGCTCACCCCAAGAACTCCAGGCTCCCCTAAAGAATAGCAAATCAGTGTGTTCGTGATGACTGTGCTACCTTCATTATAGTTCATTTCCAAGACACATCTGGAGCCAAAGGCCCGAGGGACCCTCAGGTGGGGAGAGCTACAGGAATCTCTTTGGATGTTGATGTGTGTTTCTCTCACCCTCGGCTTCGATGGTCTTGTTCAGAGCTGCATAAACTAACACATTTATGTCTCCGAGATCTAAGTGTGGATCTTCTGTCTGTGACACAGTGGCCATTGTAGTTTATCCCGAAGACGCCTATGTACGTAAGTTTGCATTTCCTCCCTTCTGGTGATGACTCAGGGTTGTATAGTATCTGTTACCCCTTCCCTCCCAGAGTAACCATAACTCGTTCCGTTTCCAAACAGCCATGGTGGTGTCCAATTAGCTGTGTATCGCTCTTCCCAGAGTTGTTAATGTGGTGACATGCACCAACAGCCGTATGTGTACTGTGATCTGTAAGAAGTACAATGCCATCTGTCTGCCGAAGGCTAGCATGGTTTTAGGTTTATCTTCCTTCACATCCAGAAATTCTGTTGGACACTCACTTCCACCCCAAACTCCTCAAATCAAAAGCCTTCAAAACACGAGGCACTCTTGGATCTACCCTGAGTATCCTCCAAACTGTGGATACAGTTTAGTGAGACAAGCAATTTCTCCCTTCTGAGTTATTCTCTCTGTTGGTGGCAAACCACTTCATAGCACCAACAGAGATGTAGGAAAAATTCCTCAAAGTATTTGTCATTTCTGAGTCGCCTGCATTATCCCATTCTTATTCTCCTCAAACCTGTGCATATATGACATGAAATGATATCCATTTTTTTTTTAAGTTAGAGACAGAGAGGGGAATACTTATGCATGGGGAGCCTGTTAGCACAGTGCCTGCCACAAAAACAAGTGCCCCCGACAAGATAGTTGCTATGTTATGACACTTTCTCAGATCAGGATTTTCTAGTTTAAAAATTAAATATCATAAAACCAGCAAATAATATTAACTAAACCTTTTATATAGTTCTACTCTGTTAATTAGTGTATTTCATGTACATGAATATTTTTGAAGTATTTGGGATAACTAGCCATCAGTGTTTGCAGAAGACCTCAGTCTGTTTTGGGCCATTACGGAAACACTAAGCTAATGTAGACTCGCCTGGCCATTTCCTGGTTTCCTCCTGCATTCTGCTTTACATTCTTGAAGAAAGGGATAAAGTGGCAGGTTGAAAAATTATCCCATTTCTTCTCCTCATGGTGTGCGTTCTGTTTTGTAAGTATTATTTTCTTGCATGTGGGCAAGTGTCAGGGATGATTCCCTTAAAGCTCAAGGATGCATGGAATAGCTCCATCTTTGGGAAAGTACACCTGACCTACAGTGTTCCTATAATGAAAAGTGGTTGCAATAAATTTCAGGGTCAATCATAGGGAGACAGAGGGAGGCAGTGGGTGAGAGGAGCTTCCTTTCATTTTTGAAAGGCAGAAGGGGCTGACTAGGTGCTGGGGATGCATGTGCTTGAAAATGACATTTTATTTCCCGGATGCTGTACCTCTGCTGCCCCAAGACCCAGCCATGGAGAAGCCTGGATCGAAGGGCCCAGAATAGTCACCCCAACATCTGATCCTAAATCTGAATCTCCATGACTGTGTAGCCTTTTAGCCCTTTCTACCTTCTGCCCTTCCAGTGCATTCCAGACCTTAATCCACCCCAGCAAGGATCGCCTCCATTTCCTCATGAGTCTGGGATGTTTTGACATGAATGAATTAAAAAGTCTTCCCAGAATACAGAAGAGTGATTTGTCGTCAAGCCAAAGAGGCTTTCTGTCTTCCTCTGGTGTCCTCTAAACCCAGGGGGCTGCCAAATGCCACAGAGACCTCCAGGGAGAGTGAGAGTTATACTTGGACTGACTTCATCGGTCAGAAAGCCTTCCCCTAACAGCAGCATTATTTCTGCTATTAACCCCATACATCTCTGGATAAAGAAACTGAAAACGTGGCCTTTGGAAGAATCAACAGTAATGTTGTGAAAAAAATATATATTCTTTTCACTGACCGAAGTGTTTTTTCAAATAAATAATCAGAAATGTTATGCTACACAAAGTTTATGGTATCCCTTCTCTACTAATTCAATGACTCTTCAATGTGATGATCCCAAGCAAAAAAAAAAAAAAAAAAAAAAAATCAACTACTGATCAGATGGTCAATTTCTAAGGAAAAGATGTAGAGTTATTCAAAGGTCATCTAAGTCAGTTCAGTCTTTGCAAAAAGAATATCAGGAATGTAACGTCCAGTGGTAAATGGAACCCACAGTATGAGAAGTAACAAGAATTAAATAGGAAGCCTGGAAGCCTGAGACTATAGATCTATCACAGAAGATTCCCGTAACATATCCCAGCTCTGAGTTCTTAGATTTGTTGATGTCAAGGAGCCCAAATTTCTGAACACAAATGCCTGAGTTTCAGCTGGCTTAAGTCAGAGCTGGCATCCATAATGATATTTTGTTAATTCTAATTGGTTTTCCCCACTTGAGAAGGACCCAACTAGTCCTCAGATAGGTACACTTGAATGCAAACGGTTGGGTCTCTGTCCATGGGTAATAGCACGCACATGCAACCAATTTAAAATACTCTGGGTAAGAGAGTCTTCTAGAGCATAAACTGTACTTGAGAAACCTTTGTGCTTCTGGAAAATGGGTTTCATCATCCTTACATCTGCAGGTTCTTAGGCCACTTATGGTTTCAATGCTCTGAGCTGGCAAGTCCCTATAGGTCTATCTTTCTGCCAGAGAGACTTGCAGGATTATAATCTCACAATCTCACCACTCATTACTGTTATGTCCTCTGCAAATCTCTCTGCGTTATTTTAGCCAGCACCATGACTGGGCATCCACGGATTACTCTTGATTTTCTCTTCCCTGATTCACAGGATGCCAGAGAGTCTGAGTATTTAGTTTTTCTGGTGAAAGCATTAAAATTCACACATTGCAGCAAAATCTGTCAAATCATTTCACGCTTATTTTCTGGGGAGAAAAATAGAAAATTACACCTTGTTTACAAATGAAATAGTTTCACTTAAATGGGACTCTAGCCAAGGCAGTTAATTAGTCAAAAGATCCACAGCTGTCATATAGTCACACATTGTTTATTCTATTTGCTATGTCGACCACTGATGTGTATTTAATATTCTGCATCCTTCACAGGAAATGACAAATGCCCTGAATTATTTGCAAATAGAATTGCTAATGAAAAAGAAAAAAAATGTTGATGTTAATTAAATGGTGATTAAAAATTTATCTCCTTTAAATCTAAAAAGTGCAGCTTTAATAATCAGTTGTCATATAAATAAGTACCTTGTACTGAAATCCCTTGCGGTTTAAGACCTAAATAAACACTAATTTGAGAACTCTAAATACCTTACAGAGGAGCTGGATATATTCGTTAACATTATGCACATTCCTGTACTGTTTCTTTGTGCATAGCTGTTGTGCATGAATCCTTGAAAAGGGGACATGCGTTGTTTCTGAAATGGAGCCTGTTTGTATTAACCATGGCTATAGTAGACATGATTGGACTCAAAGAAAAAGAAGTTTGAGTAGGTGGAAGCTAAATGTGTTGCTTGATATTTAATGAGTGAAGGGTTCTATGTAAAGGCAATTTTCCTTCCAAAAGTACTGTTTATTTTCACTGGAGACAAAATTAGACCTTTCCAGATACCCCATCTCTTTTTGGTGAACAGGGTTGAAAGTGCTGTGGGGTCTATACTTGAAAAGTTCTCCCAATATGCAGTTACTGTTTCCCATTCAATCCCTATACATTGTACTGTGTTCATATCTAATTGTATCAGATGAGGTCAGCTTGCCACTTGATATAGATCAGAGATGATCAAATGCACTTATCCTGTGAATACAACTGCTTGTGTACACATGTATATAATATACATGCTTGATTTCTACAATTCACACGTAAGTGTATTATCCAAATAAAATTGTACATATTGTAAAGTTTATGTTAAAAATTAAATGGTGATGATGGTATTAACACATGGAAAACCCATTCTGGTTATTTTTATGGGAGGATATTTCTGTAGAGAGGGCACTATATTTTTTTAATCTCAGTTGTAGGGAGGATGACAGAGCCTAAGTAGAATATGGGTGTTGGCGTTCTTGGCCCCTTCTTTAAAAAACAAAACTCTGGGATGAGGGGTATAGAATATATTCTGCTCGCATTTGCTTCTGAAGACAATGCCGATATGGACTTGTGTGTGATTTCCTTAAACACATCAAAGGGCATAGATTTCCTATTTAAATTCCTTATCCTCTTTCCTCACCTGCACTCTTTCTGTGCCCAGCAGTACTTTCAGTATAGTATTAGCTAGAAGTGCCTGCCCAGAAGGGTCTTAGAAAAATAGAGTTCGTAGAACCACACCAAAAGTTAGGAGAAGGGGAGGAGAGATGAGAAAAATGAAGTTTACAAATGGGCAGTTGCCTGTTTAAGATCATCAAGTTAGAGAGTATCAGAGCGAGGATTAGATCCAAGACATGGTTCAATTTCTGGCTCGATTCTCTGACCGGGCTGACTTATTTCTAGGTTTCTTTCAAGGGGAAACTCCTGAGTAGCTCTGGAATAAGAGCCAGAGATCCCCATAAGGCTGCCCTGGTTTTTGTTTTGTTTTGTTTTTTGTTTTTGCCACTTGCCCCAGAAAGACCTACCCATGCTTCTTTGAATTTGGTTTTCCTTTAAACTCCCTCACAATCCCTGTCTTAAAGTTCCTAGAAGAGAAAACTTTTCTCAGAGACCGTCTCCTTAGGAAAAATCAACAGGGATATTGTTTAAAACCTCAAACTGAAGATAAAAGGCTGGCAGTGACCATTGAAATAATTGAGGTCTATGTATCATGCATTGAGGAAGAACCAAGCACATTGACCAGCTAATAGGACTTCACTGAATGTCCACTTTATTTTGAAAGCCAGTTTGGGATTGTGGGGGAGGGGATGCAAAATAAATAGAAAATATAGTCTCTTCCCATAAGTAGCTTATGGTTTAGAAGTTCAGTTCTCTAATACAAAGGATAACCAAGGACCCATGCAATGCAAACAGAGACTAAACAGCAAAAATTAGAAATGACAACTAAAGTTGTAGCCAGGAAAAAAAAAATAATCTGATTCTATGAGCATACCTTTTTTAAAAAAAAAAAAAAAGTCCTTCCCTAAACCTTTAAGTAACTCCGGAGAATAGAGTTAGTGGTCCCGGAAATGCAGTTGATTTATTTTAATCTTCAAATAATGGACTTAGGAGACCCAGGAGCTGCTAACCAGGTGAACACACTCACACTCCTACATTTTTGCACAGGAAGGCTTTTGTCTGGTTCCAACCAGTTCTCCAGTCCTTGCCAAATCATGCCTCCTCCCAGCCTTGCATTATGACATGTGCCTCAAGAAAAGGTTGAAAAAATTCCCCAAAGGATTAGAAAATAGACCATGATGTAAAAAGACGAAGCATTTCCCTAAAGCTTTTTTGTTTGGTTTTGTTTTTGACATTTGAAGAACCCTTCTGATACACCAGGGTATGAATGTATCAGGGAAGCATAGAGGGAAAATTCTTTATCAAGTTCCAAGTGCCTACTGCTGTGGCTGACAGAAAGCATCAGGTTCCCTAGAGAGAAAACGGGGCAAAGAGATGGCAAAAGGAATAGAGGTGTATTTCAGGAAGGATGGCGAGGTGGAGAGGGAGCTTTTGTCACTCTGTCTATCCCATTCTGTGCATTCTTGGAATGTTACATTTTCTGCTTATCGCAAGTACTTGCCATGGATCTGCACCTGAATTTGAAAATATCAAAATATATCTAAATTGAGTGTAGGCGATATTCTAGGCATATCCTAGAATGTGATCCTCAAAACAACCTTAAGATATAAATATGATTGCTCCCATTTTACAGATAAGGAAACTGAGGCTCAGGTTTTTCTCAACCTCGTCAGCAACTAGAATTAGCTAGTAAATCCCTAACGTTAGACATATTTTCAAAGTGCCTGGTCTCCTCCAGGGAGGTCAGAATAGAAGTCAGAAAGAGAGGTGTGCTCTTTTGAGGTTCCTGGGCATATACCCTTGAGTATCAGCCTCTGTGACAGGGAAGTCTGTTAGGGTCTTACCCCTCATTGCCTGATCTGTGTGTATGGAGAACTTCTGGGGATCTCACCTCTGTTCATAGTTCCTTCTGAGACTTGAACACTGTTTGTGTCTCCCTTTCATATGCTTGCACTTAGCATTTAAAAAAATTTCTGGGGAGTTATTTTCTCTACTTAGCATGTGCCTAATCTTAAATATCTCTTTCCTAATGTCTCATCTTTTTATCAGTCAACATCAGGGCTAATTCCATTAAACATATATACATAGTACATGCTCTCATGTGTGTGGGTATGCACACACACACACACAGCCATGTGACCCTCCATTAAAGTCCTCCTAAATATTGTGACCCATGTTCAAAGAGGTGATATTATTTGCAAGTTGACTATTCCTCCTATTTCATGTCTATGTTTGGTTATCTTTGCCAGGCAGATGGAATGAGTTTCAGAGGTGGGACAGGGAATAGGAAATAGAGTTTCTGCATGAATGATGGAGAGCTTTGGTAGTCAGAATGATTGAGGACCAGCTATTAAAATGTTGTTGTTGTTTTCCTTCTTGGTCTGTTCCTTTTTTTTTTTCTTTTCCAAATTGTCTTAGAGATAATTCCCGGCTCACTTAGCATTAGGATAATGACGGTTATTCTGTCCCACTGAAGAGTGTTGAACTGGAACGCTTCCACCGGGCTTTATAGGTACCCAGAATGGCCTAATGTTTAACATATCCTGCAGGCATGCCCCTGAGCACACACTGCCTTTCCTGCATTCCCCCCTCTCCATGGTCTAAGCCACATTTCTTTCCTGGCATTTATATTTACTGAGAGGTGAGGGGTGCATTAGGCCCATTTGATGGATGAGGACACTAGCGGGGATTTGAAGGAATGTCTTTCTGGGAGTCTCCATGAATTCTCTGGAGAGTTAGCTAACTTAATGCAAGTTAAGTGCTAGTCTATGAGAAAAATTTCTCAGCTGTTTTCATCTTTCAAGCTGGCAGTAAAAAGCCTTTTAAGACAGAAAGATTATTATTTGTTATTTGGAGATCCTGTTGTTGGGTCTACAAGTGCGTGACCATGTTCTCCTTGGAATGTTGAGCTATGCAGAAATGGAGCACTCCAAAGAACGATTTGACCAATAGCATTTCTTCTCTGGGGGTTGTATTTCAAAGCATGCAACTCTCCAGGGAACCAGAACTAAATTGCTTAAAATGAAGTCATTCCTCAGATTAACTTCCTCAGATAAAGTGTCAGCGGTCTGCAGAAACGAAGAAGACAAAACTGAGATTATCACTCATAATTCTCTTACTTACTATGTCAGTGAAACAATGAGTTTGCATTTTTGCAATCCTAGAACATTCTTCATTAGCCCTGGGTCATGACCTCTTCCAGTTAATTCTCTTTCACACCTTTAGGAAAGATTTAAGATGAACCTTCAATAGGATATTAACATAACTCATAGCCAATACCACAGCTGCCTTTCAAATTAATGAGGTTAATTGTTCTCCAGCAAACATGAGTTTGTCTTTGGCATTTTAAATGCTTCCCATTGATCTGACATTTTGCTGTTTCAAGTTTTAAAGGGCTCAAATCAAAGACTATTGATAACTGAGCAAAGAGCGAAGATCCAGAAATACGAAAACATTGTCTTTTTTTTTCCATGAAAAACAATCATAGCCTTTTGAATTCAATCGAAGTTTCTACATTAGCCATCTAAGACTTATTTAATTATTTCTGTTCTCAGTCAAGCTAATTCAAGTGAATGAACAGTATTGACTTTTAAAATCTTTTTTAAATTTTTTTAAATCTTTAGTTTATTAAGTTTGTAGAAAAGCTCTGGGGCCATGACCACTTACGTAAATGTTTCAGTTTAAAAACAAAAGATTCAGGCCTCTAATTTGAGCCAAATCCAGGTGATCTTGTTTGAAATTTTTGATGAATTTGAAAAGATGAAAGTGGAACTTTTAACATTCATGTTCCCCAAATTTTTCACTGGGAAGGGATGCTAATTGCCTACTTAAGATATAAGTTCAAGAATAACATTTTCATAGAAAATTCAGAAAACTGCTTGACACAGCAGTGACATAGTTAGATGTGGCTCAGATGCCTTCCAAACCTGAGGGTCCCCAAAGATTTCTTTACCAGTTGTTTTTAACTATGAATCTTAATCTTGTTCATTCCCCTGCCAAAACAAATTTAAAAGCATAAACCTGCTGAATTAATTGGCAGAATTCACCATAGTTTATATCACCCCAGAATGTTTATGTGTATATGTTTATGTATAGTATATATATTTCAAGCTGAATGTTCAGAAAGAATAAGGTGAGTTTCTTGGTAGCTTGAATAAGAATTAGATCATAAAAATTATAAATAATGGCCTTCTCAAAGAGGATAAATGATTCATTTTTCACTCACGTATTAATAATATGACTTGTTGCATAATACACAAGCTGGTCATTGCCTGCAAGAAAGTTATTGAATTAAGCAGCTATCCAGGTTTATGTCTGAGTCCATTTTTAACCCAACAAGGCTAGGATTGAACTCCATATGCAGAGGGTTTCTATTCACAGCTACATTCAAACAGAATCCAAAACCCACATCAGAACTGACTTGATGTCTTGTATGGTGGAGCTGAAAGCAAGCTGTCTGCTCTAAGCAATGGTCTTCATTTGGGAATTAATGTTCACTGATCAACTGCAGCAGTTTATATCTGTCATGTTTTAATCCACTGCATGAGGAAGTGCTAATAAGTGTATTAAATATTTCCAAGCATAGCTACAAAATTATATGTTTGCTTAACACCTTTCTATGATAGAGGAAGTATATACTATGGTTGTCTTCTTGTAGTATGTCTTTTAATTTTGTTCAATGTGTTATCAACTGTTTTAAGGAATGGGGATTGAAATTCGTGTGCAAACTGATATGTATATAACTCCTGAGGCAACAGAAGTGCCCGGTCATATGGTGTAAAAATGTAAATACAGGAAAATTTCATTTTTCTAATAAAGATAATTTCTGCCAATTGATATGAAAATGAGAAATTGAGTTGTGGTCTTTGTTGTTGTCATTGTTGCTGCTGTTGTAAGCATCACTGTGTTAGTCTGTTTTGCATTGCTATAAAGGAACACCTGAGGCTGGATAATTTATAAAGAAAAGAGGTTCATTTATCTCATTGTTCTGCAGGCTGTACAAGCATGGTACCCGCATCTGCTTGGCTCCTGGTGAAGCCTCAGGAAGCTTTTAGTTATGACGGAAGGGAAGAGGAGCCGGTGTGTCACATGACAGGAGAGAGCAAGAAAGAAATGCGAGGCTCCTTTAAACAACCAGCTCTCTCCTGAACTAACAGACAACTCACTCATTACCATAGGGTGGACACCAAGCCATTCATGAGGGATCCGCCTCCATGACCCAAACATATCCCACTAGGCTCCAACTTCTGGTGATCACATTTCAGCATGAGATTTGAAGGGGACAAATACCCCAACCATATCAATTGCTAATGTTTCAGGCAGACTTAATGTTTGTACAAAGGGGAAATAACTTGAGTTCCCCACTTTGTGCAAGGGGAGAGGGTAGAGGGAGGCACAGAATTCAGGACAATTCTTGGCTTGGCTTCAGGATTTCAGCCAAAAGCTTAGCCACTGTCCCATACCTAGATCTCGTCTTCCCGTGCAGTTCCTGTACTTGTAGCCTTGACCCTGATAATGTTGACCTTTACCAAGAAGCACCCTTATGGCAAGAGGGAAAAGGGGATTCTTGCAATAGGGGGAGGGGAACTATTGCAATAGGGAGAAATCTCTGACAATAGGTCTGCAAGCATCTCAGGGTTAGGCAAAAGGGTTTTTCTTTTACAGGGAGAAGTAAATAAAGCTAGAAAGAACAAGGTATAGGAAAGCGAGATGTACAGGAGTGGCAAGAACAGGAATCTTACCTATATGACTTAGGTAAGATTCACAGATGCTCCCCCCTTCTTTACCCATACCAAGGCCAGACACAGGCCCTCCAAATGCCTATTCTTTGCCTCATAAGTGATTAACTGAAATTTTGAACCCCACTGATCAGTTGGAAGAAAATGCTTGTTAACCAAACGTTGAGTAAGGTTCCCTCCTTCTCCAGGTCCTTGAACTCTGGCCAAACCTCAGCCCGAGCCAGCCTAAAACCTCTCCCTAACAGCTCCTTCTGGGAATAGCGAGTCTTAAATTCCCCATCTATCCACCTTCTGACCAATTGTGCCTCTCCTGTTCATCTCACTTTCCTATAACCTGTTCTTTCTAGCTTTGTTTACTCCTCCCTGTAGAAGAAAAACCCTTTTGTCTAACCCTGAGATGCTTGCAAATCTATTGTCAGAGCATTCTCCCGATTGCAATAGGCCCTCTCCCTCTATTGGAAGAATCCCTTTCTCCCTCCCTCTGCAATAATCCTTTTGAATAAAGTCTCTCTTTACTAAACCCAGATTTGAGTTTGGTTTGACAACCCCTGTCTTCAGATCAAGTGACATTTCTACAACCCAAATCTGACCATGTTAGTTCCACCTCTCCTTGACTTAAAACCTTCAGCTTGGTCCCCCATGACCCACAGGGAAAGCCCAATTCCTTGCCATAGTGCACAAAGCCATTCCAACCCCTGCCATACCCTTTCTACCACGTATCTTATGCTGTATCCGAATCAAAGATATTTTTGCCCTTCCCCAAGGACACCATGAGCTCTCATACTCCATGCTTTTGCTGATGCTGTTCTTTCTTCCTGGAATGCTGGTCTCCTTATCAATGCTTAATTCTTTTTTATGGTCTATTTTAAAGATAAACCTCTTCTTAGTCTTTCCAGGCTTCCTCCAGAAGCATGATTGACAGTTGACTTCTCCACGATCCATAGCCCCATGTACACACCTCTGTTATATAATGCATCGAGCTTTACTGCATTTTTAGGTGTGCTACTTTTCCTTAGAATGCGAGCTTTTCCAAAACAGGGGCCATAAAATTGTTCACCTTTAAATCCTAGCACCCAGCACATCATGTGATACTAAGCATTTTTTGGATAAGTAGAAGGATAGCTAGATGAGAGAGTGGATGGCTGGTGGGTGGTGGATAGATGGAGTGCTTTGGAATCAGTTCTTAGCTTATGGTACTCTTCTACCTAGCTTATTTTACTCAGTCCTGTGACTTTAAATGCCACTGATTACCCCCACATTTTTATATTCGGATTCAACTTTCTCCATAAGCTCTATACTCCCATCCATATTTCCACTGAGAGATCTTAAAGACACCCAAGACCTAAGATATCTTGGAAAGTACTGTGGACATCCCATCCTCCCAACACAAATCTGGTCCTCTGCCATTGTTCCTCATCTCGGGAAACTGCATGGCTATTGACCTGATATCTCAGGCCAAACGGCTGTTAGTGATTCTTCCCTCCTCTATTCCCCTTCATATCCAATCACAGGTCTTCAAGACATACATTTATTTATTTATTTATTTATTTATTTATTTATTTATTTATTTATTGAGATGAAATCTCACTCTGTCACCCAGGCTGGAGTGCAATGGCCCAATCTTGGCTCACTGCAACCTCCACATCCCAGGTTCAAGCAATTCGCCTGTCTCAGTCTCCCGAGTAGCCGGGATTACAGGCATGCACCACCACGCCTGGCTAATTTTTTGTATTTTTAGTAGAGACGGGGTTTCACCATGTTCAGGCTGGTCTCAAACTCCTGATCCCAAGTGGTCCACCCACCTTGGCCTCCCAAAGTGCTGGGATTACAGGCATGAGGCACCGCGTCTGGCCTTCATGACCTTTAAAATACATTCAAGACCCATCTATTTCTCATTACTCCTTCCCCATCACTCCAATCCATCATCTCTGATTTATACTACTGCAACAGCTTTCTAACCCATCTGCCTGCCTCTCCCCTGGCTTCCTTCTTATCCATTCTCCAGACAGAAGACAGGGCAGTCTTTTAAAACATCAATTAGATGATATTATTCATCTACTCTCAGGCCTTTAGTATCTTTCCATCACAATCAGAATAAAATCCAAATTCTTCCCTATGACCTCAGGGTGCCAATTGGTCTGCCTCATCTTCCATGTCGTCTACTATCATTCTGCACCACACTCGTTAAGATCCAGCCACACCGACCTTCTCTCATTTCAAACAGAGGCAATTTGGGGTCTTGGTACTTGCAACTGCCTCTCCCTGTAACTCTACCCCTAGGTATTTCTGTGCTTTCCTCCTTTATTATACCTAAAGATCTGTTTAAATGTCATCTCAGGAAGGCACTGTCTGACCACACTTTTTTTTTTTGTTTCATACTGGGTCTCACTCTATCACCCAGGCTGGAGTGCGGCAGCACGATCAGAGCTCACTGCAGCCTCGAACCCCCAGGCTCAAGCAATCCTCCCACCTCAGCCTCCTGAGTAGCTGGGACTACAGGCATGCATCACCACACCTTTTTTTTTTTTTTTTTTCTGTTAAGTTTTACTAGAGATGAGGCCTCATTATGTTGCCCAGGCTGGCCTCGAACTCCTGAGCTCAAGTGATCCCCCCGTCTCCCAAAGTGCTGAGATTACAGGTATGAGTCATTGTGCCCAATCTGGCCACACTATCTTAAATAGAATCTCCCCCATCACTCTCTATTCCCATACCATACTTTGTCCTTATAGCACTTAACACTATCTGTAATTTTATCATATATTTATGTGTATTTGTTCATTGTACGTCTTCTTCACTGAATAAGAATAGTGACTTGATGTATCTCATTCACTGTTCAAACACCAGCAGTGTCTGATACATGGTGGGTATCCAGTAAATGTTGCATGAACAAATGGATGAATGGATCAATACGTAATAGTTGATGGATGAAAAATTGATTGGATGAATGAGTGGACAGAGAGAGGGAAAGGATAACTACATGACTGGATATGTGGCTAAATACATGAAAGTATGAATGCATGAAGGTTGGGTGAATAGAATGTCGTTGATTAGGATAAGTAGCTCCTAGCCTCCAAGCTCATCCCACCTTGCTCCTGGGCACTTCCCATGTGGCAAGTTACACTTTTTCCTTCAGAATTAGGGCCCTGCATCATGGTAACTAAAAGTATATTCTCAATGATGGGTTAAAAATATCCTTCACGTCTCCTCAGTTTTTCCCCTAATCTCTTTAATCTTCCCAAGGATATCCAAAGGGCAGTTTAGGAAGGATGCCTTGTATACCAACCCATATGAACCCAGGACACATACAAAAGGGTTCATGGGGACCCCGCTGAAATAGTAACAGAGTCCAGAAAGTCACATACGAGACCGCAATACCTGGCTCTGGCAGCCAAAACTCTCTCTGTTTTCTGAGAGGCAGTGGAACTAGGGGGAAAACCAAGTCTCTCATTCTCTCAAAATCCACACACGCACTGTGTACTTACTCTGTACAAAGCCCCATTCTTTGGGAGATTACAGTCTAGGGGTCACTTCTGAACCTTTAAGACGATGGTGGCTTCGCATAGAGACTCTTCTTCTTGGGGCCTGGGCTGGATCGCAGCCTCCTTGCAGTTAGGTAAGGCTAGGGATGCTCCTCTTCAGGAGCCCCCCAGTGGCCGCCAAGTCCCACAGCCTTCTGGGAAGAAATGGCGGCTGCTCTAGTTTGAAGAAGTCGCTGCCTTCCTTCTGCCTCAACAAGGCAGACCCTCTTCCCCGAGGCTGTGGAAGATCCAAGCCCTTGCAGTAGACCCTTCTCTAAGTCTGAGCTAACCTGATGGAGTGGAGAAGACCCTTGAGAGAGTTTCTAGTGGGGCGCTGCCCCTGTGTTCATGGTAAGGGCAGGAATGGGATAGATTGTCAGTCGCACTGTGTGGCAAATAGCTTTCACCCATGGAAAGATTTGATCTAGGGAAGTTTTTCTGGGGCAGAGTTGTAACTTCCAGAAATGCTGATTTGTTGGAAGATCATGAAGATAGAGCTCGGTGAGTAATAATCAAGTGGGAGTCCCTAAGAATCAGGGTTTGTGGTCCTTAAAGACAGTAAGGTAGATGGTGCCTCAAGCATAGGTCTCAAAATCTTTCTAGGTTTAGGAGCCTCAGACTTTCACAGAAATGGATGGTTTTATAAGGGTTATGAAATAATGAGAAGACACATGGTATCCAGGAGCCCCCTTTCTTGTTTTTCTACCTGGCCCAGACTGTAATGAATTCTGCCCCCTCTCATCCCCTCTCGTTATAGATGGGGAAACTGAAGCTGGGAGAAAGGGTATATGTCATTCAAGCTTGCTCAGATCTTAGCAATCAAGCCTTCAGGATTGAATCTGGCACCAGGTGCTGAGATGGGTAAAGAAAATCAACATTTCTTGAATACTTACTATGTACCAGTCTGAGCCAGGTTCACAAACATCATAACATTAAATCCTTCCAACCAAACAAAAGCTCAGATTCAAGAGTCTTTCCTGATTCAACACACTTCAAACTACAACCTGTGTGTCTACCACAGGGCCAGCAGATCAATTATATCATGAAGCAAATGTCATCATGCACAAGAAAACACTTCTTTGATCCCAAAATAAGTAATCTATAAGGTATGAGGATCATAAGAACACAATGGCAACTAACATTTGTGTGCTGTTCTATGTTGCTATAGAAAAGAGCCCTGTGAGGCAGGTTATATTGCAATTTTTATTTACTTCCATGTAACGGATAAGGAAATTGAGACTCAGAGATAAAAGTGACCCAGCCCAGATCACTGAATTGATATGCGGCAGAGAAAGGAGGCCTCAAACCCAGATGGTCTGACTCCATGCCCCGAAACACCCCCTAACCTTTTTTTTTTTTTTTTTCTTTGAAATGGAGTCTAGCTCTGTCACCCAGAGCTAGTAGTTGGGACTATAGGCATGCACCACCACACCCAGCTAATTTTTGCATTTTTAGTAGAGACGGGGGTTTCTCCATGTTGGCCAGGCTGGTCTCAAACTCCTGACCTCAGGTGATCCACCTGCCTCAGCCTCCCAAAGTGCTAGGATTACAGGCATGAGCCACCGTGCCCAGCCCTTGAACTCTTTACAGCACAGTACCTCCTTCAAGGACATGGACAAAGGCTTTTCTTTTTTCTTGTGTCATTCCCTGTCTTCTGAGTTTCTCCTTAACCTCAGCTTTTTCTTTGGAGCAGCTGAAGATGGGCCATTTTCAACACGTTTTTCTATTAACTGAAGTGGCACTAAATACTATCGCTACTATGAAACTAATCAGCAATTTGTGGGACGCCTTAACACCCATGTAGCCCCATTTGGGGCCATACTTATTTCCTAATTGGGAAGTGATTTATACTTGGGACTTGGGACATGTGCTTCTGTCAGTGATGTGGCTATGTAGGATGGCTTGATTCTTTTTTTGTCCCCCAAGATTCTGCTGTCTAAAGCCAAATGGCCATAGAGTTGAGCAAATTTAATTAACAGACAGTTCTGGTCCTGTGAGATGGAAAAGCTTTCACTTCCCATCAAATTTGCAGTAATTCCAAGGATAAAGCCAAAAAAAGTTTTATCTTGCAAGATCCTGTAGTCTTCTGCTGGTAATAGAGTTTTTGGGGTCATTTATCTTTTTTTCTTAGAGTTCTGACAAAATTTGTCAAAGTTCATTAAACTAACCCGCCTTTAAAAAGAACCCTTAAAAATATCCTTGGAGCTCTCCTTTGCAGCAAGGATTATAACCCCCATTTTATTTTATTTTATTTTTACTCAAATAAAAATATTTATTTTATTTTTTGAGTAACTAAAATATTTTTTGAGTAACTAAAATATTTATTTTATTTTTTGAGTAACTAAGATATTTATTTTATTTTTTGAGTAACTAAGATATTTATTTTATTTTTTGAGTAACTATTTTTTGAGTAAAGAAAATATTTATTTTATTTTTTGAGTAAAGAAAATATTTATTTTATTTTTTGAGTAAAGAAAATATTTTATTTTTTGAGTAAAGAAAATATTTATTTTATTTTTTGAGTAAAGAAAATATTTATTTTATTTTTTCAGTAAAAATAAAACCAGGTTTTTCTGTTGTCCAGGCTAGAGTGCAGTGGCACAATCATATAGCTCACTGAAGCCTCGAACCCCTGGGCTTAAGCACTACTCCTGCCTCAGCCTCCTGATCAGCTGAGACCACAGGCATGTGCCACCCCACTCGACTAATTTCTTATTTTTTGTAGAGATGGGGTCTCGCTGTGTTGCCAGGCTGATCTTGAACTCCTCGGCTCAAGTGATCCTCCTGCTTCAGCCTCCCAAAGTGCTGGGATTACAGGCATGAGCCACCCTGCCTGGCCATTTTACATATGAGGAAACCAAGGCTTGGAGAGTTGCAATGATATCCGTAAGGCAATAGAATCAGGTGGGCGTTGTGAAGCTGGGATTGGGAGGTGAGCACATGTCAGTTGGACTCTACATCCCATCATCTTGTACCTTTCCTGTCATGTTCACTGTTACCTAGATTGCAAGAGAGTGCAGGCAGAAACTGCACCCGGTCCCTAATCCCTTGTACACAGTAAGGACTCAATAAATATTTTAAAATAAACACGCAGCAGAAAGAAGAGTCAGGAATCCTGGGGGGTTCTCCACATCCTAAGCTGTGTGACTTTAGTCCAGTCACTCTACTTCTCTGATTCTTCTCACACATATCTGTAAAATGAGGATATTTACCCCACTTCTGACTGCTTCATGAGGTTGTACAGAGGTATTATTAACTATATACTACAAAGGATAATTCCTTTTGTAATTTTTTTTAGTTCCAAAACGTAGCAGTTGTGTTCAGGTTATGTCCACAGAAACAACAACTTCCAGGCAACTTCCAGTGCCTGGAAATCCTGGGAACATGTCTTTTCACAAAGGTGAGAATTTTCCATGAATTAGAGGCCATAGGTCAGGCCTTTCTCTCAAGTAGATGGAAAAGTGGCCACAGGCTCTAATTCTGTGCTTCCGTTGGTTCTGAAGGTTCCAGACAGGTATGTGCAAAACCTTCTTTACCAATCTCTTACACAGCAGTTAGAAAAGAGGCACATATTTTTTACTCCCGGAATCTCCAAGGTGCTGAAAGTTCTGAGGACATATGTGCAAAGCCTTCTGCACTCTGGCTTGGTAAAAACTTCTATACAGTGTACAGGCTGGCAGAAGCCAAGAACAGACAGTGCTGTGACTTTCTATTTGAAATTCTTTACTTTCCCTTGAAGAAGTGTCCAACTCTCTTCCATTCTCCACCTCCCACTGACACACTACAGTGTCTCAGAACTTTTCTTTCTTTCTCTTGCCTTTCTCTCACTGTCTCTCTTCTTGCCTGAGGAAAAAACAGCAGCCTTGCTCTTCTTAACTCAGCAGTACTGCAGGCAGGCCTGCCTTCTAAAGAGTAGCCTCCTCCTCTTCCATTTCTTCCAAAGTCAACAAGAAGTCCCAGCCACTACTTTAAAGGCTGGGATCCCAGGAGCTGGTGACATTGTGTGTACTCAGGGCTCCCGTTACTTATGATTGCTTGGAGCCTCTAATGCAAACAAGAGCCAAGGAAGAGGAAGGCGCAACAAGAGATAGAATGAAGAGACAGTCGGCTGGGCGCGGTGGCTCACACCTGTAATCCCAGCACTTTGGGAGGCTGAGGCAGGTGGATCACGTGGTCAGGAGTTCAAGACCAGCCTGGCCAAGATGGTGAAACCCTGTCTCTACTAAAAATACAAAAATTAGCCAGGCATGATGGCAGGGGGTGCCTGTAATCCCAGCTACTGGGGAAGCTGAGGCAGAGAATTGCTTGAACCTGGGAGGCGGAGGTTGCAGTGAGCTGAGATTGCACCAGTGCACTCCAGCCTCAGGAACAGAACAAGACACTGTCTCAAAAAAAAAAAAAAAAAAATGAAGAGACAGTCATCCCTCATTAGACAGCACCCAGGTCCCACTCTGTCTTTCCTATCACCAAGCACAATGAAAAACAAGCACACAGACTTCTCACTTGGAAAATTATAATGCTGTGGCTCAAGAAAGTGACTATCCATGCCCACCCCTGGCATGCTCAGAACAACAGAAAGAAATCAGGGTCCAATCTGGCTCACAGAACCACAGCATACTTTAATGACTTCGAGGCGCAGAAACATCATCGGGATAGGTAATGTGGTGGCATGAGCCTATTTCAGTGCAATCTGCATGCACAGGAGACTTTATAATCTTGGGTAGTCCAAATCCACTATTGTGGGTAAAACTGCAAAGCAAATTCTACATCTTTCCCAATTCTCTCCCATCATCTTAACAACCCACATTCCATCATAAGCTGCAGGGAAGAGTCATTTAGAGGAAGACGTGTGAGTGTTGATATTGCCATTAGCACCAGAAAGCACTCACCTAATTTAGGGTATTTTTGATGTTTGGCTACAAGGAATCAAGCTCAGAGTCATGAAACTCACATTTATTTGTCAAAGATAAGGTAAGCAATAAGAATATACAGATATGTAGTTTCAGCTGCCTCCTGGGTATCTTGAAGGCACCCCTAAACCCAACATATGCAACACCAAATGCATCCTCCCCCACCCCCTTCCACCCGCACTTATTGTTTTCTCTTCTAGAGTTTTCTTTCTCAGATTAGAGCATCATCATCCCCTAGTCTCCAGGACAAAATCCTGGCAGTCACTTTGACTCTTCTCTCTCCTTTCTTCCCCGAGTCTGGCTAATTTATCTGCCTGTATCCTCCCGTGTGCCTGCTGCTCTTCATTTCCACTACCTGATTTCCATCTCTCATCTTCTTCTACATGAATGATTGTGACAATCTAATAACAGGTCTCCCTGCCTTCAGTATTGACCCACCTTTAATTCTCTCTTCATATGCTTGATGGAGTGATTGTTCTAAAATAAAATTATGACCATGTCATCTGCAACTGAAAGCTATTTGACAGCTCCCCATTGCCTAAAGACCCAAATCTTGGGTATGTCTGACAAGGACTTTCCTTGTCTGTTCTTGCTGATACGAATTTTCTAACCTCATCTCCCATCACTACCTCACACACAGGTGCTGATGCAGCCACAACAAACCTTTTGTCATCCCCTGAATAAGTCCTTAAAAATGTTTTCTTTATGAATACTGTTTAGCCATTTGGCAAATACATAATTATCTCTTAAGGCCTGGCTCACGCATCACCTCTGTGAATCCTTTATTGGTTCCCCCAAAGAGAGCCAGTGGCACCCTCCTCTAAGCTCCCATAATGTTTTGGAAAAGCTCTCCAGTGCAGCAAGTTGTGTGCCCCTTTATATGTCTACTTGCCGCTCCTGTGAAGTTCCCCTTAAAGATAATGGTCTCTTTGAGTTACAGGCAAAGGATCGAGCTAAAGATAATTTAGAAGTCATCAAGACACAGATCATAATTAAAATCGTGGATGTGGGTAAGACCATGACAGATAGTATGTTGGATTCATGCCATGTCAATCTTCTGATTAGAGTAGGCCACAAGAGATATTTTCACTGGAGATTTGGAATGAAAAAGCAACCATTTGTTTTTATGCTTGGACAGTCGGGGCAGGCCCTTCTGTAGCTCACACTCATTGTGTATGTGCTGGCTCATCTCATTGGTGAGGTGGCAAGCCAACCCACACTGGTTCTGCCATCCACTGGGTCCTCCTTCAGTTTCTCCAGCTCCTGGGCCAGGTGTGTGTTTAACTCCGTGACAAAGGGTACCAACCTCTGCAGCAGGGCACCCACATCAGCAAGACTTGAAGCAGTGAGAACTGACATGGGTTCCAGTCCCTTGTCATGAATTCCAGCTCATTCTCATGGGATCCGGGTGCCCTTGCTCTCTCCCTTCCCCTTACATCAATCAGCTCTTCCCGATAACTTCAGTCTTCAAACATCAGCATTGGACCCGAAGACAATAGCCCTACAGACATTGATTAATCAGCTCCCACCATTGCATGAGGTCAAATCCCTGTAACAAATCTATCAGCTCTCTATCATCTATCTATCTATCTATCTATCTATCTATCTATCTATCTATCTATCTCTATCTCTATCATCTATCTATAGCTCTGTATCTACTACTATCTAGCTAACTAAACTAGCTAACTAAACTATCTATTGAGCTTTCTATGTGTCTATCTATCTAATCTATCTGTCTTCTATCTGACTATCAATATATTTTCCAGTGATTCTTCTCTGATGGAATCCTGACTAATACAGCATTTGGTACCAAAAATGAGGTGATGCTCTGTATTAGTTATCCACCATTACAAAATGAATTTTCCCAAAACTTAGCTTCAAACAAAAAACGCTTATTATCTTAACGTGGGTCAGGAATTTTAAAGCAGCTTCTTTGGGTGGTCTGGCTAAGGGTCTCTCATTAGGTTATATTCAAGATGTTGACTAGAGCTGCAGTCATCTGAAGGTTTAATTGGGGCTGGAAGATCTGCCTCCAAGCTCACTCTCAAAGCTGTTGGAAGGAGGCCCCAGTTCCTTTCTGGCTGTTGGCCAGAGGGCTCAGTTCTTCACCATATGGGCATCTCTATAGGGCTGCTTGTGAGTGCTAAGCACATGACATCTGGCTTGTCTAGGAAAAGCAAGTGATGAGAGAGAGAGAGAGAGAGAGAGAAAACTACAATACCTTTTATAACAGTCTCAGAAGTGAACTACTTGCTCTTTCATTATATTCTAGTCAAGTGAGTTACTAAGTCCAGCCCACACTCAAGGAGAAGGAATTAAGCTTCACCTATTAATGGGAGGCATCTCAAAGAATGTGTGCCTCTATTTTAAAACCACCGTATATATAGAAAGAGCTGAGTAGAGAAAAGGGCCAAATATGCCCAACCTCACTTATCCAAGGTGGCTCAACTATTTCTCTTTTTCTCATCTTTTGCTGTGTGTGAACATGTCTTGCCTCCATCCAAGCCCTGGCCATAGAACTGTAAATATCAATTTTATTCCCCCCACCAAAAAATTTCAAAGTCTTTCTAGCCTGGAAATATTTTCTGTTCCTGTAGTCACATGCTAAAAATTGTATTAACTTGCACCCTCTAATGTAACTATCAAGCTGATCTGAACCCCAGTAAATGTGTATTTGTTGAATAAATAAATTGATTCTGTCATTTAAATATTTGCTGATTAACTCACATGTTCATTCACTACATACTCATTGAGCAGGTATTATGTGTTAGGCCCTGTACTAGGCTGTGAGAAATACAAAGAGGAATAACATCTCATTCCTATATTTAAGGAGCTCTCATTGTGCCTAAATGTCAATTCATCTCCCACATGAGGACTCAAGGGTGAATTTGCCTTAAGCTCTTAAGAGCAGAAGCCCAGCCTTCTTCTCATAGTGATAACTTCTTGAAATTCTAAACCAGAATCTTGAAGAGGGTAGGCCAAGTGTTCCTGGGGTGGATGCCCTGGCCAGAGTTGAGGTGCCCTTCTTTTGGGACAGCCACGAAGTTGGGTCTCCCAGGGTCAGCTTGAGTGGGTGGGGTGTGCTCAAGGTGAGATGCTGCAGAAAGTCCATGGGTGGATCAGAATAGCTCCCCAAGTCTCTGCTCCCATCTGGCCTAGTAACACACATGAGGAGTGTGCCAAGGGGAAGGTGATATGTACAAAACCCCAGCTCTGCCTCCTGCTTTACTCTCTGGCTATTTTTGGAACAGGTGCCCTAGATCTACTCTACATCACAACAAAAGTTGTCACTTCAGAGCAGAAGTAGGGAGGACAGAATCAGATTTTCACTTTGAAGGGCACCCAGAGGTTGCATAACTCAATTTGATGAGCAGATCCTTCCTATGACATCTCCTTCTTTTTTTTTTTTTTTTTTTTTTTTTTTGAGACGGCTTCTCACTTTGTTAACCAGGCTGGAGTGCAGTGGTGTGATCTCGGCTCACTGCAAACTCTGCCTTCTGGGTTCAAGCGATTCTCCTGCCTCAGCCTCCTGAGTAGCTGGGATTATAGGCACAAGCCACCATGCCCAGCTACTTTTTGTATTTTTAGTAGAGACGGGGTTTCACCATGTTGGTCAGGTTGGTCTTGAACTCCTGACCGCCTGCCTCAGCCTCCCAAAGTGCTGGGATTACAGGCGTGAGCCACCGGTCTCCTTCCAATTATATTTCTACAAGTGGTTGTCTAGCCTGGATTTGGGAAACTCCTGTGACTGGGAGCTCACCACTTCCTGAGGCTCTTCCTTCTACAGGGTTTATTCCTTTCAAAGGCGGGTCATTTCTACCTGTTTGAAAGACCCTCCTAACTCCATTAGGATGAAACCAACTTCTCTAAAATTGGCCATTTGCCTTTATGGTAACTTCTGGACTCACCTAGAATAACTTCATTTCCCTTTTAACAACAAAAGCATCATCAAGTGAAATAATAACAATGCTAATAAAAGCTAACTTTCTGAAGGGCTATTTGCAGACAAAGTACTGAATCCTTTACCTGAATTACACTGTTCATCCCTAAAGTAATCCTATGAGGTAGGTACTATTATTACCCCCATTTTAAAGATGAGGAAACTGAGGCAAGAACCAGAAGATAAATATCAAGTTTCACCAAGTCTTCTCTTTTAAGGCTAACTATCCTTCCATTTTATCAGCTCTTCCTCTTTCGTCTTGAGAGAGACAATGTAGTAGAGTGGAAAAAGTATAACCTTTGAGTCAGGCCAACCAAAGTTGAAATTCCCCTTTTGTTTCCTGCACCACCTTCAATAAGTCACTTAACCATTTGAGCTGCTGTCCCCTCATCAGAGTTGACATGTTATAAACCCAGGAGAAAAACAGAAAAGCTGTAAGTGTGAAGAGCCTAGCCAAGGCCTAGTACAAAATAAGTTCTTGATGCTAAATGTTTCCTTGTCAGCATCCCGAACGCCACTAAGACTGAGTGCGGTCTGTAAAAGTTTTGAATGTATGACACGCAGGATTGCATATGTCACACTCTAGGCATCTTCTGATAATCTCAGAAGAGACAACGATATGTGTCCCCTCCTCCTGGGGAGACAGTCTGAGATAAGCATCTTTTGGCGGCCATGCCATGCAGATAAGACACATTGCATTTCCAGCTGACTCAGACCCCAAAGCCTTTCTCCCCTATAGGCTCTAATTAGAAGTAACACCCCTATCATGTTTTTGGACAGTGGACATTTGGGACCCAATTGCAGGAATTTATACTTAACCCAGTTAAACTACCATCTATTAAGGCATTTTACATCACAAACTGTTGTCAAATGTCTCCCTATTTCCTTCTCTTCGAACCAATCTTAGTTTTGGTGAACAGCTCACTGGATCATTAACCCAATGAAGGGCCCATGGGCTCTTCATGGTCCACCTCTGCCTTTCTTTCAGTACCTCCTCTAACCTCGCTTTTCCTAACTCCCTGAGCTCCAGCTCCATGCAGCAGTATTGGGTCCCAAGTGCTCTCTGCGCTTCCTGCTGCAAGAAGGAATATGTGTCTGCCGTTCTGCCTGCAGCAATGCTACCCCTGTCCTTTGCCTCGTTAACACCTGTACATGCTTCAGACCTCAGCTTGATTAGGAGTGTCGGCTCAGCAGCCAACTGCCTGGTCCTGCTCTGCCATTTGCTAACTGTGTGCCGTGGGCAAATAAAACACTTAACCTTTGTGTGTCTCAGTTTCTTTGTCTCTAAAATGGGCATAACAGCAGCAATAATAGACCTATTGTGAGGATAACATGTAAAGCATAAAAAAACCCTAAGCGTATGACATATAGTAAGTGCTGTAAAAGTATTAACAATTATTATTACATAATAATAAGTATAATTACTTAGGAGAGCCTTCCCTGAACCCTCATACTAGATTTTGGACTCACGGGGGGTGTGTGTGTGTCCCTATTATATAGATGTGTGTGTATATATGATAAAATTTAGGCTGGCATGGTGGCTCACCCCTGTAATCCCAGCATTTGGGGAGGCTGAGGCAGGATTATTTGAGGCCAGGAGTTTGAGACCAGCATGGGAAACACAGCACAACCCCATCTCTAAAAATAAAAAATTAGCCGGGCGTGGTAACATATCTCTGTAGTCCCAGCTTCTCAGGAGACTGAGGCGAGAGGACTGCTTGAGCCGGGGAGGTTGAGGCTGCAGTGAGCTGTGATCACACCACTGCACTCCAGCCTGGGTGACAGAGTGACACCTTGTCTCTAAAAATTAATTATTTAATTAAAAATGAAATTCATATGTATTTATAACAAGGACCTTTTATTTTCTGCATTGTACATTTATTTGTTCGTTATTTGAATTGTCTGAGTCCCTTCCACTAAATTGTAAGCTTCACAAGGGCAAAGACTTGTGTTGCGTCTTACTACTTTTGCTCACTTCAGTGTCTGGGCCATGTCGTGGCACTTCTAGGAGTATTCACTGAAGGTGCAAATGCAAGTTGTTGAACGCAGCAGCCACAACTTCGGGTTAATCGTGTTCTTTGGCCTATCCATTCATCCATACGCCCACATCTAGAATACTATCATTCAGTCAGTTCCAAGTCTTCATGACGGCTCAGTCATTAATTTTCTGGCACTTGTTCAAGGTTATGGATATAGCAGATAAAACACTGGCTTCGAGTAGGGAAGGCTTAGCCTCAAATCCCAGGTCAGCCACTTGCTACGCTTGGGTCTTCAGATTAGTCCTTTAACCTCTTTGAACCTCAGTGTGAGTGTGCTGGCAAAGAGGAGAGAGAGGAAGAGGTGATATTAGCACCTGCCTTAGAGGGCTGCCATGTGAATTAAATAAGATAAACATTACTGACATTTATGAGACAGTCACCAGGTCTCAACTAAACTCCTTAATCTTTTACATGGGCCATCCCATTTAATCCTTGCAACGAAGCTCTGAGGCAAGTGGTATTATTTCCTCCATGCGATAGAAAAAGACATGTAAGCCTAGAGTGATTAAGTGTCTCCATGCAGGAAAGGGAGAGACCATGTTTGAACCCAAGATGTGTAGGCCTGTTGCTCCCGGACCAGACCAGGTTCTTGACTTTGCTGCACAAAATAATTTGAGAGTGAGTCCAAAGTAAAAGTATGCAAGAAAGTTAATTGCAAAGTGAAAGTACACTCTGACAGCTGATCAGAGCAGGCTGCTCAAAGGCAAGACAGCACTGACTCGTGCTAAGGTAACTGTCTTTATGGGAGGCTTTCATGATTACTCCTAAAGGGATGGGAAGGGTTGTTGTCAGGTAGCATGTTATGGGCGGTTTTCTGTCGGTGAATGCTCTGTGGTTGTACATCCTAGTATATACATCACATGTCTCATTAGCATCTTAGATCCCTACCCAGGGGTGTGTTTTTAAATATTATCATGTCCATAAATCAGCCCAAGCACACTAATGATGGGTTTCTGCACTTGCACAAATTTGGAGATTCTCTCTTCTGCTCCTCTACCTCCTTGCTGCACGGTGTCCTAACCATGAGCCTGGGATGTGGTTTGTACACTGTGGGGTGGTTTGTTCTCTCCCTTTATTTAGCAAGTGCATTCTCCTTTAAGGGAGGCTGTGACTGTCCTGTCCAACCTACCTCAGACCTAGAACCTGAGCTCTCAGCTCATCTTCCACTCTGCCTCACGCACAGTATTTAAGATGTGCCTGCTGCAGGTCACACGTTGGAAGTACTGGTTGAAAGATGCTGATGTTGAGAATGGCCCACATGAGAGACACTTGCATAATACTCTACTCTTCAGAAACACATTTGTTCTCATTCTCTCTCCTACAGCTTCCCCAAAACATCCACTGACATCATCTCAAGATTATCTACTGACATCAACAACTATTCAATAGGCACCAGGGACTAATCAAGAGAGAGATTTTCTAAGAATAGCTTTTATATTCTCCACGCCACTGGCTAATATTGTCCCCATCTATACGATCTAATCAGAATTCTTGCTGATTTGAAAGCAAATATAATAACAATAAGAGCGCCACTTATTAGCATGCAGCTTAGAAAGTGGCTCATCCCAAATAGTCTATTTTTTCTTTCCACATGAGAAGTTTGGAGATTGCTTAGATGAGCCAGATATTACTTGAAGGCAGGAAAGGGGAAGAATATCTGAAATCAAATAAACTCCACAGAGAGTTATCAATGATCTGCCTTTTGCTGCTGGGAGTTTGGAATGAGATTAGGAAAGAATGTGGTAAGAATCAAGGAATTGTAGAGTCAGGGACACAGGCTGAGGGACCAGGGAGGGGCCTAGGAGGGAAAATAGCCCTGAAGCCTGCTCTCATTTGCAGTGATCTTATGATGTGATTGGGGCATTAACATGTATCATTTTTAATCCTCATAAAGCCTTGGGCTATAACATTCTCTTATTTTATGATCATAGAAGCAGGGCTTGGAGAGGTGGGGTAACTTGTCAAAGTTACAAAGGTTGTCAAGGGCTGAGGCAGAATTCAAATAGCTGTATTCTCCAGCTCACTGTCCATATTGTGTATCTGTGTGTGTATGTGTGTTGGGGGAGAGGTGTTGAATTACAGAGCACGTAAGATTCAATCTCTTTTTCTTAATGTATTCTTTCTCCCTTTATTCTATCTAGATCCCCCCTCAGTCTCATGGCATTCAATACAATCTGTAGGCTGACAACTCGAAAATATATATCTCTGATCTAGACCTCCCTTGTGAGATTCAGACTTGTAATTTTCATTTGCCTACTTGACATTTCCACTTGGATATCTAACAGCAATCTTAGACTTAACACTTCTAAAACTAAAATCCTGATCTCGTCCCAATATCCATTTATTCATCTTGCAGCCTTCCCCATTGCAGAGGTTGGTGCCACCATCTTCCTAGCCCAGAGCTAGGAGAGCAGGGAGTCATTCCGATCACCTTCTCCTCCCTTGGCCTCACACATCCCCATCCCGTGGCTCCATCCTGCCTATCTCAACCCACTGCATTCCATTTCTACCATCACCAGTGCAATGATTGCCTTCCTCTTTCCTGTTTCTATTTCCTTTTCCTATTTCCTACTCAGCCCCTAGAATAAAATCCAACTTCCTCAAATGACCTTTAAGGTACAATGTGATTTAAGCTCTTCTTGAGTTAGGTACCCCTCTTCTTCACCGCACGCCAGGCACTCTGGCCATTCTTTAGTTCTCTGAATATATCAGTCTTCTCTACGTCGTGATAGTCATACAACCTGCATTTAATCTTCTAAGATTCCTCTTCTGCTTTCTCCACTGACTCCCATTCATTCTCTAGATCTCAAAGTAAATGTCACCTTCTCAAAGAGACTCTCCCAAGCCAACCGAGCTATATAGTATGGAAAGAACTTTCTGTATGTTATCTGTTATAGTCATTGGTTCCTTTTTGCTCATTGAGAAGTCATTAATTATTCTTTCTTATGACTTAGTGAAGTAAGCATATTTTCCTCTGTTTGTAAGAAAACTAAAAATAGACCAGTTGAGTAACTTTTCTAGGGTCACAGGGCTAAGAAGTTACAGGACCAGAACTTGAACCCAAGTCATCCTAACTCCAGAACCAACACCCCTATTCATGGCACCATGTCACATTCCCACCATGCTGCCTGCATGATGCTGGGTGCGCAATAGACGCTCAATCTAACATAGTTCTCACTCTTTTCCTCCTACCCTTCATTGAGTAAGTTGCAGCTTAAGTGAATGTGCACATTATCAGTGTTCTCTGCTCTGTTCATCTCTCCTGTGCTAGTGAAAACAAATGGAATGTTTCAAGTAATCTCTCAGCTTTTTGATAATGGGAGCTTCCAGGGAGCCTCATTCCTCTATTTACTAAACAATTCTGACCTCTTTGTCTGGAGCTCTTTCTCTGAGATTGTTGCTATTTTTACAAATGTGCTCCCTTACAAGCCTTAGAACGAGCCATCCAGTTCCCATTCCTTTATTGCATAGAAATGATGAATATGGAGCTGAATTCCCCCTGAATGAAAGTCTTTGTGCTCAGAATGCCTAAAATCTAGTTGGGAAGACTTACAAGCAAATAGACAATTACTACACGATACGTTAAGTGCTCTAATAAGCTAACTGCCTAGAGACAGAGGGTCAGAGCATCCCATGGGCAAACTGCTTGACCCTGAGGCACAGTCAACCAAAAATCTTTGACTAACAGCAACAAAACTGTTCTCTGTTCATCTGGTGCTCAACTCCCGGTTGCCAGTTGAGCCAGTTAAAGATGAATTGTGTCATTTTGAGTCATCCTTGGTTTAATGATCTCAGGACACAAAGACCTGAAGGACAATTCCTGGCGAAACAGCAAGAGGGAGGAATCTTATTTTTAAATGCCCGGGGCTTTCATTTTAGTTAATCATGAGTCTGCTCCCTTTCTTCTTTCTTCCTTCCTTTTGTTTATCCCTCCTTCCTTCCTCCCTTCCTCTTTCTTTCCCTTCCTTCCTTCCCCTCACTGATATTTATTAAGCATCTTCTATGAGTCAAACACCACCCAAAGTTTGGGAAGTTTATAGTGAGTGACAGCAGCCACTGTCCCTGCCCTCATGGAGCTCCCAGTCTAACAGAGAAGAGCCAAACAATCACACTAATCAGCATATGATTGCAAAGGATGGTAAGACTTCTGAAGGAAAGAACATGGGTATGGGACAGAACAGTAATAGTCTGATCCAGACTAGGAGATTGAGAGAGTCATCTGTGATGAAACAAAGGCTGAGCAGGAGTTAACCAGGTGAAGAGGGTTGGGGCAGATCATGTTGGATGGAGCAAAAAGCCTCTGCAAAGGCCCTGGGGCAGATGGAACATGATAAGCTCAAGGAAGGAAAAGAAGACTGTGTAATGAGAAAATGCAACTGTGTTCAAGCTATACGCTGGTTCATAGTGCAGGTAACCAGCTATGCAAAGATTTCTGCTCTGGTGAACATGCTGGAAAACACTGAGGGTGATGGTGATTATATAACAATGGCAATGATTGCCTCTTTGAATGCAAAATGGTGAATAAATAGCCCTGTCAACTTCTATCACCTGAAAATAGTATGGAATTTCTATCCCTGACCTTCGAACACAACTAGGACATCCTATGGGGAAAGGAAAATTAATATATTGGAAGAAGTCAGCTGAATTCGGGTTTTTTGAACTGTGTCCACTTTCAAGTGAGATATGGCAATGCAAACAAGATGTGCTACACAGCAGGGCAAAAATTTCATTTGGCCCCAAACTTACTGAGTGCTGTCAAAATAAGCTCTCACCAGACAGAGCCTGGGGCACTAAATGTCATTGAGCACCTATTAGGGGCCAAGCACAGAAGTCAGCCCTTGGTCCATTGCTTAGTGTAATTCTCACTGTAAGCGATGATGAAGGTACTGTTTGTTATGGCTCACCGTGCAGACAAGCCAATGAAGCCTGGCCAGCCGCCCCCACTCCCATTTACTCACCGCTTCATGACCACAATTTTCTTTCTTAAGTTATCACGTGGATTCTGTGTGCACTTGCTCTGTCTCTCTTCCACTTCAATGCATGCTGCTCAAGAGCAAAGCCATGTCTCTCACATCCACCCCTGCATAACCAGTGTGCTGTGCAGTGCAGTGCCAAGCAAATAGAGGACAAGCAGTAGGATTTCTCAACAAATTAAGTAACTTACCCAAGGTAAATTAGTCCACTGTGGCCTCATACCCATGCACTAAGGAAAACAAACTAAACAGAATCCTGGCATGGCAGGGGTATGGGGTTCATTTTATCACTCTTAATCTCCTCACTTGCTATAGCTCCTGGCATAGAATAGGTGCCCAGTAAATGTTTATAGAAGCAGTGAAAGATGCATACATTTTACAGTGGGGCTTGGCATTTCCCTTAGGGCAGCATTCGTCAACATGGGCATCAAACCATCTGGGGTTCCTGTTAAAATGAAGATTTCTGGGCCCCTTCTGTATACACTGAATGGAGTCTCCTATTAAGAACTTATTGAAGGAAGAGTAAAAACGCTTATTGAAGCCTCTCAAAGATGATTCTGAGGAACATGAAATATAGACATTGATATAGTTTGGCTTTTGTCCCTACCCAAATCTCATCTGGGATGGTCATCCCCATGTGTCAGGGGAGGGCCCGGTAGGAGGTGATTGGATCACGGGAGCGGACTTTCCC
Organism: Homo sapiens; assembly: GCF_000001405.40. Taxonomy (NCBI): domain Eukaryota; kingdom Metazoa; phylum Chordata; class Mammalia; order Primates; family Hominidae; genus Homo; species Homo sapiens. The sequence continues at coordinate 9,732,445 of NC_000016.10, read as the reverse complement.
CTGACTGTTCTTGTGATAGTGAATGAGTTCTCACAAGATCTGGTTGTTTGAAAGTGTGCAGCACTTTCTCCTTCGCTATCTCTCTCTTGCTCCACCATGATAAGACGTACTTGCTTCTCCTTCACCTTCTGCCATGATTGTAAGCTTTCTGAGGCCTCCAAGTCATAATTCCTGTTAAGCTTGTGGAACTGTGAGTCAGTTAAATCTCTTCTCTTCATGAATGACATAGTCTCAGGCAGTTCTTTATAGCAGTGTGAGAACGAACTACATTCAGACATTTTCCCTAATCCGGTGCTTTTCCTCTTTCACTAGCCTGGACTGGGTTCTGTATTTAAACCAATTTACAGCAGATGGGCTGCACTGGTGGGGATAGCGGTGGGGTTTAACAAGGAACATCCTCTGCCTTTGTCCTTTTTCACTGGAAACCTTAAAAAGCACAAGAAATTGTGTCCAGTAAGGCAACAAAAATGCCTTTATCTGTAGGTGCTGCCCCATCCAAAGAGCCCTGGTCAGTCTCTGGAAGACATTTCCGTTTTCGTATTTCAAGTTGAATCTTTGAGAGGCTCCACGGTGGAGTAGAAAGTCATGCCCGAGTCCAATTTCCACCTTTATCGTTTACCAGCTATGTGGTCCTGGCAGTCAGTTAACCTCCCAAAGCTTCAGTTTCTTCATCTGTAAGATAGAGATCACACCCAGCTCCAGGACAATGGGGAGCATGAAGTGAAATGATATCCAAGAGCACCCACAATAGCGATTGGACAGGCAGGTACTTCATAATTAGTGCTGTATCTTTCAAAAAATAACAATCATTATTTGAGTACTTACCATGTGTAAGACAGGCACTTTACTAAAGGTAGGTAATACATAGATGCAATAGATACTAAATATGATATAGCATGTATAATAAATATAATAAATATCATATTATAAACTATATTAATACAAATATTACCAACCAAAAAGAGTCCAGGACCAGATGGATTCACAGCTGAATTCTACCAGAGGTACAAGGAGGAACTGGTACCATTCCTTCTGAAACTATTCCAATCAATAGAAAAAGAGGGAATCCTCCCTAACTCATTTTATGAGGCCAGCATCATCCTGATACCAAAGCCGGGCAGAGACACAACCAAAAAAGAGAATTTTAGACCAATATCCTTGGTGAACATTGATGCAAAAATCCTCAATAAAATACTGGCAAACCGAATCCAGCAGCACATCAAAAAGCTTATCAACCATGATCGAGTGGGCTTCATCCCTGGGATGCAAGGCTGGTTCAATATATGCAAATCAATAAATGGAATCCAGCATATAAACAGAACCAAAGACAAAAACCACATGATTATCTCAGTAGATGCAGAAAAGGCCTTTGACAAAATTCAACAACCCTTCATGCTAAAAACTCTCAATAAATTAGGTATTGATGGGACGTATCTCAAAATAATAAGAGCTATCTATGACAAACCCACAGCCAATATCATACCGAATGGGCAAAAACTGGAAGCATTCCCTTTGAAAACTGGCACAAGACAGGGATGCCCTCTCTCACCACTCCTATTCAACATAGTGTTGGAAGTTCTGGCCAGGGCAATTAGGCAGGAGAAGGAAATAAAGGGTATTCAATTAGGAAAAGAGGAAGTCAAATTGTCCCTGTTTGCAGATGACATGATTGTATATCTAGAAAACCCCATTGTCTCAGCCCAAAATCTCCTTAAGCTGATAAGCAACTTCAGCAAAGTCTCAGGATACAAAATCAATGTACAAAAATCACAAGCATTCTTATACACCAATAGCAGACAAACAGAGAGCCAAATCATGAGTGAACTCCCATTCACAATTGCTTCAAAGAGAATAAAATACTTAGGAATCCAACTTACAAGGGATGTGAAGGACCTCTTCAAGGAGAACTACAAACCACTGCTCAATGAAATAAAAGAGGATACAAACAAATGGAAGAACATTCCATGCTCATGGGTAGGAAGAATCAATAATGTGAAAATGGCCATACTGCCCAAGGTAATTTATAGATTCAATGCCATCCCCATCAAGCTACCAATGACTTTCTTCACAGAATTGGAAAAAACTACTTTAAAGTTCATATGGAACCAAAAAAGAGCCCTCATCACCAAGTCAATCCTAAGCCAAAAGGACAAAGCTGGAGGCATCACACTACCTGACTTCAAACTATACTACAAGGCTACACTAACCAAAAGAGCATGGTACTGGTACCAAAACAGAGATATAGATCAATGGAACAGAACAGAGCCCTCAGAAATAACGCCACATATCTACAACTATCTGATCTTTGAAAAACCTGAGAAAAACAAGCAATGGGGAAAGGATTCCCTATTTAATAAATGGTGCTGGGAAAACTGCCTAGCCATATGTAGAAAGCTGAAACTGGATCCCTTCCTTACACCTTATACAAAAATTAATTCAAGATGGATTAAAGACTTACATGTTAGACCTAAAACCATAAAAACCCTAGAAGAAAACCTAGGCATTACCATTCAGGACATAGGCATGGGCAAGGACTTCATGACTAAACACCAAAAGCAATGGCAACAAAAGCCAAAATTGACAAATGGGATCTAATTAAACTGAAGAGCTTCTGCACAGCAAAAGAAACTACCATGAGAGCGAACAGGCAACCTACAAAACGGGAGAAAATTTTCGCAACCTAGTCATCTGACAAAGGGCTAATATCCAGAATCTACAATGAACTCAAACAAATTTACAAGAAAAAAACAACCCCATCAAAAAGTGGGCAAAGGATATGAACAGACACTTCTCAAAAGAAGACATTTATGCAGCCAAAAGACACATGAAAAAATGCTCATCATCTCTGGCCATGAGAGAAATGCAAATCAAAACCACAATGAGATACCATCTCACACCAGTTAGAATGGCAATCATTAAAAAGTCAGGAAGCAACAGGTGCTGGAGAGGATGTGGAGAAATAGGAACACTTTTACACTGTTGGTGGGACTGTAAACTAGTTCAACCATTGTGGAAGTCAGTGTGGCGATTCCTCAGGGATCTAGAACTAGAAATACCATTTGACCCAGCCATCCCATTACTGGGTATATACCCAAAGGACTATAAATCATGCTGCTATAAAGACACATGCACACGTATGTTTATTGCGGCACTATTCACAATAGCAAAGACTTGGAACCAACCCAAATGTCCAACAATGATAGACTGGATTAAGAAAACGTGGCACATATACATCATGGAATACTATGCAGCCATAAAAAATGATGAGTTCATGTCCTTTGTAGGGACATGGATGAAATTGGAAATCATCATTCTCAGCAAACTATCGCAAGGACAAAAAACCAAACACCACATGTTCTCACTCATAGATGGGAATTGAACAATGAGAACACATGGACACAGGAAGGGGAACATCACACTCTGGGGACTGTTGTGGGGTGGGGGGAGGGGGGAGGGATAGCATTAGGAGATATAGCTAATGCTAAATGACAAGTTAATGGCTGCAGCACACCAGCATGGCACATGTATACATATGTAACTAACCTGCACATTGTGCACATGTACCCTAAAACTTAAAGTATAATAATAACAAAAGGACTTTAAAAAAACAAATATATAATAAATATAAATATATTTTATATAACAATCATATGTGTATATATATGTGTGTGTACATATATATATACATATATATATACATATATATATATATATGAGAGAGAGAGAGAGACAGAGAGAGCAAGAGAGAGACTAATACCTTCGTGCAGCAGGTTTTACTATCTGTATTTTGCATATACTGAGGCCCTGAGAGGTTCTGCAATATGCCCAAGGCCACAAGGCAAGCGAAAAACACAGCAGGGTTACAGGTTTTCTGTCTGCATTCTGACCAAGGCATATACTGTTTTGTCCTTTGCTACCTCTTGGGGTAGAGTTCAGAGAAGAAAATGATAACTAATGCTCTGGGGTGTTGGTCCTGATCTGGTTCAGCTTTGAAATATATGAACTGTTTACCAAAGAGAGTAACTCCTTATCTCCCAAGTTATTGTCTGTGCCTTGATCCCTGTGGCCCTAGCTGAATGCTTCCTGGGTATAAATTGTTTAGGACACTGGTTCTCCAATCTTGCTGCACAATAGAATCTTCTGAGGAACTTAAAAGAATACCTATGCTTGGTCCAATCACATGTGAATCCTTGGAAGCAGGACCCAGACATCACAGTTTTTTAAGACTGCCTGGGTGATTTCAATGTGCATTCAGGATTAACACTGGCTTAGAGTTTTCTACCTTGACCTTCTGACAAACCCCAGCTCATGTGTGACAGCACCACCTGCAGAAAGTTCCTTAGCCTTTGAAAAAAAAAATGCCAAATTAGAAATGAGTGCATGAGATGGCTGAGGAAGTCTTTGGGGTTATTGAAAACATCGTTGCTCATCCCATGGATAGGAGGGAAGCATCAGTTTCCGTTTGCTCAACAAATTTTCAGCAAGCCTTTTCTGGACATGGGGGCTGCACTGGGATCCCCAAGGCCAGGGGAGCAAAGTAGAACAGCACTCACTATTTGAGGTCAGACAGCCCCAGTTACTGACCCTGTGGCCCTGGGAAAATCATTTACCTCTCTGAGCCTCTTCTAGAAAATGAAGCTCATAATGAGTACTTTGCCAAATTATAGGGATTAGAAAAAATATTAAGAGAAAGAAAACTAGCAGGTGCTCAATAAACAGTAGTTATAAATAGTAACAGTTGGCATTGATTAAACAGAGATGTAGCTGAACTACATAACATGGCCATTTTGTACGTCAAAAATTGTATCAGCAATTTCTCATGCTTCAGCCTAGCCCAGTGTGCTGAGGCTTCCTATGGACTATGACATTCAACCCTAGCACCGGCCTTTCATTATCCCCACTTAATAGATGAGAACACTGAGTCCTAGACAGGTTCAGACATTTCCCAAGGCCACAACTAGTAAACGGCAGTGTCTGCCGGGAATTCACATCCTAGGAATTTCCATGACTGGTTCATTCTCTACATTCAGGTTTTAGCTTCACAGTCACCTTCAAAGAGGGGACTTCCCTGACCCCATCCCCCACCCCAACAAAAGCAGCCCCCAGCCCCTCTGTCACCCCCACAGCACTCACTGCCATCTATTAGGTCCTTGCTTCTTTTTGTATTTATTTGTGAACTCAACCAGAAACATTATAAAAGCAAGGACCCCACCTTAGTGACGGCTATGCTCCAAGCATCATCCATAACAGTGCCTGGTACATAGTAGGTATATACAAAGTGTCTGCTAAATGAATGATAAAATGAGCATAAATATAAATTCAGACATTCTGATTCAAGTTCTTAGCGACTACACAATACCATGTTTTCCCCATGGTTATTATTAGGGTCTTGTCACTTTGGGCTTTGATGCTTAGTTAATTGCCTTCCAAGATAAAATGGATCCAAAAACCTGCAGGGAAAGTTGAGGAGGGGGAATCTGCCTTCCCCAGTGTGGGGTCTGCTGTGCACATGACTGATTTCCCTCTTCTAGATCTAACAGGTAATTCACAAGGATGGAGACACATTGTTTATAGATTACCTCCTTTTTTTTTACTTCAGAATGAGGGAAAAAAACCCAAAACTTGATCATAAACTCCCAGGCAGAAAACCATGGCGACCATCTCCTGGGTCTAATAAAAGTTGGATGATTCAGTGTCTCAAATAACTGTATCCAAATTGAGCCTGATCACACTCCTTTTTAAAAGGCCACGTTTCAGTTACATCATTTTATAGAAATAATTGCTCTGAGGACACTCACAGCATCATTTCACACAGGTGAAATATTCCTGGAGGTGGTCGGGAATTCCAGGCGTATTTTCTCAGGCACGTTGATGCCTAGCTTGTGAATTGTGAAGCAACATATATCAATGCCTGAAAGGTTACCACTGAGGTTAGGGAGCATTGTGAAAAACCACAAGTGATACCCGGCTAAGTGTTTTTCAGCCTCCATAGGTTTCCTCTCCACAACCTGGGATCCCTGAATCTCCAGCAATGAAAAAAAAAAACTATCGTCTTTAGAGTCAGACATTGCTGACTCTGAATCTTGGCTTTACCTCTTTCCAGTTGGGTGACCTTGGAGAAGCTGCTAAGCCTCTCTGATCACTGAGTATTAGTTTAGTAGAAAAAAAGTGTCCTTTAAGTCCTTCCAGAAGGAGAGGCTAGAATCAGATGGCTTAGATGTCACTTCCGGGTTCCATATGTTATCAGAAAAAGCTCAGATTCTGCAAATCTAAGAATAACCAGTGAGTCCCATTGGGTGGGTTTACTAATAAAAGTGTTACTCTCCTTCATTTCCTTTTCTGGGGTTCTTATACAAAGATGTAATATATCTTCTACTGGAGGTTAGTTAGAAATATCCTTATTTGAAGAAAAAAGAAAAATTACCTGTAATCCCACCAGCCACTGCTATGTTGGGGGCATTTCCTACCTGATGTTTTTCTACACAGACATACTAAGGTAAAAATATTATTTTAAAATCTGGAGTTGATTTTCTTTTAGCATCTTAAATAATACATTGGAGAGGCATTTGTTGTAGAAGGCGAGGCTGGGGAAATTGGTGTGGTTCAGAGAGAGATGGAGGTGGGGGGAGAGATGAGGAAAGTCACTCCTTGGGTAGAACAATGAGAGAAATGAGTACAGAGCTCCTGGGAGGGAGGGATGAAGAGATGAAAAGGAGGGAAATGAGGAGTTGCCAAGTTCATGTGAGGCTATGGCCAGTGGAAATTTTCTTGGGAGTTTATTAATACATTGGGGAAAAAAAAAGATGCATGTTACTTAAAGTCGTTTTTAAGTCATTTTAAGTTGTCTTTGTATTCATTCAATTTTACTACATTCATAAGTGCTTTGTATCTCTCTCTCTCTACGTGTGTGTGTGTGTGTGTGTGTGTGTGTGTGACTTTGTATGTGAGAAGGGCCTGAATTTAACACTGCTGCAGTGTAGGCTGAAACAGGTGCAGCCTGAGAAAATCATGATCCTGAAGTCAGTGGTGACTTTGAAATCATAGCCACTTCCTTTCCTCTGTCCCCCAGCTAATAACCTGAAAACTTGGGAAGGGCTCTAGACTTCCATGGAACATGAAACTGCTCACCCAAACTCATCTTACCTTGACTTCAAGGATGTGTAGGTGCATGTGTGGGATGTGTGTGTGTGTGTGTGTGTGTGTGTGTGTGTGTGTGTGTGTGTGTGTGAAGTAGGATGCTGTCGGCTGCTCAGACTTACAGTGAGAGCAGGTAGCAATTTCCTTATGCCATGCCCCCATTCTCACCACTAGATTCTGCATTCACTGATATGCATGGAAATTTTATTTGGTAGTTGGGGAAGAAAGAAGGAGTTCTGATTCGCATTTCTCTGATGGCCAGTGATGATGAGCATTTTTTCATGTGTCTGTTGCCTGCATAAATGTCTTCTTTTGAGAAGTGTCTGTTCATATACTTCGCCCACTTTTTGATGGGGTTGTTTGATTTTTTCTTCTAAATTTGTTTCAGTTCTTTGTAGAGTCTGGATATTAGCCCTTAGTCAGATGGCTAGATTGTAAAAATTTTCTCCCATTCTGTAGGTTGCCTGTTAACTCTGATGGTAGTTTCTTTTGCTGTGCGGAAGCTCTTTAGTTTAATTAGATCCCATTTGTCAATTTTGTCTTTTGTTGCTATTGCTTTTGGTGTTTAATCATGAAGTCCTTGCCCATGCCTATGTCCAGAATGGCATTACCTAGGTTTTCTTCCAGGGTTTTTATGGTTTTAAAAAGTCAAAACCACAATGAGATACCATCTCACACCAGTTAGAATGCTGGTTATTAAAAAGTCAGGAAACAACAGGTGCTGGAGAGGATGTGGAGATACAGGAACACTTTTACACTGTTGGTGGGACTGTAAACTAGTTCAACCATTGTGTGAAGACAGTGTGGCGATTCCTCAATGATCTAGAACTAGAAATACCATTTGACTCAGCCATCCTATTACTGGGTATATACCCAAAGGATTATAAATCATGCTGCTATAAAGACACATGCATACGTATGTTTATTGTAGCACTATTCACAATAGCAAAAACTTGGAACCAACCCAAATGTCCAACAATGATAGACTGGATTAAGAAAATGTGGCACATATACACCATGGAATACTATGCAGCCATAAAAAGGATGAGTTAATGTCCTTTGTAGGGACATGGATGAAGCTGGAAACCATCATTCTGAGCAAACTATCGCAAGGACAGAAAACAAAACACCGCATGTTCTCACGCATAGGTGGGAATTGAACAATGAGAACACTTGGACACAGGGTGGGGAACATCACACACCAGGGCCTGTTGTGGGGTAGGGGGAGTGGGGAGGGACAGCATTAGGAGATATACCTAATGTAAATGATGAGTTAACGGGTGCAGCACACCAACATGGCACATGTATACATATGTAACAAACCTGCACATTGTGTACATGTACCCTAGTACCTAAAGTATAATAATAATAATAAAAGAAAGAAGGAGTTCTGACTGTGGATGATCAGGAAAGAATGATAGAGCTATGAATGAATTTTTGTACAAGGTAGGACTGCTGGATTCAACTGATGGAAATCCAACTTAAACTTGCACGAGGAGACAGAGAGACAGAGAGAGAGAGAGAGAGAGAGAGAGAGAGAGAGAGAGAGAGAGAGAGGCACTGTATTGGCTCATTTACCTAAGTTATCCAGTAATATTTGGCTTCAGACATAGACAGATAGATTCAAGTACTCAGTCAGTATGGACAAAAGATAGAATATGTGGTAGGAGTGATTCCCAAAGGAAAGTTGGGGTCCTGGAATTCAATAAAAGACTTCCATCTAGGTAAGCAGAAGCCACAGTATCTCTTTATGCCCTAGATCTTAAGATCAAGTTAGGTTCTTTTGTTAAGTAGTCATCCTCTTCCTTCTCTTTCTCTTCCTCCTCCTCTTCTCCTTCTTCCTATTCATTTTCCTCCTCCTCTTCTCCCTCCTTCTCTTTCTCCTCCTCCTCTTCCTTTTCTTCCTCCTCCTCCACTTTCTCCTCCTCCTCCTCTTCCTTCTCCTCCTCCTGTTCTCCCTTCTTCTCCTCTTCCTCTTTCTCCTCCTCCTCCTTCTCTTCCTATTTCTCCATCTTTTCCTCCTTTTCTTCCTTCTCCTCCTCCTCTTCCTCCTCCTCCTCTTCCTTTTTCCTCCTCCTTCTCTTCCCTGTCTCCTCCTCCTCTTCCTCCTGCTGCAAACCTAAGCCTCTTTCCTGATTCCCTTTGACACAGATGCAAAGAGAAATAACTCTCAATCAGCACCAACAAGGAGTGTATGTTCAGCTCCACACCCCATCAGCCATCACACTCTCCTCCCTGTGGACTGACTCTGAGTGTGACCAGGAAGTACATCTCTCACAAGAATGGGACTTCAACCTCTTAGAATTGGAGAAAGAGGATGGGAGGGGATATGAGGTTCACATTGCATAGGAAAGTACTCCTCTCCTTAGTCAGAAGAAAATACCTGGAAAGGAAGGAATGATAAATGGATGCTTTGCTGTTTGCTTGGAGGCTGCTGCTATCTCTACTCTGGAAGCTCTGGCTGTGCGTAATTGAACCCAGGGAGGAAGAAAAGGAGAAGGAGAAAGAGAGAAGATCCTAGGATATTTTGCAGACTGAGTGATTCAGAAGCAGAAAAAGTTAGTAGCTTTCTCTATGTGCTCTCTACCAGTGAGGCAAAGGTGATCCTATCCCCAGGGGTCTGGTAAAGGGGAAGTTGTTACCCTTGTTTGTGTGATGTGGCATTCCAGAGCTTGAACTCTGGGCTCAGCCCTCCTGGGCTAGAATTCCAGAGCCTTGGGCCTCTTTGAGCCTCAGTTTCCTTATCTGTAACATGTGTATGCTACATTGATTTTTTTAAATGTCCCCAAGTATTTATCACTTCCTATACCCACAACTTTGCAATGTGACTGTAAAGCTTCTCTAATCAAGGGTGGATTCTGGGTCTCACCCCTTGAATGTGGGCTGGCCTTGTGATTTGCTTTATGTAGTCAATAACATGGAGTAGGGTTAACAGCATGTGCTTGTTCTGAGCTAAGGTCTCAAGAAGTCTTGTGTGCTTCTACTGTTGTTCTTGGACAAATCCAGGATAGCTTGCTGAATGATGAGTGACTTGGGACTCATCATCACCACCACCCACCATCCAGCCAACAACCAGCCACCACTAGGCATGTGAGTGAGGCATCCTATGTCAGCCCGCCTCAGCCAACCAGCCAGTTGACCATAGATTCATGTCCATGTCCAGTAGGGATCAATCGAGTCTGTCCCACATGAGCAAAATTGCCTAGTCAAGCTGCAGATGTGAGAACCAAATGAACACTTATAATCTGAAGCAATGGATTGACTATGAGGTGTGGTGTGTGTGTGTGTGTGTGTGTGTGTGTGTGTAGATTCTTTTTTTTTTTTTTTTTTTTTTTTGAGATGGAGTATCACTCTGTCCTCCAGGCTAGAGTGCAGTGGCATGATTTTGGCTCACTGCAATCTCTGACTCCTTGGTTCAAGCAATTCTCCTGCCTCAGCCTCCCAAGTAGCTGAGACTACAGGCATCCGCCACCACACCGGGCTAATTTTTGTATCTTTAGTAGAGACGGGGTTTCACCATATTGACCAGGCTGGTCTCAAATTCCTGATCTTATGATCCACTCGCCTCAGCTTCCCAAAGTGCTGGGATTACAGGTGTGAGCCAACGCGCCTGGCTGTAGATTCTTACAATGGCATGTACTATATGCCAGGCATAGTCCTAAACATTTTTCACCTATCAGGTTATTTAATTTTTAAAACAACCATGGGAAATAAGAGCTACTATTATCAATTCTTTTGGAAAAGGAATTTGAGTCTAGAGAACTCAAGGCTATCCGGTTAATAAGTGGCAGAACTAGGATTTAAACCAGGCAGGCTGGCTTCAGAGATAATTTTTGTTATACTGGTGGTTTTTCCCAACTGTAAATTGCAAGTTTTGAAATTGCAGATATAATATAATCCGATTTTTATTTTAAAGCACATATGCAATCTCTATGTATATAAGTATGTACGGAAATGAACAAAAAATTTAGGTCTGGAAGGGTGGGCTGTGACATTTTCACAGTACAGATAGTCATGCCGAGCAGAGGGGCTATGTCAGCTTTTACGTCCTTTTTTCTACCTTTTAAAATTGCTGGCTTATTTTTATATAGAGTATGTGTTATTTTTGTAATCAGAAAAAAAAGCAAATAAGGCGATTTCCACTTTGGGAAGAGAAAAAGCAAAGCAGGAGGCAACCATGAGCCTTGTCTAGAAATGATCTCCAATGCTAAGGAGCCCACTTTACACCCACGGGTGTCCTGCTGGGATTTTTCTGGGTTTTCATTTTTTACTGCCTATAGAGTCACATATTTTGCATCCCCAGCTTGACCCAGGCCCAAAGTGGGCCCTTCAGAGAAATAATACCCCTTATGCTATTGCCCATTTACATAGAGCTTTAATCTGATCACATAGGACCTTCAATGTTAACTGCCATCTGTATTAGTCTGCTTGGGCTGCCATAACAAAATGTCATCAACTGAATAGCTTATAAACAATGGAAATTTATTTTGTCACTGTTCTGAGAGCTGGCAAGTCCAAGATCAAGGTCCAGCAGGATTTGGCTTCTGGGAAGCTCTGTTCCTGGTTTGCACACAGCTGCTTTGTCCTCACAGGGCCTTTCCTTCGGGGAGGGAGAGGAGAGAAAGAGAGGGAGAGAAAGCTCTGTGTTGTCTCTTCTTATAAAGACACTAACCCTATCAGATCTGGGTCCCACTCATATGGCCTCATTTAACCTTAATTACTTCCTACCGTCTTGTGTCCAAGTATAGTCACACTGGGGGCTAGGGCCTCAACCTACGCATTTTGGAGAAACACAATTCTGTCCATAGTCCCATCCCATTGACACTTGAGGAGACTGAGAGTTCATCACTTTTCTCTAGTCACTGCAGCTGGAAGCTCACTTTTCTGGAAACTGTAGCTGAAGCCTTTAAGCTCCTTGTAAATTTTTAAGTATGTTTTGAAGGAAAGTTTTTATAAAACATTTTTGACACTACCCTGTCTTATAAAGATGGGATAAAGCCAGATATGTTAAAACTTGTTGGATGATCAGTTATCTTTTATTGGAGAGCAGTATGATGAGACTGAACTACCTTAAGCTTTGGGGACAGACCAGGGTTCAATTCTGGTCAGTCATTTACTACGTGGCCTTGGGAAAGTTACTTCTGTGACTTTAGTTTCCTTATCTGTGAAATGGAACACACAGGTCAGTGCCTCCCTAAGATTATTGGGAGGATTAAATGGGGCTACAAATGTGACCATGGCAGAGATAATAATAGCACACGATACACAAAAATGCCCTAAACACTAATTCTCTCCCTGCTTATATTTAAGAGTTTAGATTTATGATTGATCACTTAGGACAAGAATTGGCTAACTCCCAAATTCTTCCATCTGTCCATCCATGCATGTAGCCATGCATCCATGCATCCATCCATCTACACATTTATGCATATGGAAGCTCAAGAGGGAGAACACTTGGAGGGAAAGTTGAGTTCATAATCTGGAGTCATTCTGACTTTGCTTTAAGGCCTGACACTGAAAAGCAGGTGTGTAGCTTGGGCCAGTTTCTTAGCCTCACTACAACTGGTTCATCTTATAAACAAGAACATTATTCTCCACCTGAAAGGAGTGTTATGAGGATTTAAAAAGCTAAAGTCATGTTTCTCAAATTCAGTCATTCACATAACAGCTCGTGATTTTTGCATGTGTTTCCTTTGTCATTATTACTTACTGTCTTTCTTATTTTTTCATTTCAAAATTAAACTTCATATACTGCTATAAAAGGAAACTTGTTACCACTTTTTATAGTAGCAGATGTCATAGGTAGAAGATATTCCCCATCAAAATACAATAAAAATAAGGCAATGCCATTAAAAATTTAGCTAAGAAATGTTACCTGCTGAAAGGCTATAAATTTGAGGTGTGTTGTTTTTATGTTTCAGAAAAACTCAAAGATTAAAGAAGATGAGTAAATGGTGAACTAGCTCATTATTATATATTTTTTTTTTCAGACGGAGTCTCACTCTGTCACCCAGGCTGGAGTGCAGTGGCGCGATCTCGGCTCACTGCCAGCTCCCCCTCCCAGGTTCACTCCATTCTCCTGCCTCAGCCTCCCGAGTAGCTGGGACTACAGGCGCCCGCCACCAGGGCCAGCTAATTTTTTGTATTTTTAGTAGAAATGGGATTTCACTGTGTTAGCCAGGATGATCTCGATCACCTGACCTCGTTATCCACCCGCCTATGGCCTCCCAAAGTGCTGGGATTACAGGCGTGAGCCACCGCACCCGGCAACTAGCTTATTATTAAAGAGGATGAGTGAGTGGGTGAGGCCCTTAGGTTGTGAGTTTCCGACCACTGCCTAAATGAATGGTCTTCCTCGGGTAAATGGTGAGCAGATGGATAAGTGGTGAACTTACAATAGCTGATGGCTGTCTTCCACTATTGCAGGTGCCAGGGGAGACATGAGGAAGACAAAAGATGTCAGAGCACCTCTAGATCCCAAACTCAAATATGTGAAAGACCAATAGAAAAACAAAATGTAGTTAAGTCTTGGTGTAGGGTAAAAGGTGGCCTGGAAGATAAGTGTGCTAGTGCTCGTGGACATGGATTGTGCTGGTGGAGAGAGTCCTAATTAAGCTCTTTCCTCCTCCTGACAAGCTATAAAGGCAATTACCCATCCTGGGTGCTATTGCGGGGCAAAGAAGCAGGAATACCTTCTGCAAGCTGTAGTGTATCTTCAGGGTAGAACTATCTATGAGGGGACGTGGCCAGTTGTAATGAGTGTGAGTGGACTGGCTAGCACCTGAGCATGTTAGCATCACCCAACACAGGTTCACCCCTGTGGGCTAGTCATCTGGACTGGTAACCTACAGAGAGCAGCTACCTTCACCTCATCCAAAAACAGTTCCTATGGTGTGGATCCTGAGAAACAAGTAAAGGTTACAAGGAAACTATAATCATAACTTCTAGTCAAACTCCAAAATAAAAACTCAGTGGATGGGTTGATCTTTTTGATTTAAAAATAAAAGTATAGATACCTAGAATATTGGCTCAAAGAGTTTCTCTGACATCATCACGGGATGATAAAGAAATAGAATGATAGTCACTAACTTAAGAGCTTTAGAAGCTAGATGTAGTAGAAGTCTTGGAAGGAAATAAAATAGAAATGTAAAGGAGGATTATTTGAAAAAGGAATAACAGAGAACAAAGAATTGATGGATACATGCATGTGTGTATAGATGGATTCATGGACTTATGGATGCATGGCTATATGGCTACATACATGGATTCATGGATTCAGTGATGCATTGCCACATGCATGGATGAACAGATAGATGCATGGCTACATGCATGGATGTGTAGATGGATGCATGGATTCTTGGAAGAATGCCTACATGCATGGATGCATATATGGATGAATGCATGGATTCATGGAAGCATGAATAGATGCATTAATAATGGGTAGAAATTATGCAAAATATGAATGATGACTTCTAGTATAGCCTAGTAATTTAGGGAGGAAAGGAGAAACTTACTCTGTAGAGGGAAGGGCTGTCTGCAACAGGAGAGGCTTCTGTTTCTTCTGAATGCAACAGAGGAGAAATGTTTTAAGGTATGCAGAATAGGAGTCTGAGAAATGAGGGAAAAGCAAACCTGAGGGACAAGTAAGTGGCTTAGAGAACGAAGTGAAACATTTTATTTTGGGCCTCACATCTGAAAACTGAAGCTTGATATTCCAACTAGGCTTAGCCAATCAATCAAGAAACACAGTCAATATTTCAAACTGGCACCCAAAAACCCACACACTTTTATTTTCCTGAACAATGTTCTGACTCACATCAGCCCCAAGAATGGAAGTCTGCGTTCTTTCCAGTCTCAATGAGCCAACGTCTTAAAAAATAGGTATGTATTTAGGGTTTTCAAAAGAGATAATAAGCAATTGCTAATAATTATTTGAAGACATTAGAGTTGGACCCAGCACAATTAGTGCTAATGTTGAGTCTTGATAATACCAGAAAGATAATTAAACTTGGTGCAATGATGGCTGCCAAGGCTTGCTCAACAATTGAACTGAATTTTCAAACATACAGATGTAAATTTTTCAAGTGGTACAAATTCAAATGAATTGACTTACAACAAAATGATGGTCCCTTGTACATTTCCTAGAACATTCAGAATGGAGAAGCAGATGTTCTCGGAGGAAACAAGTTTGTAAGAGCCTGCCCTGGTTCCTCAGGTGTGGGATGCGGTGCTGACATGTAACACCAGTTTGGAGCAGAACCATGGAGGACTCTTTGAGTCATGACATCCGTGTTAGTTTCCTGAGGCTGCTGTAATAAATTACAGCAAATATAATGACCTAAAACAATGGAAATTTATTTTCTAATAGTCCTGGAAACCAGAAATCCAAAATCAAGATGTCACCAAGGTTGATTCCTTCTGGAGGATTCAAAGAAGAATCTGTTTCATGCATCTCTCCTGGCTTCTGCTGCCTGCTGTCAATTCTTGGCATTCCTTGTCTTGTAGATGCATCATTTCAATCTCCACCTCCGTCTTCATATCATCTTCTCCTCTGTGTGTCTTGTCTGTTTTTCTTCTCCTATAAAGACACGTGTGATTGGATTTGGGGTCTAATCCAGAATGAGCTCATCTTGAGATCCTCTGCAAAGACCGTTTTCCAAATAAGGTCACATTCACAGGTTCTGAGTGAACATATATTATGGGGGGAACATCACTCAGCTCACTACAACTTCTGAGACAAAGTTCCCACCTCTGATGCCATTTCTTACCATGTTACCCATCACTTTTTAACTCCAGGCACCAGGCCTCCTGCCTGTTCCTCAAACACACCAAGTTCATCTTGAATCAGGAAGGCTGCTCCCATGTCCTGGAAAGTTTTGCTGCCATGTAGCCATTCAAGTCTCAGGTGCAGTGTCCCTTCCCCAAAGCAAACTTCCTAGACTACTCTCTATATATTGGCATCTCAGCTTCAGTTTATCTCCATCACATTATTCTGTTGTATTTTATCCATGGCATTTATCACTCTCTGAAATTATTTCAGATATCTGTTCATTTTTTGGTGTCTTTTTGATAAAATATAAAGCTCCATGAGCTCAAGGCTCTCCCTGTCTTAATGACCAAAATAATAAGATCCCCAATGACCTAAGCAATTTCTTCCCCATTGTAGATGTTCAATGTTCAATAAAGAGTTATTAAATGAGTGATTGACTATAAAGTGCCATCTAGGGCATCACAAAGTCAGGCTCATTACTTGAGAAATTGCTTGACCTTCCAAAATGAGAAGTTTTCAGAATCAAGGCCACAAGGTATGGGACAAGCAAAGTTCTCCTGACAACATGGAAAACCTGATAGAGAAGAGGTATAAAGACCATAGTCTCCAGAGTCAAACAGTCCAGGCTAGCATCCATTCCTGCTCAGAAATAATCAATGTGACCTTCTGCAAGTTCCTTTGAATACTTGAACCTTAATTTCCTTATCTATAAAATCGACTGTTATCAGTTGCCTACCTAGCAACTAACCACGTCTTCCTGCTTTCTAGAGGAATCCCAATTTTGATCAACCTCTTCTGAGAGGCCATGTAATTTAAGATCCTCAGTTCTGGTTATGAAGGCATATGAATCTTGACTAACTTATCCATTTGTGGAGCTCCAATAGAACTTTGGAAAACACACCAATGGCCAGGCCCCACCTCCAAATGTTTGGATTCAACTGGTTTGTGATGCAGGGGACCAGGCACTACCATGGTTTATAAGCATCAATTTGTAATTCTACTGGGCTGCCAGGATTGAGAACCACTGATCTAAGCCAGTTATGAAAACTCCATTTTTTTGGTCAAATGACTGATGCCATGATTTGGGCATGTGACATAAACCTGACTAATAAGCCAGGAGGCTAAGTAAGCTGGAAATAGTCTTGGAAAGTTTTTCTTCCAGTTAGAAAAGGGACACCGACAGAGACGCTGTTGCCACTCCTGGATGGCACTGTCCTTGTAGATTATGGACCAGACCTACCTTGTGTGACTGCAGAGAGATTACACTGCATATATCACTTCTTCTGCAACTTTCTATCCATGTCCTACTGGAAGTCCTACAGAAGAAGTCTGGCCAGTATTTTATCATCCAAGGATATGGCATCATCTGACAATATAATTTTTAAAATTTGCTGTAATTAGTTATTTGTCATGTTATTACTTGCCATATATACGATTGCTATGTTACTTGTATTTCTGTGTAGGTAATAGAAAAAAGTGAATTTTTAAAAAGCAAGAGCATTTGTTATCTCACATAATATGATGTTGACAGATAGGATGGTTCCAGGTCAGGATTGAAAACTTAAAAAGCACAATGGTAAGGGCGTTATCTTTCTCTATTTCTGATCTGCCATCCTCAGACAGGGTTCCTTCTTACCTCATGGCCTCAAGATGGCTGCTAAAGTTCCAGGCATCACACAGAGGCAATGACACTCAGGGTCAGAGAATAGAAGAGATTACAAATGTCTTATGTTCTTTTTCTCAGTGGAAGAAAAGCTTTCTCAGAGTCCACTCCCAGCTGACTTAGCTCCAGGGCCCATTGGCCAGATTTATGTCACATGCTTAAGTTATTACATCAATCACTTTAAATAAAGAAATGGAATTTCCATGACTGGCTTAGGCCAGTGGTTCTCAACCAACTAGGTCAGTTAACAATCATTTGTTACACAATGCTCCAGGGCACTGGAGGTACCATGGTGAACACAAACAGGGCTCCCACCGTCACTGGCATAAGTAAAGATAGATGTCCCATTGACTGGCAAAGGGGAAGTAAAGCAAACCACCATATTCATTCATTCCTGTATTTATTGAAATCCTACTTGTACTGGATATGGCCTGGGTTCTCAGTGTACATCAATGAACAAAAAGACTCCTACCCTGGTGCAGTTTACATTCTAGTGGGAGGAGGCAGATAATATATAATAAGCATAAGTAAGTTATGTAGTATTTACATGAAAGGCAGTAAGTGAAATGAAGAAGAAAAAGCAGAGTGGGGAGAGGGAGATTGGAAGGTCTGGGGTGGGTGTGTTTGGGACTGACAGTGGGTGTCAGTTTTAAGTTGCGTAGTCATGGAAGGCCTTGCCAAGAAGACAACAGAACAAAGACAGGAAGGACGTGAGGGAGTGAACCATGGAATATTTGCAGGTAGAGCATTCTGGGTAGAGGGAAGAGGCAGGGCAAAGACCCAGAGACTGAAGCACGCTGGGGTGACTGAGGAACCGTGAGAAGGCCAGACTGAGCAAGGGGGTGGAGGCAAGGGAATGAGGTTAGAGAGAAGATGGTCGGGGGTGTGGGCCATGTAAGGCCCTGGCTATTGGGAATAAGTACGTTTATGTGTATGACTTTTTGCATTACTCAGTCATTAATTATCTGGTTTCATGTCAATGACCTAACCCTCTATCTGTAGTTTCTACATCCTTCAGTGATTGGGGAAGAACCTTGGCTTTCTCATCTTAAGTCTTCCCTGCTTCTTTATTATTTCTGGGTAGGAAAAATGTGTCTAAGAAGGAACATGCAGTTGGCCTATGTGTGCCAAGGTAAGCCTGAGCTGTTGGACAATGGTTCTTCAATAAACAAAGACTCCCAGACCCCGAGAAAAGATCCCTGGACCCACAGGCCACAGTTTCCTGGGAGCAAATCTCAGCCCGGGCTGCTTTACCCACTATGTGGCCTGGTGGCAACCCCAGGCTGCAGCTTCCACTCTTTAACATGGATAAGGGGCTTTCCTGACCTTAGTTCTCTTTATCCCTGTACAATCTCTCATGCCTGAGAAGTCAGAACCCAGCAAACTGCAGTCAGTGGTCTTTGGCACCTTTGATTTTTCTCTTCAAGCTGCTCTGAGGTGCAAAAGGAAACCAGTCATTAAAGAGAATTATGTCCCAGGCAGTCAGAGCATGTGCTAATTTACTAGTTAGAATCCGGAAAACAATTCCAGCCAGATGGAGGTGCCCTGTCCCTGTTACCAGCCACCAAATTGTTCACATTTTATTTCCCAGAGGGAAGCTGTGCTGTAAGATACCAGAAGCAAAATAAGGGTTCTTTGCTACCCTGATGCCTCAAACTCTTAAATATTTTTCAAATGCTTAAAACAGACTCACAAACAAAAACCCTCCCAGATAGGCACTCTTAATATATATCTGTGAAATTATGTTCCAAAGAGGAGACGTGCTTACAATTTGCAAGATTAGAACATTTCACATCAAGTGAAAGGTATAAATCTGAATCCCAAGCCCCAATTCTAAGCATTGATATTCTCACTAGTTTTTACGTTTTAAAGGAAAAGCAACTTTGATATCTTCTTAAAGCAACAGCACCCTGCCACCACCTGCTGGGGTGCTGAATTGTCAGAGTTCCAAACACCAGCTGCCAGAGACCCCCCCCATCCCATCAGTTCTCATTGCTTATGAATCCCATTGAATAGACTCAAGCAAATTTGATCAATCATAGATAACATGAGTACATACTTACAATATACCAGGCATTGTTCTAAGCATATTAATAATCATCACTGAAACTTTCATAGCATTTGTCAAGTGTCAGATGCTGCTTCAAGGGCTTGGTATGTAAATACATGCATTGCATTCTATAGTAGCCTTATGAGGTCCATGAAGATCTACATTTTGCATTTGAGGAAACTGAGGCTCAGAGAAGCTGAGTACATTTCTTGACAACATTCAGATAGTGAGTGGCAGATTTGGGTTTCAAACCAAGACAGTCAGGCACCAAGCTTCGAGGTCAATGTTGCTCATATGGTTTGGCTCTTTGTCCCCACAGACATCTCATGTCAAATTGTAATCCTCAATGTTGGAGAAGGGTGGGAGGTGACTGAATCATGGGGGCGGACTTCCCCCTTGCTGTTCTTGTGACAGTGAGTTCTCACGAGATCTAGTTGTCTAAAAGTGTGCAGCACTTTCCCCTTTGCTCTCTCTCTCCTGCTCCACCATGCGAAGATGTACCTGCTTCCCCTTCACCTTTCACCATGATTGTAAGTTTCCTGAAGCCTCCCCAGCCATGTTTCCTGTACAGCCTGCAGAACTGTAAGTTAATTAAACCTCTCATCTTCATAAATTACCCAGTTTCAGATAGTTCCTTATAGCAATGCAAGAACAGACTAATACAGTTACACATGTTGAAGCCATCTCCCATGCAATTACAGCTTTTGCTTTGTTGCTGGGAAGAGGACTCATCTTTACAAGCGCTTAACAGTTATCAGGCACTATACTAGAAATGGATATATAATGTATTTTTATTTGAATCTCAGAAAAGCTGTACAAATAAAGTAAATATTTGCAATCAACTCATGAGAAACCCGAGGTTCCTAGCTTAGATAACATTACTGGGGCCACATAGCCATTCAGGAGTAGAGCTAGAATTTGAACAAAGACCTTGGGGAGCCCGAAAGTTCACTAAATGGGGCTTCTTTCTAACAGAGTTGTTCTGATACTCCAGAGCTCCTTTGATGACATTTCTTATACGTGGTCTCAAGTGTTCATACAAATATTTATTGGGCATGGACTCCATGCCAAGCACTGGGATAAATGCTAGCAATTCAGTGTGGACCAATTCAAACTGCCAAATGTGCTATTAAGAAAAACAAGAGGGAGGCTCTAATTTGGCTGGAGGAGTAGGGGCAGGAATACCTGTTTTAAACATACGATATATGCTGAATCTTGAAGGATGAGGCAGCATTTGCAGAGAAAGAGTGAACCAGAAGTGCATTCTAGGCAGAGGTAGCAGAATGTGCAAAGGCCCTGAGGCAGAAACAAACTTGGTGCTTTGAGGAACGGA
Organism: Homo sapiens; assembly: GCF_000001405.40. Taxonomy (NCBI): domain Eukaryota; kingdom Metazoa; phylum Chordata; class Mammalia; order Primates; family Hominidae; genus Homo; species Homo sapiens. The sequence continues at coordinate 9,711,492 of NC_000016.10, read as the reverse complement.
ACAGTTAGTAGAGCTGTATTAGCACTGATAGGGCCTAGGTCACAGGATAATATTAGAGAGGTGTTGGCAGGGCAAGGTGGCTCATGCTATAATCCCAGCACTTTGAGAGGCTGAAGGGGGTGCATTACTTGAGCCCAAGAGTTTGATACCAGCCCGGACAACATAGTGAGATCCTTTCTTTACAAAAAATATACAAATTAGCTGGCCATGGTGATGTGTTCCTATAGTCCCAGCTACTGGGGCGGCTGAGGTGGGAAGATTGCTTGAGCCCAAGAGGTTTCAGTGAGCCATGATCATGCCACTGCACCTCAGCTGGGTGACAGAGCAAGACCTCGTCTCAAACAAACAAACAAACAACAAAAAAAACAAGAACCAAAAAACATTAGCAAGGTTAATTTCTTGGGGTTCAGCCAGAGAGCACTAGTAAGGAATATTAGCTGCAGGCTCAGAACCAAGCCATGAAGGTGAGTGGGTTGGAGTGACTGACCTCAGATAGAGAGCCAGCACCCTCCCATACCCATACTAGTCCTTTCTTCACCCCTAATCCTCCCTGTCACCTTGATTCAGCCCCTGGGACTTTAAAGTCTCCCTGCCTTTTGGCTGACTTCATCTGACCCATGTCAGCTACCATGACCTTCTCTTTAAAGCTTTCAGGATAAAATTAAGATGTCTTTAGGTGAGCACATCACCCTTTTTGTGGTTTGGGATCTGCCCACCTCTCTGACTCTCTCCATCTTCTCCATCCCATAGAATTGAAGTGCTACCATGAAATTCTGTAACCCCTTGCCTTGTACTGGTTGATGACTTGACAGATTACATCAAAAATCCTTCCTCAGCTTAAGAAGCTTTTGGGCTGAGACTATGGGGGCATTTTCTCAATATATAATCATGTTGTCTGCAAACAGGGATAGTTTGACTTCCTCTCTTCTTATTCGGATACCCTTTATTTCTTTCTTTTGCCTGATTGCCCTGGCCAGAATTTCCAACACTATAATAGGAGTGGTAAGAGAGGGCATCCTTGTCTTGTGCCAGTTTTCAAGGGGACTGCTTCCAGCTTTTGCCCATTCAATACAATGTTGGCTGTGGGTTTGTCATATATGGCTCTTACTATTTTGAGGTGTGTTCCTTCAACACCTAGTTTATTGAGAGAGTTTTTAACACCATGGAATACTACACAGCTGTAAAAAAGTACAAGATCATGTCCTCTGCAGGGACATAGATGGGGCTGGAGGCCATTATCCTTAGCAAACTAATGCAGGCACAGAAAACAAAATACTGCATGTTCTCGCTTATAAGTGGGAGCTAAATGATGAGAACACATGGACATATAGAGTGGAACAACACACACTGGGGCCTGTGTGGAAGGCGGAAGATGGGAGGAGGGAGAGGATCAGGAAAAATAACTAATGGGTATAAGGCTTAATACCTGGGTAATGAAATAATCTGTACAACGAACCCCATGACACACATTTACCTATGTAACAAACCAGCCCCTGTACCCCTAAACTTAAAATAAATGCTTAAAAAAGGGCACAAGCGTACAGTGAGGTAAAAGGAATAAATTCAAGGTTTGGTAGCAGAATAGGATGACTATGCTTAGCCGAAGAGTATCGTACTAAGGTCATGAACACCCTGACTCAATCACTGCACATTATATACACGTAATGAATTTTCTCATGTACCCCATACACTTGCATAAATAAAAAATAAAGAAATAAAATGCAAAGCCTTTGAAGATAAAATTTAAAAATCCTTCCTTGCTCTAAAAACCCAAGAAAGAAATGCAAACTCTCTGTTTCGGTAACAGACAAGACAGGGTTACATTTTTCTCCAGCACCTCCCTTTTGAGCAAACCAGAGTTCTGTAATCCTGCTTGGCCATTGCTCAATGCAGAGCCCTATGTGAGCTCTATGTCCATTTCACATTCATTAGATCCATTTGCCTCTATTTAGGAAGACACATCCTTAAAATGGTGGCTTGGGAAAGAAAGATGCCCGGAGAGTTTATTTTGTGTGGCAATGTGTCTAGCAGATATACTGAGCTTCTGTTTCCTTCCAGGAGAAGGGGAAGGAAGGCATTTACCCAGGCGTACCGAACATTCTTAGCCTGCTCTCTTGGTCTCCTTCGTGTCTGGTGAGTAACTGACAGTTTCCCAATTGCTTTATGAAGGAGACTTTCCAAAGGAAGAAAGCAGCATTTATTAAACTGAGAACCCAGAAGGCAGGAGGGTGGCAAGAGACTTTCAAATGATCTCTGAGTTGTAAATGCAGGATCTTAAAGAGACTGTGGAATTACATCATCGGAAGAGCAGCATGCTGACTGAATTATTGGTGAGTGCATGTGTATTCTCCCTGCTCAGGTGACCCTTGGCAGTCTACACTACCCAGCTAAAGGACACAGAAATTCCACTATGAGAAAGGAAGAAAAAGAACTCTTGAGTTTTGCTGCAAAACTTCCAGCATGCCTTTTGTCCCAGCAGCCAGACCTTCTGGCCTCCTGACCTAGGTCTCATCAGCTGTGAAGAGTTTTCAATGGAAACTTTTGAATCATGACGGCATTTTCCCACTGCCCCCCACCCCATGGCAGCGTACTCTTTGCCTCTCATCTGCCTTCTCCTTACTGCTCACTTCTGAACTCTGCCTCTTGACTTTTATCTCCTTCTGCTTCCCCATGGCCATTGGCTTAGTTCAGTATTCCACATCTTTCAACTAGATTACTGCTATGGCCCTCTGTCTGATCTTTTCCCTTTGTTCTAATTTTTTCTCTACACCATTAAAAATGAACTCCCCAAAGCACAAATCTCACCACCTCCCTGGAGTGCTCCCTGTTGCTTGCAGATTGCAGTCCTAAGCTCTTAGCTGGAAGATTCCATGTCTATCTCTCAAGGCTGGAATAGACTGCCAGGCTCCAGGTTCATGTCTCCAAGTACTGACTGTACCTCTCCAGTGGGAAAATTCCATGATTGCCTCAAACTCAATGTGGCAAAAATCGATAGTTGTCTATTTCCTTCAAAACCTACTCTTCCTCATGCAGCTGTGATTCTGGCAGGGAGTTCTTAGTCAATCAAGCCAGAAACTTGGGAGTCATTCTCAGTATATACCTTGGCATCATCTCCTAGATTAAGTCCTAAAAAGGAAAAACTCTCAAACCCATCAGTCCAGGTTGGGTCTCCCTAGCTCAGCTGGATTACTGAGACAGCCATCATGACCCATCATTTTACCCATCACAGCCATCATGACCTCCCTGGATGACTGTATTAGTTTCCTGGGGCTGCCATAACAAAGTACCACAGACTTGGTGGGTTAAACAACAGAAATGCATTTTCTCACGGTTCTGGAAGCCCAAGATAAAATGTCGACCAGAGTTGTTTTTTTCTGAGGCCCCTCTCCTTAGTTTGTTGATGGCTGTCTTCTCCCTGTATCTCCACGTGGTCATTTCTCTCTGCATGTCTATGTCCTAATCTCTTCTTCTTCTAAGAACACCAGACATATTGTATTTAGGTCCACCGGTATAACTACTTCACCATACTTGCCTCTTTAGTGACCCTATCTTCAAATACACTGACATTCTAAGATAGGTTAAAGGTCAGGACTTCAACATATGAATTCCAGGGAGGCACAGTTCATCCCATAATAATGACAAATCTGAAAACATCACTCTTTTTAGTAGCTCCTCAAAGCTGTGGGATAAAATCAGAATACTGTAGGTGAGTTTGCAAGACCCTTTGTGATGTGATGTTCATGCACCTGTCATGGTGGGACTATTTCCTCTCACCTAATCATTCTGAATTAATAAACCCAGGTTGCTCACTGCAACCTCCACCTCCTGGGTTCACTCCGCCATCGTAATGTGGGGTTTCATAACTCCTTGCCTTGACAAGCAGGTTTCCTCTAACAAAATGTTCATTTGCTCTTTTTTAGACAGCTTATTGAGGTATAATGGACACACAATAAACTACATTGTTTAAAGTACACAATAGAAAAAGTTTTGACGTGCAAATATACTTGTGAAGCCATCACCATAATCCAGGTAATGAACATATGCATCAGTTCAAAAAGTTTCCTCTTGCCCCTTTATAATTCTCCCCACCTTCCCTGTCTCCCATCCCTGAGCAAATTATGGGTTGGCTTTCCATCATTATAGGTTAGTTTGCATTTTGTAGAATTTTATATCAATAGATTCCTAAAACATGTGCTCTCTTCTTTCTGGCTTCTTTCACTTTGCATGATTCTTTTGAGATTCATCCATGTTGTTATGGGTATCAACAGTTCATTCCTTTTATTGCTGTACAGCATTCCATTGGATGGATAATAGATACACAATGTGTTAATCCAGTCACTTGTTAATGGACATTTGGGTTATTTTCAGTCTGAGGTTATTACAAATAAAGCTGCTATAGAAATGCATGTAAAAGTCTTTATATAGATATAGATTTTGTCAACTGAAGAATCATAAGCTTTATTGGAGAGGAGAACTTTATTTCTTTTGTTTGTTTTTTTGATATGGAGTCTTGCTCTGTCACCAGGCCGGAGTGCAGCGGCACGATCTCGGCTCACTGTGAGCTCCACCTCCTGGGTTCAAGCAATTCTCCTGCTTCAGCCTCCCGAGTAGCTGGAACTGCAGGCATGTGCCACCATGCCCAGCTAATTTTTGTATTTTTAGTAGAGATGGGATTTCACCATGTTGGCCAGGATGATCTCGATCTCCTGACCTCGTGGCTATTTCATAGGCTGGGAAATGTAGCCTTGGATAGAAACCAAAAGCAGGCATGTTGAGGAAGGAAAGATGGGACAGGGATTTATGCTGAACAAGTTGGCTAGCCACACATATTCAACAGGTTATAGGAGGAGCTATGAATATTTACAAAGGGTGGGTGCACATGCGTAGTAAGCAAATATGCATGCTACATATGTCCCGTTTTCACACTGGGGTGGAGACTTAACATCTAAATGCATTAAAATTAGGCTTTAAACTTCAAAAGGTAAAACGGAGGACACAGAGTCATCCTATGTGCAGCCTCTGTAAACCAGCCAGAATGAGTCCATGGTCTGTGGTCTCTTATCAGGAAGGAATGCTGGTCGGTTGTTGTGTCAAAACCACAAAAAGTGAGTAGAGTCCAGCAAGTCTTTTAAAAGAGCTGGTGTCTGCTTAGCCCTTAGGAAAGAAAGCCTCATGGTGGTTAGCAAGGGAGAAAGTGTAACAATGCATGTTCAACCTCCTATCCCATCACAACCAGGTACTCAGTTTTTAAGGTTTCTCTGGAGTCCCCTTGGCCAAGATGGGGTCCATTCAGGTGGGTGGGGAGCTTAGAATTTCACTTTTATTCCTCAACCTTTATTTTTCTTAGGTAAATACCTAGGAGTAGAATGGTTGTGTCATATAGTACAGTATTACCTTTGAGTAGATCCTGAATAATCAGACATTGAGTTGTAGAAAAAGGTGATGCATGTGAACCTCTACATATAGTTGTTCGATGTTTACATGTGTTTATCATGAAACGAAAACATTTATTCTCTTTTTCTTCATCCTTCCATCAACTGTCCTCTGTGCCCAACCAGTTTCTGACCTCCTGAATTTCTGCCTTTAGAAACAGAGAAGAATCCAGCTTTTCTTCATGATACAGGATGTTGTATGTATGTGGAACCATCCTCACTCACAGCTGCCCCTTCATGGTTCCAAGGTAACTTTATAAGAGACTGCCTTTGCCTTCAAAGGTAGGGACAGGCTCATTGAATATTTATCCTGCCACGGAAGTCAGAAAGACAAATATGCACTAATATCATAACCGTCAGCCAGGCTCAGTGGCTCACGCCTATAATCCCAGCACTTTGGGTGGCCAAGGTGGGCAGATTACAAGGTCAGGAGTTCGAGACCAGCCTGATCAACACAGTGAAACCCTGTGTCTACTAAAAATACAAAAATTAGCTGGGAGTGGTGGTGCATGCCTGTAGCCCCAGCCACTCGGGAGGCTGAGGCAGGAGAATCGCTTGAACTCAGTAGGTGGAGGTCGCAGTGAGCCAAGATCACGCCACTGCACTCCAGCATGGGCAACAGAGGGAGACTCCATCTCAAAAAATATATATATTGTAAGCATCTCCATATTTCACCACTTTTTCCAAGCAGCTAATATTGATGCTTTGGAGACAGCTCTGGAGTCAGAATGCCTGGATTTGAATCCTGGTTTGTGCCATTCTCTAGATGGAAGACTTTGTGCAAGATACTTAACCCCCTGTGCCTCAGCTTCCTCATCTGTAAAAGGCGGATGGTGAAATCTCTCTGAGGATTCAGGGCAAAAGCACAGTGTCTAGCATACAGTAAATTCTTTGAAAATGGTAGCCTTATTATTATCCAGTTTCCTCTCAAGCCAAGCCCTGTCATCACTATGGTAACCCATGTAAAAAAGAGATCACAGGTAAGCTCTCCTTTGATGCTCCAAAAGTTTAAAGCACCACTGCTATCTTCAGCACTCAGCTTTGAAGACGTCTTGTTAACCTCTATTGTTTTGTATCAGTGGGCTACATGCTCATCTGAAGAATGAATGGAATTAGCACAGTATTTTTAAGCAATTAGTTGGAGTAATAGAAATGCCCAAAGGAATGAAAGTAAAATAAAGGTATGTCAATGCATGCCCATTCTCTGCCATTTTCCTTGAGATAATATCAAATATCTAACAGAATGTTGGTGAGTAGGGAGAAACATTGCAGGAAAAATAAAATTTTTCCCTATATGAATCCTGTTTTACTAATATTGAACCTTGATATGATTAATGTTATACCCAGGTAATCCTGACTTATTAATATTCCTCAGAACCTGGTACCTCTGGGAACCTCACCAAGTTCAATGGCACTAGGAGGCTTTGAAATGGCTAGGGCTGAGTGGGGCTGTCTTTCAGGGATAAGGATCTTTTTGAGCTCTGTCTGCTGTTTTGTTTTCTGACCTCTCCACAGTGGGGCTGTAGGCTGCCCCTTCACCCATCTGTTGCCTTGTGCTTCTCCTCGGTGTCTTCTTTTAGTTGTGCAAACAACACGAGAAAATTTGCCTCCAATACAGACTTCAGAGGCTTGCATTTGCTTTGAGCAATGTGGCAACATTGCTTCTGGAGCTTCTGTTGTATTTTGACATCAAGGTTGCCGTCTCAATCTCCACTTCTCACTGGGGATTCAAAGAGGCAAGGTAGCTGCAAAAGTAACCACTGGTATACCAGCGATACATTGCATATGTATAACAAAGGTCAGGTGCTTCATTTTGTTAACAGAAAAGCCAAACTCTAAAATATTTTAAAGAGGTTTATTTTGAGTCAATATGAGTGACTGTAACCCAGAGAAAACACAAACCTAAGAAGCCTTGAAAAACTGTGCCCAGGATGGTGAGGTTACGGTTTAGTTTTATACATTTTTAAGGAGGCAGGAGTTGCAGGCAAAGACATAAATCAATATAGAGAAAGTATAAGTTGGTTTGGACTGAAAGGCAGGATATCTTGAAGCAGAGGCTTACAGGTTATAGGTGGATTCAGAGATTCTTTAATTTGCAATTGGTTGAAAGAGTTCAGCTTTGTCTAAAGACTGAAAGTCAGTGCAAAGGAATGCTTAAATTAAGATAAGGAGGCCTGCTGTCTATCATGTGATGGTAAAACAGAGTCAGGTTAAAAAGTAAGCCACATTATACTAGATTTAAGAAAAAAACAAAACATTTAACAAGATTTTATGGTTTGTAGGGCAGGACTTAACCCTTGCTTCTCATGGTCTTAGGTCTTGTTTATAATCTGGTATCTTATTACCACGAAGAGTCTATTCTGTCAGTCTTATAATCTCTATTTCAACATTAATGCTGGTCAGTTGTGCTTAAACTCCAAAAAAAGGGGGTATAGTGAGGCATATCCAACCAACCTTCTGGTCATGACTGGGAATTCAGTTTTTAAGGTTTTTCTGAGGGCCCCCTCACCAAAAGCGGGGTCTGTTTAGTTGGTTGGGGGGTTTAGGATTTTATTTTTAGTTTACAATTTTCATTTGAGATTTGCCCAAAAAAGGGAGAAGGTTACAAATAACTCAAGAGAAACATTTTAATGCACTTAATGAACCAATGACTTGAGCCTCTTGACTTTCAAAAAGTCAAGAAGCAGAGAACTACTGTGGAATAAATTTGGTTTACAGTCAGAGAGAACTGAATTTTAGTTCTGGCCTTAGTTACCCACCAGCAGGGTAATCTGTCATCCTCAGAATTTCGAGGGAATAGGCTCATGGATGTCAATTACACAGCACACAAGAAAGCTCGGCATCATAATCTTCATCCACTGGGGCAAAGTGAATTTCCCTCTCCCTTCCTGAGATTCGCTTTCCACAGCTCAAGTGAGAGGCAGAGCCCAGACGCCCCAGAAAGGGAAGAGTCCATGATGGCAGGACTCACACTATATCCCAGAACCTAGTCCTGTATGCATAGCAGGCACTTCATAAATACATCATTAAAAAGTACCAGGATGTAGGATCAAGGCAAGATTGTGACTATACATCACTGTATGTGTCTGGTACTTACGGGAGTACTGTACATGAAGTTTTGAGTTTTGTGTTGGTTAATTTTTTTAGCTGTTTCAGTCCTAATTAAAAATGTGCTTGATAGAAATTCAGCCTCCCAAACACATCTCACTACCACCTCCCTGCCACCACCCGCTTTGTTAGTCCTTTTTCTCAACAGCTCATTGTCTGGCTGACATGGGTCCCGCTCAGCCTCCCTCTGTCTCTAACGTGGGTAATTACTTCAGTCCAAGCTGCAGCTCATTACCTCCCTGCAGGTGTTAACTAAAGCAGGGCTGACCTCTTAGGAGTTCACTAGTCAGATACCAGCGGTAGAACGTGGACTCCAATTGCTAAGGCCTCCGAGTGCTATAGACTAGAAGTCTCTGTTGGAATGGTTTTACACTGGCATGTTTAAAAGAAAAATAGGAACGTCCCATCAGGTCATGGTTATCCCCCTGTAGGATGCTTTCTTGCCAAACTTCACCTTGGCATGATGCTAGCCACCTGTATGTAGGAGCCAAGTGAAAAATCATCCTTTCAATTTTTTTTTTCCTTTGAGACGGAATCTCACTCTGTCACCCAGGCTGGAGTGCAGTGGTGCGATCTCAGGTCACTGTAATCTCTGCCTCCCAGGTTCAAGCAATTCTCTGCCTCAGCCTCCCAAGTAGCTGGGATTCCAGGCACCCACCACCACACCTGGCTAATTTTTTTTTTTTTTTTTGTATTTTTAGTAGAGACGGGCTTTCACCATCTTGGCCAGGCTGGTATTGAACTCCTGACCTTGTGATCCACCTGCCTCGGCCTCCCAAAGTGCTGGGATTACAGGCGTGAGCCACCGTGCCTGTGCTGCCTGACACGTTTGTGCCCTCCGTTATCTACTCGTTCAGCACACATTCACTGCCCTCTGGGCCTGTTCCAGCAACCAAAGCACGCCAAGGGGAGAAGCAGGCGGATATCTCCATTTCAATGGGCTGACAGCCCACCAAGATGCCCGTGGTCCCACCCCTCAGAGAACCGTAAGGGTGGCTGAGAAATCACCCTTTAATTTGCTTTTGTGTTTGCTCTAAGGCTCTTGCAAAGCTCATTATCTTACACAGGGCCCTCCTTCTGAGGAGCCCTTGGAGAAATTTTTGGATTTTAGTATGAGAAAAAGCAGTGCTTCTCCAGAGCAGCTGACAGAAGATGCCTGCCACAAAGTGCAACGGGAAAGGGGGCAGGTCTTGGAAGAATCGGACCTGGGAATGAATTCCATCCTTACCACGTGATAGCTCTGCAAACGTGGGCCTCTGTTTCATCTGCAAACTTGTAAGATATTGTCTAGCTTCCAGGGCTGTTGTGAAGATGAGATGAGATAATATACGTAGAGGACCGGTATTCAGTTTGTGCTCAATAAATGGTAGTTGTCAGTGTTGTTTGTTTTTGTTAATGGCTACGTAGCTAATGGGTATGTTGCAGATCAACATACACCATCTCCAAACAGGAAGGATTGTTGAGGTGAAAGCAACTAAGAAAAGGCAAACGCAGAAAAGCTCTCTGCTCTTCCTTCTATTTGACCAAAAGCATGGCATAGACTTACGAAGACAAATTGTCCCACTCCCCCTCTCAATCAGGGAGAACAAAGGTAAATCACTGAAGATACCTATGACCCTCATTGGCCTGGAGATGGTACCAGAGGAAACAACATTAACAAGCTTTGCGAACTAGCCTCTGTGTTTCATCTACTTACCTTCCTGTAGAGACTCAATGTTCTTTTTCTTTGTCTTGCTGCTTCTCTAAAAACTTACGGTTCTCTGAAGGGTGGGACCACGGGCATCTTGGTGGGCTGTCAGCCCACTGAAATGGAGATCTCTGCCTGCTTCTCCCCTTGGCGTGCTTTGGTCGCTGGAACAGGCCCAGTGGGCAGTGAATGTGCGCTGAACGAGTAGATAATGGAGGGCACAAACGTGTCAGGCAGCACAGGAAAGGTGCTTGCTCGGAGTACCCCTCCCTCTGCATCCTGACCAACCCTGCTGCTTCCCCTGTGGTCCTGCCTAACTACGCTGTGCCTGCCTTTTGGGAACTCTGACTATCTTCAGTTTTATTTATCTGATCTAGAGGACTTACTATACCTCAAACTGTTTATTAATACCCAAGAATTAGAGTGGCCTGGAATGACAAGACACTTGGGACACAAACAAACGAGAACTTATGAAATAGGCAACTTTTTCCAATATTCTGAGCAAGTTTAATATTTTAATACATGAGTTTTTTTTTTCAGGTGGAAAAAAAACTTACTGTTCTTTGTTGAAGATGCTATTTAAGCTAGAATTCAAAGACATCTCTCTAAAGAATCCTCCTTCCTTGGGTATCTCCCCTGTCTATGTGAAATACACATGTTAATACACTTCTGTTTTTCTCTTGTTAATTTGTCTTTTGTTATAGAAATGCATTCCACCTAGGAATTTATAAAGATTGAAAAAAATATATTTCTTTCCCTGCAATTTACTGTCTTTGTCTTTTCCTGTTGGACATCAGGAAGTACAGAGGAAAATCTGCAGCTGACCAAGACCAAGTGTCCAGGACCCCGTGGCATAGATTTTGTATAACAAATCTTGCTTCCCTCACTCTATTGTTTGTAGTTTGGATTTTTTATTTGCATCTTCTTAATTAATTAGTTATAATTTCTGAACTATTGCATATATCTTTGATAACTGCTTCAAGTCCTGTTTGGAACAAGCTAGAGTAAAAACATTCTAATACAAGATTAGAGAAAGAAAGAAAGACACCCTCTGGCATTTCAATTTTCAGTGGTCAATTCAAAAAATTTGGAAGAAAAAAATCAATATAGAGGCTCCCAGGAAAATGATGAATGTTCACTCTTTAAAAATGAAAGGTATGTGCTTCCACTAGGGGCTTCAGAAGTGGATATATCTCGCGTTGTCTCCTTTAAAGTTTGTTTTCTTGAAAACCTATCATCCGTCTGAGTTGAGACAAATGTCAAAGTTTCCACATCAAGGTTTTTTAGCTCTTATTCCTATTCATTCATTCTCATTTTCCTCTTTCATAAGCTAGATTCCTTTCAATACAAATATTACAGTCCCATTATAGTAGATTCCTAGGAGTCTCCCAGTTATCAAAGTCAGCAAGAGCTGTGGATTAGACCTGGGTGACCCTGAGTGTGTCACCTACCTTTGAGCTCATCCTCTTCACTTGCGAAATAAAGAGGATAATTTCTTCCCTGTAAACTATTCACATTAAAGACAATAATGCACTCGAGACCATCTGGCAGGTGCTCAATAAATGTTATTTTCTTTTCTCTTAGCTTTCAGAGCCTAGATGAACCCAATTATAGATTTTTTAAAAACAAGTTGTTAGAAACACCTGTTCTTCCTCACCCAATCTCCTTTCTTATTGTATAAGCTTAGTGCCTTTCCAATACTAATACTCTGGATCAGTTTCCATTATACTATAAACTAGTTTCCACTGAAACTAGATGATGATAAATTGTATTTCAAGTAAATGGCTCATCAGCTTGGTCATCATTTGGCTGTATAGATGTCTGCAAAGATGGTCTGTCCAGCCCAGAAAGCCATCCCTGAAGGTCACAGAGAGATTTATAGTATTGTGTTGTCTTATGTCTGCAATGCCAAACTCTGTCATTATAATAAGAAGAATAGCTAATATTGAATACTTAGCCAGGCATCTTGCTAAGTTATTCATTTTGCATGCATTATCTAATTAACACTTTGTATTAATTTTCTACTACTGCATAACAAATCACCGCAAACTTAGCATCTTAAAATAGCAAACATGTACTACCTCTCATTTTCCATGGGTTAGAGTCCCAGGCAGAGCTTAGCTGGTTTTCCTCTTCAAGGTTTCATAAGGCCACACTCAAGGTATTAGCCAGGCTGCATTCCGATTTGGAGGACTGACAGGGTGCTATGGTTTAAATGTGTGTCCCCTCCAAAGCTCGTGTTGAAACTTGATCCCCAATGTGGCAGGATTGAAAGGTGGTGCCCTTAAGAGGTGATTGGGTCATGAGAGCCTCTGCCTCAAAGAATTAATTGACCCATTCATGAATTAATGGATTAGTGGGTTGATGGATTGATGGGTTATCGTGGGAGTGAGACTGGTGGCTTTATAAGAAGAGGAAGACAGACCTGAGCTAGCATACTCAGCTACTCACCATGGGACATCCTGTGCCACCTCGTGACATCCTGTGCTACCTTGCCATGCCCTGTTCCACCTCGTGATGCCCTGTGCCACTTCATGATGCCCTGTGACACCTTGTGATGGCCTGTGCCACCATGACTCTGCTCAGAGTTCCCATCAGCAAGAAGGCTCTCATCAGATGCCCCCCTTTGACCTTGGACTTCTCAGCCTCCAGAACCATAAGAAATAAAGTTTATTTCTCATAAATTTCCCAGTGTCAGGTATTCTGTTATAAGCAATAGAAAACAGGCTAAGACAATGGGGAAACATCCACCTTCAAATTCCTTTCAGTGACTTGGTAGAATTCATTTCCTTATAGTTGAAGAACCAGGACTTTATTTGCAGGCTCAAGTCCCTGTGATTGGTCCCTGCCTCTCATAACATGACAGCTTAATTCTTCAAGATGATAGGGAGGATCTTTTGCTCCAGTGGGCTAAGATGGAGCCTTAGATAATGTAATACAAACACAGGAGTGATTATCCCATCATATTTTCCATTTTCTATTGGCTAGAAGCAAGTCACAGGCTAAGATGAGGCATTATATAATGTAATACAAACACAGGAGTGACTATCCCATCATCTTTGCCATTTTCCATTGGCTAGAAGCAAATCACAGGTTTCTCCTCACTCAAGGAATTCCACCAAGTAACGAAAAGAAATGTGGAAGGCTCGTACAGGGCAAGGATGCCTGGCAGTCGGAATCATGGGACCGTCTTGGAATGCTGTCTGCCATACTCTCCATCACAACTCTCGAAGGGAGGTATTGTTATGAAACCTGTTGTTCATACCAAGCACCACAATTTGTATGAGACAGTGCAGGACCTGTTGGAAATCTGGCACTAAAGCCTGAGCTGTCAGCTTCAGAGTCCATGTTCTTCAAACAATAAATTCTAGGAAGAAGCCTTTCCTTGCATTTTTTCTAAAACTACCTTCTTTAAGCTCTAGGTGTAAAGATGGTGTTTGTGATATGGGATTTGAGGAGCATTTGTGTGTACATGATCCATAATCAAAGAATATTTAGAGCTGGAAAGGATCTTAAACCTACTGTTCACGTCCTTCTCTTTGGTATATGAAGAAACAAAAGATCAGAGAAAGAAAGGATTTGTTTAAGGTCACAGAACTAGTAAGTAGCAGAGCTGGTATTGGACAGCAGATGCAGCAGACATTTTTATTTTTTCTTTCTTTTTTTTTCATTGTTTTCTTTTCCTAACTAGTTACTAACTAGAATCCCTTCCCCTCTGCATTTAGTTGGCAATAAGACCTTAATTTTCCTTTGGATGACACCTCCTCTTTCCTCTCAGCCCTTGTAATTTAGGTTAAGCTGGTCTCTCCCAGGGAGGTACAGAAATAGCCAAATGATCCAGGCATGTCCAGGTAGAGAAATGAATCTTCACGACTGCAGAGATGGTTAAAATACACATATCATTAAAGTAGGGTCAATAATAGGCAATGAGAATCAGACTTAAAGCTTATTCTGGGATTATTGAGAAAGAGGTGTCATCTTTTTGGTAGGATCACTACTTAGCTAGGATGAAAACCAGGAGCTACTGGTAACCATCATTGCCATCATGCATAGGGAGCCATGTTGAGGAAAAAGCCAACACAGAGGAAACTACATAGAGGACGAGATTCCTAATGTTACTGTGTGCTTGATCAAGACACACCTGAAGCTAGTTACTTCCTAGAATCTGAGGAAACATAGCCAATATATTTTGTTAGGTCAGTACATTTTTGTTCTTCTCTTTAACTCAATTTGAGATGGTTTCTCACACTACTCACTGAAAGAATTCTAATTAATATGGTCTCCTAACTTCTGTTTTAGTGCTCCATACCTTGCACTTTGATTTTTTAAATTACTGACAGAGATTTCAGAGCCCTAGTATCTTCTGCAAGAATGTTAACACTTTCCATCTTGTACTCTTAATCGTCTTATTCACCCCTTTCTCTATTGTCTGAATACATTAGGACTTTCTTGACATCAGATGCAAAGGAGGCTGGGTGCAGTGGCTCACGGCTATAATCCCAGCACTTTGGGAGGCCAAGGCAGGTGGATCACTTGAGGTCAGGAGTTTGAGACCAGTCTGGCCAACACGGTGAAACCCCGTCTCTAGTAAAAATACAAAAATTAGTTGGGGGTGATGGCGCACACCTGTAATACCAGCTACTTGGGAAACTGAGGTGGGAGACTCTCTTAAACCTAGGAGGCGGAGGTTGTAGTGAGCTGAGATTGCACCACTGCACTCCAGCCAAGGCGACAGAGTGAGTGAGACTCCATCTCAACAAACAAACAAACAGATGCAAAGGCATCACCAAATGGGACACAAAGATGCTTGGGTGAGTTAACATTTTTTATTCTAAAAATGACCAATATATATCAGACCCTTTGGCTCCAACCAGCTATTGGGCACATTTTTTTCAGGAGTGGTGTGACAGTCATCACTGGATTCCTCTGTGGATCTCAGCTGCTAGCTGTGTGTCCTTCATTCTCATGACTACAGAATGGATTGCTTTTCCTTAACTATGTTACTGCATTTAACACGAGTAGCCTCAACTCTGTCTCTTTTCCATCATAGTCACCTGCAAAATTGGAGTGAGGGGTCAGGCTTCTAAGGCAGATGTGTTGCCAAAGGACAGGGCTGCAAGCCATAGAAGGTGGCCATCCCCTTCACAAATCACTGGGAAAGAACAAAGGCTTAGAAAGCAATGAATTGTCTTAGGTTGTTATTATTGGGACTTGATGATCCAATTCCACCATTTAAGGGCTGCCATCAATCACCATTATCCAAGAAAGGAAATCATAAGCTTTATGCTTGCAGATAATAAGATTATTATCTGAAATCAGCACGTGCTACTGGAAGAATAATGGGCCTTAGAGCTAGCAAAACTGAGTTCAAATCCTGCTTATGCTACCAGTTGTGTGCTGTTGGAGGAATTTAATACATAAGCCCTCATGAAAGGGGATAATACTTATTTTGCAAGTTGGGGGGAAATCTATAAGGTAAGACCCTTAAGCTACTCTGTCTTTAATAAATAAATTTTTAACTATTCCTACTCTAGAATCCATTGTATTCATTATAAGGATAATGCCATGCCTTAAAACTACCCAGATTATTTCAATTCAGGGGTGGTATGAAATGAGTTCACAACATCTTTCCTCTCCCACTGAATAGAGATGTAAAACCTAAGCATAATGTATGGATCAGCTATTAGAAAACTCTGGAAAGTAAAAAGTAAGAGGCAGATTGGGGGAAAGATACTAAAGTGCCACAGACTCATCAGTAAGTTTAGCATTTTTCCCTCTGGTATCCACAGCCTGGACTCAACGTAGCAGCAAACCCAAGAAGTGGGCATCGATGGAGTCAGACATCCAGAAGTCCTTTTATTTCAGGCTCAAGGAGCAGGAAAGGAATATTCTGGTAGTGACAGCAGCAGCCACAAGGGGCCTAAAGATCTAAGGGAAGGAAACTTTCTAACTGAAGAAGCTGCGTTTCCAAGAGGATAGGGCAAAAATTGGCTCTTATTTTCTCTGTCCTCATAGGACTTGGCCCCATATATGGGCACATTCATGGCAGTGCAAAGCCAAGTGAGGGAAATAAGCCCAGCTCTCCAGCTAGAGGACTAAAAAGAGGTGAACCAGGAAATTTGAAAAACTATAAGGAAGATCATGGACAGGTAGGAGCTCCAGA
The DNA here is from genome assembly GCF_000001405.40 of Homo sapiens. NCBI lineage: Eukaryota > Metazoa > Chordata > Mammalia > Primates > Hominidae > Homo > Homo sapiens. The sequence continues at coordinate 9,695,102 of NC_000016.10, read as the reverse complement.
AAATGCCTCCATAATGTTGTTCATAATCTACGGCGCTCACCCCTGAGCTGAACTTGTGTGGGTGGGTATGGTTCTTTTCAAAGTATCTGATGTGGTTTGGCTCTGTGTCCCCACCCAAATATCATCTCGAATTGGGAGGTGAATGGATTATGGGGGTTTCCCCCATGCGGTTCTTGTGAGAGTGGTGAGTTCTCATGAGACCTGATGGTTTAAAAGTGTGACGCTTCCCCTCTGTGCTCTCTCTCTCTTTCCTGCTGCCTTGTGAAGTAGACGCTTGCTTCCCCTTCACTTTCTGCCATGACTGTAAGTTTCCTGAGGTCTCCACAGCCATGCAGAACTGACAGTCAATTAAACATTTTTTCTTCATAAATTACCCACTCTCAGGTAATTCTTTACAGCAGTGTGAAAATGGACTAATACAGTACCAAAGACTTTCAGAACTGAACTAAGAAATAGACACCAGCGAGCTCCCAACTGACTAATGAGTGGCTCATGAAAGAGTCAAATCCAAATAGCACTGAAAAGCCTTTGAGAGTAGAAGTAACACTGAAACTACGACCTAGAAAAAGATGGCAGAAACTGTGATCCAAACTCACTAGATCAGTTCCCCACTAAAACAAGAATACCTATTTTCAACAGGATTTAAACAACATCCAAAGTCTCATAATATTAGGATAAAATCCAATATTATGCAGCATATGAAGAATCAGAAAAATTCAACTTGCACAGAAAAAGGCAATCCAACAAATGTCAACACCAACATGACACAGATGTGGAAATTATATGAAAAAAAGATTAAAACACTGATGACAAAAATGTTCCAAGAGACAAATATTTTTGGGATGATAAAGATATTAAACGTTTTGCAAAGAAATAGAAAATATAACAAAGAACCAAATATAAAATTTAGAACAGAAAAATGCAACAAAATAAAAACTGACTAGAATGATGAAATAACATAATGAAATAATGGAGGAAAACAGTAAACTTTTAGATCAGTAGAAAGTATCCAACTTGAACAACAGAGAGAGAAAAAAATTCCAAAAACTGAACACAGTCTCAGAGATAACACTATAAGACCTGTTTATGTTACGAAAAACAGAAGAATGTGAGGCAGAAAAAGTGTTTTTATTAATCACTGCTAACTTCCCAAGTTTGGCCAAAAAATTCATAAACCTGGAAGCTTAGTGAACCCCAAACGGGATAAACCTCAAAACTTCATGCCAAGATATATCATCTCAAACTCCAGAAAATTAAAGACAAAGGAAGATATGGAATGCACCCAAAGGGGCAGAGGAGGAAAGTGTGTTATTTATAAGGGAACAACAACTGTATTGACTCTGCATTTCTCAGCAGAAACTCTGGAAGCCAAAATGAAGTAGAACAATATTTTTAATGTGAAAAAAATAACTGTTAGCTCACAGTTTGATACACAGAGAAAATATCCTTCAGGAGTTAAGGTAAGGTATAAACATTCTCACATGAAGAAAACGCAAGAGAATTTGTTGCTAGCATGTGCTCTAAAAGAATTGCTAAGCCGGATGCGGTGGCTCATGCCTGTAATCCCAGCACTTTGGGAGGCCGAGGCACGTGGATCACCTGAGGTCGGGAGTTTGAGACCAGCCTGGCCAACATGGAGAAGCCCCGTCTGTACTAAAACTACAAAAAATTAGCTGGGTATGGTGGCGCATGCCTGTAATCCCAGCTACTCGGGAGGCTAAGGCAGGAGAATTGCTTGAACCTGGAAGGCGGAGGTTGCGGTGAGCCAAGATTGCACTGTTGCACTCCAGCCTGGGCAACAGGAGTGAAACTCTGTCTCAAAAAAAAAAAAAAAAAAAAAATTGCTAAATGAAATTCTTTAGACAAAAGCAAAACAGTGCCAGAAAGAAATTTGGAACATTGATGATGAAGGAACAGCAACAGAAATTATAAATATCTGGGTAAATATCATAGACTATTCTTCTCCTCTTGAGATTTTACAACAGCTTCAACAGTTGATAGCAAATATTTTTTTGAAATATTTGTCAAATATTGTCCAATGAAATTTTAAATATATTTATATAGAATTTATAAGACAACACTAACACAAAGAGGGAGGGAAAAAAGACCTATATGGTGGCAATATTTTCATGTTCTACTTGAAGTGGTATATTATGGACTCAAAATAGACTGAAAAATTAAGTATTTTTAGAGCAACCACTACAAAATAACTACACAAAGAGATATAGTGAAAACCATATATACGAGTTAAAATGGGATACTAGAAAAAGGTTCACGTAACACAAAAGAAGGCAGACAAAAGGAAACAAAGGGTCAAAAACCAGCAGGAACAAACAGGAATCAAATAATAAAGTGGTACATCATCTGTTTCCAAATATGTCAATAATTGCAACTAGTGTAAATGCTCTAACATGCCAATTAAAAGCAGTGATCGTAAAAATGAATTAAATGTCACGATCTTATATGCTGTCTGTAAGAAACTAACTTCAAGTATAATAATATAGGTAGCTTAAAAGAAACATAAAAGATTATAAGGAACAAAAAAGTTATAACTTGTACACAAAAAAAGAAAAAAGAAAAGCTGGGTATATTAATATCAAGCAAAGTAGACTCCAGAGCAAAGAAAATTATCACTAATAAAGACAAATATTATTTAATGATATAAGGTAAATTCACCAAGGTGATATAACAATACTAAATGCATATGCATCTCACAGAGCTTCAAAATATATAAAGCACATGCTGACAGAACTGAAAGGGAAAATAGACAAATCCACAATTATAGTTAAATATTTCAACACTTCTCTCAACAGTAGATAGAACTTGCTGATAGATTGACAAGGATTTGGAAGAAATGAGCAATATCATCTAAAAAACCTAAATCAAATGGACCTTTATAGAATAGTTCACCCAAGAACAGCATACTTCTCAAGTGCACATGAAATATTTACCAAGATAAACTATATCTTGCGTTATAAAACAAACCTTCACCAATTTTAAAAAGTCGAACCTAGACAAAGTATGCATCTAATCACAATATAATTTGACTGTAAATGAATAACAGAAAGACAACAGAAAAATCTTTTACAAATTGGCAATTAAACAACACATTCTTTAATAATCCACTAATCAAAAAGGAAATTTTGAAGAATATTAGAAAATATCTGAAACTGAATGAAAATAAAACACAACATATCAAAATTAGTGAAATAGAAATAAAGTAGTACTTAGTGGTAAGTTTATAATTAATTTACTTACGTTAGAATTAATTACTTTTATTCGGAAAGAATAAAGGTCTCAAGTCAACACTTTAAGCTTTTGCTTTAAGAAATCTAAAAATAATGAGCAAAAATCTCCCCAAAATAGAACAATGTTATTGTATTTGTTTTCAACAAGGAAATGATTAAGAGAAGAGTACTAGTAAACTGACTTGAGATCAGAAAAGCAATATGAAAAAAATCAATGAAACCAAAATACACTGGTTCTTTGAAAAGATCAGTGCATTTGATCAGCCTCTGGCAAAACTGGTAAAGAAAACTGAGAGGAAATAAATTACCAATGTTAGGAATGAATAAAAGAGAATACTACAGACCCTGCAGATATTAATGGACTAATAAAGAAACCCTACAAACAATTCTATAAACATATATTTGAGTACTTAGACGAAACAAACCAACTCATTGAAACTACCAAATTCATCAAGATGAAATAGCCCCAGTAGACTTAGATCTATAAAATACATTGAATTAATACTTTAAAGCCACCCAAAAATAATCTCTCAACCAGATTCTAAACTTTTTGTGGAAAGTCAAGGGACCTAGAATGGCCAAAATAATTTAAAAACAAACAATAAAATTAGATGAGTCATACCAGTTTTAAAATTTAACTATAAAAATCACAATAATCAGTACAGTATGGGATTGCCAAACGAATCAACATAAGTAGATAAATGAAGGAGAACAGAGACTCCAGACATAGACCCAGATAAATGTGTTCAATTGATTTTTGGAAAGGTGCAAAGGCAATTCATAGGAGAAAGATATTCTTTTCAACAAATGATGTTGAATTGGACATCCACATTCCAAAAAAAATAGAACTTTGATCAACACCTCACACTTAATGCAAAAATGAACTCAACATAGACTATAGATCTAGACGTAAAAGGAAAAACTACAAAACTTTTAGAGGAAAATAGAAGAGAAGATATCTGTGACTTGGGTAAGGCAAAGAGTTATGAGGCGTGACACTAAAAGCATACTCTACAAGAAACAAAAGGATAAATTGAACTTTACCAAAACATAGAACTTTTTTTCTATGAAAGATGCTGTTAAAAAAAGTGAAAAGACAAACAGTAGACTGGGTGAAAATGTTTGCATATCACATATCCAACCAAGGACTTGTATCCAGAATACATATAGAAAACTCTCAAACTCAGCTGTCAGAAGACAAGTTACAAAATGGGCCAAAAACAAACAAACAAACAAACTTCAATAGACACTTTGCCACGGAGGGTAGATGGAAGGCAAATAAGCACATTAAAAGATGTTTAATGCCATCAGCCATTAGGGAAATTCAACTTAAAACCATGATGAGGTACTGCTATACATCTATTCAGATGGCTAAAGTAGAAAATACTGCCAATACCTAAGTAAAGGATGCAGACAGACTAATTAGAACTGTCATACTTTGCTACTGCAAATGGGAATGATACAGCCATTCTGGAAAACAATTTGGCAGTTTTTAATGAATTAAACATACCCTTAGTACATAACCGAGTGTTCCCACTCCTCGGTAGTCACCCTGGGAAAATGAAAACTTATACTCACATGAAAACCTACACATGCACATTCATAGTAGTTTAATAATCTCTAAAAGCTGAACTACCACAAATGTCCTTCAATGAGAGATTAGATAAAATGTGTGGTACATCCACACACTGGGATACTACTTAGCAGTGAAAAGAAGCAAACCACCAGTACATGCAATAAGCCAGTTTCAGAATGTTATTAATACATACTCTATGATTCCATTTATATGACATTCTCTAAACTACAAAGCTATGGGGATGAGAACACTTCTGTGGCTGCCAGGAGTTAGAGGTAGAGAGAGGGTGGGTTGTGACTGCAAATGGGTAGCATGAGAGAATTTTGGGCAAGTGATGGAATTATTCTGTATACTGATTATAGTGTTAGTTATACAAATTTATACATGTGTTAAAATTCATAGAACTGTGTATCAAAAAAGTCCATTTTAGCATATGTTAACTTAAAATTCTTTTTTAATCCTGATGATGTCATCTTCTGTGGAGGAGGATGGAAATGATGCTTTTGATTCTGAAAACATCTTAACAAGAGAAAAATGTTATATGATTAATAGCAAACATTTATTGGGCACTGACTTAGCAAGCACTGCAATATTACTCCCTTTTATCTAATTTAATCCTCCTAACAACACTAGGATAGTCATTTTGTTATTGTCCCCTGTAAGCCAAAAAGTATCTGAGACAAATACTTCCTGTTTCTAATTTTTCTAAAATTTTTAATCAATTTAGATTTTTTTTTTTTTTTTTTGCCAAACTTTTGGATCTTGACCTGTGACGCAGCCTCAGGAAGTCCTGAGAACATGTGCTCAAGGTAATTGGGCTATAGCTTGGTTTTCTATGTTTTAGGTAGAGACAAAACATCAATCAATACGTGTCAGGCATACATTGGTTTGGTCCAGAAAGGTGAGACAGCTTGAAGGGGTGGTGAGGCTTGGAGGTCATGGGTGGTTTCAAAGATGTTATGATTGCCAAATGGTTGAGTTATTATCTAAAGACCAGGAAGGAGGCCATATGTGGTGGCTCTCGCCTGTTATCTCAGCACTTTGGGAGGCCAAGGCAGGTGGATCACCTGAGGCCAGGAGCTTGAAACCAGCCTGGCTAACATGGTGAAACCCTGTCTCTACTAAAAATACAAAAATTAGCTGGGCATGGTCGTGGGCACCTGTAATCCCAGCTACTCCTGTGGCTGAGGGAAGAGAATGGCCTGAATCCAGGAGGGTTGCAGTGAGCTGAGATTGTGCCATTGCACTGCAGCCTGGGTGACAAGAGTAAAACTCCATCTCAAAAAAAAAAAAAAAAAAAGAGAAACAACAAAAGACCTGGAATTAATAGAAAGAAGTATCTGGATTAAGATAAAGAGTTGTGGAGACCAAGGTTTTTATTATGTAGATGAAGTCTCATAGGTGATCATCCCTAGAGGCAATAGATGGCAAATGTCTCTGATTCAGACCCTTAAAAGGCACTAGACTCTCAGCCAATATCTTCAGGATCAGAAAAAGACCTAGAAAGCAAAGGGGATTTGCTATAGAATGCAAATTTCTCCCACAAGAGACAGCTTTGCAGTGCCATTTCAAAATATGTCAAAGAAATATATTTTGGGGTAAAATACTTTGATTTCTTTCAAAGCCCTGCTGTCATGTGATGCTGTAGTAGAGTCAGGTTGGAATTGGATATTTTATTGCTACAAAGAATCTGTTCTGTCAGTCTTAGGATTTCTATTTTAATGTTAATCCTGATCAGTTGTGTACCTGAACACCAAAGGAAAGAGGAGACAATGAGGCATGTCTGACTTCTCCTTCCTGACATGGCCAGAATTAGTTTTTCAGGCTCCATTGGCTGAGAGGAGGTCCGTTTAGTCATTTGGAGGCCTTAGAGTTTTAGTGTTGGTTTACACCCCATTTTGCAGATGAGTTAAACTGAGCCCCAGGTTAGGTGGTTTGCTGAGACCCATGGCTAGAGAGTGAAGTACCTGGTGTTTGAACACAAGTCTCACCAACTCCAAAGTTTTGAGTTTTGTGCCAACGACTTCCTAACTGTTTCCAGGGTTCCAGTATTCTGCTTTTCCTGTTTTAAAATCCTACATATTAACTAAGTATAGCCTTGCCAGAGAGAAACATCATCTCTGCTCTGCGAATAAACTCTCTTCTCACCACTGACCTCTAGTTAATGAGAAATGCTGACTCTTTGGCTAAGGAAATTCTCTAGTATCGATCTCCATTGTTTTCTTTATTTAATACAGCTGTTAAGTTCTTTTAAACAAGGTAATTCATCATGAGATAGTCAAACCCTGGCTTTATTGATGCAACAATTAATTAGTTGGCTGCCCAGTTCTGCAAGGTTTGTTCCAGATGAATGCCTGGCCAGGCTCTGGAGCCATGATGCAAATCTAGTGAACACATTGGACATACTGCTGACTTAATCACATTTGAGATGTTGTTGGATGTGAGTCCCCCCGCCCATGCCTCTGGGATGGATGGTGGCTGGAGCTGCTCTGAGAGCAATTGTAGGAGCTGCCTCTACTAGCACCAAAGCTGGGGACTGGTCATTCCTGGCTTTTCCCAAGGAGGGTTCCTGGGGCCTTTGAGAAAAAAGTAAAGTAGGAAGTTTGAGGTTTATGTTCGTGCTAAAGTGTGGCTGTGCTCTGTAGTGGATAAGAAAGTGGGGACTGGGGTCCGACTGCTTGGGGTCCAGTGGTTGTCATTCACTAGAAGGGACAAGGGACCACTAATCTTTCAATAGCTTTATTAAGATACAACTTACATGCCATACAATTCACTATTTATTCAATGACATTCAGTATATTTACAGAATTTTGTAAACATCACCAAACCTAATTTTAGAATACTTTTCTCATCCTGATTCCAGGGGTCTGGGAGAGCCCCCAAATACTGTTGGGACCTCAACCCCAGCCAGTGTCTAGGCTCTTGACAGCATCATGAGAAAGAATTCAAAGATAAGCCAGAAAACAGTGAAAGTACAGAGATTTATTGTAAATCAAAAAGTACACATTCAAGAAAGAGAAGCACAGGCGTACTCAAAAAAGAGTCACACAGTGGGTTGGAGGTTTCCATCTTTATGTGTCTCTTTAACCAAGGGGTGGAATATTCATGAAGAGTCCTGGGAAAAGGTAGAGATTTCCCAGAACTGTGGTATTGCTCATTTTTAAAAGAAATATGGCTGAATAGACCAATAACAGGATCTGAAATTGTGGCAATAATCAATAGCTTACCAACCAAAAAGACTCCAGGACCAGATGGATTTACAGCCGAATTCTACCAGAGGTACTAGGAGGAACTGGTACCATTCCTTCTGAAACTATTCCAATCAATAGAAAAAGAGGGAATCCTCCCTAACTCATTTTATGAGGCCAGCATCATCCTGATACCAAAGCCGGGCAGAGACACAACCAAAAAAGAGAATTTTAGACCAATATCCTTGATGAACATTGATGCAAAAATCCTCAATAAAATACTGGCAAACCGAATCCAGCAGCACATCAAAAAGCTTATCCACCATGATCAAGTGGACTTCATCCCTGGGATGCAAGGCTGGTTCAATATATGCAAATCAATAAATGTAATCCAGCATATAAACAGAACCAAAGACAAAAACCACATGATTATCTCAATAGATGCAGAAAAGGCCTTTGACAAAATTCAACAACCCTTCATGCTAAAAACTCTCAATAAATTAGGTACTGATGGGACGTATCTCAAAATAATAAGAGCTATCTATGACAAACCCACAGCCAATATCATACTGAATGGGCAAAAACTGGAAGCATTCCCTTTGAAAACTGGCACAAGACAGGGATGCCCTCTCTCACCACTCCTATTCAACATAGTGTTGGAAGTTCTGGCCAGGGCAATTAGGCAGGAGAAGGAAATAAAGGGTATCCAATTAGGAAAAGAGGAAGTCAAATTGTCCCTGTTTGCAGATGACATGATTGTATATCTAGAAAACCCCATTGTCTCAGCCCAAAATTTCCTTAAGCTGATAAGCAACTTCAGCAAAGTCTCAGGATACAAAATCAATGTACAAAAATCACAAGCATTCTTATACAACAGTAACAGACAAACAGAGAGCCAAATCATGAGTGAACTCCCATTCACAACTGCTTCAAAGAGAATAAAATACTTAGGAATCCAACTTACAAGGGATGTGAAGGACCTCTTCAAGGAGAACTACAAACCACTGCTCAAGGAAATAAAAGAGGATACAAACAAATGGAAGAACCTTCCATGCTCATGGGTAGGAAGAATCAATATCATGAAAATGGCCATACTGCCCAAGGTAATTTATAGATTCAATGCCATCCCCATCAAGCTACCAATGACTTTCTTCACAGAATTGGAAAAAACTACTTTAGAGTTCATATGGAACCAAAAAAGAGGCCGCATCGCCAAGCCAATCCTAAGCCAAAAGGACAAAGCTGGAGGCATCACGCTACCTGACTTCAAACTATACTACAAGGCTACACTAACCAAAAGAGCATGGTACTGGTACCAAAACAGAGATATAGATCAATAGAACAGAACAGAGCCCTCAGAAATAATGCCACATATCTACAACTATCTGATCTTTGACAAACCTGAGAAAAACAAGCAATGGGGAAAGGATTCCCTATTTAATAAATGGTGCTGGGAAAACTGCCTAGCCATATGTAGAAAGCTGAAACTGGATCCCTTCCTTATACCTTATACAAAAATTAATTCAAGATGGATTAAAGACTTAAATGTTAGATCTAAAACCATAAAAACCCTAGAAGAAAACCTAGGTATTACCATTCAGGACATAGGCATGGGCAAGGACTTCATGACTAAACACCAAAAGCAATGGCAACAAAAGACAAAATTGACAAATGGGATCTAATTAAACTGAAGAGCTTCTGCACAGCATAAGAAACTACCATCAGAGTGAACAGGCAACCTACAAAATGGGAGAAAATTTTTGCAACCTACTCTTCTGACAAAGGGCTAATATCCAGAATCTACAATGAACTCAAACAAATTTACAAGAAAAAAACAAACAACCCCATCAAAAAGTGGGCGAAGGATATGAACAGACACTTCTCAAAAGAAGACATTTATGCAGCCAAAAAACACATGAAAAAATGCTCATCATCACTGGCCATCAGAGAAATGCAAATCAAAACCACAATGAGATACCATCTCACACCAGTTAGAATGGCAATCATTAAAAAGTCAGGAAACAACAGGTGCTGGAGAGGATGTGGAGAAATAGGAACACTTATACTGTTGGTGGGACTGTAAACTAGTTCAACCATTGTGGAAGTCAGTGTGGCGATTCCTCAGGGATCTAGAACTAGAAATACCATTTGACCCAGCCAACTCATTACTGGGTATATACCCAAAGGACTATAAATCATGCTGCTATAAAGACACATGCACACGTATGTTTATTGCAGCACTATTCACAATAGCAAAGACTTGGAACCAACCCAAATGTCCAACAAGGATAGACTGGATTAAGAAAATGTGGCACATATATGCCATGGAATACTATGCAGCCATAAAAAACGATGACTTCATGTCCTTTGTAGGGACATGGATGAAATTGGAAATCATCATTCTCAGTAAACTATCGCAAGGACAAAAAACCAAACGCCGCATGTTCTCACTCATAGATGGGAATTGAACAATGAGAACACATGGACACAGGAAGAAGAACATCACACTCTGGGGACTGTTGTGGGGTGGGGGGAGGGGGGAGGGATAGCATTAGAAGATATACCTCCTAATACTAAATGACGAGTTAATGGTTGCAGCACACCAGCATGGCACATGTATACATATGTAACTAACCAGCACATTGTGCACATGTACCCTAAAACTTATAGTATAATAATAATAATAATAATAAAAATAAATAAATAAAAAGAAATATGGGTGTTCCTGGAACTGTCATGGCACTGGTGTGTTTTATTTAGTATGTTAATGAGCATATAATGAGGTCCTATGTAAAACCTAGGTCAAATCCGGTGCCATGTTGCGTCCAGTCAGTCTTAGCCAGCTTGATTCGCACCCTGGTTTTTCAGGGTCTTGTCAGTCTCTAGCTTCTGCAACTATTTCAACAATTTTCTTTTACTAGTCATGTGAAACTGCTGCCTGAAATTTTCTATTCTCCTGTGACCACCCTGTATTATTCCTGTCTCAAACCCCAAAGGAAACCTTATCCCCATTTGCAGTCACTTCCCATCTCCCCACCCTAGCCCATCCCTTAAGCAATCACTAATCTACTTTTTGTTTCAATACATTTGTGTTTTCTGGAAAATTAATATAAGTAGAATGATACAATTGTGGTCTTTCTGTACCCAACTTTTTTCTCTTTGCATAATATTTTGAGGTTCATCCATGTTGTAGTGTATATCAATACTTCATTATTTTTCATGGCTGAATAATATTCCAGTGCATTGATATACCACATTTTGTTTATCTAATCACCAGTTGTTAAACATTTAGGTTGTTTCCACTTTTTGGTTGTTATGAATAATGCTGCTATGAACATTCCTGTACAAGTTTTTGTTTGGACATATGTTTTCAGTTCTCCTGGGTATATATCTAGGAGTGATATTGCTGGGTCCTGTGGTGGTGCCACATTTAATATCTTGAAAAACTTTCAAACTATTTCTCAAAGTGGCTATGTCATTTTACACCCCCACCAGCAATGTGTGTGGGTTCTAATTTCTCCACATCCTCCCCAACACTTGTTATTGTCTGTTTTTTTCATTCTGGCCACCCTCATGTGTATGAAGTGGTATCTCGCTGTGGTTTTGATTTGCATTTCCGTGATGGCTAATTACATTAAGCATCTTTTCATGTGCTTATTGGTCATCTGTATGTCGTCTTTGGGAAAATGCCTCTTAAAATCCTTTGCCAATTTCTAAATCAGGTCATGTATCTTCTTATTATTGATCTGTTAAGAATTCTTCATATACTGGGTACGCACTCCTATAGGCTGGCCATTTAAACCCTCAGCCTCAAGTTTGCCTCTAGGCTGCTTTACCAGTGTTTCATTCCTGTAGATCCACACCCTCCTTTTCACCTTGTCTGTCCTTTCTTTTGTTTCCTAATCCTTTCCCATCAGAGAAGGAAATCAATGTGACACACTCACTGCCTCAAGAGAGTAAAACCCTAGACCCATCAGTGCTCACTTTCAAAAGAAAGGTTTCTCCTCTTTACTTCCCAAACATTTGAAACATTTTCCTCTTCCTCCTTCTCCCCTGCACCCCAACCAAAAAAAAACCCCTAAATTTGGAAGCAACATTCCAGATTTTCATGCCCTGCTCAAAGGCAATGAGGTATATCAGAAAGAGACAAACTTGGAGTTTTACTGTTCTGCAGTCCAATCCCAGCTGTGCCTTCTCTATCTGTGTGACTCCAAGCAAGTTGCTTAACCTCTCTAAGCCTAACTTATCTAACTTAAGTTAGTGCTCAAATGAGGAAGAGTATTTTAAAAACATCATTAGTGAATGCAATGATCACCTCTTAAGTGTACTAAGCATTCAATACAAGAATTTCCTCTGCTCTTTACTCGTGCAATCTCACAGTAACTTTGTGAAGTGGGTGTTACTATCTCAGTATTACTAGGGACAGAACAGAGACTCAGGTTACTCAGCCAGTGAGGGGCAGAGCTGGGATTCAAACCCAAATCTCACTCTCTCTAGAGCTTCTGTTCTTCTAAATGAGTTGCAAATGGAGGGCCCCCACTGTAAGCTATCACCCTATTAGAGTAATTTAGAGAAAATAACAAAATCCTAGCAAGAGCTTCCCTGTGGGGGGATTGTTTGTCTGAAATATGTGTGCTTTGTGTGGCTGACTTAATCTTTATTGAGCAAGGGCACCGTGGGAAGTATGGGGCACAACAATGAACAAAACCAGAAGGAGCTTCTTCCCTAAAGCCACTAAAGAAATAAATATAACGGGCCAGGCACAGTGGCTCATGCCAGTAATCCCAGCACTTTGGGAGGCCAAGGTGGGAGGATCACTTGAGGTCAGGAGTTTGAGAACAGCCTGGCCAACATGGTGAAACCCCGTCTCTACTAAAAATACAAAAATTAGCTGGGCATCCTGCCGGGATCCAGTAATCCCAGCTACTTGGGAGGCTGAGGCACGAGAATCACTTGAACCCGGGAGGCAGTGGTTGCAATGAGCCAAGATCATACCACTACACTCCAGCCTGGGCAACAGAGCGAAACTCCATCTCAAAAAAAACAAACAAGTTATTATCTCATTACACATTGTGCTAAGCATCTGGGTTTGAAGTCCTGCTCTGCAGTTTACGACTCGGGTTCTTTGAGCTTTGGCTTCCTCCTCTCCTCTGTACAATGGGTTGGTTATTTCCTGCCTCACTGGCTGTGGGGAAACCTAGGGATGTGTCAGCATGTGCTGGTCCTGTTCTGTAGTCTGTAGTCAGCACCCAGTTAAGGGCTGCAGCCAGAGGTGATCACTTTCTTAAGCTCCGGTTTTCTGAGGTCTGCTTGCAAACACATAGCTCCACTCTGCTGCTGTGAGGCCGAGGCCAGCTTCCGCTTCTCTGCCCTGCAGCAGCCCATGAAGCTCAGGGAAGCCGGCCTCTGTGCCTTCTTTCAGAGGAAAACTAGAACTGACAAGCATGCGTTGAGAATACTGCACCTCCACATGGAACTGCAGAGGAATCGTGCACATGATTAGAGTTTCAAGGAAGTCACTTAAGAACAGGCCACGCGAGGGTTCGGCATTCCTACTGCAGAGGAGGGAAAATCAGAAGCCATATGAGGAGACTTCATTATATTATACGCCTGTTTCGGAATAAACCAGGTCAGTTGTTCTTGCAATTGTATTTAATAGTAGGCCAGAGCTTCTCTGACATGGAAAGACAGGGAGATAATATGATGAGTGCATTGGAAAATCCTTTGCTTTGTCTTTCTGCTTACAGACAGGAATTTAATTTGACTCCAATATTTGGTTCTTTGGGTGAAAGTGCCCAGTGAATGAGGAAATGAAAAATCTGCAGATGAAAGATATTCAGGTGTTGCTGTTGCACAACACGTATAAGCCCAAACTTTGTAACTTAGCATCTAAAAACCTTCACCACATGGACAATGGATTTCTCTCCTGCAGTCATTAATGTCAGGGAGCTGGAGATTGGCTGGCTGAGTTCAAATCCACACTGTCTCTTGCTAGCTCTTTGATTTTAAGTGGCTTAGCCTGTCAGAGCCTCATTTTCCTTGTCTGAGACAAGGGCTGAAACCACTATCTCACAGAGTTATGAGGATAAAGTGGTTTCAAGTTTATAAGGTGATCGGCCCAAGGTGTACACATAGCACAGCTTCTCCAGCTCAGCACCATTGGCCCTGGGAGAGGAAGAGTCCTGTGCACTGTGGGATGTTTAGAAGCATCCCTGACCTTTACCCCTAGATGACAGTAGCATTCCCTCCTACCACAGCTGTGACAACCAGAAATGTCTCCAGATATTGGCAAATATCCCCTGGAGGAGACACAAAATCACCCCTGATAGAAAACCCTTGGCACACAGTAAGTGCTCTCAATAGGGTTGTCATTATCATCTCCCATCACTTGCCTCTGAAATTCTCCACTTAAATCCAATGACTTGAACGTCTCTGGACTAAAATGTGCTTTCTGGCAGTTCTCTGCTCACACCTTCCCTTCAAAGCCCTTTTGAGGCTCCAAAGCCTCAAAGCCCTGTTGTGCCTTCTTTTCCTGAGTTCTCCTGCTCATTCTTCAAGACTCAGTACAGGCATCACCTCCTCCAAGAAGTCTTCTCTTGCCTTTTCCTCTCAAAGGTGGGGACGTTTCCCATGCCAGGGAAATCAGGAACACAGACATAGAAGGAGTGAGGTTAAGAGTGGAGGTTTAATAGGCGAAAGAAAGAGAAAAGCTCTCTCCTGCAGAGAGAGGGGGTCCCGAGCCGGTCCTCCAGCCCCGTGGTGAAGTGCAGGAGGTTTTATAGATAAGCCTGAGAAGGTGGTCTCTGATTTACATAGGGCATAAAAGATTGGTCAGACCAGGTGTGCAATTTGCATAGCATGCGAAGAACTGATTAAGACTGGGTGTGTCATTTGCATAGTGTGTGAAGAAGCTGGCCACTCACCCTTATATTTTATTATGCAGGTGGGTTCTCTGCCTCGCCAGTGCCATGCTGCCTGCTTTTTTACTGTACACATGGTGACAAAGAAAAGGGGAGATAGAGACTCCATATTGAACACACCTGGCTCCCAGGTAGCCCTTTCCTATTGGTCCAGCTGCCGGCATTCACCTATGCCAGGTTCCAGCTTGCATATTTGCAGCTTGATTTTTCAGGCTGCTCTTTGGTAGAAAAGAAATGATTTGGGGGCTGCATTTTGTTAAAAGGGAAGCCTTCCTGAGGACTCCTTTACCCTCACTATCTGCCTGAATAATTTCTTTCTAGCCCCTGTATCAGAATTATCACAGAGTTATCACTGTCTGTGTTTCTCTCCCACATAAGACTGTGATACTCAAAGGTCAGAGTTGTGGGCATGTAGTACGGACTCATTGAATGCTCGATGCAGGGAGTGGCAAAGCGAAGAGTTAATGGCCGGGGTCCTTCCCAAAAGGACAAGGAGACCAGCAACCCCAGCTTCAAGACTTCTCCCTCCTGCTTTCATCTGGTTCCCCAGGACACAGCACAAGAAGCAACAGGAGCTGTGTCAGCCTCACTAAATAAAAACAGCTCTATAAAAACATCATTAGAAACTCATTTACTGCAAGCCACCAAAACCGCATGAGGCAGAGAAAATCGACCCATCCCCAAACGTCTTTCTCTTGTTCTGTTTGCTCTCTTCTTTTGTCTGTTTTTTTTCCCTCATGTTTTGCTGATTCTCTTCGTTTCCAAAGAATTATTTCCACTGCTCTTTGCTGCCAAGTCCCCAAACAATCATGCACACATACTTGTGTGTTGCTAGAGGCGAGAAGAATGGCTTTGCTGCGGTGTAAACTTTCTGCAGTTTGCAAAGTTTTCAATTCCAATACCCCAAGTTGCTGGAGCCCAGCTTTGATCATGTATTAACGTCCAACTGTTGGACTTAATTTCTCTGCATAAAAAAAAAAGGAACATAGGGGTTTTTAATAGAGTTAAATAGTTTGTGTTTTATAAAACTTTCTGCCTTCCATTCCCAATTCTAATCAGTGCTATTGGTTGGCCCAGAAAATGACTTAAACATTACTTGAACATTGGCTTAAAGGTGAATTTTAAAAGTCATTTTCCATTCATTCATGATTTTCTTAATTTTTAGCAGGGATACTGTTCAGTGTCTGTGCTTCTGCTGCTGCTCTTCTCACTTTGAGAAAAGGAAGGAAAAGGGGAAACAATGATGCTGGGGACCCACCTTGTGCCTCTCCCCTTGGGAGAAGTACTCATAAGACCACTCTTACAGCCAAGGGCTCTTGGGCACAGGGACGTCAAGCAAGTTTCTGACAGTCACACAGCTAGTGGTGACAGAGTCAGGATTAATAACAGAACCATCTCCTGGAAAACTTGAATGGTGTCATTTTCTCTGTCCTCTTGCTTCTCCATTATTTAAGTCCTGATAATACCTCCTACCAGGACCCATCTAGTGCTGGAGCAACGGAAATCCTTTCCAATCTATTATAAAACGGGATTCTCATTTCCAGCCCTTGCAAGGGCTATTTTAAGGATTAAACCTCACAGATTGATGTTTGTGCAGCTGGGTACCCAGAAAACAGTTTATCATTATTGTCTGTTATTATTATTTCTTCCTTCCAAACTTATCAGTCTTCTATCCCATTCTCCAGGTCCTGCCCGCTATTTAGAAATTTTTCTAAAATTTCTTTATAAGTTCTTTAAGGATTGGGTCAACCTCCGATCCTACACCTCACTTCAAATATAATGTCCACCATGAATCTAGCAAAGCCTGGTTGAATTGAGCAGTGATAGTGGTAGCAGGCTAAATGAGTAAAGGGTACATTGGCAAATCTCTTTCCAGCTGAGGCAGTCCAATGCCACGGGCTGTTACAGATCCAAGTCTAAGGACCCCAATGGATCATGCTAATGGCAGAAATATGAGACGTAATAGCAGGCTATGGGGGACACACTTAAGAGTAGATGAAAATTTTTTTCTCCTCCAGTATATTATAAGGATTGTATCTTCTTTTTTACTTTATCTTATTTTATTTCATTTTTTGAGATGGAGTCTTCCCCTGTCTCCCAGGCTGGAGTGCAGTGGTGTGATTTCAGCTCACTGCAACCTCCGCCTCCCGGGTTCAAGCAGCTCTCCTGCCTCAGCCTCCTGAGTAGCTGGGACTACAGGTGCACACCACCATGCCTGGCTAATTTTGGTATTTTTAGTAGAGACTGGGTTTCACCATGTTGGCCAGGCTGTTCTGAAACTCCTGACCCCCACTTCGGCCTCCCAAAGTGCTGAGACTACAGGCGTGAGCCACCGGCCCGGACTGTGTCTTCTTTTTGAACATTGGAACTATTATATTTTTTTCAACTTGGGCTTTCTAACATTTTGTTTTTAAGTGCTAACTATCTGCTAGATGATCAGTGCTAACTATCTGCTAGATGATCAGTGCTATTATGGATATAAGGATGATGATATGGTTTGGATCTGTGTCCCCCCACCCCCACCCGGCCCCCAAATCTCATGTTGAATTGTAATCCCCAATATTGGGGCCTTGTGGGAAGCAATTGGATCATGAGGGCAGATTTCCCCCTGGGTGCTGCTCTCGTGATAGTGAGTAACTGCTCACTCAAGATCTGCTTGTTTAAAAGTGTGTAGCCCCTCCCCACTCTCTCTCTCTCCCTCTGTCCTCCTCCTGCTCTGGCCATTAAGCCCAATAGCAGTGATGGGAATGCATAAAACAGAAAGGAATCTACACTCCAATCTTTCGTGTTTGACCTCCTATTATTCCCCCTTCCCTATAACACAAATTCAGAGGAAAACTTATTTATTAAACACTTATCATGTCCCAAGTGTCAGGCCTCTGAGCCCAAGCCAAGCCATCGTATCCCCTGTGACTTGCACGTATATGCCCAGATGGCCTGAAGTAACTGAAGAATCACAAAAGAAGTGAAAATGCCCTGCCCCGCCTTAACTGATGACATTCCACCACAAAAGAAATGTAAATGGCCAGTCCTTGCCTTAAGTGATGACATTACCTTGTGAAAGTCCTTTTCCTGGCTCATCCTGGCTCAAAAAGCACCCCCACTGAGCACCTTGCGACCCCCACTCCTGCCCACTGAGCACCTTGCGACCCCCACTCCTACCCGCCAGAAAACAAACCCCCTTTGACTGTAATTTTGCTTTACCTACCCAAATCTTATAAAATGGCCCCACCCCTATCTCCCTTTGCTGACTCTCTTTTCGGACTCAGCCCACCTGCACCCAGGTGATTAAAAGCTTTATTGCTCACACAAAGCCTGTTTGGTGGTCTCTTCACATGGACACACATGAAATTTGGTGCGGTGACTCGTATCGGGGGACCTCCCTTGGGAGATCAATCCCCTGTCCTCCTGTTTTTTGCTCCATGAGGAAGATCCACCTACGACCTCAGGTCCTCAGACCAACCAGCCCAAGAAACATCTCACCAATTTCAAATCCTGTAAGCGGCCTCTTTTTACTGTCTTCTCCAACCTCCCTCACTATCCCTCAACCTCTTTCTCCTTTCAATCTTGGTGCCACACTTCAATCTCTCCCTTCTCTTGATTTCAATTCCTTTCATTTTCTGGTAGAGACAAAGGAGACACGTTTTATCCGTGGACCCAAAACTCCGGTGCCCGTCACGGACTGGGAAGGCAGCCTTCCCTTGGTGTTTCATCATTGCAGGGACGCCTCTCTGATCATTCACCCACGTTTCAGAGGTGTCAGACCACGCAGGGACGCCTGCCTTGGTCCTTCACCCTTAGTGGCAAGTCTTGCTTTTCTGAGGAAGGGGCAAGTACCCAAACTCCTTCTCTCCTTGTCTCTACCCCTTCTCTGCTTTTCTGGGGGAGGGGCAAGTACCCCTCAACCCCTTCTCCTTCACCCTTAGCAGCAAGTCCCGCTTTTCTACGGGGCAAGAACCCCCAATCCCTTATTTCTGCACCCCAACCTTATCTCTGCACCCCAATCCCTTATTTCCACACCCAGACCTCTTATCTCTGTGCCCCAATCCCTTATTTCCACACCCCAACCTCTTATCTCTGTGCCCCAATCCCTTATTTCCATGCCCCGACCCCCCTTCCTGCTTTTCTGGAGGGTAAGAACCCCCGAACCCCTTCCCTCCGTGTCTCTACGCTCTCTTTTCTCTGGGTTTGCCTCCTTCACTATGGGCAACCTTCCACCCTCCATT
Organism: Homo sapiens; assembly: GCF_000001405.40. Classification (NCBI taxonomy): domain Eukaryota; kingdom Metazoa; phylum Chordata; class Mammalia; order Primates; family Hominidae; genus Homo; species Homo sapiens. The sequence goes on along the minus strand of NC_000016.10, from coordinate 9,675,944 downwards.
TCTCCTTCTCCTTTAGCCTGTGTCCTCAAGAACTTAAAACCTCGTCAACTCACACCTGACCTAAAACCTAAATGCCTTATTTTCTTCTGCAACACTGCTTGGCCCCAATACAAACTTGACAATAGCTCTAAATGGCCAGAAAACGGCATTTTTGATTTCTCCATCCTACAAGACCTAAATAATTTTTGTCGAAAAATGGGCAAATGGTCTGAGGTATCTTACGTCCAGGCATTTTTCACACTTCGTTCCATCCCTAGCCTCTGTTCCCAATGCGATTCCTCCCAGATCCTCCTTCTTTCCCTCCCGCCTGTCCCCGCAGTCCCAACCCCAAGTGTCGCTGAGTCTTTCCAGTCTTCCTTTTCTACAGACCCATCTGACCTTTCCCCTCCTCCCCAGCCTGCTCATCGCCAGGCCGAGCTAAGTCCCAATTCTTCCTCAGCCTCCACTCCTCCACCCTATAATCCTCCTACCACCTCCCCTCCTCACACCCGGTCCGGCTTACAGTTTAGTTCCGCAACTAGCTCTTCCCCACCTGCCCAACAATTTCCTCTTAGAGAGGTGGCTGGAGCTGAAGGCATAGTCAACGCACATGTACCTTTTTCTCTATCAGACCTCTCTCAGATCAGTCAGCATTTAGGCTCTTTCTCATCAGACCCCACTAAATATATACAGGAATTCCGATATCTAACTCTGTCCTACAACTTAACCTGGAGTGACCTAAATGTCATCCTGACTTCTACCCTCTCCCCAGATGAACGGGAAAGAGTTTTTCCTGTATCCCAATCTCACGCTGATAACCGTCGGCTTCATGAGCCAGACCTCCAGGAAGGCATTAGAGCAGTTCCCCGAGAGGATCCCCCAGTGGAACTACCAGGCAAATTCCCCAGGTATAGCTAGGTGAGATTACATGGTTTCCTGCCTAGTTGAAGGGCTTAAAAAAGCAGCTTACAAAGCTGTTAATTATGACAAACTTAAAAAAACTACCCAAGGTAAAGATGAAAACCCAGCCCAGTTCATGGCCCGCTTAGCAGCAACCATTAGATGCTATACCACCCTAGACCCAGAGGGGCCAGAAGGCCGCCTTATTCTTAGTATGCATTTTATCACCCAATCCACTCCTGACATTAGGAAAAAACTTCAAAAATTAGAATCTGGCCCTCAAACCCCACAACAGGAATTAATCAACCTTGCCTTCAACGTGTACAATAATAGAGAGGAAGCAGCCAGACGGCAATGCATTTCTGAGTTACAATTACTTGCCTCCACTGTGAGACAAACCCCAGCCACATCTCCAGCACACGAGAACTTCCAAACGCCTGAACCGCAGCAGCCAGGCGTTCCTCCAGAACCTCCTCCCCCAGGAGATTGCTACAAGTGCCAGAAATCTAGCCACCAGGCCAAGGAATGCCCGCAGCCCGGGATTCCTTCTAAGCCACGTCCCATCTGTGTGGGACCCCACTGAAAATCGGACTGTTCAACTCACCTGGCAGCCACTGCCAGAGTCGCTGGGACTCTGGCCCAAGGCTCTCTGACTGACTCCTTCCCAGATCTTCTCGGCTTAGCAGCAGAAGACTGACACCGCCCAATCGCCTCAGAAGCCAACAGAACCATCACAGATGCTCTGGATAACTCTCACAGTGGAGGGTAAGTCCGTCCCCTTCTTAATCAATACGGAGGCTACCCACTCCACATTACCTTCTTTTCAAGGGCCTGTTTCCCTTGCCTCCATAACTGCTGTGGGTATTGACGGCCAGGCTTCTAAACCTCTTAAAACTCCCCAACTCTGGTGCCAATTTAGACATTACTCTTTTAAGCACTCCCTTTTAGTTATCCCCACCTGCCCAGTTCCCTTATTAGGCTGAGACACTTTAACTAAATTATCTGCTTCCCTGACTATTCTAGGCTACAGCTGCACCTCACTGCCACCTTTTCCCCCAGTTCAAAGCCTCCTTCACATCCTCCCCTTATATCTCCCCACCTTAACTCACAAGTATAAGACAAGTATAAGACTCACAAGTATAAGACTACTACTACTCCCTCCTTAGTGACCGATCATGCACCCCTTACCATCCCATTAAAACCTAATCACCCTTACCCCGCGCAATGCCAAGATCCCATCCCACAGCATGCTTTAAAAGGATTAAAGCCTGTTATCACTCGCCTGCTACAGCATAGGCTTCTAAAACCTATAAACTCTCCTTACAATTCCCCCATTTCACCCGTCCTAAAACCAGACAAGCCTTACAGGTTAGTTCAGGATCTGTGCCTTATCAGTCAAATTGTTTTGCCTATCCACCCTGTGGTGCCAAACCCGTATACTCTCCTATCCTCACTACCTGCCTCTACAACCCATTATTCTGTTCTGGATCTCAAACATGCTTTCTTTACTATTCCTTTGCACCCTTAATCCCAGCCTCTCTTCACTTTCACTTGGACTGACCCTGACACCCATCAAGCTCAGCAAATTACCTGGGCTGTACTGCCGCAAAGCTTCACAGACAGCCCCCATTACCTCAGTCAAGCCCAAATTTCTTCCTCATCTGTTACCTATCTCGGCATAATTCTCATAAAAACACACGTGCTCTCCCTGCCAATCGTGTCCGACTGATCTCTCAAACCCCAGCACCTTCTACAAAACAACAACTCCTTTCCTTCCTAGGCATGGTTAGCGTGGTCAGAATTCTTACACAAGAGCCAGGACCACACCCTGTAGCCTTTCTGTCCAAACAACTTGACCTTACTGTTTTAGCCTAGTCCTCATGTCTGCGTGCAGTGGCTGCCGCTGCTTTAATACTTTTAGAGGCCCTCAAAATCACAAACTATACTCAACTCACTCTCTACAGTTCTCATAACTTCCAAAATCTATTTTCTTACTCATACCTGACGCATATGCTTTCTGCTTCCCGGCTCCTTCAGCTGTATTCACTCTTTGTTGAGTCTCCCACAATTACCATTGTTCCTGGCCCGGACTTCAATCCGGCCTCCCACATTATTCCGGATACCACACCTGACCCTCATGACTGCATCTCTCTGATCCACCTGATGTTCACCCCATTTCCCCACATTTCCTTCTTCCCTGTTTCTCACCCTGATCACACTTGGTTTATTGATGGCAGTTCCACCAGGCCTAATCGCCACTCACCAGCAAAGGCAGGCTATGCTATAGTATCTTCCACATCTATCATTGAGGCTACCACTCTGCCCCCCTCCACTACCTCTCAGCAAGCCGAACTAGTTGCCTTAACTCAAGCTCTCACTCTTGCAAAGGACTACGCGTCAATATCTATACTGATTCTAAATATGCCTTTCATATTCTGCACCACCATGCGGTCATATGGGCTGAAAGAGGTTTTCTCACTACACAAGGGTCCTCCATCATTAATGCCTCTTTAATAAAAACTCTACTCAAGGCCGCTTTACTTCCAAAGGAAGCTGGGGTCATTCACTGCAAGGGGCATCAAAAGGCATCAGATCCCATTGCTCTAGGCAACGCTTATGCTGATAAGGTGGCTAGACAAGCAGCTAGCTCTCCAACTTCTGTCCCTCACGGCCAGTTTTTCTCCTTCACATTGGTCACTCCCACCTACTCCCCTGCTGAAACTTCCACCTATCAATCTCTTCCCACACAAGGCAAATAGTTCTTAGACCAAGGAATATATCTCCTGCCAGCCTCACAGGTCCATTCTATTCTGTTGTCATTTCATAACTTCTTCCATGTAGGTTACAAGCTGCTAGCCCGTCTCTTAGAACGTCTCATTTCCTTTCCATCATGGAAATCTATCCTCAAGGAGATCACTTCTCAGTGTTCCATCTGCTATTCTACTACCCCTCATGGATTGTTTAGGCCTCCTCCCTTTCCTACACATCAAGCTCGGGGATTTGTCCCTACCCAGGACTGGCAAATTGACTTTACTCACATGTCTCCAGTCAGAAAACTAAAATATCTCTTAGTCTGGGTAGACACTTTCACTGGATGGATAGAGGCCTTTCCTACAGGGTCTGAGAAGGCCACCGCAGTCATTTCTTCCCTTCTGTCAGACATAATTCCTCAGTTTAGCCTTCCCACCTCTATACAGTCTGATAACGGACCAGCCTTTATTAGTCAAATCAGCCAAGCAGCTTTTCAGGCTCTTAGTATTCAGTGAAACCTTTATATCCCTTACAGTCCTCAGTCTTCAGGAAAGGTAGAACACACTAATGGTCTTTTAAAAACACAACTCACCAAGCTCAGCCACCAACTTAAAAAGGACTGGACAATACTTTTACCACTTTCGCTTCTCAGAATTCAGGCCTGTCCTCAGAATGCTACAAGGTACAGCCCATTTAAGCTCCTGTATAGACGCTCCCTTTTATTAGGCCCCAGTCTCATTCCAGACGCCAGACCAACTTAGACTGTGCCCCAAAAAACTTGTCATCCCTACCATCTTCTGTCTAGTCATAGTACTATTCACCGTTCTCAACTACTCATACATGCCCTGCTCTTGTTTACACTGTTTCTCCAAGCCATCACAGCTGATATCTCCTGGTGCTATCCCCAAACTGCCACTCTAAATTCTTGAAGTAAATAAATAATCTTTGCTGGCAGGACTATGCTGAATCTCCTTAGGCACTCTCTAATCAGATGTCCTGGGTCCTCCCAATTCTTAGACCTTTTATACCTGTTTTTCTCCTTCTCTTATTCCATTTAGTTTTTCAATTTATACAAAACCGTATCCAGGCCATCACCAATAATTCTACACGACAAATGTTTCTTCCAAAAACCCCACAATATCACCCCTTACCACGAAATGTTCCTTCAGCTTAATCTCTCTCACTCTAGGTTCCCACGCCGCCCCAATCCCGCTCAAAGCAGCCCTGAGAAACATCGCCCATTCTCTCTCTCCATACCACCCCCCAAACATTTTCGCCGCCCCCACACTTCAACACTATTTTGTTTTATTTTTCTTATTAATATAAGAAGGTAGGAATGTCAGGCCTCTGAGCCCAAGCCAAGCCATCGCATCCCCTGTGACTTGCACGTATATGCCCAGATGGCCTGAAGTAACTGAAGAATCACAAAAGAAGTGAAATGCCCTGCCCCGCCTTAACTGATGACATTCCACCACAAAAGAAATGTAAATGGCCGGTCCTTGCCTTAAATGATGACATTACTTTGTGAAAGTCCTTTTCCTGGCTCATCCTGGCTCAAAAAGCTCCCCCACTGAGCACTTTATGACCCCCACTCCTGCCCACCAGAGAACAAACCCCCTTTGACTGTAATTTTGCTTTACCCACCCAAATCTTATAAAATGGCCCCACCCCTATCTCCCTTCACTGACTCTCTTTTCGGACTCAGCCCACCTGCACCCAGGTGATTAAAAGCTTTATTGCTCACACAAAGCCTGTTTGGTGGTCTCTTCACACGGACACACATGAAACCAAGTACTGTACACATTGCATTCATCGTTTGACTCACATAATGAAAACATATTAAGGTAGAGGTTATTCTTGTTCTCATTTTATGGATGAAAAAACTGAGGTTCAGACAGGTTAAGTAACTTCCCTATAGTCACAGCACTCCTAAGTGGCAGCGCTGGGGTTGAGCTCCAAGTCTGTGAAAGTGAAAGGGCCATGCCTTTAACCAAATGCTACACTATCTCTGTGTTCTCTCTTTCATAAAGAAGCTTCATAAAGGGTTCTTAGATGTGGGAATTCAAGGAATCCTGGAAACACAAACATTGGGCTTAGGTCTATGCCTGCGGCATCCTCTGGGTACAGCCAGAGTGCTAATTAGCATTTGTTCATCGCCTCTAATTATCTGAGTCTCTGACAGTTTGAGTTCATGAATGCTAATGTGAGGGGAGAGTTGTGAGAAGTTAGAAGCAGAGGCCTCGGGCTTATAGAGACAAACGTTGTGTTTTAGCTGACCCAATGGCTTCTGGTGGGGCAGAGAGACCAGGACATGGAGTTAGAAACAGATTGAAATGAAGAGAGTCACTTACCATGTACCTTTTATCCCAAGAGCTCTCACTTTGCTGGAATTATGCCCTAAATAACCCAGCTCAAGGACTAATGAGTTTCAAAAGATTGATGTAGTAATTTTAACATTTGTATTGCAAAAGGTTGTAGAGCACATGTATTATTTTCTGCCTGCCCAGCAACAATTTTTCTTTCTTCTGGTAATAGGACATTGATTTTGCCTGGGAAGACACCCACTCCAACTTAAAGTCCATGTAATTCTGATGTTGTCCCCCAACCTACACCCCAGCCCTAGGCTCCAAGAGGGACCCTGTAATTCATACCTGCCCAATTACCATATTCTATCCTCATGGCCTCAGTGATTGACTCAGGAATAAGCCAATGAGATTCAATTCCAACTTTTCCTAAATGTTGGAGAAGTATCTAAGTTGTGAATAGATCTGATTGGCTTTAGGTTCAGCTATATCCAGAGGATCAAGTGTATAAACAAGAAGCTGTCATTCTCCATCTCTGGTCCTATTTTCCTTTATGTTGCTTCAGTTTTTTGTACACATTCTCTACATTTTAAGAATTCTGGCTACAAGCAGTGCCCTTCTCAGCCTTAGGCTCCATATATCAAATTTCACAAGAGAATTCTTCACTGCTCCCACTCACTTGCACAGTCTACCCCCTTGGCCAATTACAGCTGGGAAAATGCAGTTCTATGAGTGGCTGTATCCAGGTCACCCTTGCAGCTGCAGGGAGGTGGGGCAGCAGGTGCCATCAAGTTCACTGTTTGTGGAGGATGAGCAGTTTCTCCAAGGTAGGCAAATGCCCCGCACGGTTCCTTTTAACTATGAATGGGTCCCTATGTTTTTCACGTGTCCAGAAAATGGACTATGTCATTAGACTTTTCAGACTTGGAAGGGCACACTGGCTCTGTCAATGATGTCATTGGCCAAATCATATTCCTTGGAAGACTTTCAATCCAAGTTATAAGCAGATGTTGGTGACATAGCAGCATGCTACTGCCAAGACACAGGGACAGGCCAATGGACTCACTTGAGAGGATGCTTAATGGCCCATTTCCCTCCAAGAGCAGGAGACAGAGGAGATGGTGAGTCCCCCTGCCACCCAGCACAGCCTCAGCCTCCCTCATTCTTCCTTTCTCCTCTAGTCTCCCTCTTTTTTTTTTTTTTCTGAGGGAGTCTCACTCTGTTGCCCAGGCTGGAGTGCAGTGGCATGATCTTGGCTCACTGCAACCTCCACCTCCCGGCTTCAAGTGATTCTCCTGCCTCAGCCTCCCAAGTAGCTGAGACTACGGGTGCCTGCCACCATGCCCAGCTAATCTTTGTATTTTTAGTAGAGACAGGGTTTTGCCATGTTGGCCAGGCTAATTTAGAACTCCTGGCCTCAGGTGATCTACCATGCCCAGCCTCCAGTGTCCCTGTTATACCCCTTCTCATCTCCTGCCAGGGTATTATTCTCAATTTAAGCTACTGATGTCACTCTTTCTAAATGTCAGCGGGTCCTCATTTTATACTTCAAAATCCAAGGTTTTCAACTTGGCATCTGGGCTATTTGCAGCCCATCCAGAACCCACCTGTTGTTTTAAAATTTTTTTAAGGCTGGGCACAGTGGCTCACGCCTGTAATCCCAGCATTTTGGGAGGCCGAGGTTGGCGGATCATGAGGTCAGGAGGTCCAGATCATCCTGGCCAACATGGTGAAAACCCGTCTCTACTAAAAATACAAAAATTAGCTGGGCATGGTGGCACACGCCTGTAATCCCAGCTATTCGGGAGGCTGAGGCAGGAGAATGGCTTGAACCTGGGAGGCGGAGATTGCACTCCAGCCTGGTGACAGAGTGAGACTCTGTCTCAAAAAAAAAAAAAAATTAATTTTAATTTGTTTTGAGATAGGGTCTCACTATGTTGTCCAGGTTGGTCTCAAATTTCTCCCCACAAGCATTCCCACTTCAGCCTCTTGAGTTGTTGGAATTACAGGCGTGAGCCACCACACCCGTCTCTTCCCCACCTTTCTAATGAGGACGCTTCCTTGTTTCTCTACCTCCTCGTTTCCTCCATTCTTTGTCGTGCTCCAACTGCAGTGAGTTATTTTTTTTGTTCCATGTGGGTACTGGTTCTTTGGCACCTCTGCACCTATAATTGTGTTGCCTAGGACACCTTTGTCCACGAACAATCTTTTAAAAACTCTCCCTCTATTAAGCCTACACTACACACTATCATCATCTGAGACAAGCTTTGAGAGCACAAATTCTGGAACTCCAACACCCTGATTCCACCATTTATTACCCCTGTGATCTTGGACAAGTTAGCCTCAGTTTTCTCATCTGTAAAGTTTGAGATATTAATAATAATAGGGTATCTTCCTCTTGGAATTGTTGTGAGGTTTAAATGTATTAAATTATCTAACACACTTGGAGCAGTGCCTGACACATGAACACTCCAAAAGTGTTTGTTTATTGTTATTTTATTCATTCCCATACCTGTCTCCTTGTAAACTCTAGGCTCTTTGAGGGCAGTGAATGTGGCTTTTTTTTTTTTTTTTCTGCATCCTCAATGTTTATTAATTGCTCTTTTTCCTTCCCTAACTGGGTTTGTGAACACTGAGCATCAACATCTCCAGTCTCATCATGGGAGACACTCATCCAGAAGCAAATCTCAGCCAACAGGAGCGGAGCCAACGTGGGTGGCTGCAACTGCAGTAAGATTGCCACCATTCGGGGGCCAGCCAGGATCTCATGCCTAGTGCTGCTTTGGTGGCTATGATGGACCATTTCAACAGGTGACCACATGGAGAATTGAGCAACATATTCTTATGGAAACAGCACCTGTACAGGGAAAGGCACAGTATGTGGGGAAACACAGGAAACAACACAGAGGAAGAAGAAGCACTTGAGGAGACAGTGTTCCTCTGAGCTCGGCGTGCTGTGTTGTCTGCTGGGCGGCTGGCGGAGGACCAGGGCACAGAGCAGTATTTAACTGCTCAGCTCTTGCTCTGAACAGCTGAGCTATAAATGCTCATACCTCAGCCGAAGAATAAGCAACCTAATCTTAACTTGTATTCCAGTAAAAATAAAAATACGTTGGGTTGGAAGAAAGAGAGATGCATTGCCTTTTGATTTCACTTACCACCTCTTTTATTGCAAGAATTGTATTGCTGCTCCTCCAGCTGTGATAACTCTTTCAGGAATAATAAGAGCTCTCACCTGTCTTAAACAGACCAATGAAAGAATCTAGTCCTTCTGCGCTGTTTGTGGATATTGAGTTAAGTAGTAACTGGCACTTATAGGCCACCTTAACGTGCATTATCATCGTACCCTCAGGGCAGTCATTGGAGGTAAGTGTGGCAATCATCTTGGTTATAGATGAGCAAATGAAGAACAGAGAAGCTAAGCAGTTTGTTCAAGGTCACACAGCCAGCCTGTAAGATAAGACGGTATAAAGGAAAGAGCTCCATTTTGAGGTCAGATAGTTCTGGGTTCTTATCTCTCATCTGTTACTTAGTAGCTGGGTGACCTTGTTGTTTCTCCTCTCTGAGTCTACATTTCCTAGTTATTAAAATGATATAGTAATGCTCACTCCATGGATTTATTATAAATTCAGTGGAACATTTATATAAAAAGACAATGTCAAATATACTGCTTAATAATTCCTTCTCCATTTGCTCCTTTTTCTTCCTAAGAAAAACAGTTGTTGGAGCTTGAACTCAGACCAGCTGATCTCCCAGCCCACACTCTTTGCACCCCTCCACGCTGCCTGCCGTCTCTACCCTCTGCCACTATGACAGTACAATGGCAGGCGGGAGGTGATGCCTTCTTGTAAATCATCTGTGATACAGTGAGGAAGATCCCTGGGTACTACAGGAACATGCATTTATTCACTTATTCAGTGAGTGAGCTCCATGTGGATTTAGGGGGAGGGCGGGTCCAGCTTTGAATATGTGCTTGTTAAATTGTCTGTGTGAGGAGCCGAGGGGCACTGTTCAATAGGTAGCTGGATATGCAGAGCTGAAGCTTGGGAAACCAGTCTGAGCTTTGGCTGCAGATTTATGACTCATCATTGTACAAGGGATCAGAATATAATACCTGCTTTCATGACTCTCAGAGGTGGTGGAAACAAGGTGTGGCAGAGACAGAAATAATTACAATACAATATAAAATATGACAAAGGCTAGATTACGATAAATCCAAGAGGACAAGAACTTTGTCCTCATGGAGCTTAGGTTGCAGTGAAATTTAAGAGACATGAATCGAAGTTTCCATTCAAATGTATGCTAAAAATTGTAGTAACGATCTTTCCAGCTGGGTCTGTGGTGACTTCAAAATTCATTAATTTAGTTGTTCATCCTTACGAAAGTTATATTTGTTTTTGTTTTTGTTTTGGGATAGAGTCTCACTCTTTGCCCAGGCTGGAGTGCAGTGGGCCGATCTCAGTATACTGCAACCTCTGCCTCCCAGGTTCAAGCGATTCTCCTGTCTCAGCCTCCCAAGTAGCTGGGATTACAGGTGCCCGCCACCACACCTGGCTAATTTTTGTATTTTTAGTAGAGATGGGGTTTCACCATGTTGACCAGGCTGGTCTCAAACTCCTGACCTCAGGTAATCCAGCTGCCTTGGCCCGTGTTGGGATTACAGGCGTGAGCCACTGTGCCCGGCCCATCCTTACAAAGGATATTTATTCTGCTCCTATTATAAACCAGACTCCATGCCGGGTTCTGGAGATAATGTGATGAGTAAAAGAAGATGCATCCTTTTTCTCCCATGGAGCTTAGAGTTTATCGGAAGAGACAGATCAAATGTTTGCATAATACACATAAAATTGCAACCATGACAAGGGGTATAATGAATAGCAAATGATACTAGAAAGTATCAACCTAAACAGAAAGGTTGGGAAGACTTCCATGAGGAAAGTTCTGATGATATTAGAACTGGGTACTAAAGGATGATGAAGCATGAACTAGGTGAAGAAAGAAGGATGAAGAACTTAAAAGAACAGCATGTGCAAAAGCCTCGTGGCAGGAAGAGTGTTGTGCCTAGAAAGGACTGGCAAAAACCAGTGTAGCTTCATTCAGTGGGTTTCCGGCTACAGTTCAAAATCCATCACTGTATCTTCAGTTACAGCACAGATTTAGGTCCCGTCATATCTAGTTACCTTGATTCTAAGATGTCAATGATCGTAAGTTATCCCATTGGTTTGTTAACATTGTTTTTTTAAATTGAAAATTGAAACAAAAAAAATGGTGAGAGCTTTACTACCACATTCAATGACTACATTAATTTTTTTTTTTTTTTTTTTGACATGTTGTCTCGCTCTGTCACTCAGGCTGGAGTGCAGTGGTGCGATCTTGGCTCATTGCAGCCTTTGTCTCCTGGTTTCAAGCAATTCTCCCACGTTAGCCTCCCAAGTAGCTGGGATTACAGGGGCGCACCACCACACCTGAGTAACTTTTGCATTTTTAGTACACAGGATTTCACGATGTTGGCCAGGCTGGTGTCAAACTCCTGACCTCAGGTGATCCACCCACCTCAGCCTCCCAAAGTGCTGGGATTACAGGGGTGAACCACCGCACCTGGCCTACATTGATTTTTTAAGTGGACATTTTATTTGGGTAATTTTAGATTTACAGAAAACATATCAATTTAAAGATGCATTCTGAACCTCAAAATGTGAAGAAGATGCTTCTTGGAATTGAAGCAATTTTTACGATTATGACCACCTGAGCTAACATAATTAACTTTTTACCATGTATCAGACACTCTGCTAAGCACCTTTAATTTAAAACTCAGACAAAACAGGTGCAAAATGATTAACACACTTTCCTGGAGTCACCCTGTTACCAAGTCAGGGCTTTCACCCCAGCTGTTTGGGTCCAGACCTCTGTGACAACTCTATGCCCCCGGCCCAGTTCCCCTTCCCAGGATGTACTTTTCTTTCACCAGTTGCTTTTGGGAAAACGTGGTGAGCTGAGTGACAAAGGATGAGGCTGAAGGGGTCTCTGTTCTTATCTGATGACACAACCTGTGGCTTTGGGCATGTCTCTTTCCCCTCTGTAATCTCTTTTCCCAAGTCAGACCAAGCACAACATGAAAATGTCGCAGATTCCCTAGGGAGATGATTGTCGCCTCCAGGTTTAAGGCCAGCCTGTTCACACCAGCTGCACTAGTTCCAGGAGCTGGACTTTCCAATAAAGAGGGAGCCCAGAGGCTGGTGAAGTCCAGATGATTATTCATGTTCCTTTCCAGATAATCATAGTCATCCCTAGATCTCATTTATCTTGTCCCCTCCTGGGTACCACTACAGGAAGTTAGCCATTACTCATCACTCAACTGTTGATCTCTTTTGCTAGCTTGTTGATTGGCTTCATGACAACTTTGGTGGCAGATATTTAAGTGAATGAGAGAGGTCCACCAAAAGGAAGGTTAGAAAAAAATAAAATTTACTCTTACTCATTCTCAACCATATGAAAGACCCTGTACTTAAGGATAGCAATAGCTGTCACTCATAAGGCCTCAGGGTTCCAGTATTCCTTGCTTGGCATAATGCACACATTTCCCATTCTTAATTGTTTCTTTGGGCTAAGATATTTATACATTTTATATTTATATATTTATACATTTTATGATCGGTACAGAGACACATAACCTATAAGTGTTAGAGCTTAAAAGCATGGGTCTATATTCAGACTATCTGGGATTGAACCCTAGCTCCACTGTTTTCTTTGGGAACATAGACAAGTTACTAAATTCTCCAGGCCTCAGTTTCTTTATCTGTAAAATGAACTTAATAATAACACATATCTTACAAATTTGGGATATGTCCCTTCTCTCCTGTGCTCTCACACAGCCTCCTGTGGTCTCCATAAGTTCACTGATGATTCTGTTAGCCTGACTAAATTCTCTGTCCCTTCAAGGGCAGGAAGTGCACCAGACCCATTTCCAAGGATGTTTTCACTAAATTTTTGATGAACAAATAAATATTGGGGGAAAACCCAGGCAGAGATCCACGTCTTGATTCTAGTCTTACTTCAACCATCAAATTACTATGTGACCTTAGGTAAATCTCTAGCCTCCTCTAGAAGAGAGTTCTGTCTTATATATGTGTAGACTTGAAAATCTTCAGAGCCCTCTTCTTAGTTCTGAGGTTCTATACTTCTCCTTCTCTCTCATAAGAGAATTATGACTGTCTTTGTGGAAACAGTACATGATTGTCACTTAAATACATGACATAAAACATTTAAATAAGTTAAGTCGTGGTGGCTCATGCCTGTAATCCCAGCGCTTTGGGAAGCCAAAGTGGGAGGATTGCTTCAGCCCAGGAGTTCGAGACCAGCCTGGGCAACAAAGGGAGACCCCATCTCTATAAAAAATTAGCTGGTCATGTGGTGCATGCCTATGGTCCCAGCTATGCAGGAGGCTGAGGCAGGATTGCTTGAGCCCGGAAGGTTGAGGCTGCAGTGAACCAGGATGGCACCACTGCACTCTAGCCTGGACAACAGAGCGAGACTCTGTCTCAAAAATCAAAAACAAAAGCAAAACAGAAGAAATAATTAACACTTAAATAATTCAGAAAAGTGCAAAGAAAGAGTAAAAAACTTAACCCAGACTCCACCATCTAGAAATTCCACCATCTAGAAATAACGATGGCTAGCATTGGATGAAGATGGTTCCAGACGTCTTATGCTTATATCCTAATAGAAGCAAGATCAACAGATAGAAATAAGATTACAAAAACAGGACCATAGCATCCTGATTCTTTTTGAAATACAGTACTGAATTAATTTTTTTATTGGATAGAAGAAGAAAGTAAAAGAAGAGTAGAACTGGAAGAAAAAGAAACTGAAATGAAACTAAAGGAATTGCTGAACTTCAAAGTCCTATTATCCTGACATCAAATACTCATGAGGCTACAGCCTGACAAATACCAACAATTCTGATGCAAAGACATTTCAAATTAGAGGATAGAACAGATGCCTTTTAATTCTGAGTGTGAGATCTCAGCTCTAAACTGGAAGAATAGGCTGCAGGGTCCAGACAATTTGATTTGAGCGGGCTTGTGAAGACATGATGGATGGCTGGCTCCCCAGCCTTGCACTGTAATTGATGGCAGTGCCGTATTGACCCAGACTATTCTGCAAAAGAAACCGAGTTTCTGAGGCTATCAACTGGGGCTGTCAAGGAGCAAGCAGAGGGCGCAGGCAAACCTATCCTGTGAGCCCCAATCCTGGGGAGTTGACATCTCTCACTGCCTGACAAATCCTCCCCAGAATCCAAAATGATTGAGGGCAGGCGGGGGTGGTTTTCTGGCAGATCTAAAGACAATGTTCTGATTTGATCCCAGGGGCTTCTGGCAATAAATTACCCATTTGGCTGAGATTGGCCCATCCCCGCCCCACATCCCAATCCCTCTTTGCTTCTGCAGACAAACTACTAGTCTGATTTTATCTACTCGGAAGGTGGGGGCGGCTGTGACTTGAAACAGAGATAGATGTCTTGATTCATTAAGCAAGAGCATAGGCGACACAGGGTAGAGCACCAACTGTGGGATTTTAGGGTAGGACAGAAAAAGAGGGGTCATCACTGTGGCACAGTGCAAGTGTCAAGCTTCTGGGTCTGAATCCAGGGTGTGCCTTATATAAGCTGTGCAAACGCTGACAAGTGTCTTACCTTTCTCTACATCAGTTTTCTCACCTGCCGATGGAGTTGATAATAACAGTGACGGCTGAAGTTTATTGTGTGTAAAACAGCTGCTGTACACAGGGTTCTCGCTAAGCGAAAGACATTTGTACGACCTTAAGCAAGTCAATATGGTCCCTTTGTATTTCAGTTTCATTAAAGTTAATAATAGCTCACCAGAAATAACATGCATTGAATTCATGGTATGTGGTGGGCACACCCAAAGATGTAATGGAAGGGAGTTGAATAAGGGTTCTATTTACAAAGGTGTGGGTCAGATGTGATAAAATACTACCAGGGCTAGCAAGAGTAGGAAACCACTCATCCTGGAGTGAAGGGAACTCGAGAGGAACCAAGGCTTTAGGAGAGGGCTGCCTGACAGCAGCTCAGGGTGGTGCAGAAAGCCAGCAGGTGAGCAATACCCACTTCCCACTCTCTACCGTGCAGCCCATGGACCAAACCCAACTGGAAACCGGAGGGACAGGGAATCCAGGGATGATGCAGTGGAAGAGGTTTCAGCTTATGGAGCACAGAGAGGATTAAGAAGCTGTTATGGTTTGGCTGTGTCCCCACCCAAATCTCATCTTGAATCGTAGCTCCTGTAATTCCCACATGTCGTGGGAGGGACACGATGGGAAGTAATTGAATCATGGGGGTGGGTCTTTTCTGTGCTGTTCTCCCGATGGGTGAATAAGTCTCATGAGATCTGACGGTTTTATAAAGGGGAGTTCCCCTGCACACTCTCTCTTGCTTCCTGTCATGTAAGATGTCCCCTTACTCTTCCGCCACGATTGTGAGGCCTCCTCAGCCACGTGGAACTGCGAGTCCATTAAATCTCTTTCCTTTATAAATTACCCCGTCTCGGGTATGTCTTTATTAGCAGCATGAGAACAGACGAATACAGAAGCATAAAGGGGATACGCAGCACAACTCCGTAGGTGCCCTTTTTTTTTTTTTTTTTTTTTTTGAGACAGAGATTTGCTCTTCTTGCCCAGGCTGGAGTGCAATGGCGCCATCTCCATCCACTACGACGTTGGCCTCCAGGTTTAAGTGATTCTCCTGCCTCAGCCTCCTGAGTAGCTGGGATTACAGGCATGAGCCACCACGCCTGGCTAATTTTTTATTTTTATTTTTTATTTTTAGTAGAGATGGGGTTTCTCCATGTTGGTCAGGCTAGTCTTGAACTCCTGACCTCAGGTGATCTGCCTGCCTCAGCCTCCCAAAGTGCTGGGATTACAGCACTTTTATTTCATCCTTGCCACAACCCTATAGGTGAGGACTGTTGTCCCCTTATCTTCCACATGAAGGGACTGAGAAAAGGCTCTGAGAACTTAGGAACCTCGACCAAGTCGCACATCAGGGAAGCAGCAGAGCTGGTATCCAAACCTGGACTGTCTGATTTTGGAACTCATGCTCATAATTATTTCTGTTAGAGACCATGACCCCTGCTTGTGTGTAGAGACACCATGACCCCTGCTTGTGTGTAGAGAGACCATGACCCCTGCTTGTGTGTAGCATCCCTGGGATGATCCCATGAGAAGGGGAATGAGACAGGGAAAACACAAGACACACAGAGAAGGTAACAGGGCCATTGTCCTTAGCCATGAAGATGACTTTTCTGAAACATACACCGGAATCAAACCCACATTCCATTTTCATGGCTCCCCAACATCCTCACGAAAAAGTTGTCATCTCCCTGCTCCTTCACAAGCTGCATCTTCCTCCACTCCCAACCATATTCCCTATCCTCCGGCCACCCAGAAACATTACCCATTTCCTGCACACAGTCAGGGGTCTCCAAAGACACACAACCAAGAAGACAGCTATACCTATAAATATATGCACACTAAGAGATTTACTTCAAGGAATTGGCTTGCATGATTGTGCAGGCCAGCAAGCGGCTGAGACCAGGTTATGAAACTGGCTAATTTTTGTACTTTTGGTAGAGATGAGGTTTCACCATGTTGCCAAGGCTGGTCTCGAACCTCCCGGCTCAAGGGATCCACTTGCCCTTGGCCTCCCAAAGTGCTGAAATTACAGGTGTGAGCCACTGAACCTGGCTGAGAAGGGCTTGTGGGAACCCTAATTTATAGCTGGTTGGTCAGAAGAAGGGGTCGCAAGGTGGGACTTGCCATTGGCTTGTGAAGTAGAGATAGTCTTGTGCGATGGAGCACTTAACCTGTGGAGTCTGACACTACTCCAGGTAGATGGCATCAGGATTGAATTTAGTTGAATTAAAGGACATCAAGTTGGTGTCCACCAGAAAATTGCTTGTTATGTGGAGGAAAAAATGTCCCACACATGTCGGTGACTGACGTGGAGTGTGTTGAGTATGAGTAGAGAGACAGTTTTGTTTTCTCCTTTACGGTTACCTTATTGCCCCCACACTGGTAGGTTACTTGATCAGCTAATTATCACCACCAGGCTGAAAACTCAGGCAGGCTTTTGTGCTGCAGACTTGAAGCGGAATTTCTCCTTCTCCAGGAAATCTCAGTTTTGCTCTGAAGTCCTTCACCTGATTGAGGGAGGCCCACCCATATTCTAAAGAGTAATCTTTTTTACTTAAAATCAACTGATTATAAATGTTAACTACATCGATAAGATTCCTTCACAGCAATGCCTAGATTCGTGTTTGATTAAATAGCTGTGGACTACAACCTAGACGAGTAAACACATGAGAGCAACCATCACAACCTCTTCTCATGCCACCAGGCCTTTGTGCAAGCTGTTCCCTCTGCCAGGGCTTCCCTCCCAGCCTTCTCATTCATGCCATTCCTGGAGGCACAGTCCAAATGCCCATCACACCCTCCCCTTTGTAAAGCATTCCCTGATTTCCTCACGCAGAGTGAGATCCTCCTCCCTCGTGCTTCTGAAGCATCCCCCAGGCTCAGTCTGTCATAGTATTTATCACACTGCATAGCAAATATTTACCGTTACCCACCACCCCACTAGCCTAAGAAGCTTCCTGGGGCAGTAGCTGGATATTCTTCCAGCCCAGTGTCCCCAGCATCTTGCACGTGTCTCAGCACATGAAAGGGCTCAATAAATATTTGTTAAATGAGCCAATTTGCTATAGATAAGAAGGAGAATGTGAAGGAAAAGAAAACCCTGAAGCTCAGTGGAGACATGGACAGATTTCACTACTCATAAAACTCACCAATGTGTATCTTTCATCTCACTCAGCCCTAATGTCAATGTCTTTCCCCACCCCACCCCCCGCTACCCCTACCCCCCGCCCCCGGCTGCTGAGAGCCAAGTTAAGGCAGGACTGCCATAAGACCAGCCGAACCCTTCATTAAAAAGTCAGGGGATGGGGGACTGGGGATGAAGGCAAGCAGGTCTGCAAAAAGTCACCAGCTACTGCTTTCTGTGAGAGGCTCTGCAATTGGTATTTCACAGTATATGGTCCTTTTTAGCTTCCTGCTGGAAAACACCAAGTGGCTGTAAATCATTCCACCGCAGCTGTCCGAGTGAGAAGTGACTGGGAATTGGGAAGGGATGGGGGATGTGCTCCCATCCTCAGGAGCCATATGGGCTCTTTCCAAGGCTTGGCAACTTATGCTGAAAATCAAGGGGCTTGGTTCTTTAGCTCCCAAATCAACAGGACTCAGAGCAACATTTGTTCTTATAGTGGGGCCAATGGCAAATGTTGGGAGCCAGGTATCTTGGGAGAGATCCTTCAGCAGTCTTGTAGTGCAGGCTCTTGGAAAGGTGGCCACTTTGATGAAGAGGTAGAAATCTACTTCTAAGATCATCTAACCTTGAAAACATTATTTAAACTCACTGAGCCTTATTCTACTTGTCAGTGAAAACGGGACAAAAATAACAGCTACTTTGTAGACTTGTTATGAGAATTAAATAAATATAATGTGATATATATATATATATATAAAGCATTTATAACAGTGTCTGGTGTCAATGTTTGCTCTCATTATCATTATCATCATCAAAATCACCATCAACATCAACACCATCATCATCCCTATTGTCCCCATCATTCACCATCATTATTTCCATCAACATTATTATCACCATCATCACCATCATCCTCATTGCCGCCATCACCACCATCATCACCACCACATTATCATCTTTGTTGTTATTATTATTGTCTTGTTAAACATTTATAGATCCTGTTACATACCAGGTTGTGTACTAGGCTCTGAGAATTTCTAGAGATTGAAAGATATAACCCTTTTATAGGAAGTTGGGCATGCAGACCTCCCAATGGTGCTGCAACAAAGGTTTGTTCAAGGGGCACAGAGAAGAGGTAACTGAAGACTCCAAGAGGAACAATGTCTGAATGATGCCATAGGAATGTCCAAGAGGAGAGCAAATTAGTAAGGCAGACAAAAGGGTGCTGTTTTGAGTGCAGGATAATATTCCAAGTAGAAGAATACCATGGAGCTCCAGACCCAGAAGATGCATTCTGGGAGCTACATGACCTGGCACAAAGCCTGGTCAAGAATATGAGAGCAGAACTGGTGACCCACCCCCCAGAATGTCCCTAAGGTACATTCTAACCACAGCAGCTTCCTGGACCTCAACACACTCTATAACATATATTCTAAGTAGGTGAACATTTTCCTGTAAGCTTCTCTCCATAATATCAATAGGAATGAGGGTAATGCTGGATGCATAAATCTCAGGTAACTTGGTCCTAGATTCCCTTTTATTCCCCCCTCACAAGAAGGAAATGTTGCCACTGAAGTTTCCTATCTGTAAGATGTGGTTTGGATCTCCAAGTGGACACATAGTATTAATAGCTTTCAACTTAATGGGTTTCCATTTTATGCACCTGACACTGTTCTAGACAGTAAACACATGGTATACTATGAAATCGTTACAACAACTACAAGGAAAAGAAATTACTAAACCTATTTTATGGAAGAGAACACTGAAGCTCAGAGAGCTTAACTGACACGTCCAAGGTCATGCAGGCACTGAGTGACTGTAGTGGCATTCGAACTTCATCCTGCTGAATCCTAAGATTTTTGATTACTCTAGAGACGGCACTGTCGAATTTGGTAGCCACAAGACTATCCTAGGTGGCTACTTACACATACAGTTGAATTAATTTGAATTCAATAAAATTAAGAACTCAGTTACAAGTTGCACTAGCCACATTTGAAGTGTTCAATAGCAACATGTGGCTAGTGGCTTCCATATTGGATGGTGCAGATACAGCATATTTCCTTCAGCAGAGAAAGTTCTACGGAATAGCGCTGATTTAGAGACAAGGTATACCCTCCCTGCATGTCTTGTGCCATCAAGAGATCATGCCTCATTTAGTTATGACTGCAACATCATACTTAAGATGCTCCAGAGACCCACAAACCTACCCCCATAAGGTTACCACCCAGGAATAACCCATTTGGAAGGCAATTATGCGATATGAATCATGAAAGGTGCAATTAATCAAAGCAAAAGGCAGAGAAAGAAGCCATGGCATGTGGCGGCTGCTCCAAACAGGGAAACCTTCCTGAGGAAAGAGCAGGGAAGCACACATGAGCATCCCCTCAGCCACACCTTGTGCCCTTCCCTGGCCCCAGGACCTCAAAGCTGTGTTTCATGCTATTGCTGTATGGCCTTCCTCTGTGTCTCTGGAGCTTGCCTCATAGGACCCTTTATGGATATTAAATCATTTAGTTCCAGCATAGGTCCATGCATATTATGTGCCAGGAATACTGCTAGACACTGTGAAGAAAAATCCATTATCATCATCATCCCCAGAATCACCATCATCATCATCATCACCACAATCACCACTGATCATGAGAATTGGGTTTAAGGCCGACTCTGCATCTCACTTAGGTCTGGCACAAGCCCTTTGTGGCTCTGGATCTCAGTTCTGGATCATCTGGAAAATAAAAATTCAGAAAAAAAATGTGATCATCAAATGAAATGATACATGTGAAAAATCTCCCCTGCAAGCTGAGAAGTACTGCTCTGAAGGTCACTGTTTTAATCGAACTTCAAGGTTAGCCCTATGGCACCAGTGAGCTTCAGATGGCTGGCTCAGGGAAGAAGAGACTTGTTCAAGTCCTCATTTTACATATGCGCATAAGTGAATACGGGCTAAAATGGCTTTTGTGAATGGACACAGACAGCCAGAGAAACAGAGGGGGACTGAAATTTCCCAATTATACATCTCTCTTCTTTCCATTCTGATTATCTTTCCATCGTTGGCCAAGCTGTGAATTCCTCTCGGCTTTCAGGACCCACAGGCTTTAAGTGGGCTTTTATTATCTGAGGTAAGTAAAAAAGGCCCTGGAGATCATTCATTGAACACTTAGTATGGGCCAGATGATTGACATCCATGCTGGTGTTTAATCCCTATAGGCAGACTATAGAAGGGGAAACAACATCAGAGAAGTTCAGCTTACTGCCCAAAGACACACCACTGGCAATTGACAGAGGAGGTGACCAAGCCCACATTTTTCTGACTTTGAAGCTTTCCACAGCTCACTGTCTCCTGGGGCAGGAGCAATTTGTAGTTGCCAGGGGGTAGAAAGAGGGTTGGGGGGAAGGATGCTTCAGCTATCAGTACCAGGGCAGGGAAATATTGGAGCTGCTTTCCCATGTGCTGATTAAAATGTCCAACAGGACTGACCACCCTCGGAGGTGATGTTTTGCTAAAGCCCCTTTGTCCCTCCACCTGGCTAAGAGAGGACAATTATTGTTACGGCAGAGCTTCCTGGAGGGAGGAGGTACAGGTGATCACTGGGGAGTCTTCCAAGAAAATTGAGAAGCCCCCTCCAGGCCCAAGCTTTGGATTTCCTCTTCCCTGTTGGAATCTGCATGCTTTTCTTTTTACTTATACTTAACCAAACTTTTAGGTGAAGACAGTTCTGGAGGAATTTCCTGATTAAATGAAGATGAAATATTCTCAAATTATTTTAGGCAAACTCTACTTCTATTTCCTGCTTAGAGTAGAAATTAAAATCCAACGTTAACCTTTTAGAAAGATCAAAGTAAGTTCTGTTCCTGTATATTTATTCCAACTGCCTCCTTCTCCTCTGCCTCCTCTTCTCCTTCCTTCCTCTCCTTCTCCTTCTCCTTGAAAATTTACGTCTTGGGTTAGGATGAAGGTAGTAAACTTAACAGGGCATTAAAGGGTAGTATTTACAAAAGTTATTGTTAAAGCCCTTGACTTCAGCATGTGTTCTCTTTGCTTATTGATCAGCACACCTATGCTAGCATTGACTGGCATGCCCATATTAGCATTGTTTAGCATGCTCATACTAGCGTTCATCAGCAGGTTTATACTAGCATTGATCAGCACACCCATACTAGTATTGGTAAGCACGTCCGTACTAGCATTGATCGGCAGGCTTATACTAGCATTGATAAGAACCCCCATACTAGCATTGATCAGCATGCCCATGCTAGCATTGATCAGCATACTTATATTAGCTTTGATCAGCATGCCCATACTGTCATTGATCAGCATGCCCATACCAACATTGACCAGCATACCCATACTAGCATTGATCAGCATGTCCTTTCTAGCATTAATCAGCATGCTTAGTTCTGTGATAGCTTTGCTCTTCCAGAGATTACTCATTACTTTGCATTACAGCATTAGTCCAGCTTGCAATGCCATTTCTGTGTGTGCAGCTGCGTCCCCAGACTCCACAGCCCTGATGCCTAATAGATGTCCAACAATTATTAATTAATTTTGCTTTGTATATCCTTCAAACATTTTACACTACCTGACCTTATTTCATTTTCTCTGTCACTAGAATGTAAGCTGCAAGAGGACAGAGACTTTCTTTAGTTCACTACTAGGTCCCCTGCACTAGGAGGAGGCACTAAATCAATATTCATTGGATAAACAAAGCACGGAAGAGCCACAGTTAGCCCTGCAGAAGGAGCTGACCATCTCGAATTCTAAATTGAGGGTGAGAAAATAAATGAAAGGCAGCACTTGGTTTCTGCAAGGAGAACAAATTAGGGGCTTGTGAATCCAAGCATGGTAAACAAAGCTGTCAAATAGGAGTACTCTAGTTAGTAAACATTTCGTAGATAGCTTATGAAAATAATATCTAACATTGTTTGCCAACTACTTGAGATGCATTTTGTTTGCATTAGCTCATTTAATCTTTCCCAGCTGCCATGGGTGATAGATGTTATTATCCTTTTGAAAAATATATGTAAGATGAGAAAACCAAGGTATGCAGGGGTTAGGGAAAATGTCAAAATCGTATGGCTGGCAGGGTGGCCTTTGCTGCTCACCCTGAACTATCACCTTTCTCAGAATGAAAATCAGCCATTTACAGTTGTGCTGATACCATTAACCACTCAGGGGTGTAATATTCAAGCACAATTAAGTGACTCAAGCTAAAGGAAAAAAAAAAAAATCAGCTTCCTCTCTCTCTATCTTTGTGTTGCAACAAGCATCGCTATGTTTCTCCTGAACTAATCCTTTTATTTCCACAATTGATTCATCTTTTCTCTTTGCTTTCCTGGCTAAGTCCTTTAAAATACATTTTACCCCTTATGCTTCTTCTCTTATCTACTATGCTAAAGGTCTCCTGACAGGGGCCTCAATTTCGCCTCTTTGCTCTTTCAAGTCTCCGTAATGTAGGATTTTTTTTTTTTTATAATGCTGCACCTGAGCGCCTAGAGGGCAGGGACCTTGTCTTTTCTGTTTCCTGTTCCCTCCCCAGCATCTAGACCAATTCCAGGCACAGAGAAGAGACAGCATAAATATCACTAAACGAATAAATATGAGTGCTTTAGCCATAGGTAGACACACAGGTCTTAGAAAATTATGGGGGTGAGTGGGGAAATCTACATGCCCTGAAGTCTGGAGGTCCTGGAAAGGTGAAAACTGGGATCTATTTTGTGAGGAACCCCTGGAGGTATATATTATATGATATAGTTTGAATATTTGTCCCCACCCAAATCTCATGTGGAAATGTAATCCGCAGTGTTGGAGGTGGGACCCGCTGGGAAGTGTTTGGATAGTGAGGGCGGATCCCTCATGAGTGGCTTGGGCCATCCTCTTGGTGATGAGTGAGTCCTCACTCTGAGTTCACACGAGATTCTGGTCATTTAAAAGTGTGTACCACCTTCCCCCCGCCCCAATTTGCTCTCTTCTCTTGCTCTTGCTCCTGCCGTGTGAAGCTCTTGCCATGTGAAGCGTCTGCCCTCCCTTTGCCTTCCACCATGATTGGAAGCTTCCTGAACAATGAGCTAATTAAACCTCTTTTCTTATAAATTACCCAGTCTCAGTTATTTCTCTATAGCATTGCAAGAACGGCCTAATACATTATAATTATGGAAGGAGGCAAGATTGGGAAGAAACTAAAAAGACAGTATTGCAATGTTGGATGAGTCTGGCTTGAAACCAAATATGGTCAGCTCTCAGGAAGCTAAAAAAATCTAAAGTTCTTTGACCCGAACCATTCCCCTTCTATATTTTAATAAGAATTATGTTTGTGGGGCAGGGTCCTGGTACTGGTGCCCATGCAACCAGATAGATCCAACACAATTGGAAATCTTCACTTAAATCTTTTAAAATCCAATTGATTTCAACAAAGTCTACCTAAGTCAGATTTTTCTTTGCCTTGAGCAAAATAAAAGCTGTGAACTCTTTGCAAAGCACTCATGAAGCTTTAGACCTCTGGGACTTTGGCTAGTGAGAGTCAGGGCACCCAGATTCAATCCCTGGTGTATAGTGATTTGTCTGTTTGGCTGCTCTCAAATCAGAGCTAATGGCTCTAAGTAATTGCCCATTCTTATTTGAGAAAGGACAGATCACCAGTCGTATTAGTCTCCCAGAGCTGCAGTAACAGATTACCACAAACTGCATGGTTTAAAATGGAAATATGTGATCTCACAGTTTTGGAGGCCGTAAGTCCAGAAATCAAGGTATTAGCAGAACCGTCCTCTCCCGAGAGACTCTAGGGGAAGATCCTTTCTTGCCTCTTTCTGGTGTCTGGTATAGCAATAGTGGGTGTCCCTGGGCTTGTAACTCCATGGCCCCAATTCCTGCCTCGGTCATCGCATGGCCTTCTTCTCTTTCTCTGTATCTCTCTCTCCTTATAAGGGCACAGGTCATTGGATTTAGAGCCCATCCTAATCCAGTATGATCTCATTTTAACTTAATTACATCCACGAAGACCCTATTTCCAAAGAAGGTCTCATTCACAGGTACGGAGGTTTAGGACTGGGACATATCTTTTGGAATGGACACAGTTCAACCAGTCAAACCATTTTTTTTTTTTTGGAGACGGAGTCTCACTCTGTCACCAGGCTGGAGTACAGTGGCACAACATCAGCTCACGGCAACCTGTGCCTCCCAGGTTCAAACGATTCTCCTGCCTCAGTCTCCTGAGTAGCTGGCACTGCAGGCACGCACCTCTATTTTTAGTAGAGATGGGGTTTCACCATGTTGGCCAGGATGGTCTCCAACTCTAGGCCTTGTGATCCACCTGCCTCGGCCTCCCAAAGGGCTGGGATTACAGGCTTGAGCCACCGCACCCGGCTGTCGAACCAGTTTTATCTGGTTTCTTTGTTCTTGGTGTGAACTCTGAATTGGGGGATTGACTTATCAAGACTCTTTGACCAAAAGCAATTAGAGGAATCACAGATTGCTGGTGCGCCACACTGCTGATGAGCAAGGGATCATACCTATCTCATGTACCTCTCCTGGACTGCAGACCATCTCCAGGTTTCTGCATCTAACTGAATCTTTTAACACCTCTTTGGGGCAGGTAATGGTGGCTCTGCTCTTCACCCTCTGGCAGGTCCTTAGAGAGCATCACCGTTACCCACTTATCTCACAAAGGAGTAAGCTGAGATACCCAGAGGTTAATGAACAACCAGGACCTCTTTAGAACTGCCAGTGGCTGGAGTCAGTCTGGGTTGCAATGACCTACTTACATTTTGCTGTGAGAATCACCTTTTTTTTTTTCCCACAGACTATGTGTCATGCATGGGCAGTCACTTTCTTTTACATAAAAAACAAGAAAAATAGTGTGAGGTACTTTTTTCCTGCTACCTGACATGGCTTTTAGACTGAGCAGTCCTGCTGTCATTTTTTCATATCTCCTTGCACATATTTGGAACATAGAATTATCATTATCTCTTTGCATATTGATCTTCTCTGGAAGACTGTGAGCACCCCAGAGAGAAGGTGAACTTTCCTAAAATCATCTTAGATTCCATGGTACAAGGTATACTTTGGCTACACCTTGGAATTGTATCTGAGTGGCTTGGCTTTAAAATGCATTGTAAAGAACTTTTTTTTCTGTCTCTTCTTGTCTAAGCCTTGAAATGTATTTTGAAACTCTTTCTTTGTTTTCCCACCAGGCACTCTCTTTCACAGTGCTTGCTTATCTAATGATGTGCTTGCTTAGAAATTCCAGGGGCTAATCTTAAACCAGACGGGAAGACCCAGCAGTGGAATTCTCCCCATTTAGAGATTACCTCAAAGTGATTAATCTATTATTACAACCCAAGCATTGTCAAGATGGCACCAGGCCTCACTCCAGGTGGACAATAATGCAAGATGGCCGTCGGAACAAGACACACAAGACTGCACCACACCTGCATGCTTTCCATGTAGATTTTCCCTTCTTAAATCCACTCCCTTGCCTAAAATATTGAGATGTTTTATTTGGGGCTTGAGTCCAACCATCTCCCAAGTGCTAGTGTTTGAATAAAGCTGCTTTCCTTTCACTGCACCTCACTTCTCACATTTTGGCTTTTGAGCAGTGAGCAGCTGGATTCGAACTTGGTTACAGAATCAACTGAGGAGCTTTAAAAAATACTGATGTCTGGCTTTTATCCCCAAATATTATGATTTAGTTGGCCTGGGATGTGGCTAAGAATCAGCAAATTTTAAAAGCTCCCAAATAACTTCAGTTGTTTTCCTCTCCATTTTTTATTGATATATAATAGTTGTATATATTTATGGAGTACTTGTGATATTTTGATA
The DNA here is from genome assembly GCF_000001405.40 of Homo sapiens. Classification (NCBI taxonomy): domain Eukaryota; kingdom Metazoa; phylum Chordata; class Mammalia; order Primates; family Hominidae; genus Homo; species Homo sapiens. Next base: position 9,649,360 of record NC_000016.10, on the reverse strand, counting down.
CCTGCATGCAATGTGTTATGATCAAAATAGGGTAATTAGGAATTCCATCACTTCAAACATTTATCATTTCTTTCTGCTGGGAACATTCCAAATCTTCTAGCTATTTTGAAATATACAATAAATTATTTACTATAGTCATCCTGCTGTGCTATCAAACATCAGAACTTATGTCTTCTATCTAACTTTATTTTTGTACCCATTAACCAATTTCTCTTCATCCCTCCTGTCTTGTTTACTTCCTAGTCTTTGGTAACCATAATTCTACTCTCTACCTCCATGAGATCAACCTTTTAAGCTCCCATGTATAAGTGAGAACATATGCTATTCGTCTCTCTGGGCCTGGCTTATTTCACTCAACATAATGACCTCTGGTTTCATCCATATTGCTGCAGATGACAGGGTTGCATTCTTTCAATGGCTGAGTCGTATTCCATTCCATACATATGTTATATTTTCTTCATCCATTCATCCATTGATGGACACTTAGGTTGATTCCATACCTTGGTTACTGTGAATAGTGCTGTAATAAACATCAGAGTGTGGATATCACTTTGATATGCTGATTTCCTTCCTTTTGGATATTGACCCAGCAATGGGATTCCTGGATCAAATCATATATCTATTTCTAGTTTTTTGAGGAACCTCCACACTATTTTCCATAGCAGTTGCACTAATTTACATTCCTACCAACAGTGTACTGCGTTCCCCAGGTAACTTTGACATTCACTCAGCCAAGGTTGAGAACCACTGCCCTAGCATCTAGCATCCAGGGTTTGTAGTAGTGGTGACAGCAGCCGCTAACATTTATTGATCTTTTATAATGTGGCTCAGGCACTGAGCTTTGCAATTTGTATGCATTGTTTCATTCAGTTATGCAACCATTTTAAAAGACAGCAACTATTGTTACCCTGATTTTGCACTGTAGGAAAATAAAATCTAAAGAGGTTGAGTAATTTACTCAAAGTTACCTAGCTAGGAAATGACAGAGACTGGCTGTCAGCTTCCTTGAAATCGGGACACTTTTCCCAACACCATTATGCAATGTTGCATTCACCATGCTCTCTGCCTCCCTCTATTGGTGTATAGCAGATGTTCCATAAGCCGTTATTGAATAAATAAATGGAACTGTCAAAATCTATCCTTGACACTTCACGTAGGTCACTCGAGTTCCCTTAGGCGTCTCCTTAGCTACCATAATAAGCTGAACACCACTCCCTCTTGTCCCATCTCACACTTCCTGCCCAGGGCTGTTCAGATATGGCTGGGAATCCTCAGGGCTGATGACCCATGAACAAGTGTACTCCCAGCCAGGGATCCCCACCTGGGTGGTGCTCCCAGAACACCACCACAGTCCTTGCTTGCCCAGTGGTCTGTAGGGAAGTGAGACCCGATCGGGGCACCAGAGGAGAGAATGCCTTGAGCCCATTTATGTGACGTTGTTAATGAAGTACTACCCAAACTTTAATATGAACACAGATTACCTGGGGGTTTTGCTTGATTGGATATTCTGATTCATCAGGCCTGGGGTAGCACCTGAGGTTCTGCACCACTAGCTGAGGCCAATGCTGCTTGCCTGCAGACCCCACTTTTAGAAGCAAGATGTTGGAGGGGTGTCAAGGCAGTAGAGCTTGTCAGCTTATCTGAGCATTTCAATTCTTTCTACTCAGAGACCTCCTTTCTACCTATGATTAAGGCATCTGTGGACCTTGCCGTATCACTCCAGCAGACATGAAGAGGCAGGACTGAATTCCACCTTCATCTCAGCCTTGATTGTTGCTGCACACATATGTAAAACAAAATATAAACTCACCCCCAAATACCACTTATTATTAACCTCTGTCTGCAAGGTCTAGCACTGCAGCTGATACATGATAAGTGTTCAGGAAATATGCAATGAATTCAATTCAATTAAAAATCACCTGTGAGTTTTTACTGCATTTGACATCAGCTCAAGACAAGAATTGCCTTGGGTAACTCTCAAATAAAATAGTATTCCTGAGTTCACTGAAAGGTGGGCAATTCTATGAACTCTGAGAAACTTGTTTGTTCTAATGTCACTGAAATATAGGGATTTTGATGGATTGTTGATTAGGCACAAAAAAATAGCATGAATTATTTTTGGTATTGTTAGTGATTATATGTGCTTCTATGCCATATAAGTTAATTGTATATTCTATGTATTAGTTAAGCACCTAATTAATCTTATAAATATTTATTGAATAATTAACATGCACTGGGTAATACTTCAGTGCTATAGATACAGTGATAACAAGACAGCTAAGTTCTCTGTCTTCATGGAGCTTACATTTTAGTAGAATACAGATAATATGAGGAAAATATATGAATAAAGAAGATGCTTTTAGAAGGCTATAAGGATATGAAGATAATAAAGCAAGGATATTGATGGAAGTTTTCTTTAGTTATCAGAGTAGGTAAAGTTTTACCTGGGGAGGTAAAATTTGAGCCAAGATCAGAATAAAAAGAAGGGACCAGCCATGAGGAATACCCTAAAAAGAAGAAATGATTAATAAAATTAAACGTTAGAAGCCATAAGAAGGGAGTGTGCTCAGTGAGTTATGGAATAGAAAGAAAGCCAGTGTGGTTACAGCGTGGGTAGAGAGGAATGTATGGCTTTGTAGATCATGCTGAGAAATTTGGGCTTATATTGTGTGTAATGCGCACCTGTTAAAAGATGCTAAGCATGGGGTAGCATGATCTGAGTTGTATTTTTAGAAATTATTCTGTGGTCCCAGCTACTCGGGAGGCTGAGGCAGGAGAATGGCATGAACCTGGGAGGCGGAGCTTGAAGTGAGCCGAGATCGTACCACCGCACTCCAGCTGGGAGACAGCGAGACTCTGTCTCAAAAAAGAAAGAAAGAAAGAAAGAAATTATTCTCTCTGCTGTGTCAAGAATGGATTATTGAGCAACAAGAATAGAAGCAAGGAGACCAATTAGGAGGCTCTTAAGGTCATCCAGGCGAGAGATGATGGAAGGTTAGCCTAGGATGACACCAACATTTATGGAGAAAAGTGCACAGATGTAATGGTTTAGGGAAAGGAACCAAGCCCCCTTTAGAAATTGGATGAAGGGCATACAGGTTTGAATGATATAAAGATATTAAGAATGGATTTGGGAGAATTTAATAAAAGCAACTGAGTGGATGGAGGTGCCATTCTGACCTGGAGAGGACAAAACTGAGTTGGGGTTGTTTCGGAGCACGGTAGATTTGAGATGCCTTCTACACACCCTACTGGTGATGTTGATTAGGCAGGCAGAGTTATGATTCTGGCGGTCAGGGGACTGGTGAGTGCAGGGGACATAGATTTGGATGCCTTCAGTGAGTAGATGATATTTGAAACCACACATATAAATAGGACCACCTTGGAACAATGTTCAGAGATAAGAAAGCCCAGGACTGTGCCCTGGGTACATCCACCTCAGAGAGGCCAAGGAGAGAGGGCAGAGGTGGCAAAGAGGAAGCCAGAGAGTTGGAGGAGAACAGTCAAAAAATTCAGCATCTCAGAACCAAGAGAAGTGTGCTGAAAAGCAGGGAGGGATTAATCAGAGATGATACCTCTCTGAAGGTGATTAAAAAAAACATATAAAGTCATCCATTAAATTTGGTGCTGAAATCCTTCTGTATGTCACACATGTATTTTTATATTTTATTTTAATTTAGTTTTTTAGCTGACAAATAATTGTACATATCCAAAGGGTATATGATGTTGTTTTGATACATATAATGTATACTGATCAGATCAAGGTAATTAGCATTTCCATCAACTCCCAACATTTATCATTTCTTTGTGTTGGGAACATTCAATACCCTCCTTTTAGCTATTTGAAACAATATATTATTGTCAACTATAGTTATCCTACAGTGCTACAGAACACTAGAACTTATTCTTCCTATCTAGCTGCAATTTTGTATCCTTTTGCAAATCTCTTCTCACCCTTCCCTCCCTTCCACCCAGCCTTTCCAGCCTCTAGTATCCTCTGTTTCACACACATACTTAGTTAACAATTCTCACAACATTCCTGCAGGTCACATTGTATTATCCTGAATTTACAGATAGGAAATGGGGTTCAGAGAAATAAAGCAACTTGTCCAAGGTCACAGCTCAGAGGTGAAGGTGCGAGGCTTCATCTCAAGTATGGATGGTTTTCCTGCAACAAATCCCACAGAAGGAGCATAAGCCCCTTGAAGACAGAGACCCTCTCTCCCAGTTGACTGTGTATAGAAAGGCCCAATACTGCCACTGTTAGAAGTATGGAGATGAAGGCAGATGGCTGAGTTTGGACTCAATTTTTTTTTTATCCACACAGTGGAAATGAGGATAATCACTTCTAAGACTTATTTTGAGGAATAAATGAGATAATCCAGGCCAAAATGCCTTCACAGTGCTAGACAATAAGGAGTATTCAATAAATGCTTGTTTCCTTTTTAAATTCTTTTTCTCATCCTTTTATTCCCCAAAAGTATTTCAACAGGTACCACAAATAGAAACTATCCTTCAGTTTCTTGTGAAGCTGTGGTTATGAAACATGATCTGAAGTATTATCTAAAATAGAATTTTATAAAACTCAGTGTGCTGAACAATTACATAAAATGTCAACTTGTTTTGTCCTAACCAGGAGTGGGGAGGTCAGGATTTTAATTTCAAGTCTTTAATCTCAGCCTCAGTGTTCACTAGCTGTGTCACCTTGGGAAAATCTCTCATGTCAACCCTCGTTTTCCAGATATATTGTGGTCCTATGGATAGAAAAGTTGAATATTTGTGCTATAAAAAGCTATGGGTATCTGTTTTCAGGAATCTTGCTACTAAGATTTATGGAAATGTGTCTCTAACAGGGTTATGTACAACAGAGAATGATACTGGCCAATATAACAAAGTCCAGTGATGGCCTCAGGTATAGCTAGATCCAGGTGCTGAAATGGTATCAGTAGGAATTATTCACTTTCCACCTTTTGGCTCTGATATCCTGGACTCTGGTTTCACTACCAGCTTCCCAGATAACGATAAGGAGGTAACTGGCATTAGGTTTACTTTCTTGTAGCTTAGTAGCCCCGGGGCAGCTCCAGGTTTCACTACAATTAAGTTGGCTTATGATACATTCAAGCCACAGCACATTGTAAGAAAGTGGATCATTGACCGGGGATTCTCCACACCCCTTCAGCTTCTTCCCACCAACAGACTGTTCCCCCTCTTTCCTCTGCACCCCCACAGGCTGTGTGGCCATCAATTCTGACACTACCTGTGTTTTACCACCCTCCTCTGCTCCCGACCTCTGTGCCTCTTTATTTTCTCATTGGTAAAAAGAAAAAAGAAAAGAATAATCGTGATAATAAAATCAATCCCATAGGACTGCTGCAAAGATTAAATAGAATATGCCCATGGAGATGCCTGACAGATAACAGAAGTTCTGGTGATTATAGGCCTCTTTCCTTTGTATCTTTTATATAGTTCCTCATAGGTACAACAGAAGTGTACAACATCGTGATTAAGAGCTCAGACTTTCAATGCAGGATTTGAGTTCTGTTTTTTTTCCCTCTGTAGCTCAGCGTCTCTGAGTAATTCGACCAATCTCTCTCTTTTTGCTTTCTTTTTCAATTTTTTTATATTCAGGGCCAGGTGCGGCAGCTCATGCTTGTAATCCCAGCACTTTGGGAGGCCAAGCAGGAGGATTGCTTGAGCCCAGGGGTTCAAAACCACCTGGGGAAACATAGCAATACCCTGTCTCTACAAAACCAACAACAACAACAACAAAAAAAACTCAAAAAAAAAAAAAAAAAAAACCACACAAAAATTAGCCAGGCTTAGTTGTATGCTCCTGTAGTCCCAGCTGCTTGGGAGGCTGAGGTGGGAGGATTGCTTTAGCCTTGGAGGTTGAGGCTGCAGTGAGCTGTGATTGCACCATTGCACTCAGCCTGGATGACAGAGCGGGAACCCTGTCTCAAAACAAATTTAAAAATAAATTATACAGGCAGGCATGGTGGCTCACACCTGTAATCCCAGCACTTTGGGAGACCGAGGTGGGTGGATCCTGAGGTCAGGAGTTCAAGACCAGCCCAGCCAACACGGCAAAACCCCATCTCTATTAAAAATACAAAAATTAGCTGGCCATGGTGGGGGCACCTGTAATCCCAGCTACTCAGGAGGCTGAGGCAGAAGAATCATCACTTGAACCCGGGAGGCGGAGGTTGCAGTGAGCCGAGATGGCGCCATTGCACTCCAGCCTGGGTGACAAGAGTGAAACTTGGTCTCAAAAATAAATAAATAAACAAACAAATAAATAAATAAAACTTAGATTCAGGGGATACATGTGCAGGTTTGTTGCCTGGATATATTGCGTGATGCTGAGGTTTGGGGTATGAATGATCCTGTCACCCAGGTACTGAGCATTGTATCGAACAGTTCATTTTTCAACCCTTGCCCTCCTCCCTCCCTCCCTGTTCTGGCAGTCCCCAGTGTCTGTGTTGCCATCTTTATGTCCATGAGTACCGAGTGTTTGGCTCCCACTTATAAGTGAGGAAAAGTGCAATAAATTTGGCTTTCTGTTCCCGCGCTAATTTGCTTAGGATAATGTTGGCCCATCTCTCTAAGCCTGTTTCCTCATCTGTAAGATGGGGATGACGATAGCACCATCCCTTAAATTTGTACAACAGGTAGATGATAGAATGTATGCCCAGAACTTAGCCAAATGCCAAGGCTCATTGTAAACACTCCACATATCAACAAACATTTATTCTTAATCTTCCTGAAAGGGATGGAGAGGGGACTAACTCTGTTCTATATATGAAAAATGTTTCTAAAAGGCAAATACATAATCATAATCTAGAATGTACTTTCAGTCTTATTATGGATAATTTTCAATTGCTTGTGATGTCTCATGTCTATTTGGATTGAAATGAAACAACCAGATGGAAATTCTAAAATCCATACATCAACAGAAGCCCTTAGGTCATTTACCACCTTAAAATATATCACATATGCACAAATGATGTTTTCTGGTCCAAGAAAGATTGCACAAGACCTTAGATTCACATTTTATATCTGATAGGTAACAGATAGACATGTGACATCATGATTCCTACAAGGAAGATTTATGAATGTTTTTAATCTTAATATTTAATATTTTGAAAGAAGAGTAGAACATAAAACTGAAAATTTAATATCTTAAATGTTGTTGTCAAATATTCATTATTGCTGGGATAATGTGAGGAGTCCTACGTTATAATTTCAAACACCTGTTTTGGTAATGTGTAAAGAGCCTTAAGAGAAAACATTTATCTACATTCTATATGTTTCAAAGAATCTTTACATTCTGATTTTATCTAATTTTTATGGCAATCTTGTGGGATAAAAAAGTATTATCCCCATTTTAGGGCTGAGAAAACTGAGTCACCAGGAGATTAAATAGCTTAGTTCTGTCATACCCTGCAAAGTATTGGAAACTGAATCAGAATCCCAATATTAACTTCCCTTCATCTTAAAACTTACAGCCACTTATATGTCATAAAACTAAAAATAAGCTTTTTCTCTCCTTTTTTCCTCTTGAGCTTCTGCTATCTTTGAATTTTAGAGAAATGGCATAAGTAATGCATAAAACGAACCTCATGTTGAATAAATAGCATCTGAGAAGCAGAAAATTTTTATCAACTCATTGTCCGGCATTATCTCCTGTCTTTTTCATCTTATTTAGAATCTGTATCCTATATTCTTATCTCTCTCAAAGCATTCACCACAAGAGTTTAGTTTCATAAAGAATGTGCTTTAAATTTTACTTTTGTGTGTCTTTTACAAATTTTTATCAAAGCCTTATACGTGGTTAAACATCAGACAGAACAAAAGGGCTCATAAATGGCTAGGGTCCTGCACGTCACCAACTCGACATCTTTTTCATTTCCTAGAACACACAACTTCAAAAATGACCTTATCTTCTTTCATTGTTTCTTCTAATCTTTAATTCCATATTTCTAAATAATGTAGTTATTCTGCTGTTTGTAAGAGCAGATGAGTTTTATATATTATCTATTGATTTCTTTCTATGGTAGATGAGTCATTACTTCACTTAAACTACCTAGCCTCTTTCCTCCTCTCAGATACATCATATTTGTAAATTCCTCTGCTGTAAATGTTTCTTAAATATCTTCCTTTCCTGTCTTTCAATTAGACATAAGATCTGAACTCCATCCTTTGACCCTATCCCTTCCTCTTCCACTTCTTAATTTCTGTCATCTGTGCTTTTATGTTACTGTCAAGACTGAGAGTATTCATATAGTGGTAAACAACAACCACATATAATTAAATTCAAGATGCTATGGACTGTAAAATCCACCATTTTTATATGTCATAAAAAAGTAAAAGAAACATAGCCATTTGTAATTGCAAAGTACATCAAAGAGACATCTCAATTTTGGAGATGTTAAAAACATGATAAGATCCTCAGACGTCACTGATAGTACTATAAAATGGTACAACTGCTTTGGAAAACAGTTTGGTGATTCCTCAAAATGTGAAACACAGAGATGCCACATGACCCAGCAATTCTACTGCTAAGCATTTACCAAAGAACAATGAAGATATATATCCACACAAAAAAAAGCTTATACATGAATGTTCACAGTAGCATTGTTCATAATAGACAAGACTGGAAGTAAGCCGAACATACATTGATGGATGAATTGATAAACTAAATGTGATATACCCATAGAATGGAATACGATTCAGTAAATACAACCATTCTGTTTTTTACTTTCACTACTGTATTCAATAAATTACATGAGGTATTCAAAACTTTACTCTACAATAGGGTTTGTGTTAGGTAATTTTGCCCAATTTTAGACCAATGTCAAGTATTCTGAGCACATTTAAAGTAAGCTAGGCTAAACTATGATGTTTCGTAGGTTGATTATATTAAATGCATTGTCAGTTTACAATATTTTCAACTTATGTTTATCATGACTTAACTCCATCATAAGTAAAGGAGCATTTGTACACTCAAAATTTCTGTGATAAATTAAAACGGAATTATAAATGTCAACTAACCCAGAGAAGGGCAATAAAAATAAAACATAGAAATGAAAAAGCAGAGAGAACAAGTTTTTTAAAAAACCACACAAGCCTAAGCCCTAATATATCAGTAGTTACACTAAGTGTAAATGGTCTAAATATATCAATTTAAAAACATATTTCCAGAGTGGATTAAAAACATAACCCAAATATATCCTATCTAGAAGAAACCCATTTTGAATATATCAATATAGATGGATTGAAAGTAAAAGTTTTGTCTGGGAGTGGTGGTTCATGCCTGTAATTCTAGTGCCTTGGGAGGCCAAGGCAGGAGGATTGCTTAAGGCCAGGAGTTCAATCCAGCCTAGGCAACATAGACAGACACCCACCTCTACAAAAATAAAAATTAAAAAATTAGCTAAGCATAGTGGTATACACCTGCAGTCCTAACTACCAGGTGGAAGGATTGCTTGAACCCAGGGGTTCAAGCTTATAGTGAGCTATGATCACACCACTGCTTGGGCAGCAGAGTGAGGCCCTGTCTAAAAAAAGCTTTGGAAAATATATACGATGTAAACATTAGTAAAAGTAAAAAGGAGGAATGGCAATATACATATCCAATAAATCAGACTTTATAGGAAAAAATAGAAACAGAGATAAACATTATATAAAAATGAAAGTGTCAATAAAATAAGAAGACATAGTAATCCTAAATGTAAATGCACCAAAAAAATAAACCTGCAAAATATATAAAGCAGAAACTGATGGAAATGAAAGTAGACAAATGCACAACTACACTTGGAGACTTCAACAACCCTCTCTCAACAATTGACAGAGTAAGTAGAAAGAAGCTGTGCAAAGATATAGAGGAACACAACAACACCCTCAACCCATCAGATCTAATCACCATTAATAGAAAGTTCCACCACCAACAACAGAATACACATTTTTTCCAGTGCTATGGAACATATTCTAAGAAGACCATGTCTTGGGTTCTAAAACAACCCCTCAAGTAACTGAACAAGAATTAATTCTTACAGTTGTGTTTTTCAATCACAATGAAATCAAACTAGAAATCAATAACAGGAAAATCTCCAAACAATTGAAAAGTAAGCAACCCATTTCTAAGTAATTCAAAGTTCAAATAGAAAGTGTCAAGGAACATTTTAAAACATTACACTGAATAAAATGAAAATACATCATATCAAAATTTGTGATATATGAGGCCGAGTGCAGTGGCTCACACCTGTAATCCCAGCACTTTGAAAGGCTGAGGCAGACAGATCATTTGAGGCCAAGAGTTCAAGACCAGCCTGGCCAACATGGTGAAACGCCATCTCTACTAAACATACAAAAATTAGCTGGGCATGGTGGCATGTGCCTGTAATCCCTGCTGCTCAGGAGGCTGGTGCAGGAGAATTGCTTGAACCCGGGAGATGGAGGTTGCAGTGAGCTGAGATCACACCACTGCACTCCAGCCTGGGTGACAGAGCAAGATTCCATCTCGGAAAAAAAAAAAAAAAAAAGAAAGTTGTGATATATAACTAGTCGATGGTGGTTATTGGAGCATCATTCTCTGATACCAGCATCTCCCAAGAACCAGATGCAAACCATATGACTGCTTCTTCTGGGTCAGCAGGGCTATTTCTGTGCCTAAAAAGGTGGACAGAATGAAACACTGTTACACAGATCCCAGGCACAGGCCTGGCTGACATTCTGTGACGGATATTTAACAGTGAATGTGTTATAAATTACCAGAAATGAGGCATTGCAAAAGACATGGGGATGGGACTCCCAGGTGTCTGAGCAATAGACCGAAGAGCCTAGAAAATTGTTCAGCCATTCATCCAGACTGATAAGAATCCCATGGACAGGAACACGAAATGGTGTTACTGTCTCCTAAAGGGCTCCATCAGCGGCTGCTGTCACTGAGGCTAGGTCGGGATTGCAGACCACAGTCTGGGAAGCAGAAGGTAGCAGGCTGAGATACTAATGGACTTTGTGGTATTAACTGTGTTTGAGAACGCTGAGCAGCCCTGGTGAATAGTGGGATGGAAGCCACGGTGTAAAATGATGCAGACTCTTTTTACAGGGGCTAGAAGTTCTCCTTCTTCCAAATGCATGAACACAGCTGAAAGCCTTTGACCCAGAGCGGGATGTTCTTGGTTTGTTTGGATGGAGTGGCCTCAGATTTTAGGGTGCTGAGGCTAAAGCCAGTAACAAAGAGGTGAGCTCCAAGAGCCGATAAAGTGAGTTGCTCTTATGTGCAGAACTTTTCAGGGGGGTGCTAAAGCACAGAATTAATTGAGCATCTCTCCTGGTAGGCCTAAGAGACATTTGACATTCTGGACCATGATTTTCCACCCACACTGTCTGCCTGATTCTTGTTAATGACCCATCACAATGGTTTTGCTTCTCTGCTGCATAGAGTCAGAGCTGGACCTGATGACCTTCTTAAGAGCAGTCAGGGAAGCCTGAACTGCATGAAGATCAGGTAGATGACCTTCAGTGTTCTCCTGACTGACAGGTTACAAACTACAGAGGTTAAATGTCAAGACTAAAACTTGTCTTTCTAAGAAAATGTTTCCCCCTCTTGTCTACTGGTGAAAATGACATTAGGAAGGATTATATAGACTTGAGAAGCATGGCAAAAGGGTCAGGGCAGATTATTTAGTTCCAGAGATACTGTCTGCGCTGGGGAGGCAGGTGGCAGAAGGGGACAATTGAGTCACTCCATATTTATACTGGTACATCTCAATTTTATATTTATTTTTATTTATTTATTTTTTGAGACAGCGTCTTGCTCTGTCACCCAGGCTGGAGTGCAGTGGCGTGACCTCGGCTCACTGCAACCTCTGCCTCCCGGATTCAAGCGATTCTCCTGCCTCAGCCTCCCAAGTAGCTGGGATTACAGGCATGCGCCACCATACCTGGCTAATTTTAGTATTTTTAGTAGAGATGGGGTTTCACCATATTGGCCAGGCTTGTCTCGAACTCCTGACCTCGTGATCCACCCACCTCGGCTTCCCAAAGTGTTGGGATTACGGGCGTGAGCCACCGCGCCTGGCCTGCTTCTCAATTTTAACCTGTGTGTGAATCACCTAAGGACCTGAGCTTCTGACTCAGTATAGATCTGGCGTGGGGTCCGAGATTCTGCATTTCCAAAAAGCTCACAAATGATGCTGGTGGGATGGGGACAATGCTTTGAAGAGAGAGATTCCAGACCAGACCAGTGGCTGAGGGAGTCATCTCTCCTCCCCTCATCCGCCTCCAGAACAGAAACTGGATTAATGGCAGGTCATTGAGCTGGTACCAGAAAGAATATTTTTATTAATCAAACCCCTACTCTGTCCTAAGGGCTTCCCCTGCACCGAGGTAGGTGTCATCGTCTCTATTTGAGAGATGAGGACTAATATGGTTTGAATCTGTGTCCCCACCAAATCTCATGTTAAATCGTAATCCCCAGTGTTGAATGTGGGGCCCGGTCAGAGGTGATTGGATTGTGAGAGTGTGTATTTCTCATGAATGGTTTAACACCATCTCCTCGGTACTGTCCTGGAGATAGTGAGTGAGTTCTCATGAGATCTGGTTATTTAAGAGTGTGTTGCGCCCCTCCCCTTTCTCTCTCCCCTGCTCCCCTTCCTGCCATGTAAGAAGCTTGCTCCCCCTTTGCCTTCCACTATGATTGGAAGCTTCCTGGTGAGGCCTCCCCAGAAGCAAAGCCTCTATGCTTCTTGTATAGCCTGCATAACCATGAGCCAATGACACCTCTTTTTTTTATAAATTACCCAGTCTTAGGTATTTCTTTATAGCAATGAGAGAGTGGCCTAATACAAGGGCATTGCAACTCAGAATTTTGGGTACTCATTTGTCCTCCTCCCAAAATTCATATCCTGAAGCCCTAATCGCCAGCACTTCAGATGTAACTGTACTTGGAAATAAAGTCTTTAAAGAGGTGATTAAGTTAAAATGAGGTCATTAGGGTGTACCCTAATTCAATATGACTGGTTTTTTAATAAGAAGAGGAGATTAAGACAATGACATGCACAAAGGGAAGACCATGAGGAAGACAGAAGGAAAAAGATGGTCATCTACAAGCCAAAGCGGAGAGAGACTTGGAAGACAACAACAACAAAACGAATCCTGCCAACACCTTGATCTCAGACTTCTAGCCTCAGAGCTGTGAGGAAGTAAATTTCTGTTGGTTAAGCCACTCAGTCTGTAGTATTTCGCTATGGAAGCCTTAGCAAATTAATACACTCACTCACCTACTATGTTCCAGCTATAAATAAGAAATCACAACCTTTGGGTTATGTTTCTTTTCTTTAAGGGTTTTTTGTTTTTTTTTTTTTTTTTTTTTTTTAGATGGACTTTCGCTTTTGTTGCCCAGGCTGGTGTGCAGTGGCGTGATCTCAGCTCACTGCAACCTCCGCCTCCTGGGTTCAAGTGATTCTTCTGCCTCAGCCTCCCAAGTAGCTGGGATTACATGCAACCACCACCACGCCCAGCTAATTTTTGTATTTTTAGTAGAGACAGGGTTTCCTCATGTTGGTCAGGCTGGTGTCGAACTCCTGACCTCAAGCGATCCACCTGCCTTGGCCTGGCAAAGTGCTGGGATTATAGGTGTGAGCCACCATGCCCAGTCTGGGTTATATTTCTTTCTTTTCTTTTTTCTTTTTTGAGATGGAGTCTTGCTCTGTCACCCAGGTTGGAGTGCAGTGGCACGATCTCGGCTCACTGCAACCTCTGCCTCCTGGGTTCAAGTGATTCTCCTGTCTTAGCCTCCTGAGTAGCTGGGATTACACGCATGCGCCACCACGCCCAGCTAATTTTTGCATTTTTAGTAGAGACAGGGTTTCGCCTTGTTGGTCATGCTGGTCTCAAACTCCTGACCTCAGGTGATCCACCCGCCTCGGCCTCCCTAAGTGCTAGGATTACAGGCGTGAGCCACCGCAGCCAGCCCTGGGTTATATTTCAACACTGGGCATGGTGCCATGAATGTAATAGACAGTAAATGTGTTGACTCGATCTGAGAACTGTGAGCATGTAGCCAGGCAGTCAAACATATTTTTTTTCTAGAGTGAATCAAACCTTTCCAGGCCTGCTCAAACCTCTTTGTAGAGACCTGGGTCACATAGTGAGCATGAAGAATTGGTTTAGCCACTAAAATACTCCCATTAGAGGTAAGACACTAAAGAGTCTCCTGAATCATCCAAACTTCCCAGAGTCTTTTAGATAACACCCCTGAAGAGATGAGTTCTTGAAGTCTGGAGTGGCAAGTAGGGTTGGAGCCTACGATTGTGCAAAATGCAACCTAAACAACCACCCACAGAGGCCCTAGTTATATGGAATATTGAAAACTTCAAATCCACAAATGCCAAGCCAGGATTATGTAGGAAGGGCTCAACCCTAGAGGAGAGAGCTGATGCAAGTTAGCACAAACTTGGTCACCTTGACTGACTTCATCTTGCTATGCATTCTGACTTAAGTGTCACTTTTGTTCAAGTGAGTTTTCCCTGGAAAAGGAAATGACAAATGGAATTCAAGAGCATCTTTGAAAAGTGGTAGTGACATATCAGAGTTTGCAATCCTGTGTGTAACACTCCCTCACTTATAGGTCATGTTTAACCATTTTCTGTTCATTTTCATGAAGGAGTGTAATCTGGCCACAGAAATAAAATCTGTGCTGTGAATTTATTGCCAGGACCAAACTCGGGATAAAATAAATTTAGTGATTCAATGAATTTTCTTTATTGAACAAGATATCACATGACATTAAATCTTATATCTAAAATCTAGGACAGATGCACTTGTGGCTCTTTAAGCTACTTACGCAATATATACTGAAAATCTTTTTGTCAAGAGTGGTGCTAGCTCTGGGGAAACAGGATTCAACAAGGCAACCACAGTGCCTACCCCTTAGAGGTTTGATCTTCAGGGGCCGCTGATAGGTGAGTTGATACAATACATCGTGAGAGGTGCTATGTGTAATAAGGGTAGTCCATGGTGGCATATGAGGGTGGAGGAAGGAACCAGAGAAGGTTTCCCAGAGGTGACAACATTCACCTTCATATCTAAAGGTTGAGTGGGGATTTCCCAGATGTCATCAGCTGAATTGTGCCTCCCACCCAAATTCGTATGCTGAATTTCTATCTACCAGTATCTCAGAGTGAGACTATATTTGGACGGAGACAAGGCCTTCAAAGAGGAAATTAAGTTAAAAATGAGATTTTTAGGGTGGACCCTAAACGAGTATAACTGAAGCAGGATATTTGAACACAGGCACGTGCACACACATAAAGACCATGTGGGGCCACATTGAGAAGGCCGCCATCTGCAAGCCAAGTACACAGGACTCAGAAGAAACCAAACCTACTAACAACACAACCTTGGACTTCTACCCTCCAGAACTGTGAGGAGCTAACTTCTATTGTTTAAGCCTCCCAGTCTGCAGTGTTTTGTATGGCAGCCCTAGACCAGTGGAAAAAATGAGCCTACGTCCACTGTAAGAGAGAGTTTGGCAGTGTCAGGAAACTGAAAGCAGATGTGAGCAGCTGGAGGGTGGGCAGTAGGGTGGATGCAGGACAGGAAGCTAGAGAGACAGACAGGCAGGCCCTGGAGGCATGGGAAGGACCTTGGTCTTTATTAAACGGGCAATGAGGAGCCATGGAGGGTTCAAGCAGGCAGTGGTGTAGTCAGGCAGCTCTGCCTTCAGAGTAGAGGAGAACTGGGGTGGCCTGAGACCCATTCATCTGTTTCAGTGAAGCAGGAGGGGAGGAAATACAGCAGTGACATCCTGCTGACTTACTGATGGGCAGATGGACATCATCATTCTGAATACTTGCTGGGATTGCGGGGAGGAAGAGCAGGGCCTCTCTACCTGAACACTATTGAATTTGGGGCTGCATAATTCTTTTGCTGAGGGCTGTCCTGTGCTACGTAGAATGTTTAACAGCATCTCTGCTCCCTACCCACTAGATGCCAGTTGAGTCCTCCCCAACCCAGCTGGGATAACCAAAAGTATCTAAACATGGCCAAATGTCCCCTGGGAGGCACAAAATTGACCCTCTAGTTGAGAACTGCTGAGATAGAGTGGTTATGATGCAGGGCAGGAGAGCCCCAAATTGGGGCTTAGCCCATGAGGGTTCTTGGCTTCACCCAGGAAAGAATTCCAGGGCAAGCTGATGATAGAGTAGAAGAAAACAGCTTTATTGAAGAAGCAGTGTTACAGCTCCAGCTACACTGTTACAGCTCCATAACTGCTCCTGCAGAGCAGAGTGACCCCACAGGCAGTGTGCTGGGAGTAGCAGCTCACGGCAGTTCTGCAGTCATATTAAGGGGTGGTTTATACAGAAATATCTAGGAAAAGTATAGTAACTTCTGGGTTATCAGGGCATTGCCATGGAAAGGGGTAGTAACCCCTGGGGGTTGCCATGGCAATGGTACACTGACATGGCACACTGGTGGGTGTGTCTTATGGAAAGCTGTTTGCCCTGTCCCTGTTTTAGCTGGTCCTCAATTTGGTCCAATGTCTGAGCCCCACCTCTGGAGTTAAGTCCCACCTTCCACTTCAGTTATACTTAACAGTCAACAGTGTGGTCCCCAGACAGGCAGCATCAGCATCACCTGGGAAAGTGTTAGAAATGCAAATTACTAGGCCTCACCCAAAACTGGAGGCAGGGCCCTTTCATCTGTGTTTTAAGAAGCCCTCTGGATAATTCTGATGACCTCCAGGTGATTAGACCCTCTCTAGTCTAAGTGCTGCAAGTACTCAACCCAGGCATGGAGGGAAAGTTCCTGGGTGCTGGTGAGTGGATGATATGATTTGGCTGTGTCCACACACAAACCTCATCTTGAATTGTAGCTCTCATAATTCCAACATGTTGTGGGAGGGACCCAGTGGGAGATAATTGAATCATGGGGGCCGTTTCCCCCATACTGTTCTCATGGTAGCGAATAAGTCTCCTGAGATCTGATGGTTTTACAAGGGGAAACCCCTTTTACTTGGCTCTCATTCTCTTCTCTTGTCTGCCACCATGTGAGATGTGCCTTTTACCTTCCATCATGATTGTGATGTCTCCCCAGCAACATGGAACTGTGAGTCCATTAAACCTCTTTCTTTTGTAAATTGCCCAGTCTCAGGTATGTCTTTATCAGCAGCATGAAAATGGACTAGTATAGTGGGTCTGAGAACTCTATTCACTTCGGGAAATAAGAAACATGTATTATGGACACGTCTTCTAGCAGTGCCTCTCCCCCAAATGTTCACCTCTGTCCTTCAAACCTCAGTCACTGTGACTCTCCTGCAGGTTCAGAAATGATAAAGACACAGTCCTTACCCTGAGGAATTCAATGAACATTTTTTTTCCTGATATGATGAATGAACAAACATTTGTCGAGTGCTGACTGTGTGCCAGAAATGGTGATAGCCACTGTCTTTATCTGCTCATTCTCTACCTTCATGTAAAGCAGGTGTCATTAATAACCTCATGTAATATGTAAGGAAACTTAGCTCACAGGGGAAAGGGAATAGCCAAAAGTTACATACCTGACAGGTAAGTGGCGCTCAAATGCACACCAGCTGACCCTAAAGACTTTAGTCTTTTCTTGACATCATTATCTTAGTCCTTTTGGGCTGCTATAACAAAATGCCATAGACTGAGTGGCTTATAAACAACAGACATTTATTTCTCAAGGTTCTAGAGGCTGGAAGTCCAATATCAATGTGCCAGCAGATTCCATGTCTTGTGAGGGCCAATTTCCTAGTTCATAGAAGATACCTTCTCACTGTGTCATGTGGAAGGGGAACTCCAGTCCCAGCCCTTTATAAGAGCACTGATCTCATTCTTGAGGGCTCTTCTCCCATGACCTGATCACCTCCCAAAGGCCCCACTTCCAAATATCACATTGGAGATTAGTTTTCAACATATGAATTTGGAGCTGACACAAAAATTTAGTCCATAGCAATCATTCTGTATGTAAGTGATAATTAACCCCATGGTGGCAGATGTCATCATATAAAGCAGAGTTTTGGAAGTCCTCAAAATTAAATGAGAGGAAAAACGCGCAAGGGCAGAATAGAGGATTTGAGAAGATATAACGGTATATACTGTCTAGAGTTCAGCTGGCTTCAATTCTTTATCAAAGATGAGTAAGCAGATTTGATGAGCACTTGGAGAAGTCTTAAAGCAGAAAGGACAAGTAGCCTGAGTGAGGAGATATTAGGAAGTAAACTTTATGGTAGGAACAGAGTGGAGTCATCAGAGAGGATAAGAATAGACACACAGGGCTAGGATGGAAATCTCATGTAGCACCACGAGGCTCTTTAATATGGCAGCACAGTCTAGGACTCTGAAATTAGGAGACTTTGCAGCCACTGCCTCGGCCAGTCATTAAGGACATATATAACAAGATATGGCATAAGAAAATACAACTGTGCAGCTGGACATAAATTGGGTCTAACAGGACTGGGTGATTCATGGTATCAGATGTAACAGTGTGTTACAAGGTACAGTGGCTCAGTAAGGTTGAAGCCACATAATTCAACATGACGGCTGAAATGTCAGGAGAAGAGGCATCTATATGCACAACCGTTGTGTTACTTTGGGTGGTAGCTGTATGGGAGGACATTATCAAGAAAGGAGCACCAGGCAGAACTTACAGGAAGCTGACTGGGGATAAAGATTATGGATATGGAGAACAGAACCCCAGGACCATAGCAGTGGGCTGTCAGTGATCATAAGAGTTAGCCTTTATTTGTGCCAGTCTGTGAACAATCAACAAACATATGTTCACTATGAATAATTAATACATTATCTCATTTCATTCCCATGGCAACCCTGAGAGTTAGAAATCACCCCATTTTACTGATGATTTTACACAGCTAGAAGGTTGCAGAGCTGGGATTTAAACCAAGAATATCTAATTTCAAAGCCCATAGTTGCAAACATCATACTCTTCTCGGATTTCTTCCAATGTATGACATGAATGCTTTGGACACAGCAGGCAGTGGACATGGGTGGAATAAATTAATCACTGTGTGAATTTTATCAGCTGATTCCATGGCCAGGTGATTTTGCTTAGAGGTCCTTGCCAATCAGGTGTCCGCAAATGTGTTTTGTTTGGCCCATAGAACATCAGCCCATATCATGTTTTTTTTTAAAGTTGTCAACATGTAAATATTAGAATATACCCCCATAAAATCCGGATATTTTTGTGATTTTGGAAAGACTGGGAAATCTTGCAATGCGAGGTCTGCTTGGCAACCATACATTGGAGCTGACAATATCTGTATTCTGATTTGCAGCACTCACCACAACTCCCCATTGCCTCTCTGAGTCTGAATCCAAATACTCCTTGACATTTATAGTTGCATTTGGGTTATTCTTCTTTTAGGATAATTATAAAACTGTAAAATATTTATTATACCCACCTGAATCAAATGTAAGAAAATCAAATATAGACTGAGAGGGCCACATATTTCAAGAAAATTTAGAATTATAGAATTGAAAAATATCCAATATGTTTTAATACGAATATAAGTTTTATCTGGCGCTTCTTTCTCATCTGTGTTGGAAGCATATATCTTAGGATACCCAGCCTGCTTCACTGATTTTCATTTCCAACTTGATCTTTGTATGGATTTGATTTTTGAGACCCTGGTCTAGTTGGTCAATTTCAATGGCCCCATAGCACGCAAACTCTTATCAGTATGAGGTTTGCTCCATTTGTGAGCAGTCAGGGAGATCTATAATTGGTAAGAACCAGTCACCTCATTGTTACTATATGTGAATGTAGGGATTCATAAACATTTCAGGACTTATATTTTCAAACCATCAATTTTACATTTCCTATATACAGCAGATGTCTATTGTAATATAGTGATAATAAAAATAACAAGAATTATTACTCTATATTGAGTTACCTGCCATGAGCCAGGATATTTAATGAGTTATGAGCACATGCTGTATCATTTATTTTAACTATCATAATCACCCTGTAATATAGGTATTATTTAATCCCAAATTTTTCAATAGGATAGTTGATGATCAGTCAAGGTTAAGATATAAACTCAGGTCTAAGTCTAAAGTCCAAATTCTTTTCACTATGTCATACTGCTTTGACTTTGATTGTAATATGGCCAACTATGCTCTCTTTCCTTTTTACGTTTTTTCCTGATGTGTATTTGCTTTTCAAAACCTGCAACCTTTGCCATTTAAGACATTTACAAGCAACATAACTTAGATTTTAAAGACAATTTTTATAAGGGGTTTTTGTTTATAATAAAGAAATATATCTCTTATATCACTGATACTTATTTACATAATAGATACATATGTATTTATGTGTATTTATTCTTTTTATTTTTTTGTACGTCTTCATAGTGAAACATCAGAACTCTGTATGCAGTCGGTAATCAATTACCATTTGTGAACACAGGGAAGGGCTCAGCATCAATTAAAAGACAGGATTTTAAGGTAAAATTGGGCCATTTATTCCTTAGGTTCTAGGAACTGTCACAGTGAGATAGCCCAAGGTTTTCATCTTTTTCTTTTTCTCTCCTCTAAAGAGATTGAATAAGTTTCCTGTCCAGAAATCCTAGCAAATATGGTAGAAAATTCAAGGAACATTACAATATTATACAAACCATTACCTCCGTATATTTATAGCCAAATCTCATTAAGTTTCATTAAGACTGGAATCTGTGACATGTTGGATGGAGGCTGAAGGAAGTTTACCAAATTAACAGTGTAAATGAGGTTGCAACATGCAATGCTGTTCCCACTTAGAGCAGGTTACAAGCACTTTAGAAGCATCTGTAATTAGATAAATTAGGGGATGCTAAATATCTGATAGGTTATGAATGGAAATGAGGGGTCTTAGGAGATACTCCCGTAAACTAGAACAAGTTATTGTATGCCTCTGTGCCTCAGTTTCCTCATCTCTGAAACAGGGATAAGGAGACCTAACTACCATCAGAATTAAATAAGGAAATATATATTTTAAAGTGGTGAATTCTCCTGGTAGTTAAGGGCACAGATCTGGCAATCAGAATTAGCTTAGAATCTCTGTTTTACCAATAACAATGTGACTGTGAGCAAATTATTCATCTCTCTGACCACCATCAGTTAGCTCATCTAGTAAATGGGTAGAATAATGTCCTTGGGCTACTGAGAACATTAATGAATGTGCAGTGCCTCAGCCAGTATCTGACAGACAGTAAGTGCAAAAATAAAAGGTGGGTATTATCACAATGTCATCCTCGTACTAATATTAATATTACCTTAATATGTAATGCTATGCTATTTTAGTATTCAAGGTAAATATTAATAGGTTAATACTAGAAATAACACAACTGCATATAGTAAGTGCCCAATATACTACATATAGTTATTCATCCTGGAGGAGGGAGAACTAGAAGAAGAAACAGTGGTTAGGGATGTCACTGTTGTCTTCCTTCCAGACTTGACTTACCTGGCAGAAAGACACCAAGTAAGTTTCACAGACAGACTAGAATGTGCCTTTAGTTCATTCATTTCAGGAGGTTCCCACGGCCTCTGACTAAAAAGAATTGATCCTCCACTGAATGTCTCTGTCTACCTGAAAGTAGTAACTTATCTCTTCTAAAATACATTATATGGTTCATATTTTTTGTTGATTCCAAACCTCTTTCCTCCAGCAATCATGAACCCATCCTTGGATGATGACGTATTTCCCCGGGATCAGTTTAGTGGTCCCTTTTCTTTGGCCCTCTTTCTTTCCTGTTTCCTGGCAACCTTCTCTAATGGAGGTGAGGACGCCAAGATCAGAGCGAGAAATGGGGAGAGGATCTGGGCAAAGAAGAAAGCAAATCTTATATTTATATCTATTTCCCCCACTTCCCTCCTTCCTATCTCACCATTTCATTCTCTTACTGTCTCATTTCCTTTCACTCTCATTTCCTTGCTTTTATTTTCTTTTTTCCCCCTTCCTCCTCCCTTCTCCTTCTCTCACTTCCCTCCTCTCTCCCTTGCATAGGTCACGAGTACAGTCCATGATTTTGTTTGAAATGTTCTGTGAAAAATATTCCTTAATTAAATCACAAATAATGGCTCTAAGCAGTAGAAGAAGAGAGAGCTCAACTACAACTCTATCCCCAACAGCCTTGGATTACCAAGTGATGAAGGATGGGGAGAGGATGACACAGAGGATGGAGATCGGGGGCAGACATTTGATGCAACTGATTCCATGTAAGCTTCCTAGGACCAAGGTCAGTTAAACGCAAACACACATCTTAACCTGGACAGGCTTTCTGTAGGGCTCCATCCACCTAGCCCACTCCAGCTCTAGTAACTTAGAGGAACACAGAGCCAAGGAGAGCTCTCCCAGCCAGGCTCTCGGTCTGACAACAGCCTAGCCAGTGACCAAGCTGAGTCAGCTACGCCTGCTAGCAGGAACGCAGGCCCCTGTGAGTGCCCAGTGGCCAGCAGAGAGCTCTTCTTATCCCTCTCTATTGCAGACCCTATCAGCTCTTCCCACACCCACCTCCCTCCATCCAGTGTCTCCCTTGCAGGAGACTCTTCCCTCCTCTACTTTTTCCCTGAGTGTTCATCCTGCTCCACAAAATCATGTTCTCAGAGAAGGCATATATTTTAATTGAGATATAATTTACCGTAAAGCCCATAATTTGCCAGGTGTGATGGATCATGCCTGTAATCCCAGCACTTTGCTTGCTCCTACCTGCCTTTTGTCTCCAGTCCACCACAGTAATGACTATTCCCAATAACCTAGATCTTGTCAAAGCCAGTGAGAAATTAATTTATTCATTCAACAGCTACTAAGTGAGCATTATTTTGTAGCAGTATTTGTTTGAGGTTTGGGCATAAAAGTCTGAACAAAATAGAAAAAGATCCCTACCTTCCTGGGGCTTATCTTTCAGAGGGTAATGAGGTTAAAAGTCATCCTTATTTTCATTCTGTCTGCAGGACCCCTCCTTCTGAAACACTTTCTAGCCATGTGACCTTGGGTAAGACAAATTTTCTTTCTTTTTTTTTAGAGGCAGAGTCTCTGTCTGTTACCCTGGCTGGCTGGAAGGCAGTGGCATGATCACAGATCACTGCAGCCTCAAACTCCTAGGCTCAAGTGATCCTCCCACCTCAGCCTCCAGAGTCACTGGAATTATAGGCACATGCCACCATGCCCAGCTAATTTTTAAATTATTTTTTTGTAGAGATGAGGTCTCACTATGTTGCCCAGGCTGGTCTCAAATGCATGGGCTCAAGTGATCTTCCCAGCACAGTCTCCCAAAAAGTTGGGATTATGGGTGTGAGCCACTGCACCTAGCCAAGACAAATTTGTAATACCTCAGTTGCCTCTTCTGTAAAATGTAGATGATCACATCTACCCGAGTGTGGTAATAAGGGTTATTGGGAAGATCCAGGGAGGTACCATGGGACCAGTGCCTGGTACACACACATGCATAGAAATGCCAGTTTCAAAGTCAGATGCAGTAATCCCAGGGTTTTGGGAGGCCAAGGCAGGAGGATCGTTTGAGGCCAGGAATTTGAGACCAGCCTGGGCAACATAGTGAGACGCCATGTCTGAAAAAAAAAAAAAAAAACAGGTACGGTGGCATGTAACTGTGTGCCAGCTACTTGGGAGGCTGAAGCAGGAGAATCCCTTGAGCCCAGGAAGTCCAGGCTCCAGTGAGCTGTGTTCGTGCCACTTCACTCCAACCTAGGTGACAGCGAGACCCTGTCTCAAACAAGAAAAAAAAAGAAAGAAAGAAAGGTCAGTTCCAGTTCTGTGTTTTCCTTACCCCACAAGATCTTTAATTACAAAGTACATAACTTTGTATTAGCTATGCTTGTAATTATAAAGTAACTTTCCAAATAAGATATGCAAAGGAATTAAATTGCCTATAGTGCAACATGAGTTTTTTTAACTTTCAATTTTATGGTCTAAACCAGCTCTCTGATTTACAGACTTGTAATAATCAGTTTCTGCCCATCAGTGCCTGCCAACCCAGGCACAGCCTCGGCTTGTTTACCAAGAACTTATGAACCTTAACAGCCTGGCCAGCAGCCCTGTTCATCACGAATCACATCCTGGGCTCTCCTCTTTCTCTGTCTCTCAATTTTTGATTTTTATAAAATTCCAACTTATGGAAAAGCTGCAAGATGACTGCAAGAGAATGTCAATATCTTTTATCAACATTCACAAATTATTAATATTTTTCCATTCTACATAAGTATTTTTTATGAAACATTTGAGAAATTGGAGATATCATACCCCTTGATTATTAACTTTGGTGTATATTTTTCTTTTTGAAACAGTGTCTCACTCTGTTGCCCAGGCCAGAGTACAGTGGCATCATCATAGCTTACTGCATCCTCTAATTTCTCGGCTTAAGCAACCCTCCCATCTCTGCATTTAGTTGCTATATCTGTAGTCTTCTTTCAACTAGAATGTTCCCCAGCCTTTTCTTTTCTCTTTTTTTTTTCTTTTTACCTTGATATTTTTAAAGAGCCCTGATTGGTTATTGTATAAGGTCATTCTTGCATTGCTATAAAGAAATACCTGAGACTGGATAATTTATAAAGAAAAGAGGTTTAATTGGCTCGTGGTTCTGCAGGCTGTACAGCAAGCATAGCTCTGGCATCAGCTTCTGGAGAGGACTCAGGTAGCTTAAAATCATGGCAGAAGGCGAGGTAGGAGAAGGCAGTTCCCATGGTGAAGGCAGGAGAAAGTGTGTGTGTGTGTGTGTGTGTGTGTGTGAGAGAGAGAGAGAGAGAGAGAGAGAGTTGGCAGGGACTGCCACATACTTTAAATGACCAGATCTTGTGAGAACTCACTATCACGAAGATAGCACCAAGCCATGAGGGATCCACCCCCATGACCCAGACACCTCCCACCAGGTCCCACCTCCAGCATTGGGGATTATAATTCCCAAAATGAGATTGGGGCGGAGACAAATATCCAAACTCTATCAGTTATTTCATTGAATGTGCCTCAAAATCACTTGGTTAATGTGTCTGCCAGGTTTCTCCACTGTGAAGTCACTACATTTCCTTCATAATAATAAATAACTTGTGCATAGACACATTGAAGCTGTATGTATCCTGTTCCTTAATGAAACTTTCATAGCATGGTTTAGTATTATTTGATGCCTTTCCAACTCCATTAATCCTTCTATATTTATTATTAATAGTTGATATTCTATAAGGAAGAGCGTGTCTTCTCCATTTACTCATTCATTTGTCATTACAAACTCACAGATTCTTATTTTAGTCAATGAGTTATAATCTACTATCATGATTTGTTTTAATACTCAAACTGTATCAGCTGAAGCCAGTGGGAGCTCCTTCATGTTGGTCCTGTGTGCTTTTGATAAATCCACATTGCTCTTCATCACTTCCCTACTTTCTGGCACAAAAAGGAGTCTCAGGCTCAATGTATACTCTTTCTTCCCCAACTCTAGGTTTGACCTTTTCTCCAAGGAATTACAATTCCTTTCAGAGGAAACTGATATTTAGAAATCAATATCTGGGTCTAGATGTACTCATTGCTATTACTTTATCATTGCTACTAGACCCTCTCAGCAGATAGACTAAGTTACACATACATGTCTACACACACACACACACACACACACACACACACCCCTATATTAAAAACCATGAGTTTATACTGATACATTTAATTTCAATCCAACAGCACAGGGAACATTCTAGTTTTTTTCTCTTCCCATATGTGTAACTACATTTTCTAACAATGAAAAACCTAGATCTCATTATCTTCAAAATATTTACACTTCTGCTAAAGCCCAGGACACACAAAAAATAGTTTCAGAATTGTCGATTCATTCCACTGTGAAAAGCAAACCAATTTACTGGAGTTCAAATTTTTAAAAAATGTTTCTTAAGGCAAAATATGTATAAAATAAAATGCATGCATCTTAAATATATAGTACACAAATTTTGCAAAATGTGTATGTCCATGTAACCCACAATCCTATCAGTAGATGTAGCCACATTTCCACCACACCAAAAAGTCCCCTTAAACCCAGGTCCCAGGCAATTCCCGAAAAGAGACAACCATTTGTCTGATGTTTTCCACCACAGCCAAGTTTTACCTATTTTTTAAATTTTATGTAAGTGGATTCATACATTAAGTTCTCTTTCGTGTCTGGCTTCTTTGACCCAGCATGATATCTAAGTGATTTTTTTTTTTTTTTTTTTTGAGACTGAGTCTCGCTCTGTTGCCCAGGCTGGAGGACAATGGTGCTATCTCTGCTCACTGCAAGCTCTGCCTCCCAGGTTCACGCCATTCTCCTGCCTCAGCCTCCCGAGTAGCTGGGGCTACAGGCGCCTGCCACCACACCTGGCTAATTTTTTTGTATTTTTAGTAGAGACGGGATTTCACCATGTTGGCCAGGATGGCCTCGATCTCCTGACCTCGTGATCCGCCCACCTCGGCCTCCCAAAGTGCTGGGATTACAGGCATGAGCCACTGCACCGGGCCGATATCCAAGTGATTTATTCATGATATTATATACATAAGTAGTCTATTCCTATTTATTTCTAGTTGTTATTCTAGGGTATAAATATGCTACAAGTTGCTTACACACTTTTCTGTTAATGACTATTTTGGTTGTTTCTAATTGGGGCTATTATAAAGAAGCTGCTATTAGCAAGCTTGTACAAGTCTTTTGGTGGGCATATCTTTTCATTCTCTTTGATATATTTCTAGGAGTAAAATTGCTAGGTTGTTAGATAGAAGCTGCCAATTCTTTTTTAAATGTTATCGTGCCATTTATATACACCCACGAGCATTGTGGGAGTGTCCTGGTTCCTCTGTATCCTTGCCAACATTTGGTATTGTCAGTCTATTAGTTTTAGCAATCCAGACGAGGGTGTAGTGATATGCCATTGTGGCTTTGATTTTGCATTTTCGTGATGACTAATGTTGTTGAGCACATATTTATGTGCTTATTCAAAATGTCTACATCTTTGTTTGCAAGAGGATGGTCAAAGCTCTGCTTATTTTTAATTGTATTTCTTGTCTTTTTATTATTGATTTATAGGAGTTCTCTCTATATATATTCTCATGAAGTCATTTGTCAGCTACATCTTTCTCATTTTTTAAAATAATCTGTGGCTTCTTGGTGTATTTTTTTCATGATGACTTTTGATGAGGAAAAATGCTTAATTGTGACAAAGTCTAATTTATTATTTGTTTTCTTTCTGTTTTTGTGTCTTACCTAAGAAATGTTTAACTACTCTCAGGTTGTGTGGATATTCACTTATATTCTCTTCTGAAACTTTATGTTTTTGACTTTTATGCTTAGGTTTAAGCTCCACCTCAAAATGATTTTTGTATATGCCATAAGAAAGACTCCGAGTTCATTTTTCTTTCCCCAGTGAACTGCTTTTGGTATCTTTGTCTAAAATCATTCGGCTACATAAGCTTGAGTCTACTGCTGGACTCTATGCTGAGGGGTGCTCAACTCAGGGGCCACAGATGAGTACCAATCCGTGGCCTGTTAGGAACTGGGCCACACAGCAGGAGATGAGCGGCAGGTGAGCAAGTGAAGCTTCATCTGTATTTACAGGCACACCTCATCGTTTACATTCCCGCTGGAGCTCTGCCTCCTGTCAGATCACCAGTGGCATTAGATTCTCATAGGAGCATGAACCCTATTGTGAACTGCACATGTGAGGGATCTAGGTTGCGTGCTCCTTATGAGAATCTAATGCCTGATAATCTGTCACTGCCTCCCATCACCCCTGGATGGGACCACTGAGGTGCAGGAAAACAAGCTGAGGGCTCCCAGTGATTCTACATTGTGGTGAGTTGTATAGTTATTTCTTTAGATATTACAATATAATAATAATGGAAATAAAGTGCACAATAAATGTGGTGCATTTGAATCATCCTGAAACCATTCCCCACCCCTTCGTGATCTGTGGAAAAATTGTCTTTCATGAAACTGGTCCCTGGTGCCAAAAAGGTTGGGGACCACTGCCCTAGGCTGTAGCACTGATTCAATTGTCCTTCTGTGCACGCAATTCAATTGTCAACCGTGTCAATTGTCAACCGTGTCAACTGTCAACTGTGCACACATCACACTTTCTTGATAAAGTAGCTTTATGAGAAGTCAGATAAGTAAGGTAGCATTAGTTCTCCAAAGCTGTTCACTTCACCAAAATTGCTTACATATTCTATCGTCTTTGCGCTGCCACTTTCAATTTTCCTTTCTTTCTTTCTCCTTTCCTTCCTTTCCTTCCTTCCTTCCTTCGTTTCTTTCTTTTCTTTCTTTCTTTCTTTCTTTCTTTCTTTCTTTCTTTCTTTCTTTCTTTCTTTCTTTGTCTCTCTCTCTCTCTCTCTCTTTCTTTCTTTCTTTCCTCTCTCTTTCTTTTTTTTCAGCCTCTCTGTCTGTTGCCCAGGCTGGAGTGCAGTGGTGTGATCTTGGCTCACTTCAGCTTCAACTTCCCAGGCCCAGGTGATCCTCCCACCTCAGCCTCCTGAGTGTACACCACCATGCCTGGCTAACATTTAAGATATTTTTTGTAGAGATTAAGTTTCAACACATTGCCCAAGCTGGTCTCCAACTCCTGGGCTCAAGCAATCTACCTGCCTCAGCCTACCAAATTGCTGAGATTACAGGTGTGAACCACCACACCTGGCCCCCATTTACATATTAAAAGCAGATTTTATCCATTTATTTGTTTAATAAAGGCTTCTGGAATTATGATTGGAAGTGAATTGAATCTATAGATCAAATTAGGAATCACTGACATTTTAATAACGTAAACTCCTCCAATCTATGAACATGATACATTTCTACATTTATTTAGGTGATTTTTAATTTTAATCAGCAGTAGCTTATGGTTTTCAGTAGAGGTCTTGCACATTGTTTTCATTAAATTTAGCCTGGGATAGTTTATATTTTAGGTGTCACTGTAAGTGGAAGATTCTTATTTCAGTTTCTAATTGCTGCTAGAATGTAAAATTATAATTAATTTTTTTGTGTACTGACATTGATCATATGATCATGCTAAATTCATTTGTTAGTTCCACTAGTTGTTTTATTGATGCCTTTGGATTTTTCTCTTAACTAATCATGCCATCTGAAAATAGATACAGTTTTACTTCTTTCCTTCTGAACTTATGCATTTCATTTATTTTACTTGTCTTATTGCACTGGCCAGAAACTCCAGTTCAAGGTTGAATAGGAGTGAATGGAGCTAGCTCCATTATTCACTATTGCTATTTCAACCACTAGTGACATCACCATCACCACCCATAGCCTCCTCACTCCCAGCACATTACCTTATCCCCTAAAGAGAAATTAGAAGCAGGTGAGAAAAACCTCAAGTTTTTTTTTCTAAAACTGACCGGCATTCACACTCTGGTGGCTTCATAATTAAGCTAAGTGGAACTGAATTTCCTAGAATCCCCTTCCCTGGCTGCTCCCAGTTGGGCCTCAGGAGAGACCTGAAGGAAGAGCTGGAGCATGGGCCGTCATGCGGCTCACACATGTTGTTGATCTGTTGACTTGTCCTGGCAAGTGGCAGCAGCTGGACTTGCAACAGTTCCTTCCCCTGAATCCTCTTTCATTGCCTTTGGCTCTTGGGTCAGGTGCCTATGTTTGCCTAAGGGCCCCTGGCTTTTGCAGGACACTCATATCATTAATATCAGGGACCAAAACAAACAAACAAAAAACAAAAACCCTAATGCAAGTCTCCATCTGTCCTCCGTCTGGAGTGTGGCTCCACTCACAGCTTTGGGTTCCAGCTTGTTTTTTATTTCCTCTACTTTACACCCATCTTCCCTTTCTTATTTCTTCTGCTATGAACTTCAGGTTCCAACATAAAGTGCCTAGCTCCCGACTGATCCCCGACTGGTGCACTTCTGCATCCTTTCCTCCTCCTGTCTTATCTATCTTCCAATATATGATATGGTTTGGATTTGTGTCCCTACCCAAATCTCACGTCAAATCTCATGTCAAATTGGCGGAGGGGCTTGGAGGGAGGTGATGGGAGGGGCAGATTTTCCCCTTGCTGTTCTCATGATAGTGAGTGAGTTCTCACGACATTTGATGGTTTAAAAGTGTGGCACTTCCCCTGTCTCTTTCTCCTTCCACCATGTGAAGAAGGTCCTTGTTCCCCTTTGCCTCCCATGGTTGTAAGTTTCCTGAGGCCTCCCAGTCATGTTTTCTGTTAAGCCTGCAGAACTGTGAGTCAATTAAGCCTCTTTTCTTCATAAATTACCCAGTCTCAGGTAGTTCTTTACAGCAGTGTGAAAATGGACTAACACACATCCCTATGCTCAGAATCTCATTATCTCCCACCTGCATCCACTAGTAACCCTTTCTTCTTTCCCTTAAGCTTCTCTCTCTCTCTCTTTTTTGGTCCATTGTATCATTTTAAAAGCAAGGTTCAAGTCTCTCCCATCTTAAAACAGGAATACCAAAATAAACAAAACAAGTAAGCAAACAAAAATAAAATGTCAAATTCCCTGAACATCTCATTTGTCTCTTCTCTTATTGCCCGATGGTAGCCTGTAGCAATCTCAGGGTCTGTAATTTCCCACACCTGTTCACTCACCTACTTCTGATAATCTGGCTTCTGCTCCATTACTTCTGTGAAATTCCGTCATTTTCTATAGTTCAGGGATCCTCCCCCCAGAAAAACTCTTCTGGTCCTGTTGTGACCTTAAACAGAGAAAATTAAATCTAATTCTAAATAACTTGGCTTGTTACTATATTTGTGAAGTCAAGAACTTCCATCCGGGAAAGCAATGTGATGTCTTGGGCTAGTCTCAGAGGAACTATTTTGACCCAAGCTTGTACTGATCATGGAAATCCAGGTTATATCAAGAAGGTAGGCTTGGATAACTGTATTTCATACAGTCCTAGAATGTTGAAGTCATTAAGACATTAAACATAAAATATTGCACCACAATGAGGTGACCGCAGAAATTGAGAGCCAGTGCTTAAAAGCTTTTATGGCAATTTCGCAAAATAATTTTGAGTCTAATAAATCTAAAAAAAGGACTTGTCTTGATTTCATTTTTCTAGTAATTCACTGTTTTGTAAATTTTTTTGCAAGTATTGGTCTGTGAAGTATTAGAGGAAAATGCTCCTTTTCCAAAGATAGCTTAAGAAACACTGTTTTAGGATACATTTGTTTGGTGCTCAGAATCTCCATGGGTCACTCAATTTTTCTTCTTTCCTGGTCCAACACCTGCATCGCTGACTTTAAAGATCTTACATTTTCTAGCTTTTTCAACCTGAGGGGATTCTAGATTCCTGCAGAGAAATAAGAGGTTAGAGACAAGAAGGACCCATATGAAGATGTCCTGAAGCAATTAGCTCCATGAATGGGAGGAACAAAAAGAAGGTGTACTGAGATACTTGGGCAGTTAAATGCTTCTGCCTTAAGTCAGCTGCTAATCCCCTAGGGAAGATGGAGTCTGAGAGAAAGTTATAAATTGTCTCTCTCTGTCTCTCTCTCTCTCTCTTTTTTTTTTTTTTTTTTTTTTTTTGCTATCTGTAACTAAACTTGAGATTTGTTAACATTCCCCACTGACAGCCTCCTTGTTATTTCCATGATCAATACAAGCTTGGGTCAAAATAGTTCCTCTGAGACTAGCCCAGGATATCACATTGCCTTCCCCAATGGAAGTTCTTGACTTCACAAATATAGTAATGAGTCAAGTTATTTAGAATTAGATTTAATTTTCCTTGTTATGAAATATAATGGAAAACCACATATTGCATAATTTCATTCATATGAATTTTCCAGAATAGGTGAATTTGTAGAGACAGAAAGCAGATGAGTGGTTGGAAGGGCCTAGGGAGAGAGGAGAATTAGGAGTAACTGCTTAATGGGTACAGAATTCTGCTTAGGGTGATAAAAATGTTCTGGAACACGATAGTGGTGAGGGTTGCACAACATCATGAATATACTTAATGCCACTGAATTGTACTCTTTAAAATGGCTAAAATGATAAATGTCTTGCTATGTGTATTTTACCACAATAAAAAGAAAATCTAATACAACTTTTCAATCTCTATTGTACTTAACTTCTTAGGGCAATTATACTCAATCACTCATTCCTTCTTTGACATCTTCTCTTCTCAAGGCTTTCAGGACCCTGTAGGTGCCCATCATTTTAATATCCTTTCCAAAGCTCCGCTGACTTTCTGATTCATCTCCCTAGCCCTTAATGTTGGTTTTCCTTGGGAAATAGTTCTATTCTTCTTATTGTTATTACACTGAGCACATTCTTTCGGATCTCTCACCCAATCCCGTGGCTTATTTTCTATTTCCATATGCATCTTTTGCCCACCCACTCTTGGGAGCTCTAGATCCTTATGCTAGCTGTCTCTTGGGCCCCCTACAAGGTTATCTAGAAAGCATCTCAAGTTCAACATGTCCAAAACCTAACTGAACATTCCTCCCACCTCCTCCAAATCTGCTCATCCTCCAGCTTTCCCTGGAATCCTACAGTATTCCCTACTTTACTAACTGTGTTACTTTGGGAAGGTTTCTGAAGCCAACATTACCTGTCAGGGTCATGGCCAGAAAAAGATAGCCTTTGCAAAGAGTTTATTGATGGAATTCTGTGCAAAGGTATGGGCAGGCTTAGGAAAACTGATGAGGAAGGTTGAAGCCCCCTGGGCTAGGAACCACAGAGTTAACATAACTCCCAAGTGCAGGAAGATGGAGAATTTACCAGACTTCAGCAAGAGCTATAAGACAGAACCACCTAACAGGCGGTATACTCTTAACTCATTTATGCTGGAGGTTGCAATTTGTTGAATTTTTGCAATCAGACCTTGGCAATGACCTTTAGCAGTAGGATATAAATAACACCCACATGCTTAGTGTTCCAATAATGGAACACTAGGCATAAATGAGTTTAAGTAGCAGAACCCAGTCCCCGCAACTCACAACCCACCAGTGATGGAGGCAGAAGAAGAAGTACCTAGATCGCTCTTCCCTCCCATAACCCAATCTCTTGCTGGTCCTCTCATTGGCTGAACCCAACCAGAAGCCAAGTGGCCAGGAAACCTGGTTGAAGCAGCCATAGAGTCCAGTCTCCAGGTCACAGAGCAGAGTGGAGAAGGGTGGAAATAAATCTGGAGGGACAAAAATGGAATATTCAGTATACTCAGTATGCCTCAGTGTTCTCATATATAAAACACAGATTAGAATGATACCCACACTAATGGATCTTCTGTGGGAAGTAAATGCAGCGTCCAGCATAAAAACTCAGAAAAAGTAGTTACCATGTTTCTTTCCTTCCTTCTTGTTCACCTAATTAAGCGAACAAAAAATTGCTTGAATAAAAACTTCTAGCTTCAGGGGAAGGTAACTGTCCAAAATAGGTCCAGTAAGTTGTAGGTGGTACAATTTGTATAACAGTATGATTTGCTTATCGACATCTGTTCTTTCAGGAAACTGAGAGGTAATTTTCTTACCAGTTAGGTACTGATTTCTTATATGCAAGAAATATCTAAAAGCATCCATCATACATTGTGATGCTGACTTTATGCAGACCATGAAACTCAATGGTCTGTTCAGGTTATTTCTGGAATCCATAAATGAGTTCAGATTCATTTGCTCTGAATTTTATTAAAAACTAGATCTTTTATCATCATCTCATGTCAAGTTGGCCTTGTGTTAGTTGTTTAAAGTATTTAAAAAAGTAATTATATCTATGAATATATAATACTTAATATACAGTTTAATCAGAAAATGTACACTGTTGTAAATGTGAAATATTCACAATCATATAAAGTGTATAAAATTATTTGTAGTTCCTCTACCCTCAAAAACACTATATAAATACAGCATTTTATATATTATACAGTAAATATTGAAAATTATATATTTTATTACATATTACCATGTAAAGGTTTTTGAGTCAGACAGCATCGGTTAAAACAAATTTGGCTGTATGCTAATTCTGTGATCTTGGAAAATTTATGTATCCTCTCTCAAATGTATTTATCTTGTAAAATGAGGACAATGATGTCAAATTCACAGGGTTATTATGAGGATTAAATGTGAAACTATATATGAGATGTCCTGGTATTGTGCCTAACAGACAATGTGTGCTCCATAAATATAGGATATTATTATTATTATTATTATTATTATTATTATTATTATTATTATTATTTTAGACAGAGTCTCACTCTGCTGCCCAGGCTGGAGTGCAGTGGCACAATCTCGGCTCACTGCAACCTCCACCTCCTGGGTTCAAGCAATTCTCCTGTCTCAGCCTCCTGAGTAGCTGGGACTACAGGCGCACCACCACGCCCAGCTAATTTTTGTATTTTTAGTAGATACAGGGTTTCACGAGGTTGGCCAGGCGGGTCTTGAACTCCTGGCCTCATGTGATCCACCTGCCTTGGCCTCCTAAAGTGAGATTTTATTATTATAAAAATGATTCTGTTTATAAATTGTTAACGTTTAATAAATGGGTCATTGCTTTATCCCCCCCAAAAGAGTTGTATCTGGAAGCAAGAATTAGGAGTAAACAGAAAACTACACTTTTAAGGTAGTCTTTACCAAAGAGGGAAGGAGAGATTTTGGCTAGACATGGGGATGTTTTCTAGATACTTCTTGTTGCAGAAAGATTTCTTCCTCGTTGTCACTTACAACATACTCCTCTGAAGACAGATTTCCAGGGAAGGCCTGTCATTGCATCCTCATCTCTACCAGCTCTCGGGGGATCAGTGGTCATTTTTCTTCCATTTCTCACTGTCAGCCCGAGGACTCAGAGACATTATCATCTCGTCTGTGTAGCACTTTCCAAGATGAAACGTCTATGGGCATTTCACACATGCAAAGAAATAAGGTCAGAAAACAATCAAGAGAAGGCCCTAAATAGTCAGTCTTGTTTGTCTCCTATACTTCTGAGGCTAAATTGAGGGATAGAATTAAATCAACGGATGAAAAGTAAAATGAAATTTTAAAGGGTATGAGGAAATGGATTCTATTATCATGCTCCCTTGACCAAACTCTCCATTAAAAAACAGCCAGATAGGAAAGTGGTATTAAATCAGAGTCATGAGTGGACTACAGGGACATAATAATATTGGTAAATGTAATATTAACAGTGGCTATGGTTTTGGAAGGTTTACTCTGCACTAGATATGACTCCGAATGCTTTCTATATATGAGCTCTTAAATCTTCAAAATAATTCTGTGAAATAAGTACTATTATTTTCTAGATTTTTTTCCAGATGAGGAAACCAAAATAGAGAAGGCAAAAAACGTGCCCAAGGTCACACAGCTAATAAGTATCAGAGCCAGGATTCAGAGCCAGGCAGTGAACGCTAGCATAGAGACAGCGGTGCACTGATTCTGACCTCTCTCGCGGACGAAAACTCAGCCTTGCGGATAGGAGTTTAAAGAGCAAGGAGACTCTGATATTTATAAACATTCCCTAAAATAGAAGCACATGCATTATTAGTGTAAGTTATTCTGGGAAGTGGGGGGAGTTGTGTAAGCCCCAAGAATAACCAGACAATAGCACAGAAATGACCGTGCTGTTTTCATATTCTGGCAGTGACCTACCTGCCCAGACATTCTCATTAACAGACAAATGTCATGTTAGGGGATCAGGGACCCGGTAAACTTCTGTCTGGGCCTTATTATGACTGTTCCTCCTTATCTGGTCACATTGCACTCTTGAAAAGTTTCAGGCCGTGCACGGTGGCTCACACCTGTAATCCCAGCAATTTTGGAAGGCCAAGATGGGAGAATCACTTGAGCTCAGGAATTTGAGACCAGCCTAGACAACATAGTGAGACCCTGTTTCTTCAAAAAATAAAAATAAAAATTTAGCCACGTGTAGTGGTACAAGCCTGTAGTCCCAGATACTCAAGAGGCTGAGGTGGGAGAATCGCTTGAGACTGGGACTCAAGCAGTCTCAAGCAATTGCAGTGAGCCACGTTCACACCACTGCACTCCAGCCTGGGTGACAGAGAGAGACCCTGTCTAAAAAAATTAAAAGTTTCAAATTTTTGGCTAATAATCCATGCCATCTATAGTAAGTCTTGGCATGCATCAGTATAGTATACAATCCACCTGAAATGCTGCAAATAGTTAATCCTATGGGCCTTTTAGAGCCTTGATTCTTAAAGCGTGGTCTGTGGCCCAGCAGCACCTGAGGGCTTATTAGAAATGCAGTCTCAGGCCCTACCCTAGGCTTACTCTACTGGGTAGAACTGTGTCTCCCAAAAGATACATTCACTTAGTACCTTAGAAGGTGACTTTATTTAGAATAAGAACCTTTGCAGATGTAATTAATGTAAGGATCTAGGGATGAATTCACGCATACTGCTGTCCTTATAGCAGAGAAGAGGACACAGAGACATACAGGGGGAAGAGACACAAGTGAAGATAGAGGCAGAGATGGGAGTAAGGTGTTTACAAGCAGAGGCTGACATCTACCAGAAGCCAGAAGAAAGGCACAGAATAGATTCTCCCCTGGAGCCCACAGAAGGAACCAACCTGGCAGACGCTTTTATTTTAGACTCCTGACCTCCAGAACTAACAGAGAATAAATTTTTGTTTTTTTAAGCCACCTCCTTTGAGGCAATTTGTTATGGCAGCCCTAGGAAATTAACACACGTGCTGAATCAGAGTCTGCATTTTAACAAATTCCCAGGTGATCCAAATGCATATTAAAATTTAGGAAGCACCGCTGGAGCATTTACAATCTATGTTGAAATCTATCACTTTTTCAATCTGTTTTAAGGGTTTAGCTTAAGACTTGGTTTTCAAAGGAAATCTCACTAAACGGAGGGAAGTGATTCAGCTCTGCTAGAGTCAGGGGGTTGATGGGAGAGGCTGAGAGTGGCTTGCTTGGCTTCTTGCTGCCGACCTCAGCCCCTGCAGTGCCTGCTGAGTTCTATAACAACTTGTGTGTGTGATCGGTTGAGTCATGAACTGCTCCTGTCATGTAAGCAAGGTCGTGGTGCTAAAAAAAAAAAAAAATGAAACTAGAACTCAAACCCGCTGCTTAGGACCCAAATTCGTTTCACTTTTTAAAATTGCATTTTTCTTTTTTCCTCTAATCCCATAAAATCTTTCTCAGACAGGATGTAAAACTTACAGGAAGATCATCCTCTTTAATCACTGGTGGGAATTTTGAGTTTTATTGGGAGTAGGATTCGCATCCAGATATTGGTGTAATTTATGGTCTCACAGTAATGGCTGTTTCTTTGCAAACTGGACTCACATGGGGAGCAAATTGCTATCTCTGATTTTGTTAGAGATTACCCCCTACCTAGGACTACCTACCATGAACTGGGTACCATGAATAGCTTCCCCCTCCCTAGAATGTAGTCAGAGGCAAGATAGGTTTACAGACTTTCAGTTCGTTGGTCTCCCAGGCCAACTTAAGCAAGAAGGTCACTGCTCAGATCTTTGTGCAGTCAGCAGCAACTTTCCTGAGCCAGTTACTGAATACCGCTGGGTACCTATGTAAGTCACACAAGTCCTTCCCCATGCCTTGCAGAAGCATGGACTAAGAGCTAGGTCCCTGGAGACAAACCATGTGAGTCCCCACCCTGCCTTTTATTAGCTCTGTGACATAGGAAACTCTAGAGTTTCCTATACCCTAGATAATACTGGTGCTTGCATTATAAGGTGACTTTCAGGAATGAGTTAACACATATAATGCGCTTAGAACATGGCCTCGCACAAGCACACGAGAAAGCCAGCTGTTCTTACGCCTCCCTACCCTTGTAGTCCTTGTATTAACAAGTCTGCCTTTGCAGCACTCTACAGGGGAAGGATGTAGATGTTGCCCAGCTCTGACTGTGTTTAGTACATTTCATGTCTCACTAGTCACAAAGCCTTCATTCAACCTGTAATTATGAATCCACTGGACTCACTACTTTACCTGATTTCTCTAGCTCTGAAATTCCTCAGCTAATATATACCATAAAAGAACGGTCGCTATTTTAGCGTATCTTTAATCCTATTCACTTATAAGCCATTCCTCTGATTTCACTGCCATCTTTCACCTTCACACCTGATACCTGTTCAGCTGTATAGGTTTCTAGGTGGCCTTCCATCTACAGGACTCAAACCCTAGTGCTTAGTCCCAGGCATTAACCAGAATTATTTTGGGCTGAAAGGAAACTTGGAAACCAATAAATTCAATGACCACACTTTTAAGACGAAGAAACTGAGAGACAAGGAGAAAGGGAAAGGTAATTGAAGCTATAGCACTTTACCTAGATTATGACTTACTAGGCTGGTTTTCTTATTCTCCACTGACCAATGACAAATGTGAGGTTCAAAGAGAGCTGTATAATTTGCCCAGGGTCATACAGTTGGAATGTGGTAAATTCAAGATTTGAACTGGCCCTTCCTGTTTCCAAAGCGTATGTTGGTCATTTCACTAAATCATGTGACTTAGCTGCCATGTGATTTACCCGAGGTCACAGAGCTCAGAGAGCGTCTGGGATTTGGATGCAACACTGGCCACCAGCCCCCAACCCACTTCAGTTTGGCCTATAGCAAGGCCTTTTAAAATATGGGGTTTTAAAATCTGCTCAAGTTATATGAATGCTTGAAAGGAAGACTCGCCGTTCTTACAGCAGAATATTAAATGTTGCTCATGCAGAAGGCATCATCTGATAAAACAGCTACTTAGAGTTTGTTAAATCCAGGCATTGTGATAAACTACTGCTTACCATAAAAGAATGTATTTATAAAACCATGAGAGTGAGCATATCAGAGTGGATACTAAATTCTCTTTCTCTTCTCTTTACAGAAATGTTTTTCCTTCTCAGCAAGCAGAAGGGCAGTAGGGTGGAGGGCTGATGTTGCCACCTCAAGTTTCCAATTTGATTTAGGGGTCGTTCCTGTGAGCTAGCCACTCCCTTCCTGCCTCTCTGAGCTCTGGGAGCCAGGAAAGAGAGTTTGCTTTTTTTCTAGTGGTCTTGCATGCTGACCTTGACTTACTGCAAGAGACAATGGCAGGGATGATCAATATCACAGCAGCAGCCATTTGTAAAACTATTATGGGCCAAGAATTG
Source organism: Homo sapiens (assembly GCF_000001405.40). Taxonomy (NCBI): domain Eukaryota; kingdom Metazoa; phylum Chordata; class Mammalia; order Primates; family Hominidae; genus Homo; species Homo sapiens. Next base: position 9,610,287 of record NC_000016.10, on the reverse strand, counting down.
TGCAAAGGACTTTTCAAGCAGCATCCCATTTGATCTGCCAGCAACCCAATGAAGTAGATAATCTTACCATCTCCATTTAACAGATGAGGAGACCGAGGCTTAAAGAGGTAACATGGCTTGGTGATGGTTACCCAGCTAGAAAATGACAAAACTGGAATCCGAACCCAGGTCTGCCTAACTCCCAAGACCCTACTTTTAATTTCAGCTCTACTCTGACCAGCTCTGTGGCCTTGGGCAAGCTACTATCACGAATCTGAGCCTGTCTTATCTGTAAAATGAGGGCAAGAAAATTAGCTCACTTACAGGTTTGTTTTGATGATTAAATTAATCTATGTATCATGCTCGGCACAGTGTTGGGTGTATAATAAGTGCTCAATAAGTACCAGCTATTATTACTATAAACTACAGGGAATCCATCCTGCCACTGTAAGGGGTCTGCTGATGTAATGTTTTGATAAGATTAGTGGGATTTCTTTTAAAGTGCTCTACTGAAGCTCCTGCTGCTGGCCTTCTGGAATGACAGTGAGCTGAATAGCTCCTAAACACTTCTGGGCAACCTGATGATGTCCATGGGCTTCCCAACACCCAGACTGAGTGGATCAGTGGCTTCGCTTCCCTTTCATGGCTGAGCTCCGCTTCAGGACCCTGGAAGTGACAGGAATCCCCCTGACCCCTGGCATGGTCTGCCTGCTGTTGCAAGCATTATGGAGAAAGTGACTCTTGTCATGTGTGCCCTGTTCTTCACCCACATCTTTGCCCACTGGATACCATCTGAATGGGATCCATTCTGGATTCAATGGGAAGAACTTTGGAGGTTTACTTGGCTCCCATGACACTGTCTGCTCACTTTGGTAGGGTGACTTTGACCATAATTCATCCATCCATTCATTCAACAAACATTTTTTTTGTGTGCCAAATTTGTCATGGCTCTATTAGTTAAAAATTGTCCCATTTGGGAAACAATTCTGCATGATATCCCAGGGTCAAGTCTAGATCTCTCTTTGAAATCATGTTTTCATATAAAAATACATTCATGTCATTTTTCTGCTTATCCATGGCTTCCCATGGCCCATTCAGTGAAGGACAAACCTTGGCCCTACCGTCCTTTCCATTCTTACCTTGGCCACTCTCCTCCATCATAAAGGGCTCCATCACGTTCCCCAGTTTTAGAAAACAGCAAGTTCTTACTGACTTCACCCCAGGGCCTTTGCCCATGTTGTGTCCTCACCCTGGAACATGCTCCCCTGCCTCCTCATCCTTCAGGTTTCAGTTTTCCCCACTTCTCTGACTCCCTGTCACACATTTCCAGGGGGCCATGCATATTTTCTTGTGAGTCCACCCCACAAGTTTAATTAATTATTATTTCAGCAATTATTCGTTTAATGGCTGTGTCTTTGTATGGGTTCCCTTAAAATCAGAGCCTGACTACAGCTGGCTTATTTGGGATGGCAAAGGAGGAAAATATAAGAATGTTATACAACATAAATAAGTTCCAGATATTTACTTTATAACATGGGACATATGGTTAACAATGCTGTATTGTATACTTAAATATTTGCTAGGAGGGCAGATCTTACGTCAAGTGCTGTCACCTCAAAAAGAAAACGATACACAAAGAAGGGGGACAGGAGGAAACTTTTGGAGGTGGTGGAGATGTTTATGGCATTGATTGTGATGATGGTTTCATGGATATATACTTATCTTCAACACATCAACTGTATACAGTAAACATCTTCAGCTTTTTGTATGTCAACCATAGCTCAATAAGGTGATTTTGAAAGAGTGAACGTGTCATTGAGCACATAGAATTGAGGCATCAATGGCACTTGGTAAAAGCCAAGTTCTGCAGTAGACTGTAAGTTTAATGATGGAGGGGCTGTCTTTTTGTGATTTTTCTGATTTATTTCCAATGCTCAGTTGCTCTGCCTGAGACATAGTAGACGCTCAATAAATGTTTGACCAATAAATGACTAAATCAACTAGCCAATCAATCAGTGCATGATACTTGAGACCAGGAATGCAAAAGGGTGTTGTCTGAGATGAGAGAAAGACATAGTCATTAGGAATTGCAAAGACTTGGGAACTGGGATATCTACTGTAATACCCTGGACAGCATCCATTTAGGAGTTGATTTTTACCATCCTCTGGCTATTGTGCCAGGCCTGGCAATCAGAAAACAAAATATTGTCATTTATGGAAAACAGAAAAGTAAGATTGTAGGTTATTTTATGAAATCATTTGAGTCCTGAGTTTTGGCATCTGGCCAGCACTTTTGATTCATACTAGCAGGGTCCATGTGATTCAGCATGAGTAAATATGGGGGTATTGATATAAGTGTATTGGAGGGAGATTTGGAAGTAAATAGCTTTGACCATGTGGTTTGATGCTGAAGCCAAAACCTATTGCACTACTTAAATTTGAATTAATTTAATTTAAATTAAAATGTTAATTCCTCAATCACACTAGCCACATTTCAAGTGCTTAATAGCCTCACGTGGCTGGTGGAAACAATATTAGACATAGAAAGTGCTATTGAAGAGAGTGAGTCCAGGGCTTTTAGTCATCAGTATTACGTCACTCAACCCCATCACTGTGACTGTTCAGGGTGTTTTCTTATTCAAGGACTTTTCAATTGTTGAACACCTATTGCCCAGCACCAGAAAGGACACATTTCATATATTATCTCCCTCAATGCTCCCATTTTGGAACTGAGGGTATTAGATCTTTGAAGGATCAAGTAACTTACCCATTGCCATTTTGCTTGGGCTTTGTAGACAGAGCCGGGATCTAAGACCAAGGCTACTGGATTCTAAGCCAGGGCTGTTTCCATAGTAATCAATTTCCTCTCACTGAAGCGTTGCTACATTTGTGTGGACTTTACTATAGGCATCTAAAATATTTGGATTGAAGGAGCCTTGAAGGTAAGTAACTCACCCAGTGCTGCAGTTCCCTACTCTACAACACACGTGAGTAGTTGGATTCAGGGCAAGTTTGATGCCTTGTCAATGTGACTCTTTCTTTTTCTTTTTTTTTTTTTTTTTTTTTTTTTTTTGAGACACAGTTTTGCTCTGTAGAATAGGCTGGAGTGCAGTGGCACAATCTCGGCTCACTGCAACCTCTGCCTCCTGGGTTCAAGCGATTCTCCTGCCTCAGTCTCCCAAGTAGCTGGGATTACAGGCGCACACCACTATGTCTGGCTGATTTTCGTACTTTTAGTAGAGACGGGGTTTCACTATGTTGGCCAGGCTGGTCTTGAACTCCTGACCTCAGGTGATCCACCTGCCTCGGCCTCCCAAAGTGCTAGGATTACAGGCATGAGCCACCGCGCCCCGGCCCACTGTGACTCTTATGTAAATCCATGTCTACATAACTGGCTTTCAGCTGAGTGTTTTCCAATGCAAGAGAGATGGCTAAAACCCTATTAGTCTTTGACCTAATTCATAATACTTACTACGCATAGAAATACACAACCACAAACTAAGACTGACAACGGTTAAATTTGCACAGAGTAAAATTTGTTATAGCAGGAAAACTGACTGAAAAAAGTCACAGCATTTTGACAATACTGAAATCTACAAAAAGAAAATCACCCAAGGAAAAAATTAGACTTGGTATAATGATTAACAGAAAATAAAACTGACAGCTGCTAAAACGGTACATGGTAAAGCCTATTGTTGACTAAAAATTGTGGGAAGAATAAAATATTCTTGACAAAGTTTAGACATGCAAAATTCTACCTGGGAAAATTTGATTTGGTAGAAAACGTTAGTAATGACAGCTTTTAACTGGCTACCACTAATCAGAGCTTTCTCTGCATCAGCCAGTATGATAAACATTTCCTATGGTTTATTTTATTAATACTCAAGAAAGATTTGGAGATTGACATTAATGTTACTCTCACTTTATAGTTGAAAAAAACGGAAGGAAAGAAAGGTATGGAACTTGCCCAGATGGATCAGACAGCTAATAAAAATGAGGTTAAAGCCGGGCGCATTGGCTCATGCCTGTAATCCCAGCACTTTGGGAGGCCAAGGTGGGAGGATCATGAGGTCAGGAGTTCAAGACCAGCCTGGCCAACATAGTAAAACCCCATCTCTACTAAAAAAATATAAAAAATCAGCTGGGCCTAGTGGTGGGCATCTATAATCCCAGCTATACGGGAGGCTGAAGCGGGAGAATAGCTTGAACTCGGGAGACGGAGGTTGCAGTGAGCCCAGATTGCGCCATTGCACTCCAGCCCTGGCGACAGTGTGAGACTCTGTTTAAAAAAAAAAAAAAAGATGGTTAAACTGAACCCAGGAAATTTGGTTACACAGTCTTGCTCTGTTGCCCAGGCTGGAGTGCAGTGGCACGATCTCGGCTCACTGCAACCTCCACCTCCTGGGTTCAAGTGTTTCCTGCCTTAGCCTCCCGAAAAATGAAATATTTTTGAACCTCGTATTTTGAAATAATTTTCTCTTTAAATTTTTTGTACAGATGGAGTCTCCCTATGTTGCCCAAGCTGGTCTCAAACTCCTGGCCTCAAGTGATCCTTCTCATCTCAGCTTCCCAAAGTTCTGGGATTGGAGGCATAAACTGCACCTAGCCAAAATAATTTTTAACACAGAGGAAAAATGAAGAAATAGTTTGATAAAAGTTTTTGAACCATTTGTGAATGAACTGAAGACACAATGCCCCATTATTCCCAAATATTTTGGTAATTCCCACAACAAATATATTCTCCTAAATAACTGTAGTACAACTATCAAAATCAGGAAATTAGCATTGATGCTTTTCTGCTGTCTAATCCATGGATCAATTCAAATATTGCAATTGTCTTAACCCTGTCCCATCACCAATCTCCTGCCATTACTGTCTCCCTCCCTTTCTGGGCTCTACCCAAACAAGGGCTGCTGCCCCCTCACCACTTGCCTGCCCACTTTGCTTAGTCCAAACTAATGTCTTGAGGAAGAGAGGGAGTATGAGAGGCAGGGGAGGAGGAAAAGAGGCAGAGACAGAGTAACGGAAGGAGAGAAGGAAGGAAGGGGGAAAGGAAGGAAGGAAAGGAGGGAGAGAGGGCGAAAGGAAGGAGGGAAGAAGAAGAAAGAAAAAGTAGGGAAGGAAAGGAAGACAAACTAATTTTAAGAGAAAAAAAGGCCAGAGCGATGGCTTCTGCCTGTAATCCCAGAGCTTTGGGAGGCTGAGGAAGGAAGATTGCTTCAGGCCAGGCGTTCAAGACCAGTCTGGGGAACACAGCAAGACCCTATCTCTACAAAAAAATAAAAAATCAGCCAGATTTGGTGGTGCATGCCTGTTGTCCCAGCTACTAGAGAGGCTGAGGCTGGAGGATTGCTTGAGCCCAGAAGATCGAGGCCGCAGTGAGCTGTGATTTCGCCACTGCACTCCAGTCTGCATGACAGAGCAACAAGCTGTGTCAATAAATAAATAAAAGAGAAAAAGAACTGCAATATATTGGAAATTGATGACATAAATTGATTCGATAGAATCCATATCAGAAGTACTATATCAATATAAATATATCATGTGGGAATAATTATAATTAAAGGTCTGTATTTAAAACGTAGAGTCAAATACCCCAGAAAGCAAAATTTTAAAAAATATTTTCAGGTGGGAATGGGGAGAAGAGGTTAAATATTCACCAGATTAAAAGGTAGCATCGCTGAGTGTGGTTGCTCACACCTATAATCCCAACACTTTGGGAGGCCGAGGTGGGCAGATCACCTGAGGTCAGAAGTTCGAGACCAGCCTGGCCAACATGGTAAAATCCCGTCTCTACTAAAAACACAAAAATTAGCCAGGGATAGTGGCGAGCACCTGTAATCCCAACTACTCGAGAGGCTGAGGCAAGAGAATAGCTTGAACCTGACAGCAGAGGTTACAGTGAGCCGAGGTTGTGCCACTGCACGCCAGCCTGGGTGACAGAGTGAGAAAGGAGAGAGAGTAGGAACCAATCTCACTTTGTCTGCACTGGCATTTCCCACCTGAGTCTTAGGCTTTGATCAATAGCATTTGTCCAGCTGAAGGAGGAAAGTCTCTTCAGACTCACCAAGGCAATTTCTAGACAAGGCCATTTCAAGTGGAGATTACTGTTGCTTGGAGAACTTCTCTAGTGATTGTCTTCTTTCTCATGGCCCCAAGAAGAAACAACAACAACAGCATAGACATGACTCAAGAATGCTAGCAACTGTCTGAAGTCAGAAAATAGAGAAAGACCTAAAATAATACACGGAAAGCTGCCCAAATGTAGGCCCAAACATTGGGCTTCAGAACACTGCTTAGCACATATAGGTGCTCAATGTATATTTGCTGAACAAAAGAATAAATGAACGTTTCTGAGATACTGAAATGGTTTCTCCTCCAGTGCCTCTTGCACCCTAATTAAAGTGCACCCAAGAAACAAAAGAGCAATAGCTGAGATTTTTTTAAAAAACACACAAAAGCTTAAGTTGGGGAAAATGGAAACAGCTGTTAATGTGATAGTAATTATTGCACTCCACTAATATTTGTTGAGGGTTATATTTGAAGAATGATTCCCAGGATTTGAGAATGGTAATAGGAAGCCATCCTGGCCTCATAGACTTTCTGATCCATAAAGAGGCAAATGTGTAAAGGTGCATTTGCCCTTTCAAACAACAGCATTTCTTGAGCACTTACTATATTTTAGGGGATGCATATAGAATAAGGCAAAGTTGCTGGTCTCTGAAGAGTTCATGGTCTAATTGTGAAGACAGATAAACAGGAAATTACGTCACTGTAATGAATGCTGTTGACCGTTGCACTAAACACGGATGGCTGGAGGAAGCGAGTTATACGAGAGGACAGCAAGCTCAGCCACTAGCGATTTTGCTTGGTGTTTTGCTGAAAGTAGGGAGCTATCTGTTTTTTCTCCCAATACTTAGCCAGTTGTTCAAGCACTATAGATTAAACAATCCGTATGCTCCACACCAATTAAAAAGGCACCTTTATCATGCATTTGCTACCTTCGTGTGTGTGTGTGTGTGTGTGTGTGTGTGATATTGCCTCTGTCACTAGTCTCTTTTCTGTTCCATTAATCTGTCTCTTTTTGAAATAGTGCCACACTTTTAAATGTATTGCTCCCCTAGCACTCTCAGATATTAAACATATTATAATCTCACTTTGTTAACTTTCTTAAATTTTCTTGGCTTTTTTTCACCTATTTATTTGTCCATATGTGTTTTAGAATCATTTTGTCAAGTTTCCCAACAATGTCCTACTGGGATTGATAATGTAATTGCATTAAACCAGTAATTAATTGAGAGAGAACCTATTTATAATATTGTGCCTTGCCTTTTAAGGACATAATATGTTTCTACATTAAACCAACGTATTTTTTAATGTTCTGCAGTAAAATTTGGTAGTTTTTTTTTTTTTCAGGCAGTTAAGTTTATTCCCTAAGGGTTTAAAAAACTATTTTGCTGCTATGGGAGAAGAGGATTATTTTTCCACTATATTTTCTAACTGCTTATTGCTGGCATATAAGAAATATATTGATTTTTTGTATTTATTTTTTGTGTAGCTATTTTGCTGCCCTTTTTCATTAGTTCTAAGATTTCTTCAGGTGCCTTTCATGAGCTAGATAATCATATTGCCTATAAACAATGATAATTCTGTGTCTTCTTTCCAAATAAAGTGATCCTTCAAAAACTGAAAACTACCGATTTCCACTCTCCTGCTCCCATTGTCTGTAGTACAAGATCCAAATCTTCTAAGAAGGAATTGAAAACCCTTTGTGATCCTGCCACGTCTTCTAGGTTCTGTTTTCTGCATCTACACTGCATTCATTGCTGTACAGCCATCTCCAAGTTCTGGCAGCCTCCCAAACATAGGCCAGGCTCTGTGGCTGTTTCATACCCGGGCTCTCCCTTCTAGGCCTTCATTCATCTGCAAGTCTCAGCCCAGGAATCTGACACATTCTCCTAAAGTCTCCCCCAGGGCCCTCAGATTCTCCCATGCTCTTGGAATGGCTAATAAGAATCATTCATCACCATACTGTATCTGCAGTGCAGGCGGGAACACAAGCTTTTGCATTAGAAACCTTGAGGCTGTATCTTGGATACACCATATATCGACTGTGTACTGTGGGTAAATTAATTTGGGCTTCATTTTTAAAATGGGAGTCATAACACCTAACTTACAGAGCAGTTACAAGGATTAAATGGAATAATTAAAGAGTTTCATGTAATCCCTGGTTCATAGTAAGTCTTAAAGATAGCTATTATTTTATTGTTTTTATGCTGTGGTTATTTTCATATTATTAAAATTTTTCTAACGCATCAGCAGTTGCTCATATGCCCCTCTAGACTACAAGCTTCTATAGGGACGGTTCTATTTGTTTTTGTTTTTCTTTTTTCAGCCTATTCAGTGTAGAGTTTCTCAGGTATGGTTCAAGACAACTCACATGACTCATCTGGGGCGCTTGTTTAAAAGGGGCTTTCCAAGCTACCCATAACCATTAAATCAAGATCTCAAAAAACTGGCCCAGAGATACAGATTTTTAGCAATTACTAAGTGAGCATTATGTACTCTAATGTTTGAGAACACTGTACTACAGCGACCCCCAAAATTAACATTAATTGACTAAGTGAAGTGCACAAAAATAATTGTACTGGGCCATATAATTGATTAAGTAACCTCATGGGGAATGCACAAGTCACTTTATTATTAGGGACAAAGGCAACTTGTCTATGGCTTACTTGAAATTCAGGGGCTTAGGCCAAATCTGGCACATAGCAGATGCTAAATACATATTGTTGAGTTTGTAAGTGGATATAAGAAAACCTGAGCCACAATGTCAGTCCTTAAGCCCAGCTAGGCTAGTCTGTTACTTAGAAGAGAAGAAGAGAAAAATCCTATGCCCATGGCTCCCAGACATTCTTGCTAAAACATCTCAGCATCACTTTCAAAGGAAAGCTTCTTTTGTGCAATCAGCCCCTTCGTTGCAGAAGCATCCATTACTTTTGAAACTTAAAGATCCAAAATAAGAATTTGTCTTTTTCAGTTAAGGAGGTTCATCCAATCCAAAAAAGTTTGGTTTTTATTGGCTATTTTTTAATATTATAAAAGCAATGTATGTTTATTGGAAAAGAAACTTGGAAGATAAGGACAAACAGAAGGAATGAAATACAACATAAACCACAATCTTTCCACGTATTACTGTTAACATTTGAATGCTGTTATTGCCATCCTATTTCATTAGCACGTGCTTTTTACACAGCTCATAAGTTGCAAGGCTCGGGTAAGGATTGGCTACATCATAAAAAGGATCCAAAGCATTATTTCCAACAGCTACATAATACTGTCATATGGATATGCCATAATTACTGTTTTATTCTCCTATTGGACATGTAGGTTATTTCCAAAGTCTTATTAATACAAATAATTCTTTCTTGAACATCCTTAGATAGGCCTAATTTGTTTTCATTTGTGATGATTTCCTTATGATAAATATTTGGACGTAAAACTACTACATCAACAGGTAAGAACATTTCTAGACCTCTGGATATATATTTCAAACTGCTTTCCAGAAACTTTATAAAAATGTATGTCCCTATGGAGAGTCTGATAGTTTCTATAAATCATATTTTCTTATTTTTTCTTCTTTTAATGCAAATCATTTGCCCTTGGCTAAAAGAAAGAATCCTAAAAATTTGGGAAGTCAGAAAGACTTCCCAGTTGTCAGTCTCCTGACAACAGAAGCTCAGCTGACATGCTTTTATGCCCCTCTTTCCTTGGATTTTTATCTCCAAAAGAACAAGACCAAGGTCCCCAGACGAGGTCTCCAAGTGCATTTTCAGCCCTCGCTCGACCCTCTGCCTGTCTTTGCTTGTAGAATGGAGAAACTCTGAAGGTGGACTTGGGGTGAAATTATCCAGCTGTCACCTTGGACTTGTTGTTTCCTTAAGAAATGCTGTCAGCTTTGGGCTGCTTCTTTCAGAATGGTATGTGAGTCCTAGCGCAAGCCACGCAATCAGCCACAGAGGGCCAGGAGTTTGTGACCATGGGAATCTCCTCTTCCTGGGACCCTCTGAAGAAAACAAGACTCTTCCAGTTCTCACAGTGAGTAAAGATGCATGCAACTCATTTCTCCCATCCAAGTACTAACCAGGCCTGACCCTGCTTGGCTTCTGAGATCAGACAAGATCGGGTGTGTTCAGGTGTTCGGGGTGGTAGGGCAGTGGGGCCATGCAATTCATTTCTAATAAAAGTGTCCACCTCTCTTCCTGTTTCCCAATTCTGATCCCCATTCTGCTACCACCACCTAGAGAGCATGTAGGGGCCAGATGACAGGCAGGCATGTATCTAAGGATATGGATGGGAGCACATGCTGCTGGGACTTGATCCAAGAGGAACCAGTCTTCCAGAAATCCCAGCTGCTGAGTTACGCTGCCCTGGACTGAACGTCCCTCCTGAGCTAGAGGCCTTGTATAACCTACTGTGGTATTCTTATGTGCAGTTTAACTCTTTTGAAGGGCATCTCAGCACCAAGGGCTCCATCCACCAGGTTCCAAATAATACAGAGAATAAAAATGCTAGCTGAGTTGAAGGCTCAAGATAAGCCAGGTTATGACAGAATCAAAGGACTTCCGTGGAGCTCGGGGCCGGATCTGTTAGTGACCCCAAATATCTGCGCCTCCTTCTGCATTTTCCATCCTCCCATGTGGCCAGGGTGGGCCATGTGATTTGTGTTGGCCAATGAAATGTGAGAATGTTGCCAGGTTGCAGTTCTGACAGACATCACTTGTGGGCTGCGGCACTTAAGAGCAAGGTGACCTTCCTAACACTCCCTTGCTCTGCCACAGCAACCATGGAGGCTGTGGATCATGGAACATCTTGTTTTGTCAATAAGAAATAAAATTTTATTGTGTTAAGCCACTGAGATCTCAGGGTTGATCTGATATAACAGCTAACTTTAATTATGCTGATTAATATAGAAACATAAAGTCAGTTTGAGGATCTTCCATTTGGACATGTTGGTTAATAACAACATTTTTCTTTGACTTCTTTTCGGCATTCCTACTGGCCTTGATCAAAAGCCCTGTAGGTTCAGAGCCTAAAATGGGGTTTGGGTAGCATATTCCAGTTGATGGCCAGGCCCAATATTGTTATATAATCTCTAAGAATTAACAAAAGTCATAGATTATGAAAAAAAAATGGGTGAAGGTGGGAACTAAAGGGTATTGAATCTCACAGTCCTGGGTTCAAATGTTGATTCCACCAGTAACCAGCTGTGACTCTGGGAAAATCATTTAACTTCTCAGCCCCAAAGTCTTCATCTAGAAGACGAGAGTAGTGATACTACCTGCCTCATCATAGATCTGGTGTGAGGATCAAACGAGATCTTCCATGGAAAACATTTAGCACAATGCTATGAACCATGCTGTTTGACAGATGGAGAAACTGAGTCTCAGAAAGCTGAAGGGATCTGGCCATACCACACAGTGAGTTATTTGGAGAACTTTGTTAGGAAGCCAGCCCTGTCTGAATTCCAAAGCTGGTCGTGTCTCCTCTATGCCCTTCTCCTTTCTCTGGAGGGCTTCTTGTTATTTGTGGAGCTGTTCTCTGCAGCGTAAGGGCATTGTGTGTGGGGGGGGGTTCATTTGTCTCAGTTGGGGCTCTGCTCGCTGGTCAGGGTTCTGGGCCTCCTGTGGGCCACAAGGAAGGGGTGTTAGAAGTTGATAGGGTTTTACTCTCATTGGAGAGAAGACTGGAAACAGCTGAGACAGAGACTGTCTTCGAGCCTGTTCATGTCAGTGAATGAGAAGCTTTGAAACTGTTCCTGAGACCCATTTAAAACAACAGAAAGACACTATTCAGAAAAAAATCCCTCTGCCAAGTGCGTCCCATTAAGGCTTCCTTTGTGTAGGCCTGAATAATGGGCTGTGATAGCCTAGGCTGGTGAAAGGGAACAAAATTTCTATGAGAAGTGCAAGACGACGATGTTTCTCTGAGATGGCCTTTGTTGCATAAGCCGTCACTGAAATATGGGGAGGAGAAACATGATAAGCAAATGGTTTCTGGGGACAGTTATGTGAAGTGAAGATAAAGAGGGAAGCTTTCTGAGCAGCCTCCTGGCAGTGGCTATGAGGATTTTTAGAATGTTGTACAAAAAAGGATAGAGATGGAGTGGCGAAAATGTGCCTTCTACCCAGTATCCTTCCTCACTCTAAAACTTTCTAAGCAACATCATTAAAACCTTCAGCATTTCCTTCTCCTCAACATTGTCATCATCACCATGGTCATGGATACCATTCGAAGCAATTGTCATGTGCTGGGACTTCCAATCCACTATCTCATGTTATTACTCTAAGAGTCATGTGAGGTGCTATCTTTATTTTTATTTTATAGGTAGGTAAACTGAAGCTCCAAGGAGCTAAGGAAGTTATCATTAGTCATATGGTATGTAGTAAAGAATTTCACCTTACCTGGGCCAGGCGTGGTGGCTCACGCCTGTAATCCCAGCACTTTGGGAGGCCGAGGAGGGCAGATTGCTTGAGCCCAGGAGTTTGAGACCACTCAGGGGCAATATAGTAAGACCTTGCCTCTTTTTTTTTTTTTTTTTTTTTTTTTTTGGAGACGAAGTCTCACTCTGTCACACAGGCTGGAATGCAGTGGTATGATTTCGGCTCACTGCAACCTCTGCCTCTCAGGTTCAAGTGATTCTCCAGCCTCAGCCTCCTGAGTAGCTGGGATTACAGGCACCTGCCACCATGACCAGATAATTTTTGTATTTTTAGCAGAGACGGGGTTTCACCATATTGGTCAGGCTGGTCTTGAACTCCTGACCTCAGGTGATCCGCCCACCTTGGCCTCCCAAAGTGCTGGGATTACAGGCATGAGCCACCCACCGTGCCCGGCTGTCTCTATTTTTTTTAATTAAAATTTTGGAGGCCAAGGTGGGTGGATTACTCGAGTCTAGGAGTTCGAGACCAGCCTGGGCAACCTGGAGAAACCCCATCTCTACAAAAAAAAAAAAAAAAAAAAAAAATTAGCGGGTCATATAGTCCCAACTACCCAGAAGGCTGAGGTGGGAGAATCGTTGGAGCCCAGGAGGAAGAGGTTACAGCGAGCCAAGATGGTGCCACTGTACCCCAGCCTGGGTGACAAAGTGAGACCCTGTCTCAAAAAAAAATTGATTAATTAAAAATAAATAGAATTTACCCTTGCTTGAAAAGAGATACGGCCTTTTCCCTTATCTTCTGGGAGAGGACCTCTAGGCCCTTGGAATGTCATGCATGATAGGAGTGTCTTTCTTTGCCTGGGGGCCTCAGTCACACAATGCGGTTTAGGGTGGAGACTAGCCATTATTCTAATAATGTAATTTAGTGTAGGGGCTTTGAGTCACACAGTATCAGCTCAACCTCCAGATGTGGCTAGGGACTGAGATTGGTCACACGGGCAGTCAACCAGGCCCATGCTATCGAGCCTCAGTAAAAACTGTGGACATGGCAGCCTGAGTGAGCTTACCTGGCTGGTAATACTCCATGTGTATGGTCAAGCATTGTTGCTGGGAAAAGTCATTCTGTCCATGATCTTACAGAGAGAGGACAACTGGAAACTCCACATTTGGAACTTGCTTGCGCTCTGGGCTGTGCATCTCTTCCCTTGTCTAGTTTTAATCCGTATCCTTTCACGATGACAAATCATAATTGTGAGTATAACAACGTTCAGAGTCCTTTGAGTCTTTCTGGAAAATTATCCTGAGAGTAGTATTGCAGATCTCGGAAATTGCAATTGGTATCAGAAGGAAGGTTGGTCTTAGGGATTTCCAAACGCTGTAGTTGGCATCACAGTGAGGGCAGTCTTGTGGACTGTTTTCTAACTGCACACATGAGTAGAGTGAGATTTGAACTCTGGTCAATCTGACCATAAATCCATTGGTCTTTCAACATAATAGTCTATAGGAGCAAGGCTCAATTGTGATTCCCAAACCTAGCTACGTGTAAAGAGGTTGTCAAAGATATGGATTGCTGGACCTCATCTCAGTACTACTGAATGAGAATTTCTAGGAGGTAATGTCAAGGAATCTCTACTGTTTGTGTTTAGTAAAGTCTCAGGTTGATTCTACTGGATCTAACCTGGCACCAATTCACAGACCCAGGGAACCACACTTGTCTATGAAATCCCTTTTTCCCATTGTGGAAAAGGCATTTTTTTCCAGCCTGGCATCCACTTTTTATAGGTGATAAATGCTTTCATTATCTACTAGACTGTGTTCTCCTGGGGGATATGGACAGTATCTTTTTATCTCTGCATCCTTCACATTCAACACAGGAACTGGCCCATATTAGACAGTCAAATATTTGTTGAATAAATAAGTTAATATATTTTTGGCTATGACACATTCATAATTAGCTACAATGCCTACGGCAAATGATTATGAAAAAAAAAAATACCTACTGCTCCACGTCTTGAAATTTGCTGTGTAGAGTTGCCCTAATGAGAAGCAGCTGAATCACAAATTAGCCCCTGCAATTGTAGATGCCTGCCCTTCTGACATACTTACAATTGGATGTTCATATTGGAAACCACAGTTGTGACCTTGGTCCTGGCATTTTAGTACATATGATGATCTCCCCTAATCAGCAGACATGTTGTCCTCTGGCTATGTGTCAGTCTCTGTTTATCTGATGGTTGACTAACTCTCTCTTTGAGATGTCCCCCATATCATATCCTACACAGAAAATTCCCTACATGCCACATCACCTATACTTTAAGTAAAATCCGTTCCAAACATACCCTCCAAAACTACGTGGTAAAAAAGCATGTCTCCATGTTTGTGTGATGAGAGGATAACAGTAAAGAGAAACAAAACAAAACCTTAATTTATCTAAATGTATGCATGGCATCCCATGCTGGAATTACGCCATCCCAATGGCAGAGCATCAAGAGGACTTATGTCTGTTCTGATATGGAGGAAGGGAAGGCCTTGGACAAAGGGAAATAAGACAAATAAAAGTGTGTTATTCTCAAAATCTGTACTAGGTGCTCTGTGTGTCATTTCATTTCTTTCACAGATGACCCTTCAAGAAAGGGCCTTTACACATGCCATTTCCTTGACCTGGAATGCTTTCTACCTTGTTCTGGCTCTTAATCATCCTTAGGATCTTAACTAATCCTCCAGACCTAATCATGTCTTCCTATTATGCATTCTCAAGGGATGATGTGACTTCTATCTGTGGGACTTAGCTCAGTTGTAATTTTAGTTGCTCAATAGTGTGATTCTTCTTCCTCTTCTTCCTAACTCTACCGTAATGAGCAAAGGGGATCTTTCCAGTAGGACAAGGACTGTATTCACTCACCACCGAATCTCTATACCCAGCAGAGTACTGACACCTGGTAGGTTTCAATAAGCCTATGCTGGAAATAAAGTGATCCCTAAAGCTGCAGATAAGCCTCAGAGAACACAAGTGACTTTTCCGAGGTTGCATAGACCAAAAGCAGTAAAGCTGGAACTGAAGTCCTCTTGACTCAAATGTCTACACTCTCTTCTCCGGGCATCCTTATCTCCTACTGAAAGAATTGGGTATGCTCAGAGCAGGTTCCAGAAAGACCCTTGCCAGGAGAAGTTGCCATTTGACTGAAACTGAGGCAGGAGCTGAAAAGAATGGATGGATGAAAGGTCATTTGTTATCCACTTGGTTTCAGAGGGAGACTTGCTTTATGAGGTTATTTTCTAGGGACCAAGGATTTTGATCCTTACATTGAGGAAGGTGTCACACAGGGTAATGCTGCTTTATTAACTACTCCTTTAGCCTTTTGGGAAGTAGAGAGTGTAGGAGAGAGGTTTTAAATGGGGTCAGAAGAGGGCATTAAAAATGACATTCTACTGAAATCCAAGCTCTGACTACTGTACCTTCATTTCTAGAAGGAAGAAAGGCTATTATTCAGCTTGGCAAAACTCATTTTATTTTTCTGAAGGCAATGGGATATAATGAAAGACACAAGGGCTTTGAAGGCAGAGAGGCCTGGGATTTGGTCTCAGATGTACTGCTTACAAGCTGTGTGACCTTTGGAAAGCTGTGTAACCTCTCTGTGCCTCAGTCTCCTTGTTGGCAAATATGAGAATAATAACGCCTACCATTTATGGTATTGGGGGATATTTAATGAGACAGTGAATTTAAAATTACCCAGTAGGGTGCCTATCACAGAGGAGATACTCAGGACATTTTAGTTCTCACCTAGTAAAATGCAGTCATTTGATGCTTCTATCGTTAAAGTGAGGGCAGACAACAAGTTTATGTGGAAAGAGGATAGGAACCAGGAACAAGTGACCTTTAGAGTCCCATCTAAAGATGGTTCCATGATTTTCCTTCATGTCTGTTGAGTGTCTCTCAGTATTACCATGCACCAAGGTTGATGGGGACAATTGCATGAAATGCCCCAGAGTGGGAATCAGGGGATCCTTTATGGAGCCCTGAAACTTAAGCTGTCTCTATTTTTACTTCTTAATAAAGTGTTTCAATAACAGCTAATATTTTGCAGATAAATACTTACCATGAGCAAGATGTACATTTTAGCTAATGTACTTCTTGTATCTTCTTGTACATTTCCTAGACCAAAAATGTACATCTATTATTATCCCTATTTTACAAGTGAGAGAACTGAGGCTCAGAGAGGCAAGGTAGCTTGCCCAAGATCACACAGCTGGTAAGTGAGGGCCCTAGGATTTGAATCAGGCAGTCCAACTGTAGCTTTTGTTGGAAGGATACTAAGCTATACCACTCCCAGTTTCCTCCTCCACTGAAGCTCAGATATCAGTAAGATTCTCATCTGAGCACTCTAATTATTCACGAGAGTAGCTAAGATAAATTGCTCTTTGAAAAGCAATTAGTTCAGGGTCTGCACTGAAGTTCACAAACAGTAGAGGAGATGGAAGTGGAAAAATACAAACATAACATGATTTGTGCTATAGGGAAAAGCCTGCGTGAAATGCCCCAGAGTGGGAATCGGGATCCTTTATGAAGCCCTGAAACTTAAGCTGTCTCTATTTTTACTTCTTAACAAAGTGTTTCAATAAATAAATACGAGTAAACATAAAATAACTTCAAAGAAAACTTTTCTAGGCATGACTCTGTAGAATTTCATTTTATTATGATTTATGTAATTCTGTGTAATAATCACTCTCTGGGCAATGGGAAGATGTAAACTGAATGAGCTAACAAGACTAGAGGATGATTTGTGGATTTCAGATAATGTTCTTGGCCTGAGCTCAATCATGAAGAATCAGGAACGTTCCAGTTAGGAGAAGAGGAGATGGACACTCCTGTTCCTAGCAATACAATCTCCTGCACAGAAGACAGTGTTTAAGGCTCTGGCTACAATGTACTTTGGGTTTAATGAAACCCCGAATGCCTTATCTGTTGGAAGTTGAGGCTGGGGTTTGCACCTGACATCCTTAAATAAGAAAATCCTGTGGAAGTAATTTTTGTAAATGACAGATTGTAGTCCATGACCTTCAATGCTGTGACCTTTGCTTCCGGATGTTACAGTAGCCAGAACACCCCCCTCCTATTGCTGCCCTACGGTAGCTTCAAATTATACAATGAACACTTGCGAGGTTTAGGAGGCTTTAGGGTATCTCCCATGCTGCAGGGATGAGATGTTCTACACTGAGACAGAAAAGCTTTAACAAAGTTGAATAAGCACAAAAATTATAGCAACTTCTTCACCCCATCCCCTTCTGTCACCATAGAACACAGAGAGTAAGGGGACAAATTTCTGATAACTTCTTGCCCAGTGGCTTTTTCTCATCCTGTGATATTTTTTAAGATTGGAATAGTCTTTGAAGAGGTGCATTAGCTAAAATTTACAAATCAGTGGATTGGGTCTTTTCAGAATACCCGTCATAGCAGGGGACTCTAAAACAATTAATTTGGGCAGTAGGAAGAACGAAAGAAATCTACCACAGGAAGGCACAGACATTCAATGTATCAGGCTTGCCAGAGACTGGGGGACTCTGGGGGATTTGAGGTTTTCATCTGAGTTCATGTCTGATTCTGCTTTAATGACAGGTCTCTGTGTATTTAGCTATCCTTTGAATTTGTATTATTGTTTCTCTCCCCTGGGGCTTTGAGTACCTGGAAAGTTGTGCTACACCTGAGTGTTCCTCCCCTCAAAGCCAGGGAGAAGAGCAGGTCTGGTAGGAAGCAGAGAAACAGTTACAGCGGCTGTGGCAGATTGCTGCCCATTTGTACTCCAAGGCTGATGCTCAAAGATGCTAGGTCTATTCTTAAAAGTTAAACCCCTCATCAACTTGTCCAGATGCTGTCCTATTATAGTTGTGCTTTTATTAAACCCAGGCAGCAGGCAGGAGAAGAAAATCCAAGTCATAAAATGTAAGGATGCACACACTTCTCATAAAGTTACTCTTCAGACAAATTTATTTTTTAAATACAGGAAAGAATGATCACATTTTTCCATGACAGCATGCTGTCAAGGCCTGGGTGCTGGAATGATACAAGGGAAGACACAAGCCCAGCCCTCCAAGGAGCTTTTCTGTCTCTATCCTCCAAAGCCTGCAAACTGTTCATGTTATTGCTAAAAATAAATAGCCAGCATTTATTACTTACTACATTCCAATCCCCCTACTAAGCATGTTCTTACTGAATCCTCAACATAGGTCTAAATGTTGGTACTGTTATTATCTCCATTTATAGACAGGGAAGCCAAGGTGCAACAAAGGTGAGTGTCTTACCCAAGTTCTCACATCGCTCAAACAATGGAGGTGGCAGGTGAATCCATGAGCCTAGGCTGCTAATCTCTCTACTAATTACTATCTAGGATGTGGTGAGTGATGGGAACATGGAATACCCAAATCCTGCTCCAAAACACTGAGCGCCTGGTGATTCTCTTAGGTACTCAATAGTCTCCCTCTGGTAATTACAGCCTGAGCACATGGCTTAGCCCAAAAGCTTTTGACGGTCTCCCAGCCACCACCACCCTGAAGCCAGAATCTTGCTTCTGTCAATTTCTAGAGAATGAAATGCTCATGAGAAGAAGAAAGTCAGCAAAGATGAGGCAGAAGATCCTGATTCTGAAAACCCACCCAGGATCCTGGGGATGGGAATAGGGGATATTAAAACAGGGGGATGTTCAGAGATCAGGAAGGGAGTTAGGATTCAGAAGAGAAGAAAGATGTTAGTTCTCTACAGCAGAGACAGAGTCCTGTCCATCAAAACCTACGTTCTCTTCTTTCTAGGTATACAGATTACGTCTCCCAGCCTCTCTGGAAGATGCATGTGGCTGTGGGGCCGAGTTTTGATCTACGGAATGTGAGCAGAAGTGATGGATGTGTGCCTTTTTTTCTACCTATTTCAAAAGTTGTCATGCATAATTCCCTGTAGTTTTTTCCTTCCACCAGCTGAATTTTATTATCAATAATGACTTTGGAATACCATGTTGAAGATAGCAGAACTTCCACTGGCCTGAGTCTCTGAGTGACAGCATGAAAGAGAGCCTCCCTCACTCACCTGGAGTCTCTTTGGACTATTAAATGAGAACAAACTTATATTGAGTTGCAACTAATATATACTTCAGATCTATTTGTTATCACAGCTAGCATTGCTCTGAATACTACTCTGTTCCTGAGGAACCAGGAGAAAGCCTCACAGAAGAAAGAACTCTTAAATGACATCTGGTTAGAGCCCTGTATCCCACAGGTGCTCAATACATGTGGAGGTTGACTCCGATGTAGAAGGAGTTCTAGAAAGATGAGCTAGAATCCCAAAGATAAGATTATGGATCTGGGGGAGGAGCCAAGATGGCCGAATAGGAACAGCTCCGGTCTACAGCTCCCAGCGTGAGCGACGCAGAAGACGGGTGATTTCTGCATTTCCATCTGAGGTACCGGGTTCATCTCACTAGGGAGTGCCAGACAGTGGGCGCAGGCCAGTGTGTGTGCGCACCGTGCGCGAGCCGAAGCAGGGCGAGGCATTGCCTCACCTGGGAAGCGCAAGGGGTCAGGGAGTTCCCTTTCCGAGTCAAGGAAAGGGGTGACGGACGCACTTGGAAGATCGGGTCGCTCCCACCCGAATATTGCGCTTTTCAGACCGGCCTAAGAAACGGCGCACCACGAGACTATATCCCACACCTGGCTCAGAGGGTCCTACGCCCACGGAATCTCGCTGATTGCTAGCACAGCAGTCTGAGATCAAACTGCAAGGCGGCAACGAGGCTGGGGGAGGGGCGCCCGCCATTGCCCAGGCTTGCTTAGGTAAACAAAGCAGCCGGGAAGCTCGAACTGGGTGGAGCCCACCACAGCTCAAGGAGGCCTGCCTGCCTCTGTAGGCTCCACCTCTGGGGGCAGGGCACAGACAAACAAAAAGACAGCAGTAACCTCTGCAGACTTAAGTGTCCCTGTCTGACAGCTTTGAAGAGAGCAGTGGTTCTCCCAGCACGCAGCTGGAGATCTGAGAACGGGCAGACTGCCTCCTCAAGTGGGTCCCTGACCCCTGACCCCCGAGCAGCCTAACTGGGAGGCACCCCCCAGCAGGGGCACACTGACACCTCACACTGCAGGGTATTCCAACAGACCTGCAGCTGAGGGTCCTGTCTGTTAGAAGGAAAACTAACAACCAGAAAGGACATCTACACCGAAAACCCATCTGTACATCACCATCATCAAAGACCAAAAGTAGATAAAACCACAAAGATGGGGAAAAAACAGAACAGAAAAACTGGAAACTCTAAAACGCAGAGCGCCTCTCCTCCTCCAAAGGAACGCAGTTCCTCACCAGCAACAGAACAAAGCTGGATGGAGAATGATTTTGACGAGCTGAGAGAAGAAGGCTTCAGACGATCAAATTACTCTGAGCTACGGGAGGACATTCAAACCAAAGGCAAAGAAGTTGAAAACTTTGAAAAAAATTTAGAAGAATGTATAACTAGAATAACCAATACAGAGAAGTGCTTAAAGGAGCTGATGGAGCTGAAAACCAAGGCTCGAGAACTACGTGAAGAATGCAGAAGCCTCAGGAGCCGATGCGATCAACTGGAAGAAAGGGTATCAGCAATGGAAGATGAAATGAATGAAATGAAGCGAGAAGGGAAGTTTAGAGAAAAAAGAATAAAAAGAAATGAGCAAAGCCTCCAAGAAATATGGGACTATGTGAAAAGACCAAATCTACGTCTGATTGGTGTACCTGAAAGTGATGTGGAGAATGGAACCAAGTTGGAAAACACTCTGCAGGATATTATCCAGGAGAACTTCCCCAATCTAGCAAGGCAGGCCAACGTTCAGATTCAGGAAATACAGAGAACGCCACAAAGATACTCCTCGAGAAGAGCAACTCCAAGACACATAATTGTCAGATTCACCAAAGTTGAAATGAAGGAAAAAATGTTAAGGGCAGCCAGAGAGAAAGGTCGGGTTACCCTCAAAGGAAAGCCCATCAGACTAACAGCGGATCTCTCGGCAGAAACCCTACAAGCCAGAAGAGAGTGGGGGCCAATATTCAACATTCTTAAAGACAAGAATTTTCAACCCAGAATTTCATATCCAGCCAAACTAAGCTTCGTAAGCGAAGGAGAAATAAAATACTTTACAGACAAGCAAATGCTGAGAGATTTTGTCACCACCAGGCCTGCCCTAAAAGAGCTCCTGAAGGAAGCGCTAAACATGGAAAGGAACAACCGGTACCAGCCGCTGCAAAATCATGCCAAAATGTAAAGACCATCGAGACTAGGAAGAAACTGCATCAACTAATGAGCAAAATCACCAGCTAACATCATAATGACAGGATCAAATTCACACATAACAATATTAACTTTAAATATAAATGGACTAAATTCTGCAATTAAAAGACACAGACTGGCAAGTTGGATAAAGAGTCAAGACCCATCGGTGTGCTGTATTCAGGTAACCCATCTCACGTGCAGAGACACACATAGGCTCAAAATAAAAGGATGGAGGAAGATCTACCAAGCCAATGGAAAACAAAAAAAGGCAGGGGTTGCAATCCTAGTCTCTGATAAAACAGACTTTAAACCAACAAAGATCAAAAGAGACAAAGAAGGCCATTACATAATGGTAAAGGGATCAATTCAACAAGAGGAGCTAACTATCCTAAATATTTATGCACCCAATACAGGAGCACCCAGATTCATAAAGCAAGTCCTGAGTGACCTACAAAGAGACTTAGACTCCCACACATTAATAATGGGAGACTTTAACACCCCACTGTCAACATTAGACAGATCAACGAGACAGAAAGTCAACAAGGATACCCAGGAATTGAACTCCGCTCTGCACCAAGCAGACCTAATAGACATCTACAGAACTCTCCACCCCAAATCAACAGAATATACATTTTTTTCAGCACCACACCACACCTATTCCAAAATTGACCACATAGTTGGAAGTAAAGCTCTCCTCAGCAAATGTAAAAGAACAGAAATGATAACAAACTATCTCTCAGACCACAGTGCAATCAAACTAGAACTCAGGATTAAGAATCTCACTCAAAGCCGCTCAACTACATGGAAACTGAACAACCTGCTCCTGAATGACTACTGGGTACATAACGAAATGAAGGCAGAAATAAAGATGTTCTTTGAAACCAACGAGAACAAAGACACCACATACCAGAATCTCTGGGACGCATTCAAAGCAGTGTGTAGAGGGAAATTTATAGCACTAAATGCCTACAAGAGAAAGCAGGAAAGATCCAAAATTGACACCCTAACATCACAATTAAAAGAACTAGAAAAGCAAGAGCAAACACATTCAAAAGCTAGCAGAAGGCAAGAAATAACTAAAATCAGAGCAGAACTGAAGGAAATAGAGACACAAAAAACCCTTCAAAAAATCAATGAATCCAGGAGCTGGTTTTTTGAAAGGATCAACAAAATTGATAGACCGCTAGCAAGACTAATAAAGAAAAAAAGAGAGAAGAATCAAATAGACACAATAAAAAATGATAAAGGGGATATCACCACCGATCCCACAGAAATACAAACTACCATCAGAGAATACTACAAACACCTCTACGCAAATAAACTAGAAAATCTAGAAGAAATGGATACATTCCTCGACACATACACTCTCCCAAGACTAAACCAGGAAGAAGTTGAATCTCTGAATAGACCAATAACAGGCTCTGAAGTTGTGGCAATAATCAATAGTTTACCAACCAAAAAGAGTCCAGGACCAGACGGATTCACAGCCGAATTCTACCAGAGGTACAAGGAGGAACTGGTACCATTCCTTCTGAAACTATTCCAATCAATAGAAAAAGAGGGAATCCTCCCTAACTCATTTTATGAGGCCAGCATCATCCTGATACCAAAGCCGGGCAGAGACACAACCAAAAAAGAGAATTTTAGACCAATATCCTTGATGAACATTGATGCAAAAATCCTCAATAAAATACTGGCAAACCGAATCCAGCAGCACATCAAAAAGCTTATCCACCATGATCAAGTGGGCTTCATCCCTGGGATGCAAGGCTGGTTCAATATACGCAAATCAATAAATGTAATCCAGCATATAAACAGAGCCAAAGACAAAAACCACATGATTATCTCAATAGATGCAGAAAAAGCCTTTGACAAAATTCAACAACCCTTCATGCTAAAAACTCTCAATAAATTAGGTATTGATGGGACGTATCTCAAAATAATAAGAGCTATCTATGACAAACCCACAGCCAATATCATACTGAATGGGCAAAAACTGCAAGCATTCCCTTTGAAAACTGGCACAAGACAGGGATGCCCTCTCTCACCGCTCCTATTCAACATAGTGTTGGAAGTTCTGGCCAGGGCAATCAGGCAGGAGAAGGAAATAAAGGGTATTCAATTAGGAAAAGAGGAAGTCAAATTGTCCCTGTTTGCAGACGACATGATTGTTTATCTAGAAAACTCCATCGTCTCAGCCCAAAATCTCCTTAAGCTGATAAGCAACTTCAGCAAAGTCTCAGGATACAAAATCAATGTACAAAAATCACAAGCATTCTTATACACCAACAACAGACAAACAGAGAGCCAAATCATGAGTGAACTCCCATTCACAATTGCTTCAAAGAGAATCAAATACCTAGGAATCCAACTTACAAGGGATGTGAAGGACCTCTTCAAGGAGAACTACAAACCACTGCTCAAGGAAATAAAAGAGGACACAAACAAATGGAAGAACATTCCATGCTCATGGGTAGGAAGAATCAATATCGTGAAAATGGCCATACTGCCCAAGGTAATTTACAGATTCAATGCCATCCCCATCAAGCTACCAATGACTTTCTTCACAGAATTGGAAAAAACTACTTTAAAGTTCATATGGAACCAAAAAAGAGCCCGCATCGCCAAGTCAATCTTAAGCCAAAAGAACAAAGCTGGAGGCATCACACTACCTGACTTCAAACTATACTACAAGGCTACAGTAACCAAAACAGCATGGTACTGGTACCAAAACAGAGATATAGATCAATGGAACAGAACAGAGCCCTCAGAAATAATGCCGCATATCTACAACTATCTGATCTTTGACAAACCTGAGAAAAACAAGCAATGGGGAAAGGATTCCCTATTTAACAAATGGTGCTGGGAAAACTGGCTAGCCATATGTAGAAAGCTGAAACTGGATCCCTTCCTTACACCTTATACAAAAATCAATTCAAGATGGATTAAAGATTTAAACGTTAGACCTAAAACCATAAAAACCCTAGAAGAAAACCTAGGCATTACCATTCAGGACATAGGCGTGGGCAAGGACTTCATGTCCAAAACACCAAAAGCAATGGCAACAAAAGCCAAAATTGACAAATGGGATCTAATTAAACTAAAGAGCTTCTGCACAGCAAAAGAAACTACCATCAGAGTGAACAGGCAACCTACAACATGGGAGAAAATTTTCGCAACCTACTCATCTGACAAAGGGCTAATATCCAGAATCTACAATGAACTCAAACAAATTTACAAGAAAAAATCAAACAACCCCATCAAAAAGTGGGCGAAGGACATGAACAGACACTTCTCAAAAGAAGACATTTATGCAGCCAAAAAACACATGAAAAAATGCTCATCATCACTGGCCATCAGAGAAATGCAAATCAAAACCACTATGAGATATCATCTCACACCAGTTAGAATGGCAATCATTAAAAAGTCAGGGAACAACAGGTGCTGGAGAGGATGTGGAGAAATAGGAACACTTTTACACTGTTGGTGGGACTGTAAACTAGTTCAACCATTGTGGAAGTCAGTGTGGCGATTCCTCAGGGATCTAGAACTAGAAATACCATTTGACCCAGCCATCCCATTACTGGGTATATACCCAAAGGACTATAAATCATGCTGCTATAAAGACACATGCACACGTATGTTTATTGCGGCACTATTCACAATAGCAAAGACTTGGAACCAACCCAAATGTCCAACAATGATAGACTGGATTAAGAAAATGTGGCACATATACACCATGGAATACTATGCAGCCATAAAAAATGATGAGTTCATGTCCTTTGTAGGGACATGGATGAAATTGGAAACCATCATTCTCAGTAAACTATCGCAAGAACAAAAAACCAAACACCGCATATTCTCACTCATAGGTGGGAATTGAACAATGAGATCACATGGACACAGGAAGGGGAATATCACACTCTGGGGACTGCGGTGGGGTCGGGGGAGGGGGGAGGGATAGCATTGGGAGATATACCTAATGCTAGATGACACGTTAGTGGGTGCAGCGCACCAGCATGGCACATGTATACATATGTAACTAACCTGCACAATGTGCACATGTACCCTAAAACTTAGAGTATAATAAAAAAAAAAAAACATTAAAAAAAAATGCAAAAAAGAAAATACATGCAGATGAGTTAAACACAAAAAAAAAAAAAAAAAAAAAAAAAAAAAAAAAAAAAAAGATTATGGATCTGAGGTTAGCCCTGTTAGGGCATACAGAGAGTAGATCACAGAAGGAAGGGGGCCTGTTGTGGTCTGGAGTAATCTAGGAAAATACTGGAAGATGTTGACTGCAAGCAGAAGGTGCGTCACTTTGGAACTTAACTACAAAATTGTGTCATGGGGGGGAAATGCAAGACTGTGAGACCTGGATTGTAGTCTTGGTTCTGTATCCACCTCTCTCTCTCTCTGTGACACGGGCAGGACGCAGCCCCTCTCTGAAAAGTTATTGCCTCCTTCGTTAAACTAGGAGGTTTGAAAAAAAGCTAATTGTTATAAAGAGGCAGTTCAACACAATAGTTAAGAACCTCAGTTCTGGGGTGGGATGTCTACTTCAAATCCGACCTAAAACTTATTAGCTCTGTGGCTTTTGGAAAAGTTTCTTGACTTCTTAAGCCTGTTTTCTTCCCTTTAAAAAACAGGATTAATAAAATGCCCATTTCTTGGGGGTGGTTTTAAGATTTAAGTGAGATGCTAAGTGTAAAGCACTGACATTCCTGACATTGCATGTGCTGTGTGTGTGTCTGAGTACTGGCTTTACATGAAGATGAATCTCACATCAGACTGCCTTGGCCACCACTTGGAGAAAAGTTCTGAGCACTTGCAGTAAGTGGTAGGAGAGAAGCATTTGCCACTCAAGCAAAAGGAAAAGGAGAAGATCTTTAAAAAATTAAAATTGGGAGAGTGACGTTCAAAAGGTCAGGGTGAGAGGTCCCTAATTGCAGCACTACCCACCCAGGTGGCATGGACAGGGTCTGTGGTGTGGACACTGCTGTGCTCCACTGGGTGGGAGAGATTGAAAGCAGCCAAATAATTCAGGACACCAAACCCAGTTTCTCAGAGGAAGAAATGATGCTTTGTAGGGCAACTGTCCAAAGAGGCGTTGTCCCCAAATGGCTAAGAAGAAGCATGCCCAGGAAAGGTGATCACAGAGTCTCAGAGCCCAAAGGATCCCATCCGATCTGAGGATGAGACGCTATCACTTCTCAGATTTTACTTCATGACTATGCTAAACTCTTCATAAATATACTATCTCACTGAATCCTCCGACTATCCCATGAGGCAGACACTGTTAAAATCCCCATTGTAGAGATGAAGAAATCAAGGCACAGAGAGATTTAAAAAAAAAAATTGATGCTACACGTCCAGAAAAAGACAGAACTGGTGACAAATCCACAGGGTCTGGGTCTGACCCCAGAGCCCCAGGTAATAGCAGCAACGTTACATCAAAGCAGCTTACGGGAAATCATGCAACGAAAGAAGAGAATGAATACATGAATACATGCAAATGAATGCATGGATTGATGAGAAAATGGAGGTGGAGGAAAAATAAAGACAAAAAATAATTGAAAGCCATTGGGTAAACTTAATTTGTCAGATTTATTGCCACTGACTATAGGATATAATGATTTGAGAAAGGCCATGAATTAAATTCAGCTCCTTAGAGGCCAGAGTGGACCAAAACAACAACAACAATAACAACAGCCAGATCTCAAGGCCATAAAATAAAACCCAACTATATGCCAAGGAGCCCTAGACCACTAGACCACTTTGCTTGTTTGTTGTTGTTGTTTGTTTACTTCCCAAAGACACAAAAGAAAACTTTGAGGGCCTTTATAAAAGAAGAAGATTTCTTTTTCTTTTTTTTTTTTTTTTTTGGTTTGTAGTTGAGAGGAATTATCACCTACTGTGATCCCAACTAATTTTATTTTAGACTTGATTATATAAACACATTGATAAGTAGAGAAAATAATTATCTAGGTAACATCACATCCTTTCTCTTTCCCCTTCCTACTCCCACAAAGCCCAGCGTCTGGGAATAATGGCAGAAAAATCTCATTACCTTATAATTTAATGGCTCTTTTAAACATTTACAGTCAATTTTGACATCTACTCTTTAT
Organism: Homo sapiens; assembly: GCF_000001405.40. Taxonomy (NCBI): domain Eukaryota; kingdom Metazoa; phylum Chordata; class Mammalia; order Primates; family Hominidae; genus Homo; species Homo sapiens. Next base: position 9,582,463 of record NC_000016.10, on the reverse strand, counting down.
AATAATAATAGTAGTTTATTTAGCACCTAATAAATGTCAAGCCCACGTGCATCACTTACATGACCTAATGTGATTTTAACAATAGCCCTGATGTGGTAAATATTATAACTTGCATCTTTGCAGATGAAACAGGTTCAGGGAATTAGCAATCTGGAAGTGGAGACAGGACCCAGACGCAGGTCAGCTGGACTTTGAAGCCACACCCTGTCCATCACAATGCATTTCTTTAAGCCTATAGTTCTCAACCTTGCCAGCCGACTATAACCCCTCTAAAGAGCTTGTTAAAAATAACCAACGTTTAGGCCCCTTTTCAGAGCAAATGAATCAGATTCAGTAGAGAAGGAGTGTGGCTGGTCACCTGGCACTTTTAAAACTCATCACTTGATCTTTCTTTTTTTTTTTTTTTTTTTTGAGACGGACTCTTGCTCTGCCAGGCAGTGGCATGATCTTGGCTCACTGCAACCTCCGCCTGCCATTCAAGTGATTCTCCTGACTACAGGTGCCCATCACCAGGCCTGGCTAATTTTCATATTTTTAGTAGAGACGGGGTTTCACCATGTTGACCAGGCTGGTCTCAAACTCCTGACCTCAACTGATCCACCCGCCTCGGCCTCCTATGATTTTTCTTTTTAATTGAGATAAAATTCACCCATCAAGCAATTTAAAAATGAATAGTTCATTGGCATTTACTATATTCAGAGTGTTGTGTAACCACCACCTCTGCCTAGACATTCCAAAACCCCTTAATCACCTCCAAAAAGACCCTATACCCATTAAGCAGTCACCTCCCCTTCCTTTCTCCCCTGAAACCACTAATCTACTTTCTGTCTCTATGAATTTATTTATTCTGTACATTTCTTATAAATGGAATCCTTCCACAGGTGGCTTTTTCTGCCTGTTTTCTTTCACTTAGCATTATGTTTTTGAGGTTTATCCACATTGTACGTGAATCAGTACTTTATTCTTTTTTTATTGCTGGACAGTGCAATATGTCTTGAGAATTGCCATTGAACGCTAATCCTCACAACTGCCATGTGAAGTTGCGGGGCATTGCAGATTTGTATTTGCGTTTTGACAGTGAGAGACTCAGAGCAAGGGATGTGCTCCAAATCTCACAAAATCTGGTCTCCTCTTTCTCTAGGCCCATGGTATTGCCACCACGTGATCCTTCCTCAGCCAAACTCAACAAATACACTTTTCCTACAATTTGGGGGGTTTTCTTGCCTCTATTTTTGTTTCTTCCTCTATTTTGTTTCTTCCCTCTATTTTATGTTAGTAACACTCACATAAAGCTCAGACAGACTCTCCAGGGTCTTAGCAATGCATGTGTTGGGACTGAGATGGGCTAGACTTTTTTTTTCTTTTTCTGGAGATGGCGTCTTGCTCTGCTGCCCAGACTGGCCTCGAACTCCTAGCCTCAGAGATCCTCCCACATCACCTTCCTGAGTAGCTGGGACTACAAGCTGCACTGACCTATTTTTTTTTTTTTTTTTTTTTTTGAGACAGAGTCTCGCCCTGTTGCCCAGGCTGGAGTACAGTGGCGCAATGTTGGTTCACTGCAACCTCTGCATCCCAGGTTCAAGCGATTTTCCTGCCTCAGCTTCCCAGGTAGCTAGGACTACAGGCATGTGCCACCATGCCCAGCTAGTTTTTGTATTTTCAGTAGACACAGGGTTTCACCATGTTGGCCAAGCTGGTCTCAAACTCCTGACCTCAAATGATCCACCCACCTTGGCCTCCCAAAGTGCTGGGATTATAGGCGTGAGCCACTGTGCCCGGCCTGCAACACTGACTTTTTGACCCTTTTTATTTTTGTCTTAGCAGCTACTCTTTACCCACTTATGAAGACTGAGAAGCTCTCGAGCATGAATAACTCTCTTCCTTCAAGAAGCTCAATCCCCATCATTTCTTCATTCATTCATTCATTCATTTTACAACACTAATGAAGTGACTCCTTTTGTGTTCTAGAAACTACATGACAATCTAGGGATATAGATGTGAACAACATAAATGTGTACATTGTTTGGGGGAGTCAGCTGTCTAGCAGGGAAAGTCAGAAATCAAGCAAGAGGTATAAGCAATAGTTAACAGTTTACAAGAGAGAGGAATGCCACAAAAGAGATGCAAGGATCACTGAGAATTTAATAAAGGAGGGGGCTTGACCCTGCCAAGGGCTTGGGGCACTACCTCTCCACTGTCAATGTGTGCACGCGTCTCCAGGGACTTGTTAACATGCAAATTCTGACTCAAAGGTCTGGGCTGGGCTGAGATGCTGCAATTATAACAAGCTTGGAGGTGATGCTGATGCTGTTGGTCTGTGAACCATGCCTTCAAGCACTGAGGTGTGAGCTGGGTCCTGAGGGACAAATAATAGTTAACCAGGGATGTTCTCTCCTCCTGAACAGGTTTGCTCATCATTGCTTTGGGCAAAAAGAGCCATTCTCTGACCTTTCAGCCCTAGACCCTAGCCGGGCAGATGATGGAGAAATGGTTAGATGGAGAAATGGTTAGAGGATGGGCAGGCAGGAGACAAATAGGCTCTCCACCACCTTTGTACAAATATTTCAGAAAGTCATTGTGTTAGGACGCTCTGGAGTTATGAAACACATGCAGCCTTTAGAGAACTTCTGGTTCCATTCTTGCATCTTAAAACTAGGACCTGGAAGTCTGCACAACCCTTGATATTTATTAACATTTACTGCTCACCTGTTGTGTGGGAAGTCCTATGCCATGCATGTCGTTCACATTAACTTGTGCAATTCTCAAAACAACCCATAATAATTGACATTAACATCTGCAGATTGTAAAGGAGAAAATGTAAGCAAACACTTGTCCCGTGCCACACAGCTGGTAAGTGACATAGCTGGGATTTGAACCCCCACCTCCAAACGGCCTAACTCCAAAGCTGCACTCTTTGCATGGCATCTGCTGACCTAATTATTTATTCATTCATCTGCTTAATTTTCAGCCTTAACTTTTGCTGAAATAGAGACAGGCAAATGAGGGGCTGCTTTGAGCTCATTAATTATGAAATGCTACTCCTACCTAGACCTCCAGCTACAAAAACTTTCCATACTCTTTACCTTATTGACAACTTCATCTGGAATTTTTCAGTTGCAAATTTGAAAAAAAAAAAAAAACACAAAAACTCAAATGATCATAAGCAATGTCACAATGTCTCTTCTCCCTGTCCCTCTCTCATCTTTCCTTGTTTCCACCTGTCTGTTTCCCTCTTGCTATCTTGCCTATGTTTAGGAAAGTCATATCAAGGAACTCAACTTTAACTTCATAGGAGACAGAGACTCATTTTGTAATTCCTCCCCTATCCCAATCCTGGCAACCTCATGGGAAATTGAGTAAACCAGCTCATTTATTAGGAGGGTCATGACAGCAAATCAGACCATTGGATCTGATTCAAAAAAATATAACAGATTCCAAGCCTAAAAGTGACCCTCCATCAGAAAGGGTGCCCTATCAAGTCAATAACCTTTGGGCCAGCCTTGGACAAAGGGAGCTAGTAATTTAACTAGAAGCTCTTTGGACTGTGAAAAGTGATCATTTTTCATCACAGCTTCAAGGACACCATTTTTCTTGCAGCTTTCCAATCGCCTTCATAGTCAATGGTCCAAAATAATCAAGATCATACTGCATGATGTTGTGGGCAGGGCATTGAGTGTATAAGGATACAGAACTCTTCCTGCAGAAACCAGCACCTCAGGCATGTCAGGGAGCCACCCTGAACCTCACCTTCCCAGTCTGTAAAGTAGGATGAATCATCATTTCTGCCTTGACTCATTGCTGTGGGAGCTGTTGAGTACTGCACGTGTGAGGTGTCCTGAGATACGCCTGACACGTAGTGGGCACTCAGCAAAGACTAGCGGTTACAGAGGTGACTTCCATATTAGCTGGATAAAATGTACATTCTTTTTTAACACTCCTCCGGCATTCACCATGTGCCACGCAGTGTTCTCAGTTCCTTCACATATATTAATTCATTTACATACTCACGACAACCCTTTAATATGGGCATAGTATTATCTTCATTTCACAAATGAGGAAACTGAGGCTCAGAGAAGTTGTCCAAGGTCATAGAACTAGCAGTTGTAGAACGATGATAGATGGAACCCAGACAATCAGACCCCAGGGTATACACTCTTCAATACAACACCATACTGACTCTCCCACTTAAAATCGTAGGTTCTCTAAGAATAGAAAAGTAGTACGAAGGCTGAATATTCTCTTGCTGCTCAAGATCAGCCAAATGCCTCACATGCTCTATCTCATTAGTCCTTGTTATAACCCAATAAGCTATACCCTATCATTATCACCATTTTACAGATGAGAAAACAGAGGCATGCAGAGAATAAATAGCCTGACCCAGGTTTACAGCTAGTAAGTGGATTCAGATCCATGCCTATCTGAGTTCGAGCCCATGCTAGCAACCACGCTGCTATTTTGGATCCCAGAAAGGCTCTCCTCCGTTAGTGCTCCCTTCAAAGCAGTAGAGGATTAGCTGGGATGACCACCCAAGAGGCTCAGCTCAGAGTCAGGGTGGGCAGTTGCCCTCTGCTCAAAGTCAGAGCAGACTCAGAGGATGATAGTGATAGAGATCATCACACGTAGAGCCCACTTCACAGATAAGGAAACTGACCAGAAAGGAGAAGGCACCTGTTCAGTGAAGTCAGTGCTGAGTCTTCCTTTGGGGCTACCTCTCTTTGGAAAATCCTCTAGTATTCTCTAACAATTATTCTTAAAAAGGTCTAAAATATGGGAAAAGCTTTAAGTCAAACTATTATAACTAGCATTCTTAATAATGGTAAAAAATGTATATGAACAACTTCAATGTCCAGCAATAAGGATTGTTTCAATAAATTATGGTGCATCCAGACAATAGCACATTGTGTAGCCACTCTCACTCAGCACTTTGGGAGGCCAACGCAGGTGGATCGCTTGAGGTCAGGAGTTAGAGACCAGCGTGGCCAACATGGTAAAACCCTCGCTCTACTAAAAATACAAAAATTAGCCAGGTGTGGTGGTGCATGCCTGGAATCCCAGCTACTCAGGAGGCTGAGGCAGGTGAATCGCTTGAACCTGGGAGGTGGAGGTTGCAATGAGCCAAGATCGCACCACTGCACTCCAGCCTGGGTGACAGAGCAAGACTCCATCTGAAAAAAAGTAATAGTAAGAAGAACTACTGGAATACTATGCAGCCATAAAAAAGAATGAGTTAATGTCCTTTGCAGGGACATGGATGAAGCTGGAAGCCGTCACTCTCAGCAAACTAACATAGGAACAGAAAACCAAACACCGCATGTTCTCACTCATAAGTGGGAGTTGAACAATGAGAACACACAGATGCAGAGAGGGGAACATCACACACTGGGGCCTGTCCGGAGGTGGGCGGCAAGGGGGCCTGTCAGGAGGTGGGGGGCAAGGGGAGGGAGAGCATTAGGACAAAAGCTAATGCATGCGGGCCTTAAAACCTACATGATGGGTTGATAGGTGCAGCAAACCACCATGGCACACGTATACGTATGTAACAAACCTGCACGTTCTGCACATGTATCCCAGAACATAAAGTAAACTATAAATAAATAAATAACTCAAATAAGTAGTAGTAATAGTAATTTCCTTGGGGCTGGACTTCGGGACGAATTGTTTATTCTGCACCCTAATAACTCTCTAGGTTGTCTGGTATCCAATCACTCATTGGACAGAGTCTTGAGCCTGTCAACTGGACCCCAACTCTACTACCAATCTCTTGGTCCAAACGACCATCCCCTTTCACCCGAACAACAGCAACATTCTCCCAACTGGTCTTCCAGCCCTGAGGTCCGCTCCCTGCCTCTACTTTGCATCTTATGTAGCAGCCAGAGTGATCTTTATAACGTGAATATGACTGTGTTATGCCCTTGCATTACCCCTCCGATGGCTCACCACTGCCCTCAGCATAAAGTCTCCACTCCACAGCATGGCACACAACTGCCCTCTCCAGCCTGATCTCATTTTTCCGCATTTTCTACCTCTCATTCTACATTGCAGCCAGGCAGAAACTTCTGGAGTCCTTCTGCCTCTCCAAGCCCCTTCTTGCCCCAGGACTCAGCCTCGTGGTGTTCTCTCCGCCCAGCACACACTCTGCTTCCTTCCCGTGGCTGGCTTCTGCTGTTTCTCTCATCTCAGCTGAGCTATCAGTCCCTCTTGATGTAAGTCAGTAGCTCTTCTCAGGGTTCCCACTTCCCAATTTGCTGTAATATTTATATTCTGTTATAGTCACCTGTGCTCATGCCCAGCTCTTCCACTAGAAACTAACCTCCACAGGAACAGTGTAGCGTCTCTGTCTTTCAAATATTTCATTCCCAAACACGTGTGCACTTAGTAGGCACTCGGAAAATATCGGAAAATATTTGCTGAATTGATGTACCAGACAACTCAATTAGGAGGCTGGTTTGGGTGGAGGATCTAAATTATCCAATTATTTGAAAAGGAAATAAACCTTTTAGGGGAAGCTTAAATGATCCATATCTGTTATGTAAAAGGAATATTTTCCCTGAAATATAGTTTCATTTTCCTCTGTGCTATAAGGATTTAGCCCCCCTATACCCTGAAATGCATGGAAACCACTAGGTGGTCAAAGAAATGCATTAAAAATTCAGATGTTCAGGCACTACCCACAGGGATTCTAATTCAGCAAGTATGGGGTGAGGCCCAGGAATCTGTATTTATGATAATCTCCATGGGGGACCTTGACATGTACACCCAAGTTAGAATACAACTGAAATATATTTGAAGCCCAGCCTATTGCTTGGCACAAAGCAGGGACTCTAAAAATGTTTGTTCTACTCACTCATTTCCCTGACAGATGACAGCAGGCCTGGTGCCTCCTAATTCCTTTATTCTAACATCATATATTTTCTACCTGTTAAGCGACGCATATGAAGTAGACCCCAGAGCTGAAACTCCATCCGTCCTTGAGCCCACTCTGGAATAGAAATGCATCTCAAGCCCATCAGACTGTAGGAGCTACAATCCTTCCTGCCTATTAACGATATTATAGAGGCAGCTGGCCCACTACGTTAGTATGACAGGTCTATTTCCATATGGAAAAGAAAATTATAGAGAGGCATAAACATTTGCTAACTTGAGAGATGTTATTATAGCCCGCAAATTGCATTCAGATGTTTAGTAATACTAGAGTTAATGGATTTCTGAGAGTTCTTCGCAAGTGAGCCCATCTAAGAAAAACCTTTCTTTTCTGTTTTTATAAAAAAAGGTGTTACCCAGCAGCCCCAATCCAGCAGCGTGGTTACTGGCTGCAGTGGGGAATCCTGAGTCTGCAGGCATCCAGGGGCTGAAAGAGGGCAATATTCCCTCTGATTCCATTAAATGTAGGACTGGCAGGGAAGCCCCTTACTGCCACACTCTGCAGCTTTGAAGGAATATTAAAGAGAAGAAGGCATTTACTGTTGACTGAGCATTTACTATGTGCCAGACCCCCCACCAAGCACATTGCACTCGCATCTCACTTTACCCTCCCTGCACCTCATGCGGTGGTATTATTACCTCCTTTTTAAAGATAAGGAAACTGAGGCACAAAAAATTCAGGGACGTTGCTTGAAATCTAATGGCTCAGAACTCCAAGAGGTGAAATTTAAACTCATGCCATCCAACCTCAGAACCCAGACTCTCAGCCACCAAAGTCGACATGTGAGGCTTAAGCAGTCCTGCTATCATGATACCCATTTTATAGATGTGTCATTTGCATCAAAAAGTCTCTTGCCTAAGACACAGAACCAGAGTTCAAACCAGTTTAGTAAGTGCTTGCCCAGCCAGTCAGTCAATGAATTTTGCTGAAATTCTGCTCCATGGCAGGCTCTGAGCTAGGCAATGAGAAACACGACAGATACCATCCCAGTCCTTGGAGATTTTAACCTTTTGTGCTGGGACTCCCTCTAGCATGCAAACCCCTTGGATAAAAATGTCAACGGCATTGCTGGCCGGGCGCGGTGGCTCACGTCTGTAATCCCAGCACTTTGGGAGGCTGAGGCAGGCGGATCACGAGGGCAGGAGATCGAGACCATCCTGGCTAACATGGAGAAACCCCGTCTCTACTAAAAATACAAAAAATTGGCCGGGCGTGGTGGTGGGTGCCTGTAGTCCCAGCTACTCGAGACGCTGAAGGCAGGAGAATGGCGTGAACCCAGGAGGCGGAGCTTGCAGTGAGCAGAGATCGAGCCACTGCACTCCAGCCTGGGCGACAGAGCGAGACTCCGTCTCAAAAAAAAAAAAAAAAAAAAAAAAAAAAAAAGTCAAGGGCATTGCTATTTATGGCTATTGTGCCTTGTGTCCCCTCATTTGGCCTCATGACCCCCATCCTTTGGCCACCCAGAATACCTTGCCCTGGCCCATATCCAGAATCTGATCCAAATAGTCCTCTGCAATCCACCTTTAGACAGTGCTTCCAATACATGAATCCATAAAATCAAGTGATGGTCAGTATATTGCTCAGCTTGGGCTGCCATAACAAAACATCTGACTGAGTGGCTTCAACAACAGAAATTTATTTTGTCACAATTCTGGAGGCTGGAGGTTCAAGATCAAAGTACCAGCAAATTCAGCTCCTGGTGAAGGCTCTCTTCCCAGCTTGCAGTCATCTCAATGTGGTTCAAGATCAAACTACCAGCAAATTCAGCTCCTGGTGAAGGCTCTCTTCCCAGCTTGCAGTCATCTCAACGTGTCCTCACAAGGCTGGGAGACAGAACTCAGTGTCTCTTCCTTTCATTATAAGGACACCAGTCCTGTGGATTAGGACCCCACCATTATAACCTCCTTTAACCTTAGTTATCTCCTTAAAGGCCCTATCTCCAAATACAGTCCATAAGGGATTACGTTCAACATGAATTTGGAGGGAACAGAATTCAGTCCGTAACAGTCAACTGTATTTCCCACCCTTATAATCTCCTTTAACCTTAATTATCTCCCTAAAGGCCCTATCTCCAAATACAGTTCATAGGGGATTATGTTCCACATGAATTTTGGGTGACAGAATTCAGTCTATAACAGTCAGCTACACTTCCCACATTGTGAAAACCAGTAAACTTCAGAAGCAGAAGATTCTGAGTCATTCCATCCACACTTTGCATTTGCAGATGGGAAAACTGAGGGCCAGACTAGGAGAATGCATTATCCAGGGCTAAAAATCCAGGCAGGGCCAGAGGTAAGCCAAGAACCAGAGCCAAACCTTGGTCACATATCTAATAGGCCATGTAACTTCACCCAAATGACTTAGCCATTCCAAGCTACAGTTTTCTCACCTGTGAGATGGAGGAATCACAGAAGTACCTGCCAGAAATGTTAAGAGGAAGGATTAAATGAGATCGTGCATGGAGCATCCTGGGATACCCACATGGACATTGCTCCTCTCCCCTTTGGGATAAGGGCTTAGTCTGTTCATATCTTCATTTTTGGCTGCATCCTGATAGCTAAAGCAGAAACTGACAGCCCCATTTCTCGGCTGTTTCTTTTTATTTGTGGTCATTAAGCCCATGCCCTCTGCCTCCTTCTCATGTAAAGCTCTTTTAATTTGCAGTGTCTCTTACCCCCGCCTTTGGAATGATGACTTTCATTTTAATTGGTTGGTGAACCGAGTCTCTATCCTCTTTACTGATGAGAAAGAACAGGAGGAAGAGTCCCAGGCTCAGATCTGAAAACCTACATTCTGCAACTTTGCTGTGCAGCCTTGCTTGTCTTCTCTGAGCTCTAATCTACAGCTATAACATGAGAAATTTTGAATCATGATGAGTCCTTTCAGTCCTGGCACTCTCAATACAGCATCTTTTCAAATAGAAGGGTTGCAGAATAGTAAAGCTCCACGTGACGATATGTTCTTGCTAACAACGTAGAGTGGATTCTGCTGGCCAGGACTCCTGCATGTGATTGTGAATTCCTTTGGGGCTGTGCTCTCATGAGGTCTACCTTAGTTTCCCCATGCCTGGTACACATCACTTTCATTATTTTTATTTTTATTTTTTACTTTATTTTTGGAGACAAAGTCTTACTCTGTCGCCGAGGCTGGAGTGCAGTGGCGCGATCTTGGCTCACTGCCACCTCCGCCTCCAGGGTTCAAGCGATTCTCCTGCCTCAGCCTCCAGAGTAGCTGGGATTACAGGCATCCACCACCACACCCAGCTAATTTTTGCATTTTTAGTAGAGAAAGGGTTTTGCCATGTTGGCCAGGCTGGTCTCGAACTCCTGACCTCAGGTGATTCACCCACCTTGGCCTCCCAGAGTGCTGAGATTACAGGCATGAGCCACCATGCCCAGCCTCTTTTATTATTTTTTAAATTGACTTCTGTACTTACATATTTACTTCTATAGTGGGTTAAATAGTGCAACCCCCCTAAAAAAAAAAAAGACACACCCTGTCCGAACTTCAGAATATGAGGTTATTTGGAATGAGGACCTTTGCAGGTATAATTAAGTTAAGGCTCTTGATATGAGATTTCCCTGGATTAGGGTGGGCCCCAAATCCAATGATGGGTGTCTTTATAAGAGATAAAAATGATGAGGACACACAGAGTAGAAGGCTATATGAAGACAGAGGCAGAGACTAGAGTGATGCAGAGACTGTAGCGATGCAGCTACAAGCTGAGGAATGCCAAGGATTGCTGACAGCCACCAGAAGCCAGGAATGAGACATGAATTCTCTCTCAGAACCTCCAGAAATAACCAACCCTTCCAACACCTTGATTTTAGACTTCTGTCCTCCAGAATTGTGAAGGAATAAATTTCTGTTATTTTAAGCTACCTAGTTAGTGGTAACTTGTTATAGAACTCCTTGGAAACTAATACGCTTACCTTGTTCCAAAGTCTTTATAGGGGTCATATAATACAAGATAAAATACATTTAAGAAAAACGCCATATAGAATAGTGTAGAACAGGTAAGCACCACTTTCATAGACAAAATGGAAACTATGCTAGAAATAGATGGCACAGTTGGGTTCTGAGCTTCCTAGTGGCAGATGCAAAAAGAGAACCCAATGTCTTACATGGTCCACTGTGTCTATAAGAAACAAACATGTTACACGGCATGAACACCGAGATCCTTAGTTGGGGGGAAGTTGTTCCTCAAAGAAGGAAAGGGTCAGTAGTGATCTCTCAAATATATTCTTAAAGTTTTTAGTAAATATTTGTTGGAACAAGTGAGACTTTTTCTCACAGAGGCAACTGTTCCAGAAAGCAGACAAAACCCTCAGGTATCAAAAAATATAATAGAAGTGAAGAGAAACTGACTAGTGTACCCAGATGATATATTTTAAAAATGCATACTATTAAAATATTAAACAAGCCTCCTGGCTTGTCTGCTGCTTCCTGGGCAAAAACGCTGAGTGGTTATTACGCACACACTCTTCCCCAGGGGGAGCACCAGGAAAGCTCAGTGTGTAAGTCCTCCTCTCAGCAGCACCCAGCAGGGAGCCTGGGTCTTGGGCTCAGCTGAGAGTCTGCCCTTCCTCAGGCCACTTGCTCCCTCTTGACAGAGGGCCCAGGCACCACAATTCATTCCTTTATTTATTTATTAATTCAATCATCCATTTGCTCATCAGATGCAAACCCTGATCTAGGTGCTAGGAATTCAGCAAAGAGAAGACCAGATTAGATAAGCATATAGACAGTGCCCAGCACAGTGGCTGGAAAACGTCAGAGGCTCAAAGAATTTCACCCTTTCTCTTTCTCCCTCCTTCCCGAAACAAACTTGCCATGAGGTTATGGTTGGGAAGCACTGTAAGAGGCATATCACTTTGTTCAATACCCTCAACGCACAAATAGCAGGTCACATTTTTGAAGACTGGGTCATCAAATGTCAGCTCTTTGCATGTGCTCAGTAAGTATTTAAGTGAATAAATGAACAAATAAACCTAAGAAATGATTACTTGTTTTTAAAATGGATTTCTTCTATTTAAAAAAATTTTTAATTTAAAAAATTAACATCTGCATATAGTAAAAATCCAAACAGTACAAAGTATATTTAACTAAAATTATTAATCCCATCCCTGATACCGTCCCCAACTTCTCTTTAGAAGTATCTATTATTATAAAGTATGTGTGTGTGCATATGCCCAGCCTTCCACAGATATTCCAAGCATTTCCACATCCCTGTTCTTATCATTAGAAATATTCTTTAAGCCCCATGCTTTTTTTTCCACTGAAAACATATATCATGGCTATGACTCCTTATCAGGGCATATTAAGCTATTTTCTCCTTCCCAAATGCCAAAATGGGTACCATTGAGCGAATGGATTAATTAATTAGCCAATTCCCTATTCTTGGATTCTTGGACACTTAGATTGTCTCCAGTCCACCCTATTATAAACAATGAACATCTTCATTGTGCATAGGAATGAGAACATTTGTAGGAAAACATCTCAATACTGGAACACTTGGGTCAAAGACTATATGCTTTTTCTGTTTGTTTTAATCATTATTACCAAATAGCTCTCCAAAATATTTACACATTTCACCCTCCTTCCAGCAGTATATAAAAACACCGATTTTCTCACACCCTGGCCAAACCTCCAATTACTGACATTTTCAATTTTTACCATTCTGCCTCCATAGTGGTTGGACAGTTATTCATTTTGCCCCTTATATAAGTCCTTCTCAACAGGAGAGATTCTCTAAGCTCTATTAATGAAATTAAACACCCTTCATTAAACGCCAGGTTCAAGATAAATTTTAATTCTGTTCCACTTCAGCTGTTAATTTTTTTCACCAATCTAGGCTGCCCTTTCTAGACCGGAGTTTCACGTGTCCCACTCAGAGCGGAGACCTGGGCGTTATTTGCACCGCATATGGCACTGAGGAAACAAGGCCAAGGGCTTGGCATCACCATTAATTAAGCTGTTTCAACACAGAGCTCTGTTTGCTTATCCAGATGTGAACCATACTTCACACTCTCATATTTTCCACCATGATCCTTTATGGAAGGAAAGACTCACACGTCCTGGTGAGGGCTGAAGATGGAAAGTGCTGGAAAAATCATTTTATCCTTATAGAATCAATATCTGGAGCCACCTTGTGTATAGTTGAACATTCCCAAGATACATGAGATTTTGAGAAAGTCAGCGGGTCCATGCCCCTATTTCTCAAGTTGGGCAATTTCAATTGAAACTAGTTCAACAAAAATTCAACTCAATTCAACAGAAATGTGTGAAGTCCTAATATTATATGTTAAGCTCTCTGATGCATCCTGTGAATATGGTGGTAAGCTAAAATAGACACGTGAAATCTCAAAGGGTTCGAAACCTGGGGTCTGCATATCTTGTAGTTGGATTCAAGAGATTCCATTAATCCCTAAAATTACACACACAACTGTGCATGTATGTGTGCATGTTTGTGTGTGATTGTACATATTTTCTGGAGAGAAGGCCCATAGTGTTTATCCTATTGTAAAAGATTCCACCCCTTCCGCCCCCATCACCACAACCAAAAACAAAGAAAAAAATTTTTTAAAAAAGCTTAAGAATTAACGAGTCCAGGAGTAATGGTGTATCTTCCATCACTTTGAGGACTTCAGGAGCATTTTCAGGATTTTTATTATCTCAAAATCCGCAAGCCTCTTGGTTTTCTCCAGCTACAGCACCTCCTGCCTACTGCTTTACCCCTGGAAACAAACTTGTCCAGCCCTTAGAGAAAGTAATCAGTTTTGTCTTTCTTATGCTAAGCAACGCAGTGAATGGTGGGTACAGGAGATGCCCAAGTTTGGTTGCAAAGGAATTAAACCCTTCAAAGTTCAAAAGACAGACTTCCAAAGTCTCATGTCACTTCTAGACTTGCTTTTCATTTACTCAGTCATCATTTGTCTTTCTAATGACCCACATTCACTCTCATTTACACACACATCATTCACTCACTGTCTCATTCACTCACCATTCAGGTAACACACACTCACTTATCCACACTCACACTCATTCTCTCTGTCATGCACTCATGCAATCATGTATTCACCCTTCAAACCCTTACTGAGTACATATCACATGTCTGACACCAGGAGACTGTAGATAGAAATGGCCCATGTTCCTCCCCTAAAGGAGAACCTTAGTCTAAAGGGGAATCTGATGCTAACACTAAGAACTACAATACATTGTCTTACCTACGACAGAAACATGATGTAGGAAGGGTCCGTGCAAATTGCTGAGTAGGCCCTGAGGAGGGGACGGCTGCATTATCCTTGCAAGGCATGGGGAATGCTTCACAAGCACGTGATATTTGAGCTGGGTCTTAAAGGATGACCAGGAGTTTTCCAGGCATAAAAGAAGGAAAAGCAGCCTAAGTGGATAACATAGCATGTGCAAAAGCCCAGGGGTGGGGAAATATCAGAGCATGGCATACCTTGAAGATGGCAGCTTTTTCTTTCCCCGGTTAAAACTTGATTTGTTTTGACCTGGGAGCATGGCTGCTTTGAGAGGCGCTCAGCTCATGAGCCTACAGGAAATGCTGCAGCTCTTGGTGACACACTCGCTGCAGGGGCAGGGCCCCAGGAGCCAGGCTGTTTGCTTCTCTCAACATTATGTCAATGGCTCTCCAGATGCTACTTTTATGTGATGAACTCACTTCAGAAGCACATTTGGCCTTCCGCGGTGACAAAAGCCCTGCCTGCCAGTGACTGATTTACAGTGAATGAAATAATCTCTTTCGATCTTTAGGACTTAGTTTATGGGACTCCTGCTATGACTGAGTGCCTGTTATTTCTGTTTCCATGGCCCCGCCTTTCCTCCTTCCTGTGGCTCCCATCACATAGGGGAGAGACAAAGGAAGGTTCATAAACAGAAATTGAATTTAGAAGAGGTAAAATGAAAGTCTCTTTGCAAACATATGGGGACAAAAATATATGGGATTCAACTCTTTTGACTCACACAACCTCATTTTCAAATGTGTAGTCATCTGAAGATCTTGCCTAGAACACTTTAAGTGACTCAGATACAGGGTTATATTGTTTAGCTCAAGAGACAATATGGCATGTCGATTAAGGTCATGGACTCTTGAGTTACAGAGAACAGACTTCAAATCTTGGCTCTGCCGTCTAGAACCTGTGTGTACCAATCAGGACCTGTTGGGTGCAAGTGAAAGAAAACCCAACTGAAACTGACTTAGGGTGGGGAGAAAAAGGATCGCCATTTTTCTGTCACCTCTCAGTTCTGAGTTCACGCTCTTTGTTAATTTTAGGTTTGTCAAGTACTATTTCCTATCCTTGAAATGGTCTCCGTTTTCCCAATCCTCCCCTTATCTTTTTAAATCATAGCTTAGCTATCACCTGCTTCATAAGGCTGTAGTTACTGCTGAGGTGACCACCCATACTCACCTCCAACTACTGGGAAGTGTGTGGCTAACAGCTCCCACCTAAGCGTCTCTCTCCAGAAAACGCCTTCAGTCAAAAAGAACTGCCCCTCCCAAAGTCACTCTACCTACCTGGGGACAAGCCACATCCCATGACTCTCCCATGTGGCTGTCTCAAGAAAGTACAAGACTTGGGGCCATCCCAGCTTCAGAGCTTGCTGCTGTATGAGTGGAGGCCTTCGTTGCAGCTGCATCACATTCAGCTTCTCTCTTGCTGGATCCCATTTCCTTCACTCCCCAGCAAGTGTTGATCTCAAGGCTACTCCCTGAGGAACGTCTTGCATGAAAATCTCCATCTCAGAGCCTATGTCCTGGAGAATCTGATTTAAGACAGATGCTACCCTTGACACTTCATAAGGTTAGGTCAGATAGGAAGTCCAGGAAACTTTAATTTGAAAATCACCAAAGCCCTAACTCTATATTACTTAAAAATAAAGATATGTATTATCTCCCATGAAGATTCCTAAAAAATAGTACAGACCTCACAGCTGGTCAATTCACTTGCTCAGTGACATCATGGAGACC
Source organism: Homo sapiens (assembly GCF_000001405.40). Classification (NCBI taxonomy): domain Eukaryota; kingdom Metazoa; phylum Chordata; class Mammalia; order Primates; family Hominidae; genus Homo; species Homo sapiens. The sequence continues at coordinate 9,566,546 of NC_000016.10, read as the reverse complement.
CAGGTGTTTCTCCTCCTTTTGCTAGACTGATTTTAGCGCTGGATTCATTCTCAGGCTGTCACAAAGTGGCTGCGGCAGTTCCAAGCATGACATGCAAACATAAGAATGCCTAGAAGAAAAAGAGAGAATGTCTCTTCTTACAGGAAAGCACATATTTTTCCCAGAATCTCCCCCCGGTAAGCCCTCATAATCTCATTGGCCAGAGTTGGGTCACATGACCACTTTCTAAACCAATCACTGGCTAAGAGAATGAGGCCCACGTGGGGATGGGGACGTCGTCTTCCTGTGAGGAACTTGGCTAAGGGAAGGTGTGGATACCTGAATAACATTGGGATTATGTTAGTAAAGAATAGGGTGAATGGATGGAAGGAAAATCACCAAGAACAGCATCACCTTCTTTCTCTGCGTCCCTAGCAGGCCATACTCCCCATAAGAGCACCTATTATAATGCAGTGAAGAAATCTGCTTCCCCCTCAGTCTCCCTCATGAGACAGAGCTTTATGCAAGCAGGGACTTTTCCTACTTGATGCCAGGCGCCATTCTAGGCACTGGGAGAGCAGATGATGAATAAAACAAAGCCCCCACCCTTTGAAGTTTACATTCTGGTAAAAGAGACAACAATAAACAGACAAAGCCAACGGGTAGTATAACATCAGTGGTGGTGAGTCCTATGAACAGAAATAAAGCAAGAGAAGGTGATTAGGGGGGATTAGGGTGCATCTTTAGAATCTGCTCAGGGAAAGCCTCTCTGATAAAGTTACATTTGAACAGAGGTCTAGGGGAGACAAAGGAAAAAGCCACATGGTATGCTAAGTGCATGAACCCAGGGCATGATTGCCTTGTTCAAGGAGAAATAAGAAAGCCAGTGTAGGAAATAAGCGGGGATGAGTGGAGTGCTGCCTCATAGCAACAGAGTGTGGTCCCCAGTGTAACTTAAATTTTTTCTCTTCTTAGCCACATTTTTAAAAATCAGGCAAAATTTATTTTAGTAAGCCAATAGAATCAAAATATTACTATTTTAACAGTGATAATATGAAAAAGTATTAATGAACTAGTTCTCATTACTTTTTCATATTCCCTTCAAATATTGCAAGCACAAGAATGTCCACAATGGTGGGTTTCGCACCCACAGTGTATCTGAGTTCCAGGTAGCCATGTTTTAAGGACTCAGTAACTGCATATGGACAGCACAGACTGAGATCAGCTGAACTTGGCTGTCAGGTTTTTATTCTTTGGGCTTTTTGTTTTGTTTTGTTTTTGAGATGGAGTCTCGCTCTGTCACCCAGGCCGGAGTGCAATGGCGTGATCTCTGCTCACTGCAACCCTCCACCTCCCAGGTTCAAGTGATTCTCATGTTTCAGCCTCCCAAGTAGGTGGGATTACAGGTGCCTGCCACCACACCTGGCAAATTTTTGTATTTTTAGTAGAGACAGGGTTCCGCCATGTTGGCCAGGCTGGTCTCGAACTCCTGACCTCAGATGACCCACCCACCTCGGCCCTCAAAGTGCTGCGATTACAGGTGTGAACCACTGCGCCCTGCCTGGGCTTTGTTGTTAATAAGATGGGAAGCCACTGGAGAGTTTGAGTGGGAATGTGATTTTACTGAATTTGTTCTAAAAAGGATTGAGGTGGCTTTGACGGGAGATTTTCTCCTACAGGCATCAGGGGTGGACGTAGACAGACCAGTTTAAAAGGCTACACTTACGTGGCAACCATGAGGAGGGAATAACCCCCAGCCTTCAAACGCAGAGGTGGCTGGATCACAGCTGGGATGCGTTCCCCTAGATTCATTTCCATCCCATCCCTCCATCTGCACTGGAAGGGTGGGCCTCAGGCACACAGAATTTCCATGAGGGAGGCTGACCTACCCCATCATGCGCTCAGCTGTCTTCATCTCAGAGTCTTCATTTGCCTACGCATAAAGGAAATCACAAGTGGTAATTACTTCAATTTGTACAAAGCATACAAAACCAGACCAAACTCTGTGATGGTACTATCCTCCCTAGATAGCACTAACAGGCATTTTTAGCTTAGGAATCTTGTCCTCCAGTCTATGGCCATACCACCTTGAACGCTCCCGATCTCATCTGATCTCAGAAGCTAAGCAGGGTCGGGCCTGATTAGTACTTGGATGGGAGGAATCTTGTCTTGGGGCCTGGTTAGTACTTGGATAGGAGGAATCTTGTCCTCCACCGAAATCGTCTGTGGAAGCCACAGACACACAAGCCTCAACCTGCAAACGGGTTAGGTTTCATCAAGCTCGCTGTACCCAGGTCCCAAGACTCTGGACAAGTGACAGATGCACACCCATCTAAATAAAGCCAGGCTCTGTATGCTGACACCTCTTGTTCTGTTTTGTGCTCATAGAAGTTTTATTCAAAGATGTTTACATGGTGACCTTCTTTATATCATAAATAAGGCATGAGCCACCTTTATAAATAAACCATGACACCTAGATGTTAAGTGGCCCTACACAATGCTTATGCCATCAGCTGGTGCTGGGCAGAGTGGACCTACTTTTGCTCTGGCGGTAGCTTCATTTGTCTCTAGCAGTGTTTCTAAGTTGAACTCTTTATATACAATTAAGGACAGATTAGAATGGTCTTGAACTAGCCCTGATTGGGTGTGCTTCTATCTTTTCCTTCAAAGTAGCCCCTGAGCCAGCTCTGACAAACACAATTGAAACCCATCCTATTGTTACTGCCCGATGGTTTCAAAATTTCAGGCATTCACACATTACTCTCACAGTTTTTATTTTCTTTTTTGAGGTAGGGTCTCATGCTGTCACCCAGGCTGGAGTGTAGTGGTGCAGTCTCAGCTCACTGCACCCTCCACTTCCCAGGCTCAAGCGATCCTCCCACCTCAGGCTCCCAAGTAGCTGGGACCACAGGCATGCACCACCATGCCTGGCTAATTTTTGTGTTTTTTGTAGAGACAAGGTTTCGCCATGTTGCCCAGGCTGCTCTCAAACTCCTGACCTTGAGCAATACTCCCGCCTTGGCCTCCCAAAATGCAGGGATTATAAGTGTGAGCACCGACCACCCTCACAGTTTTTAAACAGCTTTATTGAGCTACAATGTAGATGCCATAAGATCATTTTAAGTGTACAATGTAGTGATTTTTAGTAGATTTGCAGAATTGTGCAACCATCACCCCGAACTAATTTTAGAACATTTTCATCACCCCTAAAAAACCCTCATGCCCTATTTGTTCTCTCCCTTTTCCCATCCCCAGCCCCAGGGAATTACTAATCTATTTCTTTAGATTTGTCTTTTCTGGTCATGTCATATAAATGGACTCAAAGAATGGCATTTTGTAAGTGGTGGCCTTCCCGTAGCATGCTGTTTTTAAGATTTATCCATCATGCATCACTACTTCATTTCTTTATATTGGCTGCCCTCACAATTTTTGTCACATTCAAGTGCCACATATATTATTCCTTTCTTAGAAGAGTATAACTATCTAAAGTCAATCACTTTTTAAAAAGCTGTGCTAAAAACATTAGGACTACCAAGGGAAAACCAATATTACTTACAGTATAATGGAAAGTAACTGCAAAATAAATAGAAACAAAATAAAATACTGTCATGAATTGTGTCTCCATAAAAAGATAAATAAATAAAACTGTTATTTAGCTAGTTACTGACATCTGAGCAACTTTGGGCACATTTAGGGTGGGCATGTTTAGAATTCAGAGCACAAACGAAATAGAAGTGGCCTGGTTTTGAGAGGCATTCCGTCAATACATAAATAGGCTCACCTATTTATCGTAATAGCTTTGCTATTAGTAGGTGCTTAAATGGGTGTCACTGGAATTAGAGCTGTATGCTTAGAAAACTTTAGTTCTCAACTCTACATCTTAGGGAACAGTCATTCAATAATTATGCGCAAGACCCTGGCTTGGTAAATAATCATGAAACAGGAAACTCTTAATCTTCTTTCCATGCCTGCCTCCAGACCCCCCAAACCCTAGAGAGTGCATATAATTCAACTATAGTACAAGATAAATAGATGATCCTGTTTATGTATTGATGAAATGCCTTTCAACCTGGCCACTTCTTTTATATTTCTTTCGTGCTCTGAATTCTAAACATGCCCATCCCAATAGTCCCTCTAGTGAAATCTTTCACTGGATCTTCAGAGTGCTCTGGATAAAGTCCCAACTCCAGCCAACTCGGTATTTGATGTTTCCTGAATGTGTTTCATACCACTGAGGTTTTGTTCCCTGTCTCAGAAACACGTCTCCTTACATCTCCTTGTACAGAGTCCACTCCTTCTTGAAGACAAGCCCAAGCCTTGCCTCCTCGAAACTTACCTGGTTTACCCAACCCTGCTCTGTGTGTCTGTCCACACGTGTAACTCTCTCCAAACACATAACATGGGATGCTGTACTGTGAACATCCGGTGTTCACAAAAAACCTTCCTGGACCTCCAGATCCCTGAGGACAAAAGCCCTGTCTTTGTTCTGTCTCCAAAGTCTCTCCCAGGATCTCCATTTGTTGTATGAATGACCTTAAAAGGAACCTATTGATTCCAACTGTGGAAATTGGAGAGACAATGGCAACTGCCACCTCCTTGGTAAACACCTTAGATCACTTCCCAACTTGTATTTTAGTGGTGCGTGTTAATTTTGTGTCAACTTCCTCTTGAAACTGCCTCCCAACCTTGAAAACATCCCCAGCAAGGTGATTTTGCAAGCTCACAGTTCCCACACCTAAATTCAGCAGCTCAAAGTCTTCTGTCACCTCCTATTTCTCTTTTCTCGCTACTTCATGGTTATAGGTAGCAGAAATAGCAAGCGTCTGTCCTAGGCTTTGTTCTTGCGAACAGGAGTGTTCTGAGGAAAGAGGCGAAGAATGAATGCATCATGCTGGACAGGCTTCCTGGCACAGCAGAGAGAGCATAGGTGCGGGCTCTAAGGCCAAACACTCCAGTTGTCCACTGAAGCCCCTCCCCTCTAGCCAGTTCAGGGGTACTATTCTTGCAACAACCCACTGTTTTCTTGTATCATAAAATTTTCCCTCTCTGCTCTATCATTCCTATCAGAACACAAACATGCCGCAATATTTCTCATCTTAAGAAAAATCATCCCTGATCTGTTTGGCTACTGTTCCATTTCTTTGCTTTCCTTTATTGTGCACACACATAAAAATAATTGTCTCCACTTGTGTTCTTCCCACTCTCTCTTGATTTCTACCCCAGAAAGAGACTTTTGTCAAAGTCAACAATGATATCTAATGTCCTACAACAAATGATGAATCCTCAGTCCTCATCTAACTCAACCAAGCAGCAGCATTTGATGCAATTAATTGCTCCTGTCTTCTTGAGATACCTTTTTCCCTTGGCCTCCACAGTCTAATTTTTGTATCGTCTGTCCCACTAACTATGCCTTCTCAGTGTTCTTTGCTGGGTCTTATCTTCCTGGCCTCCGATATTGGAGTGCTCCAGGGCTGCACTCCCTAGCGGTTTTAACCATCCCGTAACATTTAATACTGCCTCTGTGGCAACAAATCCCTTATTTTCATCTCCAGCTCCATCCTTTCCATATACAACTGTCTCTTAATATCTCCCCTTGAGTATCCAATAAGTATCTTGAACATAACAGGTACAAAACCAAACCCTTGACCCCACTCTGCTCAAATCAGCTTTGACCAATATCTCCCCATCTTAGTAAATGGCATCTTCTGGTTGTGCAGACAAAAAAAAAAAAATGTTGAAGTCATTTTTGTTCTGCCCCCCACTCACCACACACATCTAAGCCATCAGCAAGTCCCACACCACTTCCCTCAAAATGCATTCAAAATCAATCTACGTCTTCTACTCTAGACGAAGACTCCACCTTCTTTCCCTGGTTCACTGCAGTGGCTTCCTAAGTGGGCTCTGGGTCCTACCTTTGTCCCCCTACAGTTTGTTCTCTGCAAAAAACCTAGGTAATACAAAATGTAAGTCAGATAAGGCATAACTCTCCTCAAAACACTCCTGCAACTCCCCATCTCCCTCTGAATTGAATACATAATCCAAAATCTGTGTAGTAACTATAAAACATCCTATGATATGGCCCCTCTTCACCCCTCTGATGCCACTTTCCCTCCTTGGTGAAGACGTCCCACGGCAAAGCCTTCACATTAGGCTGTTCCCTCTGCCTGGAATGTGGTTCCTCCAGATATTTTCATGACTTGCCACTCCCTTGTTCCCCCCAGGTCTCTGCTCAAATGTCACGTCATAAGAGAGGTCTTCTCCAATCACCACAAATCAAATTGGCCCCCACTAGGCTCCTCAAGTCTGCTTAATTTTTTAAAGCACCTACCACCATCTGACATACTATATATGTATATATTTATTTGCATGTTGTGGTTCACCCCTTCTAGACTGTGACGCTTCAGGAGAACAGGAATTTTTCTATTTTGTTCACTGCTGTATCCCCAGAGCCCAATATAGTGAATGCATGCAGTAGGCACTCAATTAAATATTTTTGAATAAGTGAATAAAAGTCAGACAGAGTTTGAATTCTGACTGTGGCACATAATAGCTGTGTGACCTTGGTCATGTGTATCTTCTTTTCTGAGCCTCAGTTTTTTTAACTATGAAATGGAGATGAGGGCATCTACCTTTGAGGACTGTCATAAAGTTTATCAACAATATATGTAAGTGTCAGAGTAAGGCCAGAGTAATATGGGCAACAAAAGCACTAAAAAAAGTAAGTGCTATTATAGTTTTGCTGTCAATGACAGAGAAGAAATTCACCATGGGTTTGGATGCTGGGATTCAATTATTCATTACCCTTTATCATGAGGGCAACAGGGAGAGCTGTGTCCCCAAAACTTCCTGTGGCATTGAAGAAACCTCAGCTGATCAGATTTGGCCTTTGAGTTATTTAATAAATTTAAGAAACAGTTGCTGGACATCCATCAGGCACTGGGCACCATGCTTACTCTCTGGGTCTGACATTTTGTACAGTTGGAACCACAAGAGAATCCTTTACTTTTATGAGAATGGCCAGGATGTTACCTGCAGAATAGCGAGCAGGTCTTTGCTCATCCTGTGAGCAAAATAGGCCAGATCTCGGCTGCCACCCACACCCAGCCAAGCCCCAGTAGGGCTGGCTGCATACCACTGCCACCATCACCACCCAGCGTCTGGAACGGGGTTAGTGATGAGTGATGGAGAGGACAGAAATACCTCTCGGAACAGGAGGTTGACATTTCTGGGGCAGGGCCTCAAAGCTCTGGCAAGGAGAACAGCAAGGGCACCTTGTTCTTCTTTCTGGGCCTGGGCTGCTCACACCTATTTGCCCAGTTGCAAGAGTCACCGCCTAATGACCCATCAGAGTGACGCCTTCATGGGCGCATGGCTTGAGGGCAGAGGGTGGCATCAGTGGGGCTGAGGAACAGGCACTGGGCTTGGAGCCATGAGCTCAAGCAGGGAGTCCTGTCCCAGCCTCAGGTTTTGTATGACATTCGGTCATTTACCTGGGGATCTGCTGACTCAGGCTGCAAGTGCCACCACGTGGTGGCTAGGCCAGTTTCTTCACCTCTGAGATGCTGAGATGCTCATCTACAAAAGAAGATAAGTATTAGGTTGGTGCAAAAGTAATTGCAGTCTTTGCAATTACTTTAATGGCAAAACCGCAATTACTTTTGCACATCTCAGGGCTATTGGAAAGATTAGTGAAAGGTTTATTATATGAAAGTGCACGGCTGACTGGCAGGTGGGGTGTTTCCCTTTCAAAGCCTCCACTCCCTTACCCATTAAATTGGGGCAACATCACATCTATTATCCTAGAAGTTGCTGTGAATGTGTATAAGAGGATGTAAGCTGTTATTATCATCCTTCCTTATTTTTCTTTTTGAGACAGGTTCTTACTCTGTTGCCCAGGCTGGAGTGCAGTGGCGTGATCACAGCTCACTGCAGCCTCAACCTCCTGGGCTCAAGTGATCCTCCTGCCTCAGCTTCCCGAGTAGCTGGGACTACAGGTTCACACCACCAAACTTGGCTTTTTTTTTTTTTTTTTTTTTTTTTACTTTTAGTAGAGATAAGATCTCACTATGTTAACCAGGCTGGTCTTGAACTGCTGAGCTCAAGTGATCCTCCCACCTTGGCCTCCTAAAATGCTAGGATTACAGGTGTGAGCCATCACATCCAGCCTGTTATCACCCTTCTGTTGTCTCGAGTGTTCTAGGCTGAGAGCAGAAATCTTTGTTCATACTTCTGTATAATGGGCATCATTCTCTATCACAGTCTATTGTGTGTAGTCTGCCCACCAAAAATATGTAAGTCTTGTGGTGGGCAGAGACTGTGTCTGCATTTGCTCAACACTGTCATTTCAACACTTGGCACTCAGGGAACAGCTGGGAAATGCCTTGTACCTTGGCAGTTTCCTTTAGACGTTCCATTCCATGAGGAGTCACCTAACTCTTTGCCTTCAAGGAACCCCAGGCTAGGAAGATGGACTGACTTACTATACAGGTACAGGGCTGGTGATGGACATCTGTGGTTTGTGTCTGCCCATTCTCTAATGACAGGATCCCCAAACTCTCTCCCTTCACCGCCCCCCAACCTGACGTCTCTTTAGGAAACTCCATCTCCTCTCTCTGGGACCACGTGACTTGGTGAGGCTCATCCAAGAACTAGCTAATCAGCATATTTTTCTTCCAACCACAGTGATTGTTTTAGGGATAGCCATGTGACCCATATCAGACCAATGAGACACAGTCTTGGGATTTTTACTTCATCTATTGGGCCAGGAAGGCTCTTTCTACTGGGACTGTAAGCAGAGTAGGAAAAAGAGAAGAGTCAGTCATATTAACTCTTGATGACATTTCAATCTCTAGATCCAGCCAACAACAATTAGTGTCATTGTTATTAATATGTCACTGTATTTCGAGTCCAGATCTCAGACTGTTCGGTTACAGAAGCCAGTGAATTCAAGTTCTCTCTCTTCGCTTACACTGCTTTGAGTGAGGTTTCTATCACTTGCAACTGAAAGAATGCTGAGTAATTTCTAGCTAAAATACGTAAAGGACACAGTTGGTGGCATGAACTAAGTAACGCAGGACTTAGTAATTGTGTCTGAGAACACTGGCAAACACAGGCAATAATTACCCTTGAAAGGGCAAATAAAATTTTAACCAGGCAGCCTCACCCTGACCTTCTTTTGCCACAAGCTAGGCTCTACTCATTTTCTAGTTAAGGTGCAAATGCCCTAGTTCCTGATTTGACATGCACAATATTGAAGAAGGAAAGAAAGAAGAGATGAAGAAATGACAGCCTTCAAGGAGCGATATCATTTAAAATTTAAAGTTGCTGAGTGTTGACTGCACAGTTTGTTAAGAGGGTATGCAAATTATATGCAAACTGTATGCATATTTAAATTGCAAATCCCTTGTGACCTTCCTACACTGTGTTCTACACACCTGGGATGAGGCCCCAGGGGGAAACACTGGTGGGACTTTCAATCAACATGTATTTATTTAATAAGCTCTTACTCTGCCTCTCTGAAAGGTGTTCAGCCTACAAGACTTGGTCTCTGCCCTCGAGGAGTTGGCAAGTAAGCCAGGGAGAAGGGAGGAACCACAAGACACAATTAGTGCATAAGAGAAGACAAGATGTAATTAAGTGCTAAATGCTGGGCTGCAAACTGGAAGCAATTGGGTGAAGTTGCAAGGATGCCAATTTCAGCTCAATGCAAGGCAGAACTTTCTGGTGGACGAACCTGTCACTCAAGGGTAGTACAAACCCAGTTTCCATCTTACCAGAGCTTGATACAGATTTGAAATAATAAGAATAATGATAGTAATCATGGAGCTGGGAATCATACCAAATGGGTTTCAGTACTGGCTCTGTCAACAAACCATGTGACTTTGGCCAAATGCCTTTGTTTCTTCATCTATAAAGCGGGTCTAAATATCGCCCACCTTGCAGCATCATGAGCTTTAGAAATCCTGCAGGTAAGGTTTGTGAAAGACCCAAACTCAGAACAAAAGCAGCAAAATGTCAACAGATGAGAGTCCGGTGGACAGGGTGTGGTGGCTTATGCCTGTACTCCCAGCACTTTGGGAGGCTGAGGCAGTCAGATCACTTGAGGTCAGGAGTTCGAGACCAGCCTGGCCAACCTGGCAAAACCCTGTTTCTACTAAAAATACAAAAATCAGCTGGGCGTGGTGGAATGTGCCTGTAAACCCAGCTACTCGGGTGGCTGAGGCAGGAGAATTACTTGAACCTGGGAGGCAGAGGTTGCAGGGAGCTGAGATTGTGCCACTGCACTCCAGCCAGGGCAACAGAGTTAGACTCCATCTCAAAAAAAAGAGTCAGGTAGAACAGAGTTCAGAGTCCTAGGTCTGCCATTTACAAGCTATTTATGTGGCCTTGGGTGAGTCATTGAGCCTCTCTGAACATCAAAAAATCATCATCATCATCATTATTATTGTTATCAGTGTTGTTGTTATTATGTCACTATAAATCTAATAAAGATGCTATAGAGATTGCTAAGCACCCTTAGCACAGCACCTGGTGCAGGTCTTTAAAAAAATAATGACATGTATGTATTTACACAAACAGGCAAGCACATATTTGTACACATTTGTATTGTAATCAGGACCAGCCTTCCATCTTCTTTAGAAGCCTTCCCAAGAGCAAGTGGGTGTTCCCACTGCTTGCTGATGAGTGAGCTCTTTGAAAATGGAAACCAATCAAAAAGCACACTTACAATTGCACCCCAGAATCATCTCTCTAGCGCTCCCACAATGAATTTTTTTTTTTTTTTTGAGACAAAGTCTCACTCTGCTGCCCAGCCTGGAGTGCAGTGGCATGATCTCAGCTCACTGCAACCTCGGCCTCCTGGTTTCAAGCAATTCTCCTGCCTCAGTCTCCGGAGTAGCTGGGAATACAGGCGCGCACCACCATGCCTGGCTAATTTTTGTATTTTTAGTAGAGATGAGGTTTCGCCATGTTGGCTACACTGGTCTCAAATTCCTGACCTCAGGTAATCTGTCTGCCTTGGCATCCCAAAGTGCTGGGATTACAGATGTGAGCCACCATGCCCAACCTCCTTTCTTAAATGAGTCTTTGTTTGTTTGTTTTAGAAAAGTAGTACACACTAATAGAAGAGTATTTGAGAAATTTCATATACAAATAAATATGTAACTGTGGATTACCCACACTTTCTCTATCCACATAGGGGTAAAGACCACTTCCCAGACTTGTGGAAACAAACATACCACAGGAACCTTTGTGAGCTAAACAACTTCCCAGGTATGACCACAAAATATGTTGTGACAACATATGGGCTAGAGGGCAAATGTCGAATCAGACACTGAGCTGTTTTTCAAGAAGTGCCTGGGAAAATACCAATAAATACTGCCAGTCACTCACCGGAATGACTAAAATGAAAATAAAACTGACAACATCAAGTGTTGTCAAAGATGTGGAGGAACAGGAACTCTTGCAGTGCTGGTAGGACTTTCACTCGGTACATCACTTTGGAAAACCAGCAATATAATCATTAACACTAAACACCTGCCCATCCTATGACTGAGGAATGTCACTCCTACGTACATGGCTGTTTTGTACTGAATTGTGTCCCACCCAAAATTTGTATGTTGAAGTCCTCTCAGTAGGGTCTTTAAAGAGGTGATCAAAGATTAATGAGGTTACTGGAGTAAGCCCTAATCCCCATATGACTGGTGTACCTATAAGAAGAGGAAATCAGGACACAGACATCTACAGAGGGGAAAAAATTTATGTGAAGGCACAGGGCCATTTATAAGCTAAAGAGAGAGACCTCAGAAGAAACCAAAGCTACCAACACCTTGATCTTGGACTTCTAGCCTCCGCAACTAAGAAAACAAATTTCTGTTGTTTCAGGCACCCAATCTGTGGTTCTTTGTCACGGTAGCCCTAGAAACTAGCACAGTGGCCAAGAGAAAGAAGTGCTCCTCCTGCTCACTGAAAGACCTGTGATATGTTCATATGATAGTATATGATGTAGCAGTAAAGAAAGAACAAATTGGATATATGCAACCATATGGGTGAATCTCACAGGCATTGTTGAGTAAAAGAAACCAGACACAAAGAGTACATCTTGTTTGCTTCCATGTATGTGGATGTTTAGGCAAAACTAACATGTGGTGCTAGAAGTCAGAACAGTGGTTGCCTCTGGGAGGTTATTAACTGGAAAGGAGTATAAGAGAGCAAGCTAGAAATGTTCTATATCTCGATCTGGGGTTTGGCTACACATTGTAAATATGTGTAAAAATCAGTCAAGCTGTAATTGTTGCAGAGTCTCTGTGTGGGATGATAAAAAAATTTGGAAGTAGTAGTGGTAATAGTTGTACAAAACTGTGACTGCAGTTCATGCCACTGAATGTTATAGTCTAAAATGGTTCAAATGGGCCGGGGGCAGTGGCTCATGCCTCTAATCCCAGCACTTTGGGAGGCTGAAGCAGGTGGATCGCTTGAGCTCAGGAGTTTGAGACTAGCCTGGGCAACATGGCGAAACCTCGTCTCTACAAAAGATATAAAAATTACCCAGGTGTGGTGACATGTGCCTGTGGTCCCAGCTGCTTGGGAGGCTATGGTGGAAGGATCACCTGAGCCTGAGAGGCAGAGGTTGCAGTGAGCCGAGATTGCACTGCTGCACTCCAGCCTGGTCGACAGAGTCAGACCCTGACACACACACACACGCGCGCGCACACACACACACACACACGTTCAAATGGCAAATTTTAGGTTGCATATCTATTACCACAATAAAAAATGTTCAAAAGAAAAAGAAGTAACCAAGGTGTATGCTTCAGATGTGTGCCCTTTCCTGTATGTTATGCCTCTGGATATAAATAGCAAAAAAACTGTCAGAGAATATTTTACAATATGTACGTGATATAGCTGTGATGTGTACTTTTCTCCAGGAAATCTCATCCTCAAAATGAGGCTATGACTTTTAAAGAAGGGAGGTTTGGCTCACTTCCCTCTAGATTCCCCTTCTCCGAGATTTTCTATTTTATCATTTTTATCTCTTTTCTTAAAATTTCAGTGAATCGTCTTCCCTGATGGCCAGAGTGAGGGTTATGGAGGCCTCATATGAATGAGAATGTCATTGTATAGACTCAAGGAAAAATGTAAAGATCTGATGTAAAGACCTCCCTTTCTAACTCACAACCCTTTACCCCAAAACTCATTTTTGGTTGGTTGGTTGGAGAAGAAGTTTATGAAAAGGGCATAATTAACAGCGCAGGTGCCTTTTGTTACAAGCAAATAATAACAGCGGAAAAAACAGACATATAATTAGTTGGGCTTTTTTGGTGCTCGAGTGTTACTACTGCGGATATTAAGTAAAGAACATGACGCCCGATTGTGCTCTGAGTATGGGGTTGATTCACTTTCAGCTGGTGGAGATGTGGGTTTTTGGGGGAAGTTGAAAGTGGACTTGAATTTTTTTTAATAAAATAAAAAAGATTAACTCCTGAAAAACACATGAGTGAGTGGTTGCAATTTTTTCCTAAGTCTTCCATTGTGGAAGTCTTCCCAAGACCACTTTCTTCTGTGTTCTAGTCATTGTCACTTGGATAAGCAAAAGTATAAATCCTTTATAAAGATGTTCTATTATAAAGACACGTGCATATATATGTTCACTGCAGCACTGTTCACAATAGCGAAGACATGGAATCAACCCAAATGTCCATCAGTAATATAATGGATAAAGAAAATGTGGTACTTATACACCATGGGACACTATGCAGTCATAAAAAAAAATGAGATCATGTCCTTTGCAGGGACTGGGATGGAGCTGAAGGCCATTATCCTTAGTAAACTAATGCAGGAACAAAAAATCAAATAACACATCTTCTCACTTCTAAGTAGGAGCTAAATGAAGAGAATACATGGACACAGAGAGGGGAACAATACACAATGGGGCCTATTAGAGGGCAGAGAGTGGGAGGAGGGAGAGGATCAGGAAAAATAACTAATAGGTACTAGGCTTAAAACCTGGGTGATGAAATAATCTTTACAACAAACCCCAGTGACACAAGTTTAACTATGTAAGAAATCTGCACATGGGCCCATGAATTTAAAAGTTAAAAAAAGATTTCACTAAAAAAAAGTTTGATGTTCTCTTCCACAAACTCTCACTGTTATAACCTATTTCTGTTAATCAAATAAACTAGGGAAAAGACTAAAGCCCATATCTGTCATGCCTACCCCATCAAAACAAAACAGAGAGCAACAGGGAGCAGGGGCACTTCTCAGCCCCACAGTTAATCCAGAAGCTCCTAGCACATGTCCACCTCTGCATGGGATGCCAAGTAGAGAGGGATGCGGGTACTACTTTCTGACCCTCTGCCTATGATGTTCTGCCTGCACCCAAAGATGCTGCTAGTATTTCCTGAGACCTTTGCTCAAAATCCACAGAGCATGTATTCAAAATCAAGCCTTCTGTATCATCTAGGCATGTTTTTACCTGCAAGTGGCACATGGTACCTTACACAGATAAGGGTCTATTTTTCTTACATAACAATATGTCTAGAGGTAAACAGCTGCTGTGTTCATTCAGAAGCTTGGTGATGTCAGGGGTGGTGCCTCTATGTTTCTCTGAATCTTTCCTTCATGATTGTTATCTCATGTTCTCAATTGGCTACTCAGGATCTAAGCATGATGTTCATATTCAAGGCAGGACAAAGGGAGGAAAGGGTGGTGCCAGCTTCATCTTGTCCTTTTTTCAATTGAGAAAGTAATCTTCAGTGCAAAGAGGCTAGAAAATAAATATTTGGCTTTCCAGGCACTATAGAGGAAAGAAGCCAGGGCATGGGGTGAGAATAGTTACAGAATGTCTACTCGGCTAGCTAGCCTCCAGGCCATCTTTGACACACCTTCCACATGGGTGAAATCTGCCTATCCATGTGAATATGGTAAGCATGAAGGCTGAAGTTCTTGAGTTTCAGAGTATCAGGGCTTCCAAGATGGCTGGATTTGTATGTCTCTATTCTCAATTCTTCTTCTGGGTTCTCTCAGAAGTGGATGCCAAGAAGGAATTTGACATGCAAGAGATTTATTGGGGGAAATGCCTATGAAGGATAAAGGAGAAGGGAAGAGGAGGAGGTGGGGAGAGGCTTTAGACCACGATGCGGGTCTGACACCTGGGAAAGGAGAAAGGGAAGGAAAGAGGATGTGGGAGGGAGATGCTGAAGCTGCCTGATTAGCCTCCAAGCACGTGTTGTCTACTAGAAGAATCTTCATCAGGCAGGATGGGCTGGCACTGGCACCCTCACCCTACTTAGTTACTGGCTCAGTGCGGCCAGGAGAATATGGCCTCATAAAAACGCTGTAGTGGATTTGACCATGCAGCAGCTGGAGACGATCAGCCAACCGCCCTAATTACAGCAGGTTTCCTTA
Source organism: Homo sapiens (assembly GCF_000001405.40). Taxonomy (NCBI): domain Eukaryota; kingdom Metazoa; phylum Chordata; class Mammalia; order Primates; family Hominidae; genus Homo; species Homo sapiens. Next base: position 9,551,159 of record NC_000016.10, on the reverse strand, counting down.
AAGGCATATGTAAGCAAGGGACCTCTGTGGCTGCAATTTCAGTCCCTCTCCTATACCTTCGCTTACCTCATCCTTTATCATACCAAAACTATGTGAAATCCTGAGCCTCTGGAAGTTCTATGCAGGAGGACTTCAGTTGGTCATCTTACTGCAAAGAGATGGGGCATTGTTTCGAAGCTGCATTTGCATAGCAGTCATGGCTGCTGTTTTACATGGGTTGCATGGTCACTCCACATGGCTTAGGGTGGATGCTAAAACCACCCCTATGAACCTTGTTTTCTGTTGAATTGTGTTTCCCAAGAAGATAATATTGCAGTCTTGATCCCCAATATTTGCAAATATGACCTTATTTAGAAATAGGGTCTTTGCAGATGTAATCAAGAAGAGGGCCTACTCGTCCTAACCCAATGACTGGTATCCTTATAAGAAGAAGAAATTTGGATGCAGAGACACACCAGAGAATGTCCTGGGATGACAGAGGCAAAGATTAAAGTGGAGCATCTACAAGCCAAGGAACACCAAGGATTGCTAGAGGTCACCAAAATCTAAGAGAGAGGCATGGAACAGATTCTCTCGGTGCCTCCAGAAGGATCAATCCTGCCGACACCTAGATTTCAGACTTCTAATCTCCAGAACTGTGAGAGAATCAATTTCTGTTGTTGTGAGCCACTCAGTTTGCAGTAATAGTATCCCTAGGAAACTCACACACCTCTGTGGATGCTGGCCTTGTCCTGGGCTCCTCCACATGTCTCACAGCCACACACAAGGCCATCAACTCAGACATGGTGGCCAGGATTCTCCTAGTCTTGCAAACTGAGGCTGCAGGTCAGAGAATCTCTCCTGCTTTTTGGGTATAGGGAATAAAATTATCATGCCTGGGCGTTATCAGGTCTCATTTGACTTGCTTCTACATGAGATCTTTCTGTATAGTGTGATATTAGAGGAACTCCCTGGACTTAGGAGCCCAAATGTTCATGATGAGTCAGGCTTTGGGTTGAGAGCCCAGGCTTTGGGGTCAGGTGACCTGAATGTGAATTCTGTCTTCAGCTGTTCGTGGTTAGAGCAGCTTGGGGAGTGTATTAGTCCACTTGGGCTGCCATAACAAAATACTATTATAGACTGGGTAGCTTAAATAACAGAAATCTGTTTTCTCATAATTTTAGAAACTGAGAAGTCCAAAATCAAGGCACTGGCTGATTGAGTTCCTGGTGAGGGCTCTTTTTCTGTCTTGTAGACGTTCACCTTCTCACTTTGTCCTCATATGGTACAGAGAGAAAATGCTCTGGCGTCTCTTCCTTTTCTTATAAGGGCATCAGTCCTATCAGATCAGAGCCTTACCCCTCTGACCTCATTTAACCTTTATCACCTCCTTGCAGTTCCTGTCTCCAAATACGATCCCATGGGGGGTTAGGGCTTCAACACAGGAATCGAGGAGGGGAGGGACAGGAAATTCAGTCCACAACGGGCAGCAACACAACTTCTCAGAGCCTTAGCTTTTCTTGTAAAATGAAGTTGATAATACTTCCTTAAAGAGTTCTGGGAAGGATTCAGTGAAGTCCCTCCTTCATGTGAATGACAATTATATGGCAAATTTTTACCATTATTGTCATCATTATTTTAAAAACAATAATGAGGGCCAGGCATGGTGGCTCACGCCTATAATCCCTGCACTTCGAGAGGCCAAGGCGGGCAGATCACAAGGTCAGGAGATTGAGACCATCCTGGCCAACATGGTGAAACCCCGCCTCTACTAAAAATACAAAAAAAAAAATTAGCTGGGAGTGGTGGTGTGCGCCTGTAGTTCCAGCTACTTGGGAAGCTGAAGCAAGATAACTGCTTGATCCCAGGAGGTAGAGGTTGCAGTGAGCCAAGTTCGTACCACTGCACTCAAGCCTGGCGACAGAGTGAGACTCCATCTCAAAAAAAAAAAAAAAAAATACTGATAATGAGGATGATGATAATTCTGCTGTTCTGGAGAGTGCCTATCTTTGAATACTCCTTACTCTGCCCTCTTTTAATTATTTCTTTTCTAAAAATCCCATTCTTGGCCAGGCATGGTGGATCACACCTGTAATCCCAACACTTTCGGAGGCTGAGGCAGGTGGATGACCTGAGGTCAGGAGTTCGAGACCAACCTGGCCAATATGGTAAAACCCCATCTCTACTAAAAATAAAAAATAAAAAATAAAAAAAATTAGCCAGGAATGGTGGTGGGCACCTGTAATCCCAGCTACTTGGGAGGCTGAGGCAGGAGAATCTCTTGAACCCAGAAGGCAGAGGTTGCAGTGAGCCGAGATTGCACCACTGCACTCCAGCCTTGGCAACGAGAGGGAAACTCCGTCTCAAAAAAACAAACAAGCAAAAAACTCCCATTCTTGACTCCAGTTTCTGGAATTCTCAATTGGGAAATTAAGTACAGTTTAGGGTATCAGTAAAGCAGAGCCCCAGAGAGACTGAGCCTAAAAGAGAATTAATAAGAACATCTGAAAGGAGAAAGCAAGAGCAAGCAAACAAGAATAAATGTATTTCAGCACAACTATATAAATGTGTGTATTTTGAAAAACAAAATTATATGTTACTGCTTACTGTTATTTTGTTCTAAATTGCATATGGCAGCAGTGTGATTGATATTTTCAGAGCGCTGGGCCTCTAAATACTCCAACTGTACCTTATTGATTTTACCTTGTTATGTAACCCTATATGCACCAATGCACCCCACCACCCCCCAACCAGGAAACAGAATAGCATGTGGAAAGGCCCTTTGGCAGAAGAAAGGATGGAAAGTCAAGTTGCAAATGGCAGGCCAGTGTGGCTAGACTAGTGTGAGGCGGAAGGAGAATGTTTTAAGACAACTATGATGTGATAGGGCATTTTAAATGATCCCTCTGGCCTCTGGAAGCCACATGGAGAAAAGGTTGAAAGGAGTGAGCATGGACCTGGGACAGCAGGGGCAGCATCCCAGATGAGAGGTAGTGATGGAAATCACTACTGATACTTATATGACTTAATAATAACAATAAAGTCTAATTCCACCTCTCATTTATGCCTCACAAACAGACTGGGGCGTGTACTGCCTCTGCTCAGAACAAAGCCTAGAGCTGCCTCATCTTGCAGATTCCAGCCCAGGACAAGCGGAGAACAGTAAATGTCAGAATCAGACAATTTGCAAAGACATTAAATCCCCAGCCCCAGACCTAGCTGCAGGTCTGTATGCTACAGGACAGAAGCATAATTTTCCATAACCCAGAGCGGACGTGAAATGTGAAGACAAATCCCAATGCAGGTATTTGGTGACCGAGAACAGAGACTTGGAAGAAAGAGAACGGAAGCAGGAGTAATTGAGGAGCTGTTCTCTGCTCATTGTTCCTCTATCCCCTCATTTAATCCTCCCAGCCACCCTGCAAGGGAGAGTTTACTCTCCCCATTTCCTAGGTGAGCAAACTGAGGCATAGAGGGCCTGAATCCCTTTTTGATTTATAGACAGGGTCTTGCTCTATTGCCCAGGCTGGAGTACAGTGGCACCATCCTAGCTCACTGAAGCCTGGAATTCCTGGGCTCAAGCAATCCTCCCACCTCAGCCTCCTGAGTAGCTGGGACTACAGACATGAGCCACCATGCTCCACGAAGGGACCGAATGCCTTGACCAAGTGATGGAGCCATCTTGACTATGGTTTCCTTGTAACTGATTCCTGAGTTTCTGACCTTAGCCACAGTGCTAGATAATCACTCTCCCCAGGGTTGCAGCAACCTCAAAAGAAGGGCCCTAATCTCATGACTAAAACAAAGGCCTATGTGACTCCTAAGAGAAATAAGGACTAACACCTAGTCCCCACCCTCCATATGCATGTCTCCAAGCCACGCACGGGGGTCATCGCACGCTAAGACGCTCTGACGGAGGCACTGTTGATATTAATACTCCTACTCAGTAGATGAATAAATGGCTCTGAGAGGTAAAGTTACTTGTCCAGGGAACACAGACGGTTGGGTGGATTTGAGTCTGCACTATTTGTTCTGCCTGGGAGGAGACAGGTCATAGTGCATAGGTAACATGATTGAAGACATCAAGCTGCTCTTTTATTATTTTCACATTGATACTGAAGAGTGGCATAACTGTTATGGAATGTATTGTTCTTGTTTCTTTCTCTCTGCACATCCAATTTATAAAAAAAAATAAAAATAAAAAACCATGCACTCTTTTTTCAAAGTGCAGAGGATCCAATCACTTCTAGCCACCTTCAGTGCTCATACTTTGCCCCAAGACCCCGTGGTCTCTCACCTAGATTATCACAATGGCCTCCTGATCAGCCTGTCTGCATCCATCCTCGCTCCCCACCTATCTGCCCCCTCACATGAGTGTCAGAACGGTTCTGTTAAGATGTAGTCGGGTCAGAGCACTCATCTGCTCAAACCTCAGCTCACTCAAGGTAAATCCCACATCCTTCACAATGGCCTACAAAGCCCCATGTGATCTGATCAACACCTCCTATTTTCTCTTCCAGCTCATCTTCTCTCTCTAATCCTCTCTTTTCCCTCTGCACTCTCTCTGGCCCTCAGGCATGCTCCTGCCCCAGGGCCTTTGCACGTGCCCTTCCCTGGAATGCTCTTTCTTCAAATACCTGCAGGCTTCACCTTCACATCTCTTTCAGGCTCCTACTCAACTACCATCTCTTCCAAAATTCTTCCCTGACCACCCTGTAGGACACACCCATGTCCCTCTCTACCTTCCATACTCTGCTTTACTTTTCCCCTGTGACCCCTGACATAGCACATATTTATCTCTGTTTTTTGTTTGTTTGTTTGTGTTTTCAAATAACCTACCTTCCACACTGCAAAGTAAGCGCCATGAAGCAAGAGAGGGAAGTGGCTTTGTTTGGTCTGCTGCTGTATGCACAGTACCTAGGACAATGTCTGGTGCAGAGAAGGAGGGCAAGAAATATTTATTAAATGAATGCGTGAATAAATAAATGCTCGGGATAGAAAAAATCAGACATGAGGACATGAGGCTTTCCCTTATCAAAGGCCCCCTATTGTAAGGGTAAGAGAAAGGAAAATGTGTTTATAGTGCACCTACACTGTGTCAACATGGCAGTTAGGAGGGCAGCTCTGACTCAGACAGGGCTAGATCCAGATTCCTGACTTTGCCTCTTGCTAGCTGGGTGACCTGGGAAAATTACCTGCCTGCTCTAAGCTCAGCCCCCTCACCTACGCAATGTGGATACTGAGATCACCTGCCACCAAGGATGTCCTAGGTAGGAGATACAAAATGCATTCCAAGTGCCTGATGCCTGAGAAGTGGCAATAAATATTAGCTATTCAAATTTTTACATCAGCTGACCTCCCTGAGACAGTAAAAGTGCCTCTTCCCTGAAGTACAATCAGGACTTTCAAATTTATTTTTTTTCAGATGTGAGGTAATCAGAGTGCAGAGAGGAATTCCACCAGATAGAAAAATCCAAGAACTGACCTAAATAAACATTCCTCCCTCATATCATTTTTGACCTTTGCTATTTAAACTTTGAAATGATGCAATACACGGACGCTCCACCTGAGATACCCAGACACCAATTACCTCCACATTTTAATCTCTGATTCCAGACTTTGATGGCCTGCAGTAATTCTGGAAGCTATTTTTCCGGATAAGAAAATGATCAGCACGTATGCCGTACATAAGTAGTATTTGGGCTTGAATGGTCACAGAAAGAAGGCAGCAGGGAGCACGTTTGTTTGAGGCACAGGTATTTGGTTGGAAGAACTCTGGTCCAATAGTCCTATGAGTAAGGTCCTGAGAATTAGCACAGATCATTTACTTCTCTCTTGGGTCCCCTGGGGTTAGCTTTTACATTTAGGCAGAGACCCCCAAGCTTGCATGTGTCACTGTGATAGAGGACGTATTTCTCCTATGCTGATTCTGCTTTACTTGTTCATTAAAATCACCATCATCTGAGCAAAAAGGCAAAGTGTGGAACATTCGGTATCTTGTAATCCCACTTATGTAAATTATATAGATGTGTGTTTCTTTAAGCACTGGAAAGATATCTGGAAAGATGCTCTTTAAAATAGAACGTGGTTAAATGGCTATTTAGGGCTGATGGGAATTTGGATGAGTTGAGGGGTTTTTTGTTGTTTTAATCTTCCTTGTATTATTTGAAGTTTCTAAAATTTCTGCAAATTATCTGTGTAATAGAAAAGAAACAATAAAGCTATGTTCATTTCCAAAGGAAAAAAGTCATCACCATCATTACCATCATCATCATTATCGTGATCATCATCATCACAAACAACATTGGACCGTGGCCAGTTACCATGCTTGAATTTTCCCGTATTTGTGGCAGAGCTGGGGTCTGGTACCTAGTGGTGCCCATTCTAAGAAGGCCAACTGGGGGTCGGGCATGATGGCTCATGCCTGTAATCCCAGCACTTTGGGAGGCCGAGGCAGGTAGATCACGAGGTCAACAGATCAAGACCATCCTGGCCAACATAGTGAAACCCCGTCTCTACTAAAAATACAAAAATTAGCTGGGCATGATGGCATGTGCCTGTAGTCCCAGCTACTCAGGAGGCTGAGACAGGAGAATGGCTTGAACTGTGGAGGCGGAGGTTGCAGTGAGCCAAGATCGTGCCACTGCACTCCAGCCTGGCGACAGAGCGAGACTCCGTCTCAAAAAGAAAAAAAGAAGGCCAACTGGGAGGCCAATGAGTTGACTGTTGGTTTCCTAATGAATGGAGGTTGCAAGTTATTTGGGCATTTGTCAATGGCATCTAAAAGTCCTAAACTGATGTGCCACGTGGGGCAGTGCTGACTCTCATCTTTCCCACTTCTACCTGTATTTGTAGAAGTGAGCAACTTGATGGGGGTCCAAATGCTGGCAGTCTGTTTGTTGAACAGAAGTATTCTAACCCCCTTAGCACAGAGGCAAGTGGGCAAAAGAGAGGGCACAGAGATTTCTGGTCACTCCAAGCCATGCCAGGCTGAAACTTCCTGGCGGTGTCGAGGAAAAAGGCTGATGAATTTCCCTCATTTATTCCTTTATTAATTAGTACGTGTTAGGCATCTACTGCAGGGCAGACACTAGATCAAGGCTTGGATGTGATCCAGAAAAAAACACCTGTCCTCATGGAGCCCACAATCTAGAGGGGAAGGCGGGCAGTAAACGTATAGTAAGGCTTTGCAAAACTAATCTTAGATGGGCAGTGCTGAGTAGAATATAAATCAGACACTGAGATAGTCTAAATCAAGAGTCAGTAAATCACAAACTAATAACGATTTTTTTACATTTTTAAAGGGTTGTAAACAAACAGGATAATATGTAATAGGGACTTTTGGTGCCTCATAAAGCCTGAAGTATTTACTCTGGCCCTTTGCTGAAAGTTTGCTGATGCTTGGAAAAATCAAAAAGGACACAGGGAGAGGACATGTAAAGGCAGAGAGGTCAGAAGAACCTCTCTGAGGATGCAACACAAGCTGAAACCTGACCAAGCAGGACCCAGTCACGGGAATAGCCCACATGGTCCAGAAAGAGAGTCATCAAGTGCTAAGGTCCTGAGGCAGGGAGGAGGCAAGTGTGGCTGGAACATTATAGTGGAGGAGATGGGTGGTGCGAGGTGCAGGGAACCAGGGGAGTAACCAGGGGGCCACAGCATGCAGGCTGCGGCGAGTAGCAATAGGAAGCGGTGAGCTCTGAGCTCTGGAGATGTCTGCCTGTGTGTCTGCCTCGCCATCTGTAGACATCTATCTATACGTATCTCTCACTGCAATGAAGCAATATTTAGATAGACAATAGAGAGATAGATTGATTTACTTTTTGTTGTTGTTGTTGTTGTTGTTGTTGTTGACTCAGAGTCTTTCTCTGTCACTGGAGTGCAGTGGTGCAACCTCGGGTCACTGCAACCTCTGCCTCCCGGGTTCAAGTGATTCTCGTGTCTCAGCCTCCCCTGTAACTGGAATTATAGGTGCGTGCCACACACCCAGCTAATTTTTTGTATTTTTAGTAGAGACAGGGTTTCACCATGTTGGCCGGGCTGGTCCCGAACTCCTGACCTCAAGTGATCCACCTGCCTCAGCCTCCAAAAGTGCTGGGATTACAGGCATGAGCCACGGCACCCGGCCTGATTTACTTTTAATTTTGAAATAATTATAGATTCACAGCAAGTCACAAAATAGTACATAGAGTCCCATCAGCCCTTCACTCATTTTCCCCAATGGTGACATCTTGTAGGACTTACAGAAGTGGCAAATTGACATTGGCATGATACTATTAACTAGACTGCAGAACTTGAGTTCATTTATATTTGTAATCGCTCTGGCCACCCCATGGAGAACGGATTAGTGGCAGGCTTGAACTGCAGGTAGAGGGTGTAGCAGGCTACTGCAATTATCCAAGCAAAAAAGAAAAAAGAATATGAAGAAAAATAGACAGATCTCAGTTTTCTGGGCAGTTCATTTCCACTTTGTTTCAGTATCTGGCCTCCTTATGAGCACCAACAGTTTCATGGGACAGTAAAGATGAAATAAAGTGACGTATATAACTATCTAGCACCGTATCCCAGACCCTGGTGCAGTGTGCTCCGTAAACATGAATCCTCTGCACGTCCTCCCCCTCCATTCTCAACGGGGATGGAAGGTTGATGAGTAAACAGCCTTGCTGTGGTAATGTGGGAAAACAGACTGAAACACTGCAGGCCTTGGGGCTCGAGTCCACTCAACAAAACATTTCTCATGTCATAAGGACTCAATAATGTTATCCAATTTGTGATTGAACAAAACAGCCCAGGAGTACACACAGAACACCAGCAGAGTGTGTAAGTGTATGGACTCTTGAGCCAGACAGCCTGAGTCCAAATCCTGGCATTCATAGCTGTGTGGTCTTGGGAAGGTTTCTGAATCTCTATGAAGGACATTTACACCTAACTCAGGCAGCTATTATCCTGTCTCTCTCTTCCCCGGTTTCCTTTCCCCTGCAGTGTAACATTGACGCAAATCACTTACCTTCTTGTTTCAGTTTCTTCTTCTGTAAAATGGGATGATAATAATGACACCTCTTTCAGTGGATTATCAAGGGCATTAAATGAATAGACACATATAAAATACATAGAAAAAAAGCCTAGCCTATACTGTTAATAAATGCTCCAAAAATGCTCCTTTTGTTATTCCTTCTTCCCCACTGGAGAACGACCTCTCCAAATTGAGCCAATTGAAGGCTACTGGGGAAAATATTGTGCAAAATATGTGACACATTCTGTGTTTACCGTAACGATCCTTTCCGTGAAATGCATTGGGAGTTGCCAGAATTAGACTCAACATTCAGTAAATCATGATAACGTGAGGTTAGCTTTCCAGTGGCCCATCATTTGAGGAAATACACACAACCTCCAAGAATTTCTGAGAAGCCAGAAAAATGTGATCATGGTTCCTGAGAATAGAAGAAGGGAATATCTCCTTCCCCTTCCCAAGTTTCCTGGGACCCCCCTAGCACATGGGTCAAACTACAACTCAAATGCTGATCCCTGTTTTCACTTCTACTCCTAATAACTGATTGAGGAGGCTATAGGTGGCTCCTAGAGAAAAGAAACATTTTTTAAGTTCCCTAATAATTACGGCAGTCACCATGTTTGGGAACTACCCAAAAATGCATGTAAAACACCCTACAAAATATTCGGCACATAATATGGGCTCAATAACGTGAGCTGCTTTAAGATTTCTTGAAATAGCCTCGGGATACATAAAGGACACTAGTGGAGTGGTTAAAAGAGTGGACTCTTGGGCCAGACCTCCTGAATTCAAAGGCTAGCATTAATAGCTGTGTGGTTTGGGGGAAGTCTTTTTAACCTCTACAAACTTTTAATATGAAGATAATAATAGTACCTATCTCATAGAGCTCTTGTATAGTTTAAAAGAATTAATATGTGTAAAAATGCACATAAACAGTAACTAGCAAATGACACAGGGAAAATTGTGTGTTAGCTCTAACTATCCCTTCCATGAAATGCACTGGGGGTTGCCAAAATTAGACTCAAGATTCTGGCTGGGCTTGGTAGCTCATGCCTGCAATCCCAGTACTTTGGGAGGCTGAAGCAGGCAGACCACTTGAGGTCAGGAGTTCAAGACCAGCCTGGCCAACATGGTGCAAACCCATCTCTACCGAAAATATAAAAAAATTAGCCGGGTGTGGTGGCACGTGCCTGTAATCCCAGCTACTCGGGAGGCTGAGGCAAGAAAATCTCTTGAACCCGAGAGGCAGAGGTTGCAGTGAGCCAAGATTGCGCCACTGCACTCCAGCCTGGGCGACAGAGCGAGACTACGTCTCAATAAATAAATAAATAAAAGATTCAGTAAATCACCGTAACATGAGATTACCTTTCCGGTGGCCCATCATTTGAGGAAATATGGACAACCTCCAAGAATTTGTGAGAAGCCAGAGAAATATAATTTTATTTTCATTTGCTCTAAGCAAGTCATATAAGAAAGTCCTGTAGAATCTTTGGAAGATTACAGAAGCTGTTAAGATTCTGAAACTAGATTAAGAAAAACAAAATCACAGAAGATGCTGAATGGTAGCAAGGTTGGGACACAAATGTGGTTTCGTTTTCATTACAGCTTCTGTAGGAATTAATCAGCTTGATACCAAGTGGCAATGTTGTTTTTTTACCAAAACACATTATTTTAGCACAGTCTAAGTGAGCTGATAAGACCAGATGCACATGCGCACACACACACACACACATACACACACACTCACTCACCCTCCTCAGCTCAAAGTCTAGTCAATTAAAACAAATGGGATTCCAGAAAAAAAAAAAAATGGGTCTCTAGGTTGGCATGAGTCCATGAGAAAAAACTGGAAGACATTAGCCTTAGCCTCAGCCTTGTATGTAGCTAACAGGTCTGCAAGGTATAAGGTAAGAGGACACGAGACAGGTATACCTGGAACACCTTCCCCAGTCTTCAGCCAACTTTCAGAGAACTGGTTGAAATCCAAAAGATTTGGGTTTAAATTGTGGACCTGTTCCTCCCAGCTCTGTGACCCTGGGTAGATTCACTAAGCCTAAGACTCCAAAATTGTAAAACAGGCTTCCCTTAGAATGTTAAGAATGAGATGATCTGGTGTTCAATACTTCTTACTATGGTGCCCACACCTGCTAACTGAATAGCCCACATGGGGTGGCAGTCACTTTTTTGTTGTGACTTGTTCTCTTCCATCCGAGCTTTACAGCTCAGATTTGCCACTCACTGCTAGATTCCAGACTATTTTAGCTTCCTCTTGGTTATGGCTTGGCCTCTGCAACCCAGCTCAGATGACTGTGTTGCCTGGATAAGACCCCAGGAAGCTTCCCACGGCTGCCAGCTCCCTCTAGCATGCCAGTCCTGTTTCAAACTGGCCTTCTGGCCACAACCCCACAGCCCTCTGATGTCTGAAAGGCTCAGTTAGAAAGTCTTCCCTCTTTGGAGTAAGCATTGCCCTTTTTCCCCATGCATATGCTCCTAGGAAGCCATGAAATCTCATTCCTTTTACAAGTGCATTTATCAGATATCTTTTGCTGCAATGCAGTAAAGATTGAAGAGGGCTATGGACAATGGACTTGGGTATATTTGTTTTCTGTATTTGCTGTAACAAATTACTACAAACTGAGTGGCTTAAAACAACAGAAATATAATCTTTCACAACTTAGGTGGCCAGAAGGGCAAAACCACCCTCACTGGGCTGAGCAGGCACACCCCCTCCAGAGGCTCCAAGGGAGAGCTTTCCTTGCTTTTCCCAGCTTCTGATGGCACCGGCATTCCTTGGCTTGTGGCTGCATCATTCAAATCTTCAATGTCATTGTCTTCAGATCTGTCTCCATTGCCTCCTTCTCTCCTGTATGTCTGTGTTAGGTCCCTTTGCCTCTCTCTTTTAAGGACGCTTGTGATTATATTTAGGACAAAAGATCCTGTAATCTCCCTGTCACAAGATCCCTAACTTAATCCCTAACTTAATCGCCTCTGCAAAGACCCTTTTCCCAAATAAGTCACATTTACAGGATCCAGGGATTAGGACCTGATATTTTAGGGGGCCATTATTCAGTCCTCTAAGGTGGGTTAAATGAGGCAACAAGTGAGATGGGAAGTCATGTCTGTCGAATACCTGCTATGTGCTAGATCCTTTCCTCAAAACAAGTTCGTGTGCAAAATATCATAATTTCCATCACATGGATGGTGACAGTGTTTTTAGAAAATGAAGCTGACAACAGCAGCAACATTAGTTTTTGTTTTTGATTGTAGATTAAATGGTAATTAATCAGCCCAACACAGAGCACAGGCTGCTTTTCCAACTGCATCACCTGTACCCTTGTCCTACGACTGGCTAACACCTTCTTGTTTTTCAAAACCTCAGCTCGGTGCCAATATCCTTGGGGGGCTTTCCTGCACCCTAGGCTAGGCAATGACCTTTCTTCGGGGCCCCTGGCTTATTCTGTGCTCTCTGATCACTGTGTTGCTTCCTCTCTGTCCCAAAAGACCACACAGCTTCTCTAAGGTCAGAGAGCCCATCTCGACTTGGGGTACCCCACAACTTGCACAGGTAAAGCACAGTAGTTAATAACTATGGAATGAATAAAGTAATGAGATTGAGACTCAGAAAAGTTTATATTATTTTATTTATTTGTTTATTTATTTATTTATTGAGATGGAGTCGTGCTCTGTCACCAGGCTGGAGTACAGTGGTGCAGTCTCGGCTCAATGCAACCTCCACATCCCGGGTTCAAGCGATTCTCCGGCCTCAGCCCCCCGAGTAGCTCGGACTACAGGCGCACACCACCATGCCCAGCTAATTTTTGTATTTTTAGTAGAGACGGGGTTTCACCATGTCGGCCAGGATTGTCTCGATCTCTTGACCTCGTGATCCACCCACCTCGGCCTCCCAAAGTGCTAAGATTACAGGCGTGAGCCACCGTGCCTGGCCAGAAAAGTGTATATTATTTTTCAAAGGTCACACTGGCAGAGTTTTTCTTCTTATAATAAATCAGTTCATTTGCCTTTTAGAAAATTAGAACAGTGCAGATAAAGTCCCTTTGACTTCCGCCTCAGATAGCATTATGAATGTCATTCCTGTTCTTCTAGACCTCTTTTTATTACTTTACATGCACATAAATGTATCCATAAAATACATGGCATTTGCTGTGATTTTTTTACAGAAATGGTATCCTTTTAAATGGATTTCTCAACAACTCATATTTTTTATTCAACAATATGTGTCTTTGAGATCCACCTCTCCAACTGATGTCAATTCATTCCTTTGAGGGCTGTGTTTTACTCCATCATATAAACCATATCCTATTTATTCTTTCCCCTATTGATACACCCTGAGGTTGACTTCAATTGTCTTTAATTATAAAAGGCAGTTTTGCAGTGAAAATTTGCATGCACGACCCATACTGCATGCAGGTAAGTGCTTCTCTTGAGTAGATACTTAGAAGTACTGCTGGGATTTGAACCCAGGTCTTCCTGATTGAAAACTCTTTCTATAGTGTCAAGCTTCTGCTTCTTGTTCTAGCCAAAAATCACAGTTGAGAGTCCTGGAAGGGTCAAGCAGGACTGGGGTAGCTTTGAAGGCAGATGAATCACCTGGAATCCTGAAGACAGAGAATCTGACAGGTCTAAGAGAATCATTAAAGGGAGAAAGAGTTTCAGCTCATTCATCTTTTCACTGTTACACCCTCTTCTCACTTGCTACTTTGTTGTTTAGCAATACAAGAGGCAGAAGGTAGAGGGTCCCTTCCTTAGGACTAAGCAGGACTGGCCACTAGAGCTTCAAAACTGGTCCACACTGGCCCAGCCTCTGCTCATCCAGCTGTGTGACCTTGGATAAGTCTGATAATGCTTTTGATTGACATGCCTTTCCCATCCTCTCTTCCTTTAAAAAAATCACCAAGGATCTGAGACAATCAAACCTGCCTCCAGCCCCTGCCACCTGGGAACCGACATAACGATACCAGCAGTTTTTTCCCTTCTTTTTATTCATTCCTGCAGCCATTGTTTATTGAGCATCTACTATGTGAAAGGCAGTCCTGAGTGTTTCAAGCTCTCCCCCACCAACCCTGCCCCAGGACCTTTGCACAAACTGTTATCTTTAACTAGTCAACTACTCACCTTCTGCCTGTCATTTCAGGGTCATATCCACACATGGAAGCCTTTGCATTCATCGAATTCCCCATTTTTGTAGCTCCCAAACCCTTTTCTCCTTTCTCTCTGGGACTATTTGCCCAGGTATAAATAGAAGATATGGATGAAGAGGATGACTAAAGTATTCGCGTCCTAATACTGGAGAATACTCAGGAAGCCTCCCTCACCCTCACTTTGCTGTTGCACCCCTTACAGTGACCCCATCACCAAGCCCTAATATACAGTTGTTGTTGTTGTTGTTTTATTTCTCACATACATTCTACAGAGTTCCCCTTCTCCCCATTGCCACTGCCACCTCCACACCCATCCTTGGTCACTGTCATTTCTTGCCTGGACTTGCTTATTCCTCTTTACATTTTCACTCAAGCAACTCCCACCAAATCTGTTTGATTCATCTCTTTGAGTGATCTCAAAATTGATGCCAGATGTTATCACTCCTCCCTTGCTTAAAACTGTTCAGTGGCTTTCCACTGCTCTTAGGATAAAGCCCAGAATCCTTGATGTGCACTGGAAAGCCCTCTGTGATTTGACCCTGCCTGCCTCTCCAGTTTCAGCTCACACCTCTCCGCCCCCAGCCGCACTTGTCTTCTTTTGTCTCCTGAGTGTCCTGTGCTCTCTCCCAGCAACCCGCCCCAGGGCCTTTGCACAAGATGTTCTCTTTAGCCAACTCCTACCCACCTTTCACTGTGATTTCAGGGTCGTATCCACACATGGAAGCCTTTGCAGAGTCCAATGATCAAATTCCCCATTTTTGTCGCTCCCAAATCCTTTTCTCCTGATAGCTCCTTTCAACAGATTGGAATCATATTTATCTGTGGAATTACTTAACTAATATCTGTGTCTCTCACTAGACTGGAAGCTCCATAAGGGCTACGTTTGTCTCCATTAGTGTATCCACAGTGCCTTTCACATAGTAGATGCTCAATAAACAATGGCTGCAGGAATGAACAAAAAGAAGGGAAAATACTGCTAGTATCATTACATCCGCTCTTAGGTGGCAGGGGCTGGAGGCAGATTTGATCTTCTCAGATCCTTGGTGATTTTATTAAAAGAGAAGAGGGTGGGAAAGGCAAGTCAATCAAAAGTATTATCACACTGATAATTCAACACATTTAACTTATCTGAGCCTCAGTTTCCCCACTTGAGACCCTGTGTGTCAAAGTACTTAGCACCTTGACTGACATATAGAAAGTGCTCACTCAACGTTTGCTATTGATTCTCATAGGAAGAGCTCAGTAAATGACAGTTGATATGAGGCATGCTTTGATTAGCCAAGATTTGTGGATTCAGGGCTTTAAATGCATGATGTCCTTTGACTCTCATGTCAGCCTATTTGTCAACTTGTTATAGAAAACCAAATCCTCCCCACGATCCAGTGTTTGAACCAATCGTAGCCTGCACCCCACTACTCACAGTGTGGTCCGGAGACGCGCAGCAGTGACAACAACCTGGAACTTGTCAGAAACGCAGAATCTCAGGTCCCATTCCAAACCTCCTGAACCAAAATCTTAATTCTATGTAAGACTCCTAGGTGTTTCAAATGTTTATTAAAGTTTAAGGAGTCTCAAGTCTAGGCCAATCAGACACCTCTGCTCTGAGACTGAGGCTGCTTATGGAACTTCCTAAGAACATGGCTAATAAAGGAACAAGGTGAGGCTAGAACCCATCCCGTCTGATTGCAGACTGAGAGCTTGATCCCTCTACTGTGCTGACTGACATGCATGAAGTGCCTTAGTGAGATAAACAGGCAAGGATCTTGGCCCTCAAATTATGGACAGCCTCACAGTGGAGACAAGGAAGAAAACCAGAAATGTTGATGCAGAAAGCTAGATGCTGTGACGACAGGTGGGGGTGCTATGGCAACCCCACACTCACCAAGGCCTAGGATTCACCAAGAGCAAATATTTTCTAGTGCAAGGAGATAAACACAATGTGTTCAGGCAAGTCCACTGTGCCTGGAACAGGGGCTCACAGAGTTTGGGAAAACAGCTGAGCAGGAGCAGTGGGAAGGAATGAATGAAGCTCTACAGGTGGCCAGTGGCCAGATTCAGAAGGTCAGCAAGCCCGGTGCTTGGCAGCCTGCAAAGATGACGAAGCTGCTCACTTTTGCTGCAGGGAGCTGCTGCAGACCTCCCCCTACAGACCTCCCCCTGCCTCTCATGGGGATAATATTCAATAGTTACAGAACTTTCTTATGCATTCCCTGAAGTGATCTTCGTGGAACTCTAAGAGGCAAGCAAGGAGCCCTGTTTTACAGACTAGCAAAGGGTGCAAAGAAAATGAGTGACCCAAGTTACCACATGGCAGGCTTTAGAGTGGATACGCAGTAAAAAAAATAAAAATAAAAAGGCATTTTCCTCCATATCTGATCAAGGAGAGGAGTTGCTCCGTAATTGTCATGTCTTTTTAAATTTTTTATTTACTTTACTTTTTTTATTTTACATATTTTTATTTATTTACATATTTTTGAGATGGAGTCTTGCTCTGTCGCCCAGCCTGGAGTTCAGTGGCACAATCTCGGCTTACTGCAGCCTCCAGGTTCCAGCAAGTCTCCTGCCTCAACCTCCTGAGTAGCTGGGACTACAGGTGCGTGCCACCATACCTGGCTAATTTTGTGTGTTTTTACTACAGATGGGGTTTCCCATGTTGGCCAGACTGGTCTTAAACTCCTAACCTCAAGTGATCCACCCACCTTGGCCCCCCAAAGTGCTGGGATTCCAGGCATGAGCCACCACGCCTGGTGTCAAGTCATTTTTTAAATGTTGACATATCTACCTTCCCTACTTCTCTTCATCGTGTTCCCATGAAATGGACTGGAAGAGATGCTTAATGATGAGGAAACCGAGGCACAGAAGGGATAAGCAACTCTCTTAAGATTCTACAGCAACTGGCCATGCTGGGGAAATTGTCTTAATAACACTAATCATCAGCAGATACTACTTATTACCAACAATATTATCAGCCAGGCTCTTTGTTACCATTCTCTCATTTAAATTGTTCAACGGCCCTAGGATTGGGCATCATTTTTGTGATGATTGTGTAAACAAGTTGGCTCTCTGGAAGATTAAGGAGTTAGGGAAGACCATGCTCAGAACCCAGGGCCCAAACCCACATCCTTTGTCACTAGGCCATCCTGCCTATGTGCCTGCCTGTGTCTCTTTACTACTTCACTGGGACACATGTGGCTTTTATTTTCCTGTCCACTTTGATAAATACACCTTTCCCACGTCTCACCTTATAAGAGAGTTGGAATCCAGTTGTGAACCATGGGCACCCACTCTGCTCTCAAGGCTGGTGACAGCAACCCCAAGGAACCCTGAACTCAGAAGGAGCCACAAGACAGCAACAGGCTGGGATGACAGATGTTGCAGCCCCAAAAGCCAGCTCAGTCTATCACTTCGCAAACAGAAACATGTCTTTAATTATATCGGTTAGCTCAGCACAGCGAGGGGGTCTGGAGACAGATGATCGGTGTCTCCAAACAAGCAAGCCTTTTCAAGCTGTGCATCAATGCCGCGAGTGCACTTAATTCCATTTGTCACCTGCTTGGCAGCCATCAACCCCTTGATTGAGCTGAATGAGCTGACATCATGCATTTAGGCAAAATCATCAGGTTCCTATGTTTTGATTTTTAAGTTTATTGATGTCTAAAAGAAAAGCAAGAAAATCAAATCTCTCAGGATCAAAGTTTGAACCTGTTGAGCAGAGAGAGTGTTTAGTTTTATTGGCCACCTGCTATTGGGGATTATTGCACAATAGCACTCTGCAATGATTTTTTGGTAAGAAAGTTTCATTCACGGGCGGGGTGAGAAGGACGGGCATTAAGTACCTAGCACAGTTTCTGGCACAGAACTCAACTCAAAACATGAGAGACTCTGTCAATGTTATTGTTTTTACAAGCAATAATGTAAACCTTTTCAATAAACCCTTGTTTCACAGCTGTATCCCCAGACTTAGCACAGTGCCTGGTACATAATAGATGTTCAATAAATACCTGTAGATGGAATGAATGAATGATGAATGAATAAAGCCAAGCAGATGAGTATTATAATTCCCATTTGCAGTATTTGTCATTTGTAGTGTGTAGTGTGTTTGCCACAGCATGTCAGGAACCAGAAACGTAGATGGTTTTGCAAATGAACTTGAGTGCTTCATGAATGGATAAAGGTTCACATATAGATCACTTTCAACCAGAGGACCAAGCACAGGGCAACTGTCAAAAGACTGCCTTTAGCTGGGCACAGTGGCTCACATCTGTAATCCCAGCGCTTTTCTTTTTGGCTACCCAGAACCTGAAAAATGTTCCTTCCTTTGCCTGGGGCATTCCAGGCAGAGCTCACTTTCCACTGTTGAAGGTAAAGATGCCAAATACCCACTTTCTTGGGCCTTAGCAGCCACCACACTCTACCAATCAGCTGTGCCTGCTCCAGAGTGAAATTGGAGCTATGAGCCCTAAAAAATGAGGGACAAGTGAAATCCATGTTTAAAATAGATGCTGGTGGTGGTGGCAACTTTTCTGATTTCCCTGGACACAAAGGGCTGCTGGGCTAACAGTATGAGTGAAGCTGGGAGAGATGGCAGCCTGTTCTGCTGGGAGATTTTGGGAGCTGATGATGCTTGCATAGCTCAGAGTCTACTCCCTGACCCTCTGAGGGAGAGCTTCCTTACAAACACTGAGGCTTAGCTTGTTGCCTACAACCAATGTCCCCAACCATTCATTCTGTCGTTTCCCCAAGGTCACAGCTATTAAGTGGCGGAGCCAGTTAACAATCAAAACCACAATGAGATACCATCTCACACCAGTTAGAATGGCAATCATTAAAAAGTCAGGTAACAACAAGTGCTGGAGAGGATGTGGAGAAATAGGAACACTTTTACACTGTTGGTGGGACTGTAAACTAGTTCAACCATTGTGGAAGTCAGTGTGGCGATTCCTCAGGGATCTAGAACTAGAAATAGCATTTGACCCAGCCATCCCATTACTGGGTATATACCCAAAGGACTATAAATCATGCTGCTATAAAGACACATGCACACGTATGTTTACTGCGGCACTATTCACAATAGCAAAGACTTGGAACCAACCCAAATGTCCAACAATGATAGACTAGATTAAGAAAATGTGGCAAATATACACCATGGAATACTATGCAGCCATAAAAAATGATGAGTTCATGTCCTTTGTAGGGACATGGATGAAATTGGAAATCATCATTCTCAGTAAACTATCGCAAGGACAAAAAACCAAACGCCGCATATTCTCACTCATAGGTGAGAACTGAACAACGAGAACACATGGACACAGGAAGGGGAACATCACACTCTGGGGATTGTTGTGGGGTGGGGTGGGGGAGGAGGGATAGCACTGGGAGATATACCTAATGCTAGATGACGAGTTAGTGGGTGCAGCGCACCAGCATGGCACATGTATACATATGTAACTAACCTGCACATTGTGCACATGTACCCTAAAATTTAAAGTACAATAATAAAAAAAAATATCTTTATCACCAGAGACAGAGACAATTCTCTGCAAACAATCGAATTTTGTTAAAACAACTCTTATCTTTCTTTAGCTTTCCTGTATATCTTAATTACTTTTTCACAATTGCCTCACTTTGTCCAGCATAGTAGGAAAGCATTGAGATTTTGCAACTTCTTTGGGCTGCCATTTCTTTATAAAGTCTCTCAACTCACATAAAACTTAAAATTAAATAAATCTGTATGTTCCTCTAAAAAAAAAAAAAAATAACAATCCTAGGTCTAGAGATTCTAAAGGCCATGCCCATCTTCACTGAGCTTCTAAAAAGAAATAGTCTGTCATTAAACCATGTGGCTGCAGAAGATGCTAATTGAATGTCTGGTTCTAGTCAACAATCTTTCCCCTGGTTGGTGCACATACATGTCACGTAGAGATCTGGACAAGTGGGCACGTATGGGTGCATCACACAAGCTTTTTTGGGGACACTCTGTACAGAGGCCAGCCTGGCCATCTGGAACTCAGGGTTCTGGTTAAAAGGAGAAATCCATTTGTCCAGCATTAATCAAAAGAAGCCTTCAAACTCAGGCAGAATTGACTCAATTTTTAATTGGGTTCAAGTCAGATAATTACTCAGCTGCCCATAAAATTCATTTTAACTTATTAAATGGAGCTTCCAAAATAGCATTGCTATGGAGTGTGGCCAATTGCATGGGTAATATGTCTAAAGAAAAAACACATTGGTCTGAAACCTGAATCCTTTCTTGCCCAGTGGCTGAAGGACTTGGGCAAGTGACTCAACCTTTCTGAACTACAGTTTCCTTGTCTTTAAATGGGTGTATTTGTATCCGCTTCATGGCAATGTTGCGGGGATACATGAAATACTTATGTAAACTATTTAGCACATGGTCTGGCCCAGAGAAGGTGCTGGGTAAGTAGTATAAGAAGAACAGCCTTAGGATACATTCCCAGAAGTCAAATGACCGAGTAAAACTGCATGAAACGGTCTTCAGTGTTCTTCATTTAGATTCCCACTTTTTTTCCTAGAGGGTTGTACCAAGTTTCACAGCCACTGACAATTTATAAAGGCACCTATTTTGTAAAAGATTTTAACCAGATCTTTGCCAATTGATGAGCGATGCTAAGCAACAAGAACCAGAAACATGGATGGCATGGCAAACGAACTTGAGTGGTTTCTGGATGGACAAAGAGTTCACCTATAGATCACCTTCAACCAGAGTTGTCCTGCCAACCAAAGGACAATTGTCAAAAGACTCTGCCTTCAAAGGTATACAAAAGGAGCATATTTGGAGCAAAAGGAGCATGCACATTATTGTGCATCTGAACTTAGATCATAACTTTTTTTTTAAAGAGACAGGGTCTCACTCTGTTGCCCATGCTGAAGTGCAGTGGTGCAATCCTCACGGCATCCTCAAACTCCTGAGCTCAAGCAATCCTCCAGCCTCAGCCTCCCAAGTAGCTGGGACTACAGGCATGCACCACCATGCCTGACTAACAGATCATAACTCTTAAAGTTGCAAGGGATCTGGCAGGCTGATCCAACATCCCCTTAGTGTAGGGATTACTGAAGCCAAGGAATCCAAATATTTGAAAGACAGTGACTTTAGGGAGAGTACATGGCAGGTGGTGAAGTTGCCTTTGTGTGAATTCCCAGAACAAAATGCTTTAGAGAAACAAGAAAAATAGAAATAAAAGAACATGGGATGAATACTGCAGTCACAGAAATCCTGACTTTTCCTGCTAGAATAGAGAGGACAACCCTTCATCTACCCATTGCAATTTGAAAACATGAAATCATTCACAACAGAAACCTCTGGCCATGTGTTGATTTGTGAAGTTCTTCTGGCTTTTTCTCATGATCTGGGTCATTCACAAAAGGGCTTTTAAAAACTTTGAAGCCACAGAGACCTGTGTTCAAATTCTAGCTTTACTATGTACTATCTGTGCATCCTGGCCACTCTGCCTTAGTCGGATTTCTCATTCTCAGATTTCCCATCAGCCTGTTTTGCCTGTTCACATTGTGTGCCTGTTAAGACTGAGTTAGCGACTGTTCCATCAGGGTACTCTGAGAGCAATGTGACAATCAGGCTCCTTTCTGTCCTCTGCCAAGTCCACCAATTGGGAGAAAACTATTATAGGCCCCCAGGCCCCCAGCTTGCTGGTATAAACAAGAACAATGTCCCAATTCTTTTTTTGTTTTGTTTTGTTTTTTGTTTTGTTTTGTTTTGAGACCAAGTCTCACTCTGTTGCCCAGGCTGGAGTGCAGAGGCTCACTGCAGCCTCCGACTCCCAGGTTCAAGCGATTCTCCTGCCTCAGCCTCCTGAGTTGCTGGGATTACAGGCGCTCATCACCAAGTCTGGCTAATTTTTGTATTTTTAGTAGAGATGGGGTTTCGCCACATTGGCCAGGCTGGTCACGAATTCCTGACCTCAGATGATCCGCCTGCCTCAGCCTCCCAAAGTGCTAGGATTACAGGTGTGAGCCAGGGCGCCCAGCCTACAATGTCCCAGTTCTACTGCACCTGGGTGACTTGCAAGTGTTCTGGCAAAGGACCTATTGAAGGTGGTGGTCAATCCATGTTTTGGAGATATGAATGGGGCACACCTGTTTGCACTTGATCCAAGCAAATAATGATGCATGATGTACTTGGGCCACCTGTTCATCTCATCAGGAGCAAAAGTACCTGCCTAATGCAATTTGTTTGGCAGCCTCTCAACAGGGGATGCCAAGACTCCTTGAACATTAAGTATATTAATGTCCTCCTTTGGAGAACACGTTCATTTTTAACCAATGTTAGATTCTTCGGCAGCAAGTTCTGGCCAGGAAATCTGTCCCTGAAGTAGGGGAAAGGATCCAAGTGTTCAGCTGAGCGGCACCTCATGAATAATTTCAATTTCTTCTAAAAAGGAAAAAACAATAGAACTTCATCGCTTGTCGCATCAGTGACTGCATGCCGAGGCTGTTTGAACCAATCGTTCCAACCTGGCAGGGGGAGCACACCTCTGTCCAAAAGGATGGTCCTGAATGATTTATGACTGTGGGACATATACCCTAATGCTTGTCTTTAGAAACAAGGCTGGTGGGGAGAGAAGATCAAGATAGAAATCTGATTGTAAACTTCTAATTAAGGTATGTTTTATTTATGCTTATGAAGCCTAAAATATTAACGGAGGCAAGTGAATGCATAACTGATATGCCCCATAGAATATGTGTATTACAGTGCATGTACAGAAAGCTCCAAATGTCCTTCTGTCGAAGATGTAAGAAGAATCCTGCAGCTATTGGCAACTTTGGAGTGCTCAGCATTGCTGAAATTCTTGAAATCTCTGCATTCTGGCAGCTGGTATCCAAAGAATGTTGTTTTCAGTATTTTGTCTTTTGGATGAACATACCCTTCTTTGGAGGAGAAGATGAAGTTAAGAGAGATCTACTATTAGTGGAGTATCTAATATGTGATTAGGCAAGTATTTTTCCATGCTAATTTCATTTAACCCTCATGACAATATCAGTCCTATAATGAATCCTATTTTATTATGCATGAAGAACTAGGATGCAGAAAGGTAAAGTGACATTCCCAAGGTCATACAATGAGTGAATAAAAAAGCTGAAGTTCAAAACCTATTCTTTCTATACCACAGCAATAATTGTTGTGGGCAAGGTTCATTAATGAATGCTACAAGTAGTGGGTGACAAAAGAATGCGTGGATGTGAATCCTGGCCCATCATTCAGAGAAGGAGATTGTAAGCAAGCCACTTAATCACTCTGTGACTCAGTTTCCTCATCTGTAAAATTGGGATGATGATGGTACCTACCTCATGAGTGATAACATATAAAACCTTAGGCTGGGCATGGTGGCTCACACCTGGAATCCCAGCACTTTGGGAGGCCAACGCAGGTGGATCATTTGAGCCAAGGAGTTTGAGACCAGCCTGGGTAACATGGTGAAACCGTGTCTCTACAAAAAGATACATAAAACTACCTGGGCATGGTGGTGATGCATCTGTAGTCCCAGCTACTTGGGAGGCTGAGGTGGGAGGATCACCTGAGCCTGGGAGGTTGAGGCTGCAGTGAGCTATGATTGTGCCATTGCACTCCAGCCTGGGTGGCAGAGTGAGACTCTATCAAAAAACAAAAACAAACAAAACACCTTAGCACCTGATACGATATGATATCATATCAGCATATGAGCATATGATAAACTTTAGATATTGTTATTATGACTACTTTGTGCAAGAGACTGAGTTAGACATCAAACAGTCTGACAGACAAACATATAAATGAATTGTTGTACTACAGGGTAACAATAATTTTAAATTTATCAAAACTCACAGGAACACAAAGAACAAAGAGAAATTCTTCCCAGGGATATTAGAGATGCTTGATAACAGTGTTGATTTTAAAGGGTTTTGATAAGTAAGAGTTTGTTTGTCAAGTGGAGAAAGGGGGAAAGGCGTGCCAGGTGGGGGTTACAGCCTACACAAAAGCCTGAGGATGTGCCCTGGGGAGAGCAGGAATTTTAGCATAGTGGCAGCAGAGATTACACTGCTGGTCAGGGAGCAGGGAGGTAGTAAAGATGAAGGACTCTGTAGCCAACGCAGATGCAACACACCTCCCCTGCTCTCCGCCAATACCTCTTTGCACCCTCCCGATGCAGCAACATCAGAGTCTCCCCAAAAGTCCTGAGGTTACCTTTTGGCTTTTGCCTGTTTTTTGAAGAAGGCTTAGCTGCGTGGCACAGAATGAGCTATCTGACTTCTCTAAGCCATTTTTCAAGTAAAACCATCTACATCTCAGCCAGGCGTGGTGGCTCATGACTGTAATCCCGGCACTTTGGGAGGCCAAGGCAGGCAGATGACAAGGTCAGGAGATGGAGACCATCCTGGCTAACATGGTGAAACCCTGTCTCTACTAAAAATACAAAAATTAGCCGGGCGTGGTGGCGGGCGCCTGTAGTCTCAGCTACTTGGGAAGCTGAGGCAGGAGAATGGCGTGAACCCGGGAGGTGGAGCTTGCAGGGAGCCGAGATCGTGCCACTGCACTCCAGCCTGGGCAACAGAGCGAGACTCCGTCTCAAAAAAAAAAAAAATCATCTACATCTCTTCATCACCATCACCACATCACCGTCACAAACAGCCCAGGCCTCCAACATCTCGTTTAGGTGGTTCCAAAAGTCTCCCGACTGGACTCTGCACCCACTTGTATCCATGCCCAATTCCTTCTCTTCCACAATCACAGGGGTCTTGGCAACACACAATTTTCATCATTCCATCCAACTTTCTTAAAACCCTTCAATTATTTCCATTGTTTCCATAATAAAGGACATATTTGTGATTATGGCTTGGAAGACCGTGCACAATTTGGACCCTACCCACATGTCCAGTCTCACTTTAGACACCTCATCCCACTCCAGCCATTCTGATCTTCTCTTACTTCTTCCAACCTGCATGTTCCTTTGCACTACACGGTCATTGCCATTCCCTCTGCATGGAATGTCTCCTTGCCCCCAACCCCCACCCGTCCTCTAGTTAAGCTCTCCTCACCCTTCATAATTCAGCTCAAGTATCCTTTCCGTAGTGAAAACTTCTGACTCTTTATAACAAGCCCAAATCCCCTAGGATGGCCTCCAACACATGGGCCTCTCCTTAATAGCACTGATCACAATTAAAATTCCCCAGGGAGTATTTTGTTACTTCTGTTTCCACGAGAACATGAAACACATCTGGTGTTGTCAACCATTAAAATCCCAGCAACCGTCATAGTGCCTAACACACAGTAGAGATTCATAGATATGTGTTGAATAAATGAATGAATGAATGATGCATTTCTAGTCTCCCAACTCCTGCATCTGATGAGACATGATTTTTTCATTTGTTCATTTTAAAAAATGTGCATTGAGTGCCTACTATGTGCCAGACGTTGTCCTAAAGTGCTTTGTGTACATGGAAAGCAAAACAAAGATCCCTGCCCTTGGAAAGCTTACATTCTAGCAGGGGGAGACACACAGTTGACAATCACATCATAGGTAAATAAATCAATCACTTAGTAGTGGGATAAGTGCTGTAGAAGCAAGAAGAGGTGCAGCAGGATGTGGGTGATAAGCAGTGCCAGCCACAGAGGCAGTTTGCAATATGAAACAGGGTAGTGAGGTGGATTTCATTCAGAAGATGACATTTGCACAGCAACCTGAGGGAGGAAGGAGTGAGCCAAGTGGTACTTGGAGGAAGAGCATTCCAGACAGTCTGGCCAAGGTCTTACAGTGAAAGCATATCTGGTACGTTCGAGGAATAACAAGGAAGCCAGTGCGGTTGGAGCAGAGAAGATGAGTGGGAGAGACTGGGAAATGGGGTCAAGGTGAGAATGAGGTGCCAGATGTTGTAAGAAACTAGATTTTTACACTGAGTGAATCGGGGCAACATTAAAAGGTTTTATGCAAAGGAAAGATATTAAGGAAGATGTGATTTGACTTATGCTCAGGTTGCTGTGTTGAAAACAGACCACAAAGGGGAAGGCTGAGAAAGAAGGAGGGAAACCATTTGGGAGAATTTGTAGGAATGGATGGCAGATAATGGTGGATGAAAACACAGTGGGAGTGGTGGAAATAGTGAAAACTGGTTGGATTCTGGGTATGTTTCAAAGTAGAGCCAACAGCTGATAGACTGGATATGGGTAGAAAGAAACAGTGAAATCGAGAATGAGTCCAAGCAACTGGAATGACAGCTTACCATCAAAGATGGAAAGGATACAGGAAAGCAGGTATACAGTGGTATAGTTTGGGGCCCTCTGGTCTTGAGATGCCTGTCAGACATCCCAGGGGAGAGGCCAAGTAGGCTTTTCTGTCCATGAGTCTGTAAAAGGCATATTCTTCTTTTCTTTTTCTTCTTAGCGGTAACTTGTTTTCTTCTTATAAACACTTAGGAATACAAAGGGAGGAAATTTAAAATGCACCAGCAGGTTCATCTGGATGAGCCTTTTGAAAAGAGTATTAAGTCAGGTCATGCAACTCCCTGAAAAATGTATCTAATGGAAAGGCAAATGATGATGATGACAATGGTAATGATGATGATTATGAAGATAATGTAAAGCCAGAATATAAGGAACAAGCTCAGAGAGAGACAATAAAAAGGAGGAGAGGAAGGAATGGAAGGAAGGAAGGAAAAGGAAGGAAGGAAGGGAGGAAGGGAGGGAGGAATGAAGGAAGGTGGGGAGGAAGGGAGGGAGGGGAGGGAGGGAGGGAGGAATGAAGGAAGGTGGGGAGGAACGGAGAGAGGGAGGGAGGGAGGCAAACACCGTTTGTACGCATTCAAGTATTCAAGTTGCAAAGCGATTCTTTATCTTTAAGGAAAAAGTGGTCTCCTTGGGGTGGAGAAAGTAGAATAACAGCCAGATTAATGTATTGGGTTTGTCGGTTTCTCCAAGCCGAAGCGAGTGTTGATCAAGGAATGAATTCTATTAGAAATCCCAGAAGTTTCGTTAGAGTTGAGTTTACTTATCTGCCTTGGAGGCAACAGAATGCCCAAGGTTTTCCCTGAGGCCCAAAAATGCACAAGGGCCCTTAATGGGAGAACACAATGAGAAAAGAGAGGAGAAGGCAATCCCAGTTCTACAGAGCAGGTCTCATGGGCTCACCACGCAGTGCATAATGGGTATTATCTTAGCCAATCATCACAAAAACTCTGTGAAGTGGGAATCAACTCCTTCCTAATGAAAAAAGTAAGGCTTAGAGGTTCTGAGTGACTTCCCCAAGGTCACGTAGCACTAAGATGGGGAGGCTGGACAGAAACCCAATTCTTTTCTGAGTTCAACTTGAGGATTTTTTCATGGTGCCAGACAGGATCCCTTGAAGGGGACTTTGAGGTGCTAGTGAAATATCCTGATAATTAGGTATCAAGAGAGTAGTAGAATATACACCTGGCTTCCCTGGAAGCCTTTAGAATGGCTACAAATGGATGCTGATCCCGGCGCCAGCCTCAGCGACCAATAGACCTACCTTGTACAACTTTTTTTTTTTTTTTTTTTTTGAGATGGAGTCTTGCTCTGTTGCCCAAGGCTGGAGTGCAATGGTGCAATCTCTCAGCTCACTGCAACCTCCACCTCCCGGGTTCAAGCAATTCTCCTGCCTCAGTAGCTGGGACTACAGGCATGCACCAGCATGCCCAGCTAATCTTTTGTATTTTTAGTAGAGATGGGGTTTCGCCCTGTTGGCCAGGCTGGTCCGAACTCCTGAGCTCAGGTAATCTGCCCGCCTCAGCCTCCCAAAGTGCTGGGATTACAGGCACGAGTTACTGTGCCCAGCCCCTTGTACAACATTTGTATCAGGTTTTGGCTCACAAAGCTCCATTGTGAGGCCTTTCCACCCTGGACAGAGAGCTTTATCTTTGAAGACTTTATCTTTGAAGAATGATGTCTGCTTTGTCATGCCGTATTCCCAAGAACCATGTATATCTTAGGAGATAAATAAGATAAAAAGGAGTTAAGTGAATAAATGCAGCAAGATCCTGAATCACTAAATATTCTATTATATTCATTATAGCTGTAATACCGTGAAAACTTTGTTTTATTTTTAATATGCAATGCATGTATCCATGTTTTTTGGGCACCTGCTACATGCAGTGTGTTGGATAACACAGACTTGCTAATTGGCACAAACTTGGCCTCTGCCTTCGTGAAGCTCACATTCCAGAGAGGGAAAAAGAGATCAAATCACAAGCTGCATTGCTAATTATTCAATTATCATTCCAGGTGGGGAAAGTGCAACAAAGAGTCCACAATGCCGAGAAAGCCTATCACAGAGAAACATGTCCCGGGGCAGAGAGATCTGGGAAGGCTTCCATGTGAGGAGATAGTGACGCTGAGATAAAAAAGAAAAGTGCAAGGTTTTGTTATTTTAATTTAAAAATCAAAATCACCTAAGCTCTTTGATGTTCTGGCTCCTCAACCGTAGAGAAAAATAATGGCTGAGTTTGTGCTCACAATGTGGGAGGGGCACCCAGCCAGTGTTAGTTTCCTTTCCTCTCCCACACACATGTTCCCACCTAATTCCCAGGTTAGGAGTGGGTGCCACTTCCACTGCAGCATTCAGCAGAGACCTCTCCTTTTTTGCCTCCCTCCAAACTGTCTTCTTCCCATCACCAGACACTTCCCTTCCATCGGGAGAGCCATGCTTCAGAGAGGAGATGAATGGGGTTCCGTCTCCCCGCTAAGGGATTATCATCAATGTCACAGCCACAGCAGGGAAGCTAGACAGTGATAGCTCTGTGCTGTCATTTGCTTTCACTGAGCAGACAGTCGCCTGATGTATAATAGCCTTGAGCTAAGTTCACAGTGAAAGGAAGGCCTTGGAGGCTCGCAGGCCTGACTCCCACTTAGCTCCTCCACTGGGGCCATTCTTTCAGCTCTGCTTTACTGTTAGCCACAGTCTCCAGCAATGAGTCATTTTCTCTCAGATGCCTGGACTGATCATTCCTGGTGGATTCAATGGAAGAATCCAAGGTCAGCATGGAGAGATCTTTGCACTGGCTTGGAAATCAGACAGATGGAGTAAACTCCCAGCTCAGACCTGTGGCCTTGGGCAAGCTACTTCCCAGCTTATGACGCCATATTGGAAAATGGAATTTTACAGAAGCTACTTCCCAACTTATGATGCCATATTGGAAAATGGAATTTTACAGTAGCAGTGCTTACTTCCTGGGTTGTTCTAAGGACTGAATAACATAGTTGGTAAGGCGGGTAGCTCAATACTTGGGAAGCAGTTAACCAAATCATTGCACATGTACTGTCAGTTTGGAGTACATCCTTCTACATCATTTTCCTCTTCATTTACAAAAACATATACATATTTGTGTGTCTTTCCTCTTTTTCTTATATAAAAACTATGCATATATAATGCTGTATTATATAAAAATATACAATTATATATGCATATCTTTACATGTAGAATGTATTATTTCAGGGTTTTTTTTCTTTCATCATACAGTGGCAAAGAAGAACGTATTATTTTGTAAATTACTTTTGTTTACTCAAAAATATAATGCTTCTATTTCACTCAAAGAGGTCTTCCACATGCTTACACACAAGCTCATATATAAGCTTATGCACATATACGAATATCTTCTTTATCCTTTCTAACTGCTACCTAGTAGTCCACAAATTGGAACCCCATAAAAGGTTGATGGACATTTAGTTTGCTCCCGATTTTTCACTCCTGTAAACTGTGTAGCTACTAGCATCTTCATACATGTTTTCTTATGCATATGTGTGAGGATTTCTCCAGCACAGGTGTCATTTCTAAACAAAGAGACATGAGACAAGGACTTGGACCCCTCTTCCCACATTTGGGTGTGGACCATATTTGTTCTTAGCATATGGAAAACTGAATCAGATAAAATTGTGATTACAATTTCCCTTTTTCTCACTTCCCAACATTATTTGTTATTATTATTACAGTATTTGCACAATTTGTATATTGCATTACAAATTCCTTGTAGCCTAATAATACATAAACATTTATTTTAAAATAATTGTATTTTTAAATTTTTGTATTCTGACATAGTTATAGGTTAATGGGAAATAACCAAATATAGATAGATGTTAACAGATAGATAAACAGTTAGACAGATAGATGATATAGATAGATAGATAGATAGATAGACAGATAGACAGATGATAGATAGTCAGATGATGATAGACAGATAGATAGATAGATAGATAGATAGATAGATAGATAGATAGATAGCTGGGCACAGTGGCTCACGCCTGTAATCCCAGCACTTTGGGAGGCTTAGGCCAATGGATCACAAGGTCAGGAGTTCAAGACCAGCCTGGCCAAGATGGTGAAACCCCGTCTCTACTAAAAATACAAAAATTAGCCAGGTGTGGTGGTGGGCACCTGTAATCCCAGCTACTCAGGAGGCTGAGGCAAAAGAATTGCTTGAACCCAGGAGGCAGAGGTTGCAGCGAGCCAAGATTGCACCACTGCACTCCAGCCTGGGCGATAGAGCAAGACTCCGTCTCAAAAAAAGAGAAAAAGGAAAAGAAAAACAGTCAGACAGATAGATGACAGATAGATTGACACATAGATAGATAGATAGATAGATAGATAGATAGATAGATAGATAGATAGACAGACAGACAGACAGATAGATATCCAGGCATCCTTCGCCTAGTTTCTCCCACAAGCATCTTGCATAAACTTAGCACAATTCTTAGCCAAGAAACTGACATTGATGCAATCCACAGAGCCTATACAGGTTTCGCCTATTTTATATGCACTCATTTGCATGTGTTCCTGTGTTTCTGTGTAATTTCATCACGTGTGTAGATTTGCTTAATGACGACTACAATCGAAACCCAGCATTGCTTCTTCACCACAAGTCTCCCTAGTGTTCTCCCTCTATAGCTGCCTGTGATCCCCGCCCCCTGCCAATCCCCAATCTGTTTTC
This sequence comes from Homo sapiens, assembly GCF_000001405.40. Classification (NCBI taxonomy): domain Eukaryota; kingdom Metazoa; phylum Chordata; class Mammalia; order Primates; family Hominidae; genus Homo; species Homo sapiens. The sequence goes on along the minus strand of NC_000016.10, from coordinate 9,520,064 downwards.
CACCTCTATAATTTTATTTCAAGAATATTATATAAATGGAGCCATACAATATGGAACCTTTTGAGACTGGCTTTTTTTCACTCAACTTTATCCTCTAGTGATCCATTTAATTTGCTGAGCATTTCCACAGTTCCTTCGTTTTTATTGTGGAGTAATATTCCATGCTATGGATGTACCACAGTCCGTTAGTCACCCAGTCATTCATTCATTGACGAACACTTGAGTTGTTTCCGGTTTGGGAATATCATAAATAAAGCTTCTAGGAACACTGGTGGACAGGCTTTTCTATACACCTAAGTTCTTATTTCTATGTAACAATTGCTTATGTTACACTGGCAGGGTTCTATGGTGAGCATATGTTTCATTTATAAGAAAGTGCCAAGCTATTTTCCAATCCATTTTGCATTCCCATTGGCAACATATGAGCCATCCAGTTTCTCTGCATCCTTACCAGCATTTGATGTTATCACTATTTTTTATTTTAGCCATTCTGACAAGTGTGTAGTGAAATATCATTATGGTTTTAATTTGCATTTTCCCACTGTCTTATGATGTTAGCATTTTGTCATGTGCTTATATGCCATCTGTACATCCTCTTAGGTGAAATATCTCTGCATGTCTTTTGCCTATTTTTTAATTGGAGTTTTTGTTTCTTTACTGTTGAGTTTCAAGAGGTCTTAACAAGTTTATCTTTTTAACTTTCATTTTGGAATGCCAGATGCACCAAATAAGAATTCTGATCAGAAGGACACTGTCTATGGAAATGGGGAAGGACTATCTTGAGCCTCTTTTGAACAATTATCATGCTTCTCTGTGATGTGTAGTTCAACTTCAGGATTCCTTTTCTACCCAATTTTAAACCAACAGTCCATTGTGGGTATGCCTTTGAAAATATGTGATTGAGAAAAAAATAATTTTAAATGACAATAATCAAAAACTCTCTAGCAGCCAGCAGTGTGCTGCTGAGTGATCCATCACCCGGGACTGAGCTATGAGTACTCCCATCTGATCACTCAGTGGGCTCTCATACATCTTTCTTTTATAAAAAGAAAGAAAAGTATGTATTATTTTTACATATTGCCAAGGAATGTAATTAGTTATGGGCAGAATGTAGGTTCTGGAGTCAGACCGCTTAGGATAAAATCCCAGCCGCATCACCTAGTAGTGGTAGTAGAGCTACTTGGTATGGTTTTGCAGGTTTTGCACTGCATACATTTCCCTCCCACCATTTAAGGAGATGAGTTGGAGCTGAAATACAGATTGCCTTGTATTTGCTAAGCTATGCAAGCCAATCTGGAGGAAGGGGCTGCTTCTTCCTTGTATAACTATGAAAACCACTTGCCAAGTTGTATGCTGGTATAGCTGTATCTGCCAGAAAGGGCATCTTGTTCTAATTCAAAAGGGGACACCAGTTTCAATTTGCACACAGGCTCTTACAGGCTAGCAGGGGCCCTATGCTGTGTCACCTTGGTCAAGTTGCTTAACCTCTCTGGGCCTCAGCTTTCTTATCCTTGAAATGGGGAAAACAATCGCATCTATCTCAAAGAATTGCTGCAAGGATTAATAGGGTTAATTCCTATAAAAGGCTAGACCTAGCATCTGGCATATGATAAATGCTCAATAAATGTCATTGTTGTTACTACTACTATCTTTTAGTGATGTGGATGGACGGGCTTACTCACACAAACCAGTATGCAAGCCAACAGTTGGAAAATGATAGTTCAGTATATTGCACAAGATCAGGACAATACAGCTTTTTATTAAAACTGCAGCACTTCTGACTTACAGTCATAAAATGCTTCAAGGAACAGAATGCTCTCCTGATCTTGGGGCTGGGGAGATGAATCAATGTGGAGAGGCTGACAGAGTGTCCTTTATCCTGGAGCCAAGCCAGGCTGGCTTTAACATTCTGGGTCAGACACCGAGCCGCAGGCTCTCTCCTGCCAGCCTGATGTGATTCTTCTTCAAACAGTTTATTTATTTTTTTCTATTTCTTGCAAGATGTAGGATTTCCATTTCTTTTCCTTGAGAAAAATCCCATCTGTTCTCTGCCAATATTTTCTCTCTCAGAATAATAGTCTGAATATCTGAAAAGTTCTTCATGAGCTGACTTGCCCATTGTTTTCTTAAGTCCAGAGGGGGGAAAAATCATGTGGAAAGCGTATTAAACATGCAGATTCTTGGACCCTGACCCTGGAAATTCTGATATAGTAAATCTGGAGTGAAGCTCATGCATTCTTCCTTTTAACCAGCACTTTCAGGTGTTTCTAATGTTTAGTTGGCCTTGTCCAACCCCTTTAAGACTCAGAGGGCTGTGATCAGCTCCAGGTCACACAGTAATGCAAAGCAGAGCTGAGATTAGAACACAGACTTCTGTGTGGTGTTATTTCTCAGCACGGTGCAGCTCCCCCTAATGCTTTCTCTTCCCTCACCAGGCTTTTCCCCCCGTAGTGACCTTAGGGGCCTTAACTGGATGATCTTGGATGACCTTGAATGCTGCAAGGTCCACTCCTTCACCCCCAACCCAAAGTAAAACTCACAGGCTCAGGGTCGATTCCTTAAAGGACATAACTTCTGGATTAAATGGTAAGATGTTCAACAATTCCTACCTGCAAAATCCCCAAAAGGGAAAAATGTTTGAGCCTATCTGGGGCACAGCAAAGAGCATGGGGCAAAATGGAGTATCTTCACCCTTACAGACAGCACTGGGAGGTGAAGGAATTCTGGGGAATGGCATGAAAGGGAGTATCTGGGAGTCTTATCCAGTGAACAACCCATTAGCCCATTCAGTTACTTCATGAAACATCTTACGCATGAAATATTAACTGAAGATGGACTGGTTAGCAGTTACCGTGGTAAGACCTGGTTAGGACCAAATTTGGCTAAAGGAAAAAAAAAAAAGAAATGCAATCACTTTTGGGCAGACTGCAAAACCTTTCTTAAAGATAAATAAAACATTCAACCTTGAAAATGCACATGCAAATTGTACATAGATATAGACACACTTGTGTGGACAAAACCAAACACACATACATCTGCACACCAAGTGGGCACACATTCATACACAAACAAGCAGATATGCACTACCACATTAACAAGTACACACGCACATGGGCACACAGACACACATACACAACCACAAGTGCAATTACCTACATACCATATATCCACAAAAGTGCTTAAAATGTACCATATTACACTGAATTATTATTCCAGTCACTGGATTGTGAGTTCTTGAGGTTGGGAAACAGTGACTTACTCACCTTGGTAGCCCCAGGGCTCAGTACGGGGACTGGAATAGAATAGACATTCAGCAAAGTTGTGTTAAACTTTACTGAGTACAGGCTCACACAGTTGGACCTGAGCTAAAACCGTCCTCCCATGGATACAGATGTGAGTTCAGAGGTTTTTTCATTGCATCAGCAGAAATCAGGCCTAACTGTGGATGTAAATATCAAGGCAAAATCAAATTGCCTTACTTGCATTCCTATTTGAGAAAGCAGCAAAAATGCTCCCAGGGCTCCAAAATTGATGGCTACAAAAAAGGGGGAGCCCAGAAGAGCTAATGAGCCTGCACCCCACGTGGGGGCCCACTCCAGCCATTGAGGCTCAGAACCCTAGCCAACAAGCACTGATCACCCCCACAGGTGGGTCCCCACTCCCCGCCAAGATTTCCCAAACATGCTTTATTTGTCTAAAATCAGCCCTTTCTGGTCTGTACATGAGAGAAAAACTTTAGTTCTTCTATTTGTCTTTTGCGACGACTATAACACATTACTACAGACTGGGTGGCTTAAAACAACAGGAAATTTGTCTCCTCATAGTCCTGGAAGCCAGAATTGAGGTGTTGGCAAGGCCACACTTCCTCCAGGGGCTCTAGGGAATAATCCATTCTTTACCTTTTCTGGCTTCTGGAAGCCGTCAGAGTTCCTTGGCTTGTGGCTACATTACTCCAATCTCTGCCTCCGTGGTCACATGATCTCTTTCTGTGTGTCTAATCTCCCTCTGCCTCACTCTTACAAGGACACCGATTATTAGATTTAGGTACCACCCAGAAAATTCAGGATACTATGGTTTGAACATGTCCCCCAAAGTTCATGTGTTGGAAACTCAATCCCCAATGCAGCAGTGTTGAGAAAGAGGACGTTTAAGAGATGATGAGTTTATGAGGGCTCTGTCCTCATGGATGAATTAATGCAATTATCACAGGAGTGAGTTAGTTATTATCAAGAAAGTGGGTTCCTAATAAAAAGGATGAGTTCAGTTCTCTTTCCTTTCTCTCTCTGTCTGTCTCTCATACTCTCTTGCTCTTCTTCTTTTTGCCATGGGATAACACAGCAAAAATAACCTCAGCAGATGTGGGCCTCTCAACTTCGGACTTTGAGAAGTCTGAGAACTGTAAGAAATAAATCTCTATTCCTTATAAATTACCCAGTCTCAAGTATTCTGTTATATCATCACAAAATGGTCTAGGATGCAGAATAAACTCCCTCTCACAATCCTGAATTGCACGACATCTGCAAAGACACTTTTTTTCAAATAAAGTCCTATTCAGGGGTTCCAGATTCAAGGAATTAGCTCATGGACATATTTGGAAGGGGAGCAGGGGAACCCCAGTCAGCCCACTACAGTATCTACAATCACAAAGCTGGTAAAATAACAGGAAAATTTTCTCAACTTCAACTTTTTGAGCAGAGGTTTATCTAAACTGACAGGTGAGTTAAGACCGTTCTTAAGAAAACACAATTTATTTTTATGGACTGACTTGCCTCATTTAGAACTATCTTAGACAATACTGATTGATTACAAAGCTTCTTACACCAGAAATGTTTCAGTATTAAAAAAAGAATATACTTTCACGCCCACTACAGTCCTGAACAGAAAGTGTGCACAAGTGATTTTTTTCCCCTCTCTATGTTCAACCAGAGAATGGCAGAGTGACTATCTCTCACTCCCTTCCAGAGAGAGCTGGTTCTCCATTGGCCAACAAGCTTTGGTAAACCTCAATTTGAGTACAGCTCAGTCTATTTGTTCATTTCACTATAGATGTAACTTCTGCCACTATCGCTCCTCTGGTGAACACTTTTGACTCGAAATGGCTGAAGATGCCACAAATGAGTCTGGGAAGAGTATTACACTGAAGGTTACAACGTAAATTTTACAGTGGCCTAAGGCAAGTGGATGTCTTCAAAGAAATAAAGTCCAGGAAAGAGGGTACAGATGGGCAGTTCTTAGAATTCAGTGGAGACCTTTTGGAATTATAATTAGCTTCTAGGCATCACTCACCCCAAAGGATGTGGCCAACTGGCTCTGCATGACCCGTGGCTGTAGGATCCTGGCCCAAAGCTCTGCATATCTTGGAGAGTCTGAGGAGGACCAACAGGGATAATATCACTTTCACAGAGACTATGGAATGACCTAGGAAGTGCAAAGAAAGAGAGAGAAAGAACAGGAGAGAGGAAGGGAGAGGGGTTTCCAAGATCCCCACCCTAGAGATCTTTTTCCAGTTGATCTGGGATGGTACCTGGAAGCTTTGTATTAAAAAAAATTTTTTTAACTCCGTTACTCAGGTACTTTGACCCAGAGCCAAGCTCAGGAGCCACTGCCTCATAGAGCCACTGCCTCATAGAACCTACTTTAATGAACAGACAAAAGTTGTTGGCACTAAGCATTGATTTTCTGTCACTCAAATTTCTTAACGGCAAAGATCAAGTCCTCTTCATACTTGAAGTCTTCATTGACTGGCGCAGTGACTTCCATGTAACAAGAGTCTATAAAGTATGTTGAAATTGTAACATTAGGAATATGCGTTCCAATATGTTTGTTGAATAATTTCCTGAGTGACTTGGCCAACTCCTCAATCTGCTATATAGAGAATCAGGAACAGCAGTGGTTGGGGAGGAAGAATCCGGAGTTGAGCAGTTTTGGTCAAATCCTCACTCTGACAGTTACTCTGTGACTTTGGACAAGTTGTTTTACCTCTCTAGGCCTCAGTTTCCTCATCTGTTAAATGGGAATAATAATAATACCTGTCTTTTAGTGTTGTGAAGAATACATATACGTGACCCAGTGTTTTGCACCTAGTAAGCACTCAATAAATGTTAGCTGTTACCAATAGAATTATTACTAATTTGAATACATTAAAACATGCCAGTGATCTACATTGCTCTCCATTGTCCTTATGGTTAGGCAAAAGAAAAGTGCCTTGGCCTCGCATAGCAGACCCTCTCAAGAGATTTTAGACACATTGTCCCTCACCACTAACCTTCTGGTAATATTGAATTGCTAATGGTTCCCCACATTTAGTGTGCCCCTTTTTGCCTCGAAACTGTACATAATATTAATCCTTCTGTTCCCACTCTCTCCCTATTTCTCTCTGTCGGTGATCTTCTACTGAACTTTAAAATGGCAATTCAGATGCTCCTCTCCTCCAAGAAGCCTTATGTCCCTGCTAGTTCTTCCTCCCTTCCTCCATAGAATCAATAGTCCTCTCCCTTATTATAGCTCCATATTTTGTCTTCACTTGCATTTTTAAACATACTACATTGTGTTGAAATTTATCATATTTTATTTAAAAATGAATAACCCATCCTGTCAACATAGGTTCTGAATTTGTGGGTTTTGAACACATGCACTTTTACAGTATGTGTTTGTATCAGTTAGCTATTGCTGTGTAACAAGCCATCCTGAACTCAGTAATTTAAAATAACAATCATTTATTCTCACTCATGTTTCTGTTAGGTTGGATGGGAGTTAGCTAAGCTCAGCCGAGCAGCTTGTATTCCAGCCTGGGACCAGCTGGGCTTGGCTGCTCACTGTAGGTTTGGTGCAAATCTGCTCCAGGTGTGTCCATTCTGGAGCCCAAGTGGAAGGTCCAGCAGTGACTGAAAGGAAGCGCCTCTTCCAAATGCATTTCAAGCTTCTCTGCTTACATCATTACGGCTACGATCTCATTGGCCAAGCCACATGCTGAGTCCAAAGTCAAGAAGCAGAAAAGTGCACATAGCCTATCATGATGTCAGCAAGCCACATGGTCAAACTCAACATTGGTCCCATCAGTCTAGTGAGCAGCGAGCATGAAGGTGGGAGGGAGAGAGTGGATACTTTTAAGCAGTAATTGATCCACCATGATAATTCTCAAATCTTTCTATGATTCATTTTGCTTGTCAAGTGTGTTAGTCTGTATTTACACACCTGCATTTCCATGCTCAAATAGCCTTAATAATGAATGCATTGTAATGATATTCTGAACTCTAACAGGGAATTAAATTTTCCCTTTTCAGTCCCTATTACATTTGTGGGTGTATATGAAATTATTTAGCACTCTGTATTGTAATTCTCCATGTGTGTCTCTTTCAATAGTGTAACATTACTTAATGGTGTGACAGATACTATGGTTATCTGACCTAGCACTCATTCTCATCCCCTTCTTTTCTGCTCATTTACACTATAAACGACACAGATGACAAATGTTCTCCCCCGCAGCTTCCATTGCAGCTAGGAGTGACCACATAACACAGCTCAGCTACTGAGGCACAAGCAGAAATCTACAAAGAGGTCTCAAGAAAGTCTTTTCTCTCTTAACAAAACAGTATTCCTCCATTGGCCCTACCCCTTCTCTCCTTCTTCTTACCTTTAACGTGGATGTGATTAGGTTGACAAGCATGAAAGAAATACAGAGAGAACCATGAAAATGCTGGTTGACATCTTTGGTCCACCGAACCAACACCAGTATCTGCCTATCAAGACTTCATGTAGTAAGATTTTCCATGAGGTATAGCCAGAGACACTCCCAACTGTGCAATTCGCTAGGACAGGGGTTGACACAAACTACAGTGAACAGGACAAATCTAGCCTACCACCTGCTTTTATAAATCAAGTTTTACTGAAATACAGCCATGCTCATTTCTTTATTGTTTAAGGCTGCTTTTCTCCTGCAATGGCAGAGTGAAGTAGTTGTAACAGAAAACTTTGGGTACACAAAGCCTACAATATTTGCTCTCTGACCCTTTATAGAAAGTTTGCCAACCTCCTAAGACAAATGTTGCACCTTATTTCTGTTTTTCATCCCTCAATGTCTAGCACAGGGCTGGTATACCATAGACAAGCAATAGTTGTTTGATATAATAGCAATAGCATTAGATGTCATTTATTGAGCACTAACTCTTTGTTAGGAGCCATGCTAAACACTTCTCATTTTTTATCTTATTTCGTCTTCACAACATCCAGGTTGACTGAAATGACTGCTTTCCCCACTCTACAAAGGTGGAGACTAAGGCTTAGAATTGTTAAATAATTCGCCCAAGGTCATAAAGCCAGTGAAGGGCAGAGCCAGCCCTCCAATGCAGATTTGGCAGACTTCGAAGAAAATGCTCTTAACCTCCAGGCTCTTTGCCCTCCCAGCTGTCCAGCTGAATTTGATCAGAGACCATCTTTCATGAGGGAGGACGGTGGCTTTTGTCCTCTTCCTCACACCGCCCTTTGTAGGCCAGGTTTATGAACAATCTTTTTTTCCTTGGGAGACTTCATCATACCTGACTGGAAAAAAGAACCTCTCGGCAAAACAATGACTCTAAATCACTGAAACGGGGGATTTTACAACCACCAAATAAACAGAAGATGTTGTAAATTTTCCCTTGTGTGCTAGCCAAGTAGTTACGCATCTGTCAGGTCTTCTCAGTGGTCATTCTTTCCCTCTGCCTACACCAAGACATGCTCAGACAAAGAGAACTGTGCATCTTGCCTATCAACTACCCCTAAACTTGAGATAGGTATCTTGCCTTATCTTCTGTTGTTGAAAAATATCTTTCTTGCTCATTGTCAATGCCCTCCCAGAACAACTTAGCTTTTAGAAAAAGACAAACATGTCCCCTTGTGCATCTCAGAGTCCTCCTGCCCAGATGTTCAAAGTGATTGTACACAAATCATTCAGCTGTCTCTGAGGGTGGGATCAGAAAGAGCTGGGTGGGCATTGATCACACCAGAGTCTCTTCAACAGCTTGATTCAAGGGTCTTGCCAGAAGACGAGGGACACTTTCAGATTGAGTTAAACATAGTTGGTGGAAATCCCATGGATTTCTCTTAGTAGAAAATCAGTCTGTGATTTAACTTGAACTTTTTTTTTTTTTTTTTTGAGACGGAGTTTCACGCTTATTGCTTAGACATGAGTACAATGGAGTGATCTTGGATCACTGCAACCTCCACCTCCTCGTTAACTGGAACTTCTGTTCAATTCATCAATGAGCACATTCTAGAGAAGAGGGAAATAATTAACACTCATTGAGTGCCTACTAAACACCCCAAACACTACGTGCTTCATGCCATGGTAGAATATTTTATGCACCATGTGTCAGCCCTCTTCTAGGTACTGTGCACATACTATCTCATTTAACTCTAACAGCGATCTTGTAGAGTAGGTGCCATTTTTTATATGAGAAAAAATGGGGCATAGACAGTGTATCAGTTATCTATTCCGAGTAACAAACACCCCCAGACTATAGTGGCTCAAAACAAATCAAGCATTTCCCCATTTCCCACCCCAGCCTCCTAGCCTCTGGCAATCACTGTTCCTCTCTCTAAGGGCACAAATTTCAGTTAGACAGGAGGAATACGTTTTAAAGATCTATTGCACAACATGGTGACTATAGTTAATAATAATGTATTGTATATTTCAAAATTGTGAAAAGAGTAGATTTAAAATGTTCTCACCACAAAAAAAATGGATAAGTATGAGGTGGTGGATATGTTAATTAGCTTAAGTATTCCATAATGTATACACATATCAAAATATCACATTATACCCCATAAATATATACAATTACTTTTTGTCAATTAAAATAACATTTTAAAGAATCAAGCATTTATTTAACTCATGATTCTGTGAATCCATTGAGGGTTTTTCCTGATCTGGGGCCAGCTCAGCTGATCTCAGTCAGGCTCTCTCATGCAACTGTGTTCAGCTTGTGGATAGGCTGTTGGCTCAAGGACAAGACACCTGTCTCTCTCCACCTCCAGCCAGCTCACCTGAGCTTCTTCACATGGCAGTAGGGTCCCAAAGCAGCAAGGGGACAAGTGCACAGCACCTCTCCAGTCTCCATTGCATCACATTTGCCATTGTCCCATTGGCAAAGCAAGTCACATGACTCATTCCATAGACATTGCAGAAAAGTACTTTCCAGGAGTGTGGGCAGAGAGAAGTCTGGATGTATTGAGGCCATTACTGCAGCAATCCACCACAGAGAAGTGATGTCACCTCTCTAAGATCCCACGGCTAATAAGTGGTGGGGGTAGAATTTCAACCCAGATAGTCTGACTCCAGAACCCACATCTGTAAGGACTGTGTTACTCAAAAATACACGATTTCATTCCATTCTTAGATACCTTGGAGAGAAGGTATTACTAGCCCTATTTTAGATTTAAAACACAAAAAGCAGAGACTCAGTATTGTTAGATAATCTGCCTGAGATCATAAGGCAAGAAAACAGGAAACATCTGACTCACTTTTATAAGTTATTGTTTCCTTCCATTTTTACACATACACACGTCCACAAACACACTGCATCTGGCCCTGGGTGAGGGTCATCTTCAGAACCAAACAGTTTAAATACCCACAGTGAAAGTCACCTATTAAATCTTGGATCACATTATATCAAAGTACTATATCTTACTCCTACTCACTTGACATTACGGCTACTTGGGTTTTTAGACGAAAATTATGCAAGGTATCTTTAGATGATGTAACTTATGAGTATTTCCTCATGCCATTTTGTATCCTCCAAATTAATATTATTTGTTCTTACGATGGCCCCATGATGAATTTACTCATTCCCCTATGGCCAAAAAATTTACTCATTCTCCTATGGTCAAAAAATTTACTTATTCCCCTATGGTCAACCTTTTGCTATTACAAATGACCCTGTGATTAATATTCCCTATATAAAACTGTATCACCCATTTGTGACCATATTCCCAGCAGTGGCATCATTGGGTCATAAGCATGAACATTTCAAGTCTCTTGATACACACTGCAAATTGTCCCTCCAGAAAAGATGTACCAGTGCTTGCATACCAGCTACCCATGAAAGTGAGACTCCTTGTATCTCAGCCTCACCAGGACTGAGTATTAACAAGCATGGATGGGTCCATTGGATTATTCCCCATGTGTAACGGGATCAGGCTCTGATAGACTGACTGCATCCATTTGCACACCATAAGAGCCTTCCCACAGGGCCCTAATACTCAAAGTCCATCAACAAAGACACACTCTACCCTGAATTAGCAGTGCTACAATTTATTATCTCTCGGACACTCTTTATTTCACATGTTTCTTCCTGACCAGTGCTTCTTTTTATAGACCACATTGTCTTTAGCTATGAACAACTACAACTAAGTCTCTCTCAGCCTAGGAACTTGAGCTCATTTGTTTTTTCTATCTTAACCCTGACCCATTGTGTATTAATTTCATGGTTTGCTGACTCTTTTCTAATATCCAGGCTAGTTGTTGGGAGGGGTGAGAAAGTCACCTTGTTTTCATCACCACGTACTGTCTACAACACACGTGTTCCCATTTGATCCTCATCTGAGCCATATAAAGTGGACAAAGACAGAGAGGAGAACTAAAACTCACTGAGGTTAAATGGTTCTTAGTAGTTCAGAGCTACTAGTGAGCAATGCCAGAACTTGAGCCTCGCATTGTTCTTTCTACGTGATCTTGCAAGGGGAAGAAATTGGGCCCAAAGCCACCAATTTAAAAGCTCATGTAATCAATAAGTCATGAGGTCCTGGGGATTTGAGTGAGGGATACAATTACAAGAAAGAAGAGGAAGGGATTGAATCTAAAAGTCTTGTGAAAGAAGAATGCCCACTAGGAGAAGCCTACCTGTTTTTGGAAAATGTATTTCAAATGGAAAGTGAAATCAAAATACAGAAGAAAGGAGAAAATGAAGAGTGATAAGTGTCTTCAAATTTCCAGATCCAGTTGTCCCTAAAGCCAATTACTCTACCTCTGCTATCCCTAGTCACTTAAGCTAAGAAAGCCCCCATTGCTTTGCCTATGCTGGCTGGAGTGGAGTTTCTGCCACTTGCAACAGAGAGGGCTAAGTTGTGCATCCACACCACCACTCCAGAGCCATATACAGAAATGCATGCAGGAAAAAAAAATGGCAATCTTTGAACTGGAGTTAACTGCATTAGTATCCAAGACCTTACCATCAGCTCAATCTGCTCTCCTTCCATCTCCCAACTGAGGCCTCTCATATTTACTGATAAGAACTTTCTAATCTTCTCCAGTCTTCCTGGCTCACCAAATATCAAAATCTCCAAGCCAGAGTTTTAGTTCTTGGGAGCTCTACAAATTTGCTCTCTTGGGATGCAGGAGCAAAGGTTGAGGCTGTGAAGGGCTTTAATCAATAGTGCATGAGCCTGAAGAACAGGCAGGAATCAATAATATATTTCCACTATCAACATTTTTATCCTCAAAACAACAGCATGAAAACATGCATGCCAAATGGTAATTGAAAAAGTCAATTTAAAAAGTTATTATTCTCTTTCTTGGTCTTTATTAAAAGGCATAATGAATAGGCTTACCATAAGGAGATGAGATATACTCAATTAGGAAAAAAATAGAAAATACAGTATTTTATAGTGATGGGGTTTGCCCCAACTTTTGCAAAGAGAGTGATTTGCAGTTTTTAGGATGAGTCTGTGGAATGATGCGTGATAAGTAAGAAAAAGGAGGAGAGGTTATATTCAGAGCTCAGAACACAATGAACTTCTGAGTTTATACAATGAGAAATTCCTCTGTTAACTTATACAATACAGTAAATTTCTTAGTCCATGCTACATAGTAGGCTTACAGTGAATGTATATGCCAGTTGGTTAGATGGTAACCACTCTCATTGCCAGATGACTCCAATAGGCAGCTGGTTCGAGAACCACTGGACTTGATTATGTCTCCAGGTTAGGTACTTCTTAAAATTTCACATAGTCCAAAATAGTCTTTCCAAAAATTGATGATGATCTTAGCATTGAGGCTCATGTTTGACTGAATGATTAGACAGAGCTGCTTTACTAAAATCTTTTGTCTCAGTGGACATAAGGATATTTCTTGACTTCTGGAAAATGTACTTCAAATGGGAAAATGGTAAGAAATATAAAATGTGTAAAATCATCCTTACATTTTATTTATTTATTAAATCACCAACTCCTTTTTCTTATCATGTGTCAAATATTTGTTATATAGTAGACATTTTTGGGTACGACATTGGATAAGACCCAGACCATGACCTCAAGTAGATCACAGTCCACTTGGGCAACACTAAGAACATTTAATTGGAATAATAAAGTGTTGGGTTAAAATATAATGTGCCTCTCTCTAGGACCATGGGCTATTGCAGAAGAGGTGGGCAGGTGACATTGTAAGGGTTGGTTTTGAAGGACAGAATTACTTCAGACCCTCCAAATCAAGGACAGACACACAGATGCCTAAAGAGCTAATAGACTCAAGTACTTTGCCTCCTGGGTCATTATGTGGCCCATTTTCATCCATGCCAACTACAAATTTCCCATAAACTTAAAAGAGAATTACCAACAGGATATTAAGATACCTGGTGACAGAGTCTTCTCGTCACCAGTTGTTCCCAGTTATAGGGTTTATGCAAATAGAGATATGATTTTTAAAAATTTGGCCACCTTAGGAAAAATTGCTAAAGAGACTGTAAAATGCATCGTGGCACAACAAAAAACTCTACATTCCTTAGCTTAAATGGTTTTAGCAAAATGCTTATGTTTCATATACCTAATTACTACAAGTCTGTTACTAAAACCAAGATTACAGTAGCTCAACACATAGAATTTATGGATATGTCAATTCCATAATCTGGCTTTTTGGCTTTGTTTTTTTTGCTCTTATGTTGCTTAAAAGGTTTTAAGAGTTGATGGGTTTCTGCCCACCTCCATTCCTGCCTGTCGTAGAAAGTTTAATTGGCCGTAAGTCTTTGGCTCTAATTCCCTTGGCCATAGGAGTCTCATTGAAGAACAAGATGGACCCAGGGCAAGCAGCCACACTACCCCACAAAGATAGGGAAGAAAATAGAAGTTTAGTCATTGATGCTGCCTCCGGCAGATCTTGGACAAAAGGGGGAGAATAGGAACTAAAAATAAAATTCTAAGCTCCTCAACTAACTGAGTGTATCTTCTCTTGGACAAGGAGACCCCATTTGAAAACTGAGTTATCAGCCATGATAGGATGGGAAGGTCAGACACACTTGTTATACCCTGTTATGGTTTGGCTCTGTGTCTCCACCCAAATCTCATGTAAAATTGTAATCCCCATGTGTTGAAGGAAGGGCCTAGTAAGAGGTGATTGAATCATGGAGGTGGACATCCCCCTTGCTGTTCTTGGGAGAGTGAATGGGTTCTCATGAGATCTGGTTGTTTAAAAGTGTGTAGCACTTCCTGGCCAGTCTACAGAGAATGCACAGTAAGGGTTTTCATGGACTTTGTTTCATCTTCTGACATCAGAGGGCCAAAACTCCACCTTCAGATTGCCGCCATGTTTTGAACATGGAGAAGCAAGAAGCTCAATTGCCTATGTGCACATTTCTCCTTTCATAAACATGAATGACTCCTTCTACAGCTTATTGAATATGTTTATTTGGCCATCCTACTTGGCATCAATTCCTGTTCCCTTTGCTCCTTCCTTGAAGTGTTTGTTTCTGGCTTCTGGCTAGAGGCTATGTTTCCCAGCCAGTCAGAATGGCCACTCTGCAGGCCCTAACTCTTTATAATAAGTAAAGTCTCCTCTTCTCCAAATTTAAATTTAAAAAAATACAGTATGATGAGTGCCATGAAGAAAATAGGCACAGAGAGTTCATGGGGACACTGTGAGAGAAAACTAGCAGCCATGGAGGGAGAAAAAGCAAACACAGCTTCTTAGGAAACTACTAGTAGGAGGCCGGGCATGGTGGCTCACGCCTGTAATCCCAGCACTTTGGGAGGCTGAGGCGGGCAGATCCCAAGGTCAGGAGTTCGATACCAGCCTGGCCAACATGGTGAAACCCCATCTCTACTAAAAATACAAAAATTAGCTGGGCGTGTTGGCATGCGCCTGTAATCCCAGCTACTTGGAAGGCTGAGGCAGGAGAATCCCTTGAACTTCGGAGGAGGAAGCTGTGGTAAGCTGAGACTGCACCACCGCACTCCAGCCTCGGTGACAAAGCAAGACTCTGTCTTGAAAAGAAAAGGAAAAAAAAAAAAGGAAACTATTTGTAGGCGGGAGAGAGGTTGAAAGGAAAATGGAAAAGTGAATGTAGAGGCAGGCAGGTCAGGAGAGGAGGCTGGTGAGGTTGCTGAAGACTAGAATCACCTGGGGAGCATTAAGAAAAATAAAAATGCCCTGTTTCCACCCAAGACGAATTAAATCAGAATATATTCGTGGTAAAACTCAGACATAATTTCTTTTGTATTTTTTTAAATATCTCCAGTTGATTCTGGTGAACTGTCAGTTTGAGAAATCTGGACTAAATTATGAAGTGTCTTGTTACTAATCTAAGGAGTTCAGACTTTGAATTATAAAAGGAAAAGTCTCCTAATACTATAATGATCATTAGACCTGAGAAAAAGCATTACACTTTCAGATGTATTTAAATAGTTCTCCAGGACCATCAATCCTCATTTATCTCTTTGAACCCTGCTAAAGAGAAAACCAACTTCTAGAAGGCATCAGAATAGCATAACAATTAAGGCAGAGTTTGTGTGAAACAGCCTGGATTCAGGTCCTGGCAGAATATTTAACACTTTGGGGGCTTCAGTTTCCACATCTCTAATATTTGGCTACTAATATCTGATTATTTCATAGGGCTGTTGTAAAATATTTACAGAGAACTTACTAGGTGTCAGCCTCTTTGATAAGCCCTAGAAATAAAATAGTAAAAAAAAAACACAAAATGTTTATTCTCATGGAATTTACCTCCTAAAGAGGAGGGTTAGACATTAGTCAAGTAACCATATGAGCAATTATAAAAATATGTACATAATTGCAATTGTGTAATTACAAAATGATATACTGCTAGAATGTCTGGTGATCATGGCTGTCTGTAAGAGAAAAACCAGGAACTAAGAAAGTGTGTAATAGAAGAGCTCACCTGGGAAGAACAGGCTGGAATTTGAAGGAACAGAAACAAATTCACTGAAAATGCAGAGGAAGGGAAATTAGAAGGAAGTGGAGTGACAAGGGAGGCCCAGGCCAAGGGACATATATAAACAAAGGTCCTGAGAGATGAGGCAATAATGTATATGGATGACCTAGCAAGGTTTAGAGTGCAGTGTGAGTGTGCTTAATAGTTCGTTACTGTCAGCAGCAGCAGCAGCCCTCTTCTGAATTAAATCTACAGAGAGGTGAGAAATAGAAATTGAAGAGATTAATTGAGCCAGATATGTTCTCATTGTTAAACATTTTTAAATATTGATGATGTTAAAGGTGAAAATGTCCCTGCATGCAGTTTAAGACTACTACTTTGTACTTAATGAAGGTCTCAAGGAAGAAATGCCAGCTTTCATTCAAGCCCAGGACAAACAGCACACTAAAGAGTGGCATGTTAATCGTCAAGGATATATCTTGAGTGACTGCTGAGACAGACTCTTTCTAGAGTACAAAACAGAGTTTTTCTAGCCAGCCTGCACCTCAGGAGATTATCAGTAGTTCTGGCACGTTGATAGTTGCTCCACTGATATTGAAATGTGCTTGAAATGTGACTACCTGTCCCACCTCCCCCTCAGTCTCTACAGGAATGGCTTGAGTGACAACATGCAATAATATCCTCCATCGATTTCCTTGGAGCTCCCTTTGGTGGCTCAAGATTAAGTGGTGAAGTAGAGACAGCCATTATCACTGTATATTCCAGCAGCTGATAATATGCATTTGATCAATTATTTTAATATAAGTTGCAAAAGGAGCTCCATGCATCAGGGTGAGCAGCTTTGCTGCTTCCTCTGTACTAATTTTTCTTTTTCTTTTTTTTTTTTTTTTTGAGATGGAGACCCACTCTTTCACCCAGGCTGGAGTGCAGTGGCTCAATCTTGGCTCACTGCAACCTCCGTCTCCTGGGTTCAAGCAATTCTCCTGCCTCAGCCTCCTGAGTAGCTGGGACTACGGGTGCCCGCCACCACCCCTGGCTAACCTTTGTATTTTTTAGTAGAGACGAAGTTTCACTAGGATGGCCAGGCTGGTCTCAAACTCTTGACCTTGTGATCCACCTGCCTCGGCCTCTTAAAGTGCTGGGATTACAGGTGTGAAATTTGTCTTTTCTTAATCTTTTGTTTCCTCAGTCTCTGTGGCCTGAGTGCAACTTTGCTCAAGAGATAATACATGTGTGGCATCCAACACTGTGCCTGGCTCATAGTAAGCCCAGATTCTGCTCTTCCTCTTCCATCTTATCATGTTTGCCAAGGAGCCAGACACCATGTAATTACAGCATGGGTCCTAGCATCAGACAGACCTGGACTCAAATCCAAGCCCGATAACCTAACCAGCTGTCATATCTTGGGCATGACACACTAATTCTTCATTTATATACTTTTCTTTTTCTCTGCTAAGAAATTTATTCTGTAATTCTTCATTTCTTCAGTTGTAAAACAGCAACCACACTGTGAGGTTATTGTTAAAACCAGTGATAACCCCCCCACCCCAAAAATCTCCTGACCCCAGCCTATTCAGTAACAGATATCCAGTTTACAGAAGTTATCATTCTCATGCTAGAATTATCCTCAGTTTTGTTTATTTGTCACGAATTTTCACCTTCTTCCTCCCAGCAAATGTAAGAAATGTAATAAAGTTTATTTGACTTTGAGAAAATACTGTTTTGACCATGAATATGGTATTACCTACCCATTAGGACTCTCCTTTTTCAGTGACCAAAAAATTCATCATAAATTGCTCATGGCAAAAAATGCACAAAAGCCCAGGTGTTATTAGCTGCAGGCATGGCTGGATCTAGATGCTCAAATTATGTTCTCAGGGATCTGCTTCCTGCCATCTCCCATCTGCACTTGGCTCTATTTTGGCTTCATTTTCAGGTGGGCTCTCCCTCATACTAACAGAAATGGCCTTCAGCAACTCTACGCTGATATAGCTGTAGTTTAGCAAAGCTGATGAAAAGAAAATAACTATTTTTCAAGTAGTTTCAGAAAAATTCCTGGACCTAATTCTGATTGACTTTAATCATGTGACCACCTTTAACCTATCTCTGTTGCCAGTCCTGCCTGAGTCAGGGGCCCATACCTGGAGTGGAAAACAGGTGAGTTCCCAGAGAAAACACAGGAAGCTCCTTCCTGAAGAGGGATGCCTGGAATGCAGACAAAACCAATTCAGATTCAGTAACTATAGGCATTTTTCACTTTTTCCTCTTAATCTTAACTCTCTTCCCCATAAATCAATTGTTGACAGAAGAAGCTCACTTTGATCAGTTGCTCAGCTGAGCCCTCTTCCTGGCCTCACTGATTCCTCAGCCAGCCTTTACCTCCACTCTGGAAGACACCAGGCCTCCATCAATTTGCAGCATCTGCATTTATTCCAACCTGTGCAGCAAGAATAAGCATCAGCAATGGAGATAATTGTAGCCAATCATTTGGCTTCCAATCACCTGCTTTCAAAACATGTTAAAGCCCCTCGACAGCACAGTCATTTGAGCACTAGGAACCACCAATTTAAAAGAAATCAGCCACTTTTCTTTCTTCACTTATTTCTAGCCTCCTTCAAACAAAGAAATATTTCTTACTTTGACTTAACAGTGACTTAAATAACCAGCAATAAAAATACAGTTTCCACTGACTATTTACTATGCAGCCAAGCCTAGGGAGGAAAGAGCAGGTTGCCCCTGCCTCCCCTTCCCATGCCTATAACCACGACAGACATCACTAATCAATGAGGCACATGCCTCCCCTCCCCATTCTTACATCTGTGACAGACATCACTAATCAGACAACAAGCCACCCCTTATGCCTACATCCATGACAGACATCACTAATCAGTCATGCACATACCTCCCCTCCTCATGCCTAAATCCATAGCAGACATCATTAATCAATCAAGCATAGGCCTCTCCTCCCCATACCTACATCCATGACAGACATCGCTAATCAATCAAGCATCAGCCTCCCCTCCCCATGCCTACATCCATGACAGACATCACTAATCAGTTAGGCACTCTCCTGATGAACCTGGGTCTGATCTCTGAATCCTCCCCAACATAGCAGCTATTATGAAAAGAATGAAGTTGGTTTCATTCATAAGAAAGGAAACTATCTGCCCTCTCAGATCTTGGCAATGTCTAGGTTCGTGTCTGTATCTAATAAGTTGTAATCCTCACAACCCTCTCCATTTTACAGGTGAGATGTGAGGCTCAGAGAGGCATGGCACCTTGGTAACTATCACACAGCTTTCAAAGCAGTCTGATTCCACAGCTTAATTTTTACACCATTCTTCCTCATCCTCATCTATTCATAATGAAAACATCAAACTGTTCATAAATCCCTGTTCACCCAGCAGCCCAGGCCAGAGCAAGGGCTCAGAGTTTCACAGCATCCCTCAGAAATGGCTGGCTCCCACTCCCTGTTTCTGAAGGTGCCAGCTGCCTCACCCACTTGGCACTTGACAGCCAGCCACACTACCACTGAGGAGCACTGGAGGCCAGTAGGAGCTACTCCTGAGTGCTGTAGTTTTACAAGTGGCACCAGAGCTGGCATCAGCCCTGCCTTCCTCATTAGGAAGAGCAAGAATGATATTTTGAATCCATGAAACTGTAGCAACTTTCACCTTCCCTTTCCCAGACAAAGTAGACAACAGCAGCATGTCAGAGCAAATCATACTGGCAGGCCCAACCTGCCAGCAGTGAGGGAGGGCAGAGAGTAGGAAGCAGCTGGAAGGAGGACCCCGATGCCAGATGAAATTTGAGAGGGGATTGAACTCTCACAGCAGGGGTCAGAGCATCCAGCCTAGGGGAGGGAAAGAAGGAGGGAAAGCTCACTTTCAGTACAAGCAAAGCAAAATGAAATAAGATGAAATAACTCACTGTAGCTGCAACTGCCCTTTATTTCCCAAATATTGCTCTGAATTCCTGTTCTTCCTCTACCTCCTCCCTGACATCTTTCTTAATACAAGAAGCTGTGTAGTAGATAAGAGAATGCACTACCAGTCTGAATCCAGTACCAGTAATTTGCTGCTTGAATAACCTAGAGAAAGCGCTTCAGCTTCTCTATGCCTCAGTTGCCCCATCAATATAATGGAGATAATAGTATTTGATACTTTATTACAGAGTTTCTCAATCTTGGCACTATTGACACTTGGAGCCAGATAATACTTGTTTTCGGGGGGCCTGTCCTATGCATTGTAATTTGTTTAGCAGTATCCCTAGTGCCTATTCATTGGGTGTCAATAGCACTTATCCACCCACCCCCAGTCATGTCAACCAAAAAAGTCTCCAGAAATTGCCAAATATCTGGGGTGGAGGGAGGTGGGAATCACCCTTGACTTCGAACCACTGGCTAATTGGGTTCTTAGAAAAATTAACCAAGTTAATATTATATGTTGTAAATCATTTAGAAGAGTGTCTGGCACATCAAAAGAGCTTGCTAAATGTTAGTTATTATTGCCATGTCTCTGTCCATGTCCCAGACCATTCCTTCTCACACATTTCACACCCATTGATATGGCTTGGCTATGTCTCCATCCAAATCTCACCTTGAATTGTAATAATCCCTGTGTCTCAAGGGCAGGACCAGGTGGAGATAATTGAATCATGGGGGTGGTTCCCCCATACTGTTCTCGTGGTAGTGACTAAGTCTCACAAGATCTGATGGTTTTATAAAGGGGAGTTCCCCTGCACAAGCTCTTTGCTTGCCACCATGGAAGACGGGCACCTTTGCTTCTCCTTTGCTTTCCCCCACGATTGCGAGGTCTCCCCAGCCATGTGAAATTGTGAGTCCATTAAACCTTTTTCCTTTAGAAATTGCCCAGTTTTGGGGTATGTCTTTATTAGCAGCATGAGAACAGACTAAGACACCCATATTTATGGTACACATTGCTAATCAATGGTAACTCTGTTCCTGACACCCTTGGGTATGATCTGTAAATCCTTCTCAACACAGCAGCCATCTTTCAAGATCCGGATGCTCTTTGGGAATTCTTCGAGACCTAGGAGCTGAACCTGACACCAAGAAGCAGCTCTGGGCACTTACTTTATTCCAACCTCAGGATAGCCCTATGAAGTCTCTATACCCACTTAGCAGTTGAAGAAACTGAGCCTTAGCAAGGCTTGGCCTAAGGTCATGTGGCTACTAAATGACAGCAGCAGACGTAAACCCCAAAGCCCATTTTTTGGCTATCCCCAAAGCTAGATATCAAATCCCCAAGAGTCTGATTTCACAGCTCATATTCTTAAGAATGACTCTGGATAGTTAATGCAGGATTCTCCAGTTGGGCTGCACTGGTGAACCACCTCTCCAAGGAAAAGGTAAAAGCCCTAATGTGTAGCGTTTGCCAATTCCCACAGTGTAAATACTCTCACTATAGCTGATTTGAAACTAGGGATGATTTTAAAACTGACTCACAAAATTCCTAATGATGTAACAATTGGTTTTTGAAGGCTGGTGCAAGCAGTTTCCAGTGCATCCGAGTGGCTTCCAGTCCATTTTGGAACAAGGCAGTGTATCAATAAATAAGTAAATCCCAGGAAATCTTAAGATAGCAAAAGCAACAGATGAACTAGCTAAGGCAGAGACTGTTTCACTTTCCATCCCTAAAGTTTGATGTACATGCACACACAAACTCATGTTTGGGTTTGAATTCTACAGCTGGGCTTACATAACCTAACACAGTAAATGCTAGATACAATGTCCAGAAAATTCGTTCAGGCTGACATTAACTTTATAGCCTCACTAATTGCCCATGAGTTCTTTTTTGGAAAAAAAAAAAAATCCTCCCTCCTTAGGCTGATTGTTTCTAGCAAACAACTCAGGAATAAATATTAGCAGCAGGATGGAAAGTCTAGACCAATGTAGTATTTGCAGACGATTTCCCCTCCAGAGACACACAGCAAGATGTGCTTCAATTAGCCAATGTAGCTCCAGGCCAGCACAGGCAGCATCGGGGATCCATCTCACTGGGCTATGTGGAAGATGTGCAGCTCTTATATAGTTAGTATAGAAGTTCTAAGCTTAGTTAACATAATGAGCATTAACTGTGTGCTCGTTCTGCTCCTAAGCAAGCAGAGGCTTTCCCCAGTCTTTCTCTTCAACTCAGTTCCCCACCCAGAAGGCAAAGATGAATGATTCCATCTTGTCCCTGTCAGGCAGCTTTTCTTCCATCCTGGCGCACCCCCAAAAGCTCTGTCAACACTCAAGCAAATATGCTCGACCGTTTTGCCATCTCTAATGCTGGGCAGAAACACATCTGAGCAGCTTTTGTGACCCAGGTTGCATTCTGGAAAGCGAAGATGGCTTCCCTGGAAAACACTTCTAGAAAGCCTAGGGCTTAACACCAAAACACCACCATTTCCCATAAGGTCATCAGACCAGCTTAGTTTTGTACAATGCCACAGATCTTTGTTTCTCAATTATCCCCAGCAATCCCCTTCATAAAAAAAAAAAAAAAAAATTAGCCACAAGCACCAAGAGGATTCACTGGAGTTTAATATTCTGAATGCAAAGGATACTTAATTTTTTTTATAGATTCTGCCACTAGGTCTTCATCAAACAAGAATTCTCCAGGACATGGGTGATGTATAGATTACATAAAAACAACCAGGAAGAGGGGTAAGAACATGGATTTTAGAGTCAGACACAAGCCTGGGTTCAAATTCTGCCATGTGCGTGCTCTATGTCCTTGAAAAGTTACTTAAACTCTATGTGCCTCAATTTCCTGATCTGTAAGATGGAGACAGTAATATTAACTTCATAGGGTTCCTGTAACTAGACACATAAAACAATAGGAGTAGATGTTTCTAGCCCACCTGGAGGCATCTGGTGAGTACACTCCACTAGGGATTAGAAATCATCTAATTTTCTAATTAGGGATTAGAATCTTTTAAATAAAACAGGGATTCATTTGAAGTCACAGAGGTCTGGAGACAGACTTTCCTTTTGTTCCATTCTAATGACTTCAGAATGTCTCTAATAATCTTCACTATTCTTTCTGTCTGTACTATTTTATGGCCCTGATAAGGACCTAGTTTGCTTCCTGGTTTATAAAAGACTTTTTTTTAAATGGGATCTTCAAAACCAGATGCTTCTCCTGGCCCCGGAAGAATAGAAACCATTAGGAATGGTTCTGTCCACCATGGATGACATAAAGAAAATATGACTCTGCTGAGAATGACCCCAAATCCTCCCGATGTTGTGCTTGTATAGGGAAGTGGCTTCTAAATCCATGTAAGCCTGACTCAAAATGTTCTTTAAGACACTATCTAAGCTATCAAGAGGTTCTCTGCAGAGACTCAATGAGGATATTAAAGCTCTCAAGGGTATCGTGAAACTGCTCTGTCTCGGCCTTTTCAAAGTTTCTAAGGAACCCTTGGAGAACAACTCTATAAAAAGGAAAGGTATTGGCTTATCAAAGTCTGAGAGCTGGCAACCTTACACCCCATGAGCCTCACATTTATTATCTTACTCTCATCCTTTCTGGTTTCTAATCAATTAATTTATGTGAAATCTCCCCTATAAAGCTTTGTCAAGAACTACTCCTTAGCTCTTCTTGCTGGGATACAGAGGATGGAGTGGTTGTAGGTCTGGTTCCAGGCACTGAGAGTGGCTAGGATCAGAAACCTCTATAGGCTGGTTCACCTTGGCTCCATGAGAGGGCTTTGGGAAAAACGATGCACATGGGAAAATATAAGAGCTAAGTATCCAGAGATGTAGCATTGGAAGCCCGTGGAGCTAGAGGCCATTATCCTTAGCAAACTAATGCAGGAACAGAAAACCAAATACCACATGTTCTCACTTCTAAGTGGGAAGTGAATGATAAGAACGCATGCACACATAAAGGGGAACAACCCACACCAGAGCCTGCCAAAGAGGGAGGAGGAGGAGGAGGGAGAGGATCAGGAAGAAGAACTAAGGGGTACTAGGCTTAATACCTGGGTGATGAAATAATCTGTATATAAAAAAAAACAACAACCCATGACACAAGTTTACCTATGTAACAAACCTGCACATGTACCCCTGAACTTGAAATAAGAATTTTTTAAAAAATAAAGGCTAAATAAAATAAAAGATTCGAAGCCCAGGTCTACGGGGCCATGAATTAGGACACCATCACTAACTCTGAACCTAAAAGACTCTTCCTTTCCCCCTGTATTAGCCAGGACTCTCCAGAGAAACAAAACCAATACAATACAGAGAGATATAAAAGGAGATTTATTATGGGAATTGTCTCACACAATTATGGAAGCCAAGAAGTCCCACGATCGTCCATCTGCAAGCTAGAAAATTCAGTCCAAGTCTGAAGGGCCGAGAACCAGGAGGGGGCTGTTGGTGTGAGTCTGAGTCTGAAGGCCCAAGAACCAGGAGCTCTGATGTCCAAGAGTAGGAGAAGATGGATGTCCCAGCTCAAGAAGAGAGAGAGAATTCACCCTTCCTCTGCCTTTTTGCTCTATCAGTACCCTCATTGGACTGAATGGTGCCCATCACATCATTCAGGGCAAGTGTTCTTTACTCCGTTTACTGATTCAGATGCTAACCTCTTGCAGAAACACCCTCTGGGACACACTCAGAAATAGTGTTTTACCAGCTATCTAGGCATCCCTTAGCACAGTGAATTGACATAAAAAATTAACCACCACACACCCTCTGCATTGACCCTTTGGAAATCTCATCCCAGAGAAATAAAAACATGAAGAGATACAGTATCTTACATAAAATATTTTTAAAATCATCATGTAAAGGCCAGAGATGACCTGATCACTGTTATTTAAAGAGTGGAAACATGAATATGGAATGAAATTTACATGAGAGGAAGACGTTAGTTTGACACTGGAGAGAAGAATATAACAAAGTGGTCCAAAAGAGAATTTAGGGTTTATGTACCTATTAATTCATGCAAAAAAAAAAAATATTCACTGAGTACCAGCCATGTGTCAGACAAAGTTCTGGATGCTGGGGACATACCAGTGAGCGAAAACGGGTGTATTTCCATGGTCCCACTCTCCTTCTTTTGTCTCTTTTTTCCTTCCTTCCTTAATCAAAACATTAGTGCTTACTAGTGCCAAGAACTGTGCAGATACTGAGGCTCCAGAAAATAGTCAACAAATAGATGAACAATTGCTCATCAGTATGAAGAATAGCTAACCTGAGGGGAATGAGAGATCAAAGACTACACATTGGGTGCAGTATATACTGTTCGGGTGATGGGTGCACCACAATCTCAGCGATCACCACTAAAGAACTTATACATGTAACCAAACACTACCTGTTTCCCAAAAACCTACTGAAAAAAAAAATACTAAAACAAATAAATAAATAAATAAAGACTTAGCATGACAACAAAGAAAAAAAGAAAATAGCTAACCTGTATAGAGTACTTTCTATTGGCCAAACACCCTGGATTAAGTCAATGAATGTCAATGAATCCTCACAACAAACTCTCTTTGTTTTTAGAACGATTATCTTTATCTCACAGGTGAGGAAGTTGAGGCTCAGACAGTCTAGGGAACTTGCAATATCACGGAGCAAGGAAGTAGTGGAGCTAGACATCAAATCCACAGTCTGATTCGAAGTTCATATTCTTAAACATGACTTTGGATGGTTAAAGCATGTATATTCTATAGTGGAGGTGTGCTTGTAAACCAGCTCTCTAAGAAAGAAAAAAATAAAGCACCAGTTTGTAACATTTTCCATTGCCTTTGGTGTAAATAGTCCCACTGTGGTTAGTTTGACGTTACCAATGGTATAACAACTAATTCACAAAATTTCTGAAAATTTAATAATTGGTTTTGCTAACGGGTGCAAATCAGGCTTCAGCATATGACTAAGTACAAATTGCTGGTGGATACAGAGAAGAAACTCACCTAACTCACCTTTAGGAATTTTGCTGTAGAATTAAAGATGAATGAGCCATAAGCTCCTTTCCCATAGGCCCCTGGAGTAGCCCATTTCCCTTTACCCTCGCTGAGCCCACCCCAATTTTTAGAACTGGTTGTTCAGCATTTCCTTGGATTCTCTAAAACGCAATATCCTTCCAACAATATCCTTCCAACAATATCCTTCCAATAAATTGCTTCTTGACCAAGCTGAGTCAAAATGAGCTTTGTTATTGAAAGGCAAAAGATTCTTAATAACTAATGCAGAGGGACGTCTCCATTGGAATCAGGAAAATATTATTCAGCAGAGCAGCAGCAACGTGTTGATGTCAATTAAATGCAGCTTCGATAGACAGACATGCTCTTCTGAAAATGCAGGGACCTGTACTCTCAGAACAATAGAAATTTTCAATCTACCAAAGGGAAGTCTAGCAACAACATTCCTGGGTGGACTTAAGCATGTGTTTATACACCATTAGCTACTTGGCAGAGTGACTGAGAGAACGCTGTGACCGTAAATAACATAAACTGAGGTTAGAAAAGCTGGGGGCAATGGAAGAGATCAGTGATGACGATTTATTATCCCTGAAATTATAACAGAAGCCCATAATAAAATGTAGTTCAATTTTAAAGGGAAAAGACTTACAAACAACATTTTAGAAATTCAGCTAGAGAGTAAAGCCATAAATAAGTATCTTTTCTGAGGTCTACCTGAACTTGCAGTCAGGTGGATATGAGCCTGAATCTCAGCTCTTTCCTAGCTCCGTGACCTTAAGCAAGTACCAGCCATGTGCCAGATACATCTTGAAGCTAGCTTTAGGCTCCTCTTCTGTAACCTGAGATAAATAATTCAGGGTGACTCTGAGAAGTAAATGTAGAATGCGTGGATCCTATAGTGGCATCCTGGCTCACCACTAATATTCAAAAGATGATAGTTAATGTTGAAATTGTCCCTATATACTGCATAAAAGTCTATCAGTAAAGAAGAAAGGGAGAAAAACAAAAACAAACCAAGTTTGCAGTACACGCAGCATTCATCATTAGGTCAGCTTGCTCGCTCATAGCTGTTTGGTGTCTATTGTTTTAGAATCATGCGCACCCTCTTATAAGATTATAGTTCCCCTTAACTGCTCTAGAGATAATAACTTGAACATTATAAAATATTCAGTTTTTCAATTGAGATATTCTTTTAGGTCCTACATATCAGTGAAACTATTGACATCATCTGGTCTGAAGGCCTCCATGAGAAACTGACTCATCAAGAAATGCGGTTTCCAAGTCCTGATGATTTCATACTCCTTACCCCAACCAACCAATGACCCAAATTTCCAGCCCCTTGCCCTCCATGATCCCCTTAAAAACCCTAGCCCAGAACTCCTTGGGGAGATGGATTTCAGAGTCTCCTCCAATTTCCTCACTCAGTGCCTTTCTCTGCTGTAAACCCTGCTGTGTCACTGTATTGGTCTGTTAAATTGCAGTGAGGATATGCATCTGTTGGTCCTATAACAATATTGTCAACAGTGACGATGATGACAGTGATGATGATTACAGCTCAAGTCTTGTCCCATCTAGAACCTCTTCCTGACGTCTCTATCCCTGATCAATTTTTCTAACCTTTGGGGATAGCTCTGATGTAGTTCTCATCAATTACCTGTATCTATAGTTACCTATAATTATCTCATCAATGATCTATAGTTAAGTAGATAATTACCTGTTTTACTCAAGAGTAAGAACTGTGTTTCAATTAGCTTCTGTGTTTCATGTAATAGTGAAAGTACAAGATTTGCAGTGCAATTGTATTTCAGAGAAGTTCGATCATTTTCTTAAGGTTACATAGCTTATAACTGTAAGAGTTCACTAAGCTAAAATATAGGTCTGTGCTATTCCACAGCCCAAGCATTTTACTTCTACTTCACCTCTCCTCCCTAGTAGGTACTTATCTGTTAATTAAGCTTAGTGCTCTGCTCTTGGGACCCACTCGTTGTTGTTGTTGTCACCAATATTCTTGTTGTTGTTGTTTTTCCAAATTCCATGTTGATCTGTGTGATAAGGGTCTTTTGACTGATCACAGCTCAAATCAATGTCAAGTACACACAGAGGATGGATTCTTGCCCTTCTCTGAGCCCTAGCATTACAGATTCAGTGTAGCAGGACTGAACCAGAAACTGTTTGGCAATGCCTAATCTGTTGCATTTGGCACCAAAGATGATGGTGGATAAAACTCTTGATGGCATCATCCTTGCCTGGTTGCACGTAGTAAGGAATTAGAAGTCCCCTAGCGTTTGTGTCCAAGCTAATTTAGACTTGTTTTCCTTACTAAAACTCATGGAGGTTTGACCTACTCATATGATAGATGCACATGCCCTCCACAGTCTCCTTGCAAATAAGGATCGCCGTAAAGGATACCTAGAAAAACTGCTGCTCCTCCAGGGTCTGTGTACTCTGAGCATTTTGCCTTCAATGTGAGCCTAGGGTCAAGGGCTCTTGATATAGGTTGCTAGGATTCTAGTTCTAGTTTTACCACCTGCAAGCTGTGTGAACTTGAAATAGTTAATCTCTCTGTGCCCTTTTCCTTTATGTACATAATAAGGATTATATCCCTCAAACATAGCCTGTTGTAAGGAGTTAATGGGATGCCATGTGTAATATAGCTAACAGCCTTGGCTCCCAGGCAGTCAATGCTCCCCTGAGCTCATCACCAAGGGAAGGACCTTGAAAAATGTCACTAGGAAGGACCAAGAAAAATGTGCAACTCAGGTTGGCCTCTGTGAGGGTAAAAGAAACTCAGATGATCTCAGCCCTTCCATTTCTGCTTCCTTCCTTCACCTATCACGCACCCCTGAAAATTTTCATGCTGCCGTCACCACACTCCGGGAAAAACACACATGCTCTGGAGTCAGAGCTCTGAATTCAGAGACCTGTGTCTCCAAAGACTGGCTGTATCCCACTGCAAATTATTTCTTCCATTTCAGCGTTTCCACAGTGTGAATGATAATGTAAACTAAGTAAAACAAAAATGCCTTGCCATGAAAATCACAGAATCCATGCTGTTATTTTCTCAGATATTTTAGTCTTACATAAAGGAAGGGTTGTTTTTCTGTTGTTTTTGCAAAAGTCTTCTCTCTCCGTCTGTCTGTTTCTGCCTCTCTGTTTTTCTCTGTGTGCATGTCAACTATCTCAGACTCTTTCTACACACTTCTTTAAATTCTTTGTATTTTTCTCACTCTCCCATGTCTCACACTGTCTCTTTCTGTAAATCACTCTCTCTCTCTCTCTCTCTCCCTTTCTCTCTCTGTGTATGTGCGTGTCAATTCTCTCAACCTCTTTCTTTATAATTCTCTTACCCACTCTGACTCCCAACCATAGTCATTTAAAGTGTATCCTCTAAATTCATCTGCCTGAATTTGCAGACTGGCTCCATACTTGAAGAACTGTGTGAACTTGGGTAATTTATTTAGTCTCTCTGAGCTTGTTTTTACACTTTGAAAGTAAGGAAAATAACAAAGTTTCTACTGCACAGGGTCATCATGAAGAAGAAATACAATAATGCGGCCAGAGCCCCGACCATCATACCTGGCAAAGAGCATGCATTTAACAAATATTCGCTGTTGTGATTATCTGTTTCTCCTCTCTCCTTGATCCATTTATCCTTGTGTCTATTTCAGGTGCATTCTCTTCCTTTATCTTGCTCTGTTTTCTGGCTCTCTCCCTCTCTCCTTTCTTCCCTCCCTCCTTCTCTCTCCTCCTCCCTCTCTGAACAGAGATCCACTGCTGCTCATTTCCTAAATTTGTTTAGCCACATCAATCTCTTGGTCAGGTGCAGATGTCAAGCTGCCCACACACAAAATAAAAAGCTACACTTGTGGTGCCAAGGAGGTATGGGCGGCTTGGGAGCCCTTACCAAGTTTCTCAGGAGATGGCCCAGGGGTTCCATGACGACAGGGCCAGCGCTGGCAATGTTTTCCTATGCCATGGTAACCACCCACCGTGCGTCACTGCAAGACAAACGGTGCCTCTCAGTAAGCAGAGAGATTAACAGCGTAGAATGTGGAGTATGAGCTCTTCAAAGGGAGCAGAATGTTCAACTGTAATTCATCTGAACTCCCATTTTTAACTCAAAACACAAATTCAGTTGCCAATAGAAGTCTATAAAGAATTAATTAGGGAACTTCACAAACAGTCAAAACTCATAAATTTATCACTGACAAAAAGAATCATTTCCTCTGTCAGACGTGAAGTATGGTTGTCAGAAAACGGAAACAAAAAAGAAAAAAACACTCAAAGAAGCAGGCCTGCTGTCTCATTTCTTTTCTCTAATTTGAAGAGAGAAGATAGTTTAGCACTTGGAGGATTCAGAAACTGACAATGCTCCCAGACCCTAAGCTCCATGAGGCTAAAGGCGGCCATGTCTGCAGTGTTCATTGCCAGAACTCCATTCTGTGGCTTGGTGCCTGGTACAGACGAGGAGTTGAAAATATTTATTGAATTGACTAAAATTTAAAAGGAGGCAATGGGAAGGGATAAAATTGATGGTCCAGACTTCTGACATTAAATCTGGCTTCCCTCCATTGCTCTGTCCTACTTCCTGTGAAACAGGAAGTGACACAGTGGCATCATCCCCCTGTCTGAGAATTCCTGACTACTGTGACCCCATTATTACTCTAACAACCCCCATAGTAAGAGCATGGCTTTGGAACATCAACAGGCCCAGCTCTATCCTAACTTCTATTAGTCTCAGTTTTTTCATGTGTAAAATGAAGCTAATTCTTTCATTGACGTCACACAATTTATGGAGATTAAGTGATAAATGCATTTGAAGATAAATATTAGCTACTAGTATCATTACTATAAGGAGTAAAGAGGACCATATTAGTTTGCTAGGGCCGCCATAACAAAATACCTCAGAGTGGGTGGCTTAAACAACTGAAAATTATTTTCCAACAGTTTTGGAGGCTGGAAGTCCAAGATGAAGGTGTCCGCAGCATTGGTTTCATTAGGAGGTCTCTCTCCTTGGCTTCTGGATGGCCATCTTCTTGCTGTATCCTCACATGATCTTTCCTCCGTGCACACACACCCCTGGTGTATCTCTATGTCCAGATTTCCTCTTCTCATAAGGATGCTAGTCACATTGGATTAGAACCCACCCCAACAGCCATGATATTAACTTAATCGTCTCTTTAAAGACCCTATCTCCAAAAAGTTACATTCTGTAGTGCTGTGGGTTAGGGCTTCAACATATGAACTTTGCGGGGACAAAACCCAGCCCATAGCAGGGACCTTAAGTATAATCATACTTCTCAATAGTTTAAGAGAAAACAAAAATTTGCCTTCCGACTGGCACTGAGCTGAGTTCACCCTTGTAAATCCTCAAGCTAAAAAATATTTTTCAAATCTGACCTGCCAGCATGCAAAGATCTAGCCAGCATACCAGCGATATAGGACTAATGCATGCAGCACAGGACACCTCAGCCAAGGCTCTTGCCCTCTCTAGTCCTAATCTAGGAGGAATAGGTTGGACCATGGGGTCCCTAAGATTTCATCTGCTATAATTCTAGCTATATGATTGCTCAGATGCTGAAAGGATCTGCAAAGGCTTGTACAGAAAGTATGAGTTCATATAAAAAATAAGAGTGTTCCCACCTCTATATTGAAAGTTTAGCTTCTGGAGCTCTCCACTGTAGTAAGCATGTGGTAGAGGACACTAAACTTTGGGAGAAAAATGGGAAAAAGCTCAGGGAATCAAGGTTAGGAGCAAACTCATGAAGGGCTTTATCATAGTAACGCCTCCAGCTTGCCTGGCATCCAAAAGATGGGTCCAATTATTACCAGAAAGAAAACCTAACACTGAATCTTGACCACTCATGAAGTGCAGCAGGTAGTGCAAATAATTCCCTTCAAAATGCATTTCAACCTAATCAGGGTCCACCTCTGGGAGTCGTCCCTGGGAGTCGTCCCTGGGAGTCTTTCCTTTCTCCAGCCTCTTGCCTCTTTCTCCTCTCCTTACCCTCATACCCTTGGTATTTTCTATTTCTCTGCCAGGGTCTGGCTCTATCAATGAAGAAACTCCTTACAGCCCTTGGCTCCTGAACATCACCTCTGATTCCTTCCTCTTTTGTAGGAAAAAGCATCAAGCTCTTCACTTTCCTCGGGTGAGAGATGGCAGAGTGCAGTGGTTAAGACAGGCATTCTGGAGCCAGTCTCATTAGTTTTGAATTCCTGATCTCCCACCGATCAGCTGGATCTGTTACTGGGAAAGTTACTTAACCTCTCTATGCCTCCATTCGTTTATCTGTGAAGTGGGAATTGCAATTGTTTCTCCCTACTGGGGCTGTTAGGAGGGTTAAATGAGCTAACATGCATAAAGTGTGAGGACAGTGCCTGTACACAGTAGGTGCAACACATGTTAACTGCTTTTCCTGAGAGGTGAGCATTCATACTAGTGGCTGAGGTTGGGCAGAACAATTTACTGGGGTGCATAAAGAAAATATCTGTTATCATTATCTTTTTAATGTCTATTTTAATATGTGTTTTATAAGATACACAATATACAAACACAATAGTATGTGTTGACAACTTAAAAATAAGTAAACATATATATTGCGTGGAAATGTTCGAAAAATTCTAATTCAGTGCACAACCAAAAAAGTTTAGAGGCCATTGATCTATAGCCAACCAACCCTTACTTTTTAGAAAAAAAAATGTAATTTGCACAATAGTATTTTTCAGAACACACCCTTTTCCTGTTAATACTGACTTTTTCTCTGAGTGTAATGTAGTTGTCACTGTTCTACTAATGAAACCTCAGTCTCTTTATTCTGTCTTACTAAAGACTGCCAGTCTGCCAATAATAGAGAAGGGAATCTCATCCAGCTACTATACATGTTTACACTCACCTAAACACAACAATAAAGACAGCATCGAGAGATAGAATGAAAGAGTATCAGGGACTGTCAGCACATAATAAATCAGTAATTATAGCTACTATACAACTCATTTCCATTTGCTATTTCTTATTCATTAGTCCTCACTTCGAAAATCCTGGTTTTCCATGATTGTCATTTCACTTCAATTTCATTTCATTTTCAATTTCTTTCACTGTGCATTTTCAGGGAGGGGCTGCATTTCTCCATGTCTACCTTTTTAAAATTATAATGCCCACTGCATTTCTGATTTTAGATATAGACTTCCAACTCTTGGACCCACTGTGGTCTGAGACATTCAGTGAAATCTGGATACCTGCATTGGAAATAACTTTGGGCAACCTTGTTTCAACCCTTTTGGTGTCACTAGTAGGAATTTCTTCAGTCCCATTGGCAATACCCAGAATTTTGTAATCTCAACTTTCTCCATGTAAGTTTGTACCAAAGCCACCTGCCTCTTAAACATCTGCCTTTCTTATACTGACTAGAATTATCTGAAAATAAAGGACGGCTCACCGTCCTGAGAATAGGTGATGAGCTTCCTACCTCTAAAGCAGCACTTCTCAATTTTGGCACTATTGACACTTGGGGCTCGATAATGCCTTGTCACGACGGGTCACCCTGTGCATTGTGGGGTGATTAGCAGCACCCCTCGTCTCAACCTACCAGATGCCAGTAGCAACTCTCCCCAGGTCGCGACAACCAAAAATGTCGCCAGATATCACCACGTGTCTCCTGAGGGGCAAAATCATCTCTGGTTGGGAATCCTGTTTCAGAAGTAGTCAAGAAGAACAACAATACCCCCTTCAAGGGGGTTACAGCAGGAAGATTCCTGTGCTGGGTGGGAGCTTGAACCAGATTTTAAACTCCATGGAAATTCTACAGTGCTACAATAGCATAAAATGGTTTTTATGTCAGTGGTGTTGATGGGGTGAAGCAGAGAGAGGAATGGGGCAGGAATGGGGGAAATTTAGAATCTGGGTCCAATGGACTTGGGGTCCACTCCGAGATCATCTGAGAGTGTTCCCACTATCTCTCTCCCTCCCACAGCCAATCCCTGCAGGGGGGCAGTAGATGAAGCAGGAGAGGTGAGATGCTCACTCAGGAGTTAGGAGATTTATACCAACAGACAATGCTTTCAGAATGTGGTGAGTCTTCCAAGTTTGTTTGTTTGTTTTCCAGACAGAGTCTCACTTTGTCACCCAGGCTAGAGTGCAGTGGCACGATCTTGGCTCACTGCAACCTCTGCCTCCCGGTTCAAGCTATTCTCATGCCTCAATCTCCCAAGTAGCTGGGATGACAGGTGCCGTCCCACCACATCCAGCTAATTTTTGTATTTTTAGTAGAGATGGGGTTTCACCATGTTGACCAGGCTGGTCTCCAACTCCTGACCTCAAGTGATCTGCCCGCCTCGGCCTTCCAAAGTGCTGGGATTACAGGAATGAGCCACCACACCCAGCTGAGCCTTCCAAGTTTTACACCATATCCCCAGCAGCTCTGTGCTCCCACATCCCTAAGTACCAAGAGTAACCTCCTTGCTGCAGTGCTCGAGGGATCTCAGGAGATGTGGGAAAGGGGGACTGCCATAGCATCACCGTACTTCTTCCCTGAGACCCCCACAGCCAGCACAATCCTCATGGACATTCACATTCCAAGATCAAGGGTGCAGACTGACACACTTCATCATTTTCATATGAAATGATTTGCAGTCTCAGAGGCACAGACTGACGGCAAAGCTATCATAAACCCCTCCTGATTTATTTCTCTTATTATTAAATAACCATCTCACTGGAGCCTGGGGACTTTGTGTTTCTTTAGGCCAGCCCCAAGCTCTGAAATGGACACAGCCTAGATAATTAGAACTCCCCTTAAGGACCTCATTCCGCCTACCTCCCCGAAAAGTTTGTCGTTGCATTTCTTGACCTTCCCATGTGAACAGCGCTTGTGTTTAGCTGGGCCATATTTCAATTTGATTGTCTTGCCCACGACACACTGACTGTCTCACATGCTGGAAACAGAATGAATTAGAAGAAGTTTCCTGTTCTGCCTCATGGAGTCTTTTCTTTCCCTTATGCTATGTTTAGCCTTTGTGTGGGCACTTGGCTGATGCCAGATACAACTTATTGCTTTAATTCCTGTTTTGATGAGACACTCTGTTTGCTGAGGGTGAACCTCAAGGGTGAAAGAACTTGCTGAAGTATTTCTTCCGTCATCTACCTCATCTCCTGTGGACTGGTAAAGTTTCTTCCATTTGGGAAAAGAGAGTGTCTTCTTTCAAACACAGAGGAAGTATACTTTATTGGAAGGATTACAATAAAGGAATTCACTGGAAGAATTGCAGATAAAGGAATTCTGGCTGCCTGTCCTGCAGTTGTGCTTTCTATTTAAGCAACATCTACTGCACACCTGCTGAGTACCACATTTCGTGCCAGGCAAGGGTGACACAGCTGTGGCTAAGTCACAGTCCCTGCCCTTGAGGAATTCGAGAGCCTAATGTGGAAGCAAACTGGTAAATAGGTATTAAAATATGATGTGGTAATAAGAACAAAAGCAATGAAAAGCAAGCATCTCTCGTTTTCTGGGGCACTTACTATGTGTCAAGTTCTATGGTAAAAAAAAAAAAAAAAAAAGAAGGAATGGAGTCCAGGCTCTGAAGCCAAGCTGCCCCAGTTTGAATACCATTGTGGGCACTGACGAACGATATAAACTTGGAGAAGTCACTTTCTCTCTCCTGGCTTGTAGATGTGGTGTTTTGAACCAGTCATGTAACCTCTCTGAGCCTCAATTTTTTCATCTGTAGAATGGGAGCAATTGTATTCCTTACCTCTTAGGACTGTGTTCAGGATAAAATGAAATAAGATGTATAATGCGATAAATACTCCACAAAGTCTCGCTATTACTATCTCTATAATCCATGAGGCCAGTCGTATTATTCTCATTTTAAAGATCAAGAAAATAAGGCTCAGATACATTGTATGAGTTGCCCAAGATTTTACACATAGTAAGTGGCAATCCTGCAATTTGAACCCAGGTCTGTATGATGATGCCACAGCCAGGGTTTGAACTAGAGTTCAGTAGGAAGAAACTAATGTTTTTGAGGATCGTAAGGACAGAGAATTTGAGGGGACAGCTTGATCCTCTATCCGGGGTCCTATGACGTGAAGACAAGAAGAGTTCCCAGGGCTGCAAGAAGAGACCTTAGCATCTCTACTCTGTTACTCTTCTTCCTCTCTGCTCCCTTAGTCTCTATTCCTCTGTGTCATCATGAATCTCTGTTTCAACTTCTCCACTTGAATGTCTAATTCAACTTCTAATTAAATGCATTCAATTTCTCCACTTGAATATCTAAATGGCATCTCAGTGTTAAGATACCCAAACCCAGACTCAGGAAGTCTAACCACCCTTCCCATGCTGCTTCTCCCCCAGCTCTTCTCCATCCTGGTACATGGCACCGTCATCTCTCCACCAGTCAACCAAAAACTCTCAAGCTATCTTGATTCCTCTTCTTCTCATTAGCAAAACTCAGCAATCCCACCTTCAAACCAGTGACTGACTCTATTCACAGCTCTCCACCTCCTCCACCACTCTCCTGGCCCAAGGCATCACCCTGTCTCAACGGGACAGTTGCTGGAGCCTCCTTAGGGGTCTTCCTGTCTCACTCTTGCCCCTCCACAGCACACTCCATGCAATATCAAAGTGAGTTTTGAAAACTGAACTTACACACTCTGCATCAGCCATGTGGTCTCCCTCTGTTCCTTTGCCCCATCAAGTACTTAGCTTCAAATGTTCTCTTTTTGATTTTTAGGTGTCTGTTTCCTTCTCATCACTGGATCTCAACTTAAAAATCACAATCTTTGAGACAACTTGACCACTCAGTCTCCCTCTGACTCATCTTCTGTTTTTATTCTTGCATAGCAAGAATTATCACCAACTAATATTTTTTCTGTTTTTGCTTCTCCCCACTAGACGTGGGAAGAGAGGCCTTGTCTATTTTGTTTATGTATCTTCTATATCTTGAACACAATCTGGCACACAACAGGGTCTCGTACATAATAGGTACTCAATAAATATTTATATACCATAAATACATAAATGAGTGTGTTTCTTTCTTTTCCTCTCTCCCTTCTGCCCCTCCTATCTCTAGCTTTTCATCTCTTAAATTTATTATTCAGAATGAGAATAGAAGACTTATAATGTCTCATGCTTAGTCATTTGTAAACAGTAGCTAAAACCCTAGAACTCCCGAATTGTAATGGAGAATTCTAAATTGTAAAATGTGACATGTGGATGGTTCCTCTGAAATGTTTACCAGCCTCCCAAAAACGGTTCCTTATCTTCATGAATACAAATGAAGAAGGGTCGCTCAACGATTACCTTCAAAGCAGCAGCAGCCTGTCTGTAATCACCGTCAGATTCTCTCTGCTCAGTCTCTGATGCGCACCCCTAAATTCACTTCATTAGTTTTAATTATCCCCACCACGAGCAGGCAAAGACTTTACAGCTATTTTAGAAATGGAATTAGCAAAACTTATACACTGGATAACTTTCTCCAAGGTGTTTAGCTGTAATTGTCCTCATGTTGAGTAGAAACAGAAGTAGCATCAGCTTATCCATTTGCTGAATTTATATTGCATTTTGGGGAAGATGCTGTTTGATGACTTTTTT
Source organism: Homo sapiens (assembly GCF_000001405.40). NCBI lineage: Eukaryota > Metazoa > Chordata > Mammalia > Primates > Hominidae > Homo > Homo sapiens. The sequence continues at coordinate 9,482,413 of NC_000016.10, read as the reverse complement.
CATTTGTCTGGATTCATTAACATCAAATCTACCTAGACTGACTGAGCCCTGGCTGAACCGTTGCTACGTTCCTACTTTTTCCTATGACATAATTCTGAGTTGAGCCACATTTCTCTCTCTCTTTCACACACACACACACCCTCGCTAACAGCAGAAGCAGCAGCAGCAAATCATACCATAAAACTCTCTCACACACACACACGCACACACACACACTCATGCACACAAACATACTCACACAAAACCACCACCACATAACTCAACCTAATCATCTCTTACCATTGCCACCATAATAATGTAATATAAGCCACTGTCATCTTTTATCTGGACCACGGTGACAATCTCCTTTTGGGCTCTACGTTTCTCCTCTGCTCCCCGCCCCCTTTCTCCCCATCTGGCCTCCATTCAGCAGCTAACATGCTGCTAATAAAAGAAAATTCGAATCACATCCCCCCACCGCTCAGAGCCCCCTGCCTGTCCCTCACGTGTGGATTAAGTCCTCACCACGGCCGACCCTAACTGAACCCTAACAGGGCCCTAACTGATCTGGCTCCTGCCCACTTTTCTGACATTGCCTTGAATTACTCACTCCACTCCAGCCACCTTGCCTCCTGGACATTTCTGGAACCCGCCAACCCCACTCCTGCCTCAGCACCTCTGTGCTGCTATGCCTCAGCCCAGAACATGCTGCAGCAAATGTCCACATGGTTTGCTTCCTCACTTCACTCAAGTCTCCGTTCAAATGCTGCCTCCTCTGAGAAGCCTCCCATAAGCACTCTAATGAAACACTACCCTCAGTCTTCTTCATCCCTACACTTTGATTTTTCTTCCATAACATCATCAGCTGTCATCATTATATAATCTAGGTCGGGCATGGTGCTTCACACCTGTAATCCCAGCAATTTGAAAGGTCAAGGTGGGCAGATCACTTGAGGTCAGCAGTTCAAGACCAGCCTGGCCAACATGGTGAAACCCTGTCTCTACCAAAAATACAAAAATTAGCCAGGCGTTGTGGTTACATGCCTGCAGTCCCAGCTACTCTGGAGGCTGAGGCAGGAGAATCGCTTGAACCCAGGAAGAGAAGGCTGCAGTGCGTTGAGGTTGCACGACTGCACTCCGGCCTGGGTGACAGTGAGACACCATCTCATAAAAACAAAAAGATTATATAATCTAAATATTTGTTTATTTGTCATCTCCCTACATTATGCATAAGAATGTGCTAGCAGGAGCGTTGGAGTGAGAAAATAAAATCATGGGTAAAGGGTAAAACATTTCAGTTACACAGGAGGAATAAATTCTGGTGATCTATTGCACAGCAAGGTGCCTCTAGTTAATAGTAATGTATTGTATATTCCAAAATTGCTAAAACAGTTAATTTCAAATGTTTTCACCACAAAGAAATGGTAAGTATGTGAGGTAATAGATATGTCAATTAGCCAGATTTCCTCATCCACAATATATACATGTATCAAAGCATCACACTGTACTCCATCAATATATGCGATTATTATTTATCGATAAAAATATAATTAAAGGTTGGGCATGGTGGTCCACACCTGTAATCCCACCATTTTGGGAGGCCAAGGCAGGAGGATCACTTAAGCCCTGGAGTTCAAGACCAGCCTGGGCAATGTAGTGAGACTCCCTCTGTATTTAAAAAAAAGAGAGAGAGAGAAAGAAAAATTTTAAAAAATGATGATTCAGGTAGAAAAACGGAATGACTGTAAAAGTGAGCTGACATGCCTGGTTTGACTAAATCTCTGTGGTGGTGGAAACTGAGAAGCCAATTTCAGAAAAATCGTTTAGCTGGGATTAAAATGCACTTCTGTGGGAAACCTCAGAATCTGGGTGTGCTTTTGTATTAGTCTGTTCTCACACTGCTAATAAAGACATACCTGAGACTGGGTAAATTATAAAGGTAAGAAGTTTAATTGACTCACCGTTCAGCATGGCAGAGGAGGCCTCTGGAAACTTACAATCATGGTGGAAGGGGAAGCAAACACGTCCTTCTTCACAGAGTGGCAGCAAGATGAAATGCCCAGCAGAAAGTGGGGAAAGTCCTTTATAAAACCATCAGATCCCACAAGAACTCACTCACTGTCATGAGAACAGCATGAAGGTAACCACCCCCATGGTTCAATTACTTCCCACTGATCAGTCCCACGACACATGGGGATTATGGGAACTACAATTCAGAATGAGACTTGGGTGGAGACACAGCCAAACCATATCAACTTTCCACTCAAGAAGGCTCAAAACATCTCTCATCCATCACCCCAGTGCTCACCCTCCCTCCCCATCACTTTGGGTCACCCAGTCCTTTGGGGGCATTGCACCAACATTTCACAATATCTGTACAATGAAGATACTACCCGCAAATACCAAAATGTGAGTTTCGACTTGGCAAATATATCAAGAACATTAAAAATGTCCAACTCTTCAAGGCAGAAATCCTCCTTTTAGAAAATATCACATGGGGCTGGGTGCGGTGGCTCACGCCTGTAATCCCAGCACTTTGGGAGGCCGAGGCGGGTGGATCACGAGGTCAGGAGATCAAGACCATCCTGGCTAACACAGTGAAACCCCGTCTCTACTAAAAATGAAAAAACAAAATTAGCCGGGCATGGTGACGGGCGCCTGTAGTTGGCAGGAGAATGGCGTGAAGCCGGGAGGCGGAGCTCGCAGTGAGCCGAGATGGCGTGCCACTGCATTCTAGCCTGGGAGACAGAGCAAGACTCTATCTCAAAAAAAAAAAAAAAAAGAAAAGAAAAGAAAAAAGAAAGAAAATATCATATGGAAATATTCTGAAACACAATGTTTCGTGTACACTGTTATTTACAACACAGTGAACAGGAAACAGGAAACAGTCCAACTGTCTCCTAGTATGGCACTGGTTAAACAAATGAGGGTACATTACTATGATGGACTTATGTAGTCATTAAAAGTATGTTTATGAGCATTTTTAATGTCATAGGAAAATATTTACTCAATAATGACAAGCAAAAAAATGAAAATGCAAAATTGTATTATTTCAGTCTCAACTATGGAGATAAAATAAATTTTAAAATACTGGAGGAAATATACCAGAGTGGCTAACTCTCGGTTTAAAAATTATTTCTTCTGCTTTGTAATATTTTTCATGTTTTCCAAAGTGGCCTGATGGGGACTGTCTCCACCTCATTCTATTCCCAGGAAATAATTTTGTGCCCCCTGCTGTTCTGACATAAGAGAGTCATGTTGGGAAAGATGAAGAAAAGCTATACTTATTTAAAGTTATGATAAACTGAAACTATGCTAAAAGACGGCCAAAAAGAAAGCTTTGTCTGAAAGTTGTTTCTCCAGGCTTAACTGAAAAAGTATGCTCCTGCATCCTTTCCTTCCTAGCACAACACCTAAAGGATCTGGCTTCCACTTTCCTCAAAGCCCAGCCAGGGTAGGGACTTAAAAACTGACATTCTGGCTAAAGGTTGAGAGGAAGAGAAGTGGGGTACTAGAAAGATCAGGGAAATTAAGAAACCAAAGGAACCATCAGGGAGGAGGAAAACTGGAAAGAAAACCACGGAAAAAAAAAAAAAAATCAGAAACCCACCCATCTACAAGGGTCAAATAGATAACCAAGCTGTCTGTAAGAAGCAAAAGGGAGGCCAGGTGCAGTGTCTCACGCCTGTAATCCCAGCACTTTGGGAGGCCAAGGCCGGCAGATCACCTGAAGTCAGGAGTTCGAGACCAGCCTGGCCAACATGGTGAAACCCTGTCTCTACAAAAATACAAAAAAAAATAATAATAGCTGGGCATGATGGTGGGTGCCTGTAATCCCAGCTACTCAGGAGGCTGATGTGGAAGAATCACTTAAACCCAGGAGGCGGAGGTTGCGGTGAGCCGTGATCATGCCATTGCACTCCAGCCTAGGCAAGAGAGAGGGACTCAAAAAAAAAAGAAAAGAAAAGAAAGAAAGAGAAGAAAAGAAAAGAAAAAGAAAGAAAGAAAGAAGAAAGAAGAAAGAAAGAAAGAAAGAAAGAGAAGGAAAGAAAGAGAGAGAAAGAAGCAAAAGGGGAATGGTGGGGACTGTGGCAAACTGGAAGGTTTCTACTCTATTTAATGGGGAACAGTTAAGTCAGTTCCAGGTAAATGTTACCACATGCAAACCCAGTTTTTTTCAGGCTTTTTCAATTTTCCAATCCAGAAATCCATATTTTTATGCAAAACCCTCACCTTATAAAATATTGGCAAATAAAGATTTACACTCCATTAAAAAAATATCAGTATCATGAAAATAGCAGGCGTTGAGGCCAGGCATAGTGGCTCACATCTGTAATCTCAGCACTTTAGGAAATTGACACTGATCAATCACTTGAGCCCAGGAGTTTGAGATCAGCCTGGACAGCATGGTAAAACCCTGCCTCTACCAAAACAAACAAACAAACAAAAATAGCTGAATAGAGTGGCATCCACCTGTAGTTCCAGCACCTAGGGAGGCTAAGGTGGGAAAATTGCTTGAGCCCAGGAGGCAGAGGTTGCATTGAGCTGAGATTGTACCACTGCACTCCATCCTAGGTGACTGAGCCAGACCCTGTCTCAAAAAAAAAAAATATATATATATATACATATATATGTATATATATATATGCAGTTGATTATTTTTGGTTGATAGGCACATAGGCATTGTTACTTTTCTCTATTTTTTAAGTAAGAAAAAAGAAACATGGACAAAATTAAAACCCCCACTACATAGACCAAGTAAAATATTGACAAGCCACATTCAGTTTTCAACCATACCATAGTACAAGGATTCTCTTTGACCCATCTGAGACAGACTTAGTATGAATTGATGGGTAACTAAAGGGAAACATAGAGGATTTTTCTTATTTTTACTATCATCCATGTTTTTTTTAAGAATAGACATCACCACCCTATCCTTCCAAATTTTAAGGGGTTACAAGAAAATGAGCATCTTTTATCATAAAGCAATCAAGGGCTAAAAAAAAGCTAGGATGGAATGAGGCTTGGCAAAGCTTTCCTATCCCAGCTTGGAGAATGGACACATCTTCCATCTTGCCCAGCCTCAGCTCTTTGAGTCACTGTAGCTGTTGTGTTTAAATGACATATCCAGATTAATTTGTTTGACCAATGAAAAGAGGTGTGAGACATGTCGGGTCATGGAGACGGTTATGTCGTCGCTGTCTTTATAAATCATCCCTGCTTCTCCTGAGACAATGCCAGGTTAACTCATGGATGCCTCTGGTTCAGATGGTAAAGATGGGAACAAATCACCCTTTTGCTGAAGAGTTCAGTTAGACAGATTGTGGTGGTGTCTACAGGGCCAGAAATGATCAGAGTCTTACAAAAGTAACACAAGAGCATCACAATCGATTTGTATAGCTGCCTCATCTTAGGGGTCGCCATCTGGTAACCAAGGGAAAACAGGAACTGAGACATCTCACAATTCAGAACCAGCTAGTGAGACTCAGGTGTCCTTGGTTGTTCTCCCCATTGACTCATGGCCCTGGGGTTCCCTGAGCCCAGCATATTGGTTAAGAGATTCTGCTAATGACTATACAGTTAATGATAACCAGCAATAACTGTTACCTTGCAAAGCCTGCTCTGTGCCTAATGATTGACCTGCGTTTCCATTTACTATTTCCAAATCTTGAAATAGATACTGGCAGTCTCATTTTACGGATAAGGAATTTTGAGACTGGATGGATGGAGTGACTTTTCCAAAGCCATCAGCTGGGGTTTAAGTGGGAATTCTGATACTGTTCCAGGCCACCTTTCAGAGATCACTGTAGAGATGTTTTCCAGATATTTGTTTCCAAGAGGATCAAGACCTTCATCAGTTTGACTCTCTTTTTTTTTTGAAATGGAGTTTCACTCTTGTTGCCCAGGCTGGAGTGCAATGGCGCGATCTTGGCTCACCGCAACCTCCGCCTCCCAAGTTCAAGTAATTCTCCTGCCTCAGCCTCCCCAGTAGCTGGGATTACAGGCATGCACCACCACCATGCCTGGCTAATTTTGCATTTTTAGTAGAGATGGGGTTTCTCCATGTTGATCAGGCTGGTCTCAAACTCCCAACCTCAGGTGATCCATCCACCTTGGCCTCTGAAAGTGCTGGGATTACAGGCATGAGCCACCACCCCCAGCTCAATTTGACTCTTAAAAGAAATAGTAATTTTAAAATACAGCTTCAAAAGAAACTGTATAGTAAAAAGAAGGAAGTTCTAGTATCAGACAGAACAGGAATTGCATGTGGACGCAGCCCACTTCCCTGCCATGAGATCCCAGATAAACCCCTAAAACTCTCTGAGCTTTGGGTTTCTCGTCTGTGAGAGAGAAATGCTCATTTGACACACATTAAGTATTATGTAGGGATAATTTTTTTTCCTAATGGGAGACTGGCAGAGCTGTTTCCCACAGAAACCACAGCATGAGAGCCCGAGGTTACTTCCTGAAATCACAGTTTGACCATTGCCGAAAGGCCATTTCCGTGCTTTTCTCTCCCCTGTTCTTTTTTTTTTTTTTTTTTTTTTTTTGACAGAGTTTCACTCTTGTTGCCCAGGCTGGAGTGCAATGGCATGATCCTGGCTCACTGCAACCTCCGCTTCCTGGGTTCAAGCGATTCTCCTGCCTCAGCCTCCTGAGTAGCTGGGATTACAGGTGCCTGCCACCACACCCGGCTAATTTTTGCATTTTTAGTAGAGACAGAGTTTCACCATGTTGGCCAGGCTGGTCTCTAACTCCTGACCTCAGAGGATCTGCCCACCTCGGCCTCCCAAAGTGCTGGGATTACAGGCATGAGCCACCATGCCCAGCCTATTTTTTTTTTGATTGACAGATAACATAGTATGTTTTATTATGTATCACACGATGTCTTAAAGTATATATACATTTTGCCATTGAAAGTAATGGCAAAAACCACGATTACTTTTGCACCAACCCAAAAGTTACCAAATGCATTTCTTCACACGGTTATTATTTTTGTGGGGAGAGCACATAATATCCACTCTACATTTTTCAAGAATACAGCATAACATCATTAACTACAGTCACCTTGCTGCACAATAGATGTCTTGAAATTTATTCTTCCTCTCATTATGTATCCTTCGACCAACGTCTCCCATTCTCCCCACCCCTCTAACACTATACTCTATATTTCTGTGAGATCAGCTTTTTAAGGTTTCACATATAAGTGAGATCATGCAGTATTTGTCTTTCAATGCCTGGCTTATTTCACTTCATATAATGTCCTCCAGGTTCGTCCATGCTGTCACAAATGGTAGAATTTTATTCCTTTTTGTGGCTGAACAGTTTTTCTGCTGTGTATATATACTGCATTTTCTTATTTATTTATTTATTTCTTTTTGAGATGGAGTCTTGCTCTGTCACCCAGGCTGGAGTGCAGTGGCATGATCTCGGCTCACTGCAAGCTCCGCCTCCCAGGTTCACACCATTCTCCTGCCTCAGCCTCCCGAGTAGCTGGGACTACAGGCACCCGCCACCATGCCTGGCTAATTTTTTGTATTTTTAGTAGAGATGGGGTTTCACCGTGTTAGCCAGGATGGTCTCGATCTCCTGACCTCGTGATCCTCCCGCCTCAGCCTCCCAAAGTGCTGGGATTACGGGCGTGAGCCACCGTGCCCGGCCTTGCATTTTCTTTATTCATTCATCCATTGATGGACACGTAGGTTGCTTCCATGTCTTGGCTATTGTGAATAGTGCTCTAATAAACATGGGTGTGCAGATGTCTCTTTGACATGGTGATTTTATTTCCTTTGGATATGTATGCAGTAGTAGGATTGTTGGCTCACATGGTAGTTCTATTTTTAACTTTTTAAGGCACCTCTCTATACTGTTTTCCATAATGGCTGTGCTATCTTACATTCCCACCAATAGTGTGCAAGGATTCCCTTTTCTCCATATCCTCACCAACACTTGTTATCTTTTTTGTCTGCAGAAGTGTTCCAGAGGACTCGTGGCATATTTTAAATCACCTTTTTTAAGGTATATTATCATACACTAAGATGCACACATTTTCAGTGTACAGTTTAATAATTTGGACAAAGATATACCCTTACATCATGTAGTGGCAAAGACAAATTAAAAACAAGAGGCCTAATTTTCCCTGTTGAAAATAATGAAAGAGACTTCTCCCTCTCTTTTGTTAGAGCATTTACTTTAGAAAACCTCTAATTGTAGGCTCTTTCTCTGTCTCTTTAAAATGTATGTAAATCTTTTTAAAAGTGAACTAAGTCTCTTGCCAGCTTTAGGAGCCAGAAATGGCTTTCTCAGGGACCTGGGTACCATCTCTTAGAAATGTAATCATCAAGAAAGATGGCGCCTCTATCTCCCAATTCCTGTGGGAGAATAGGAGTCTAATCCAAGCTGGAGTGGGCACCTCACTGCAAGTTACAAAACTGTCTCCTGTCATAAAGATGTGAGAAGTCTATTTTTCCTTAGGATAAAGCCAATTAGCAAGCACAGATGGCCATCCCAATTACTAAGTGAATCTAGGGTGAACTATGTATGACAAATGTTGCTGTCAAATTCTCTGACTTGAGGACTATTTATTGTTTATCTTGAGAATCTGCAGGTAATGGGTTGTATCTGCTTGACTGTATAAAAGGGTGAGATTTCTTTCTATCTTTGCAATTGTGCGGCAGATTGCCTGTGATGTACATCACATTCTGGACTAATGCTTATTCAGTAATGAAATCGTCTGCCTTCTCTTCTACCTTTCTGAGTTGAGAGGGGATTTTCTTTTGAACTATATGGTATTTCTCTAACAGTCACCACTACCCTGATCGAGATACTGAAAATGGGTCAGGCGCTGTGGCTCACACCTGTAATCCCAGCACTTTGGAAGGCAAAGGCGGGCGGATCACTTGAGGTCAGGCGTTCGACACCAGCCTGGGCAACATGGTGAAACCCTATCTCTACTAAAAATACAAAACTTAGCCAGGCACGGTGGTGTGCACCTGTAATCCCAGCTACTCAGGAAGTTGAGGCAGGAGAATCGCTTGAACCCTGGAGGCGCAGGCTGCAGTGAACCAAGATTGCACCTCTGCACTCCAGCCTGGGTGACAGAGCGAGACTCCGTCTCAAAAAAAAAAATAAAAAAGGAAAGAAAAGAAAAGAAAAAAGACACTGAAAACTTTCATCACCCCAGAAGTTACCATCTGCCCCTTTGAAATAAATCCTCAACTCTCCACCCTAGGCAACTATTGATGTTATTTCTATTGCCATAGATAATTTTTGCTGATTCGAGAACTTTTTAAAGTGAAATCATACAGTATTTACTCTTCAATGTAAGGCTTCTTTAACCCAGGCTGTTTTCGAGATCCAGTCATGGTTCTTGCATGTAACAGTAGGATGTTCATTTTAACTGTACAGTACTATTCCAAAATTGTTTTTCACTCACTTGTTGATAGACATTTGGGTTTTTTCCAGTTTTTGACTGTTAGAAATAAAGCTGCAGTGAACGTTCAGGTACAAGTCTGTTTGTGAATGTACATTTTTATTTCACCTTGGATAAATAGCCAAGAGCAGAACTGCTGAGTCTTATGAGTGTGTATTTAACTTATGAGTGTGTATTTAACGTTTTCACTGACATACTCTTTTCCAAAGTGGTCGTACCATTAGAAAGTTCCTGTTGTTTCATACCCTCAACAACACTTGACATAGTCATTCTTTTTAATTTTAGACATCTTAAGTCATAAGGCATAAGTCTCATGTCATAAGTCTGAAGTCATAAGATGTAAGTCTTATGTCATAAGTCTTAATCATAAGATTTTTCTCCTATGTTTTCTTCTTACAGATTTAAGCATTTATATTTAGGTCTGTGATACATTGTAAATGAAATTTCGTGTATAGTGTAAAGCAGAGACCAAGGCTCACATTTTCCTCTCTAAATATCCTCTTTTTCTATCACCATTTGTTAAAAAAACACCCCATTTATCCAAGTGAATTCTTAAAGTCTTTGTCTAAAATGAGTTGATCATATGTGTGGGTTATTTCTAGACTCTGTCTTTACACCGATACTACACTGTCTTGATACTGTAGCTTTATTTCAAAACTTTTACAGTCTTGATATGGTAGCTTTGAAATTGAGTAGTGCAGTTTCCCTAATTTCTCTCTTGTTTTTCAAATGGTTTTGGCTATTCTACATCTTTTGTACTCTACAAAGCCTGCTTGGGTTTTGACTGGGATTATGACTATAGGTAAGTTTGGAGAGAACAATACAATAACAATGTTATTAGTTATCTACTGCTACATAAAAAAAAATCTCCAAACACAAAATGACAGCATTTAGTATCTCAGAAGATTATCTGTGGGTCAGTAACATGGACATGACTTAGCTAGGTCTTCCAGCTCAGGGTCTCACTCAAGGATGCAATTAGGTGGCCTAGACTGCAGTCATCTGAGGGTTTGACTGGATCCATTTCCAAGCTCACTCAGTGGTTATTGGCAGGATTTAGTTCCTCACAGGTTGTTGAACTGACAGTCTCACCCTTATTGGTTGTGAGCTGGAGGCTACCCTCAAATCCTTGCTATGTGGATCCTTCCATAAGGAAGCTTACACCATGGCAGCTGGCCTCATCAAAGTAAGCAAGAGAGAGTTAGAAGAAGACAGTAGTCAGTCTTCTAGAACCTAATCTCAGAAGAATCATTCTATCATCTTTGCCATATTCTATTCATTAGAGGCAAGTCACTAGACTCAGCACATACTAAAGGGAGAGGATTACGTAAGACGTGAATACCAGGAGATGCTGATCATTGGAAGCCATATTAGAGGTCTACCTACCACAATCATATTGAATATGCCAATCCAAGAACATGGTATCTCTCTCAATCTCCCCTCTTTTTCCTTTTCAATTGCTCTTAGCAATGTTAATTGGTTTTACTATTAAAGTTTTGCATATCTTTCATTAAATTCATTCCTAAATATTTTATTTTTGATCTTCTTCTAAATGATATTTAAATTTCATTTTTTAGTTCCTTATGATCAACAAATTTAAACACAAGTGATTTTTATATTGACCTTGAATTTTTTGACTTTGCTAATTTCATTTATTATGTCTAGAATTTTATGTAGAATTTTCTATGTAGACAATCATGTCATCTGAAAATAGAGAAAAATTTTACTATGCCTTTCAAATTTCCATACCTTTGTTCTTACTTTTGATGCCTTGTTGCACTAACTAGTTCCCCCATCTAGCAAAAAATTTAATAGTGGTAAGATATTCTTGCCTTGTTTCTAATATTGTGGAGGGTGGGGGCAAAAGCATTCACTAAACAGTATGTTAACTGTACAGCTTTTATAGATGCTGCTTATCAAATAGAAGATGTTCCCTTCTGTTTCAATTTCCTAAGAGTTTTTCATCACAAATGGGTTTCCAATCTGTTATCAAATCCATTTAGTGAATTTTTAATTTAAATTACAATACTTTTCAATTCATAATTTTCATGTTTTTTATGTAATTTCCATTTTTTGTTGATATTCCTTATCTGTTTACCCAGAAGGGCCATATTTCCCTTTAAGTTCTTGAATATATCTAATTAGATGCTTTATATTCATAATAGCCAAGTATGAAACAACTAAATGTCCATCAGTGGACAAATGGATAAAGAAACTTATTTCATGATGAAATACTAGTTAGCTTTAAAAACAAGGAGAGCCTGCCATTTGCACAACATGGATAAACCTGAAGAACATTATGCTAAGTGAAATAAACCAGGCACAGAAAGAAAAATATTATAAAATTATTTTTTCTAAAGTCAAATATATAGAGGTAGAGATTAAAATATTGATTACCAGGGACAAGAAAAAGGAGTAGTGAAGAAATAAGGAAATGTAAGTCAGCTGATATGAGATAGTACATATATAGGACTAAGAAGTCTGAAGGTCTAATGTACAACATGAAGACTATAGGTAATAAAATTGTACTGTATTTGGAATTTCTGCTAAATAAGTAGATTTTAGTTGTTTTTGCAACAAAAAACAAAAAAAAGATAATTTGTGAGATGATGGATATGTTAATTTGTTTCACTATAACAGCCATTTTATTATCTGTATGTTACCCATAGCATTATATTGTATACGTTAAATATACACAATAAAATTTATTTTAAATAAATTTAAAAATCAACCAATAAGTTGATGCTTTATATTCTTTTTCATAATATCCATCATCTTGGTATTGATTTCTATAAACTCACTTTTGTTCTTGACAATGAATGGTTAACATTTTCCTGACTCTTTGCATGTCTAGTGATTTTTTAGTGTATACTGGACATCAATAAAGGAACATTATAGAGACTCTGGGTTCTTTCACTCTAAAGAATGTTGATTTTTATTCTCTAAGGAGGATCAGTTACTGAGGAATCACCTTTAACATGTGTAGTCTTGGCATTATGCTTTGTTAAAGTAGATCTATAGAATCCCCAAGGTTTTTCCTAAGCCCCTCAAACTCCAAATGTTGATGTCTCTGCAGATTTTGCCAGGCTAGATTTTAAGCTTTGTTAGAGAAGATCCAGAGAAGACCTTGCTCTATAATATATTCCCACATCATAGGAGTATTTTTCCTGGTTTCTCATCTGGATGACCAACATGTTAACAAGGTTTCTCAACTGTGGGTAGACCACAACTCTCACATCTCCTAGTACTCATTAACCTGCAGTATTATCTTCTGTCAGCCCATGACAGTGACTCACTGGTAAGTCTTGCATAATTTTGCTCTGCACATGTGCATCCCTCAGCCAAGGAATCCTTTAGAATCCCTACAGAGACTTACTGAGATTTCTCTGTTCAGCTCCCTCCTTTCCAGTGCCCTGCCTTATAGCTTCCAGCCACTTCAGCAGTCCTGATCTCTGATCTCTGCCTCATCAGATCAGTAGCACTGCTACTTCCTACCCAGGCTCCAACTCTCTGCACCGTGATCCAAAGATTGTCCCAGCCAATACCACACTGATGTGGGTCTTACTTCATGAGTTTCCCACACTCCAGGATCACAGTCTTGGGCTGCTTACTACCCAGTGACTAGAAGCATAAATTTTGTTTAGTTTTATACTTTTTTAAAGCAGGGAGGCTAACCCAAAGCCAGCTGCTTTGTCAAGGCTGGAAGTGGTATGATTTCTGGCATTTTGATTTGGGGGAAGGACGGTCCTCTTCATAAAGAACCCACTTCCTCTCATTCCAAGTTGCTTTGAGCAGTAGCATTGTGGGTCAAAAGCCCCCACTGTGCTTCTTCTGGTATCTGATTATGTCAGGGCATGTCCAGAGGGTCTGTGGGGTAGGCCACTTTAGGGCCTATACTCATCCTAACAGAAAAGAGCTCCTAAGAGAAGTGGTCCAGGGGTTGGTGAAGAGGAATGAGTCTCCATTACTCATATCTCCTTCCATTCCAGTAATGTGGACAGAGCTTAAAATCCTAGAAAGATTGAGAGAGTGCACAATAACCAAAAATTCCCATTTGCTGACATTTTTGAAGAAAGTTGATATCAATTGTAATAATAGTATTGGTTGAACACTAACTACATTCCAGCCATGGCTAAAGAGAACTCTCCATGAACTAACTTACGTAATTTATACAAAAGCCTAATGACAAATGTTCTGTAACTATCCTGATATTTTAGATGAGCTTAACCAACGTGCTAAGAAAATAAGTACCTTCCCCATGGTAAACCAGCTTAACTAGTAAAAATGGAACCTTGCACCTTTGACGATCATTCTACCCTCCCACTCAGTACGATGTATACCAAGCAATCTGAGATGTATTATCTCTTTTAATTTTCTTAACTACTCAGTAAGGCCAGTAATTTACAGATGAGAAAGCTGAGGCTCAGAAAGGGATAATTACTTTACCCAAAGTCCTTTACCTGATGAGTAGGAGCTCTGAGCTTTGAACCCGGTTTTATCTGATTCCAATCCAATGCTCTTTCTCTGGCCTCCCATGGAAAAAGTCCAGGAGTCCCCAGGGAATTCAGTGAAAAGAGAAAAAACATTTCATGGCTATTTTGTCCATCAACATCTGGCATTGATGGTCTCAACCAGGGACATATCTCAGCAGCAGGAAGGGGAAAGAAGTGGATAAGAAGTGCTTGGGCTTGGGTGAGGGTGTAGATGAATGGGGGTCCTACAAGGGTAGATCCCACACCGACAGGGAAATATTGTTTGTGCCTGGTGTTGAGACCTATTCTTATCACTATACTGAATTGGCCTGAGGGGGAAAAATTGTTACCCCTTTTATTTCACAAACTGCTTTGGAAAGTAGAAAAGTTTAGTGTTGGCAATTTTGGTCTCTCCTCAGCATGAGCTGTTTCCAATTGGGTTTGTAATAAGATAAATGATAAAGGTGCTGGCCCACAGGAAAAGAGGAAGGCTAGCATTCTGATCAGGGAAGTTTGCTTACACCAGTAATCAAACACGGTCTGAGTATGCGTCAGAGAAAGAGACGCAACATGAATCAATCTGAACCTAAAATGACTTCCCAAAAGAAGATTCCCCTGATAAGTAAGCAAGCCTCATAGAAAACAACAGCACAGTTACTTGCCTTTCTATTCCATTGCAACTGTACTACTTACTAGCTGTGGGTCCTTAGGCAGGTTATTTCACTTTTCCAAGCCTCAATTTTGTCATTTATAAAAATGAAAATAATAATGGCACTAATAAGACAGTATCTGTCAAATAAACCAGTGGCTTTAATGCTGAAGGGAGATCTTCTGAAGCAATTAACACTTGAACAAGACCTGAAGGATGAGACCAGGACAGACATACAAAAATCACATAAAAGAATATCCCAGGAAGGGTCAGGAAGCATCAGCGGAACAGCAAGTGCAGAGGTCCTAGGGCAGGAAAGGATGTATGTGCTCAAGAAAGAGAAGGACAGTGTTGCTGAAACACAGAAAGCAGGAAAAAGGGAGAGAAAATCAGCTGAAAGCAGGGTCAGATCATGTAGGAATTTTAGGAGATGGTAAAAACGTTGTGTTTTATTCCAAGTGTAAAGGATGGTTTTTAGAGGATTTTAAAGTGAGAGAATAACATAACTTGGCTCATCCCAGACTAGCCATGGACGAATTGGATCTACAATGCTTACTAAAGTAACGAGTGCGGCTGCTGGAGGTGGAAATGCACAAAGTAAAAACTCAGTAAGTCGTAGCTGTCATGCCTCTCATGGTTGTAGCCATATGGCCTTGTCCTGAGCAAAAGACACTGCTAAAAGGGCTCACTTCCCTGAAGCCAGAGGAAAGTTCTAACCAGGCCACCAACACCACCCCCCCAGGCCTGGGACAGCTGACTCAGGAGCAGAGCGATTTGATCCAGCTGAGCTTATTAAAACTTCCCAGCTTGCTGATGTGGTTATGAAGGTTAGTGAGGAGGGAGCATCCTTACCTGGCTTTAGGGCATTACCTGCTGCTGGGGCTGCGCCTGGACTCCTGCCCTCAAGAGGAGGAGGAAATGATGTTTCTCTGCCTGTGCTCACTTGGCTGTTTTTATTGCTGAGACAGGCCCTTCAGGTAGCTACAAATGAGGGCAGGGACCATGGATGCAATCTGCCCACTCCCTGAGTCATAGAATCTTCCAGGGTCTGTGCTAGGAGGGACCTTCCCCTCATCTAATTATAATGCCAGAAATAAGCTACTGTTTGTTAAGCACCTACTATGCTCTAGGCATAAGACAGTTACATTGCCTCTTTCAAGTATTTAACCACTCTTCCAGAGAAGCATTTTTTCCCTCCATTTTACAGAGACTCAGAGAGGTTAAGTAAATTGCCTAAGGTCACACAGCTATTCAGTAGCAAAGCTAGGATTTTAACCTAGTGTTTTTAACTCCCAGCTTAGACTATATGCTTCTATATCCCTTTTCCCCCACCTGAGAGACGAAGACAGTAAAGGTAAGAATGCAGAAGAAATTGCTTTAAACCAGATGCCTCTATGTGTTTTTTAAAAAAAAACTTTTGTCACAGAAGGTAGGTTCTGACATCACAGTCTCTGTCTATGTGACCTCAGAGAGCAGGACAAGTTGACCCTGATGCTCGCTTCTGGCTTTTAAGTTGAGAGATTCTGTTTCTGTGATCATTTCTGAAAAGACCCACAAAGCAGGTTGTTTAAATAAGACTGAAAACTGAACCAAATCAACAAATATTTATTGACACCTTGATGTGCCAGGATTTATCAGTTAGTAAGGATTCATATACTCTACTTCTGGAGTCTGCTTCTGGCTAAGCTGGAGTAACAGATCAGATTTGCCCTTGCACCTGAAATAACTATGAAGACACAAAAAAATACAAGAAGGAATGGTTTGTTGTTATTGTTGTTTTCTTTTGTTTTTGTTTTTGAGATGGAGTTTTGCTCTGTCACCCAGGCTGAAGTGCAATGGCATGATCTCGGCTCACTGCAACCTCCACCTCCCGGGTTCAAGTGATTCTCCTGCCTCAGCCTCCTGAGTAGCTGGGATTATAGGCACCCACCACCACACGTGGCTAATTTTTTTGTATTTTTAGTACAGACAGGGTTTCACTATGTTGTCCAGGGTGGTCTCGAACTCTTGACCTCATGATCCGCCCACCTCGGCCTCCCAAGGTGCTGGGATTACAGGCAGGCTTGAGCCACCGCACCCAGCCAAAGTAATGGTTTTAAAGCCAGTGGACGGCAGACAATGGAGACAGTGACCCCTATGAGGTGAGAAACAAACGAGTTAAATCCTATGATTCTTACTGCCTTGACAGAATTTCCAGGAGCAGCCCAAAGAGAGGGAAGCCAGGAAGAGCTTCCTCAACTCCATGGACTCTTGGAGTTGAGGAGATGGAGCTATAAGACCAGGAAATCTGAAGTAAACAGAGTTTGCAGGATGTAAAGGAGAGAGACCTGTAGAGGCTCCCCTGGTGTATTGAGCAGAACACTGAACAGCATCTGGATGTGAGGAAACTACCCAAGCCCGTGGAAAGAACGTCCAAAAGGATTAGAAGAAACACTACCTGAGACTCACACAGGGTCAGAAACAGTACCTGTTCCTACTGGTCAGACTAGAAAAACTCATGATTCCCTGGGCACTGGCCAAAGTTCTTTAGAAAGGTCTTGCCTCAGCACTGGTAATGTTGTAAATCTTAGAACAGTAAGGGGCAAAGGTAAGTCCCCTAGACGAAACCGCATCCTAAATATTTCCCTTTTTTCTTGCAACATAAATTGCCACAATAATTGTGGGGAAAAAGTTGGGGGATATTGTAGCATTATTGCATATAAGTTCCTAGTGGAGAATTTCTGTCTTGGGCCAGGCTTAGCCTAGAACAAAGACTGGTTTTTTGAGAAGCAAATAAACAGTTTTGGAAGGAGAATCACAAACCCAGTCATTAAGTCATACCTGGAACAACTTTAACCAGGATTTTACAAAAATCTATGTCTATAGAGCAAGTGATAAGCTCAAGGTAATTTTTTAAGTGTAAGTCATTTGTTTTCCATCATTCACTTTTTTAAAAGAGAGTTGCATGGGGACGAAAGTTTTCCAGTGATCTTTTTAACATGCTGCAGTCCAGAGTACAATATTAAATACTAATTAATCAGTAGCTGAAAGACATTTTAAATTTGATTTAACAAATATTCACTTCTGTCAGTAGGGTGGATATTGCATGTATATATATATAAAAAATCCACTGAACACCAAATAATTGTCAACGTGCTAGAGGAATGAGAGATAAAACAGAAACAGATGGTTCTTATTCTCAAAACTAATGAGACAGCCTCATCTGAGTAATATTAAACTTTGGGAGTATCATAGGTATGAAATATTAAAACTTAGCCTGGGATCCCTTCACTAGAGTCCATAGAGTAACAACATGTATGTTGCTGTGCCTGTGGTCTGACTCATGGCAGGCATTGCTAATTGATAGGGACACTCAACGGATAAGCCAGACTGACAATTGATTAAGGAGAAACCATTTCACCCTGGCTATTAGATTATTCCCTTCTGATGGTTTTCATCCACCAAAACTCAAGTCTTTGAACAGTTCCCATGTCCAAAGTATCTTAGTTGATTTCGTGCCATTTAGTTCTTTGAGAGACAGAATATTTGCCTCCTGGTATGCTTTTCACAACAATTGCCCCCTGCATGCCCTTCTGCCCTTCTCCATCCTCCAATATCATCCAATAACGTTGCCATCATCATCAACATCATGATCAGTATCATTTTCTGAACACTAACTATGAACCAGACTAAATACAAAAATTGAGACTAGGCCAGGCACAGTGGCTCACACCTGTAATCCCAGCACTTTGGGAGGCCAAGGCAGGCGGATTGCCTGAGGACAGGAGTTCGAGACCAGCCTGGCCAACATGGTGAAACCCTGTCTCTACTAAAAATAAAAAAAAATAAAAAAATTAGCTGGGCATGGTAGTGGGTGCCTGTAATCCCAGCTACTCTGGAGGCTGAGGCAGGAGAATCACTTGAACCCCGGATTTGGAGGTTCCAGTGAGCTGAGATCACACCAATGCACTCCAGCCTGGGAGACAGAGTAAGTAAGACTCTGTCTCAATAAATAAATAAATAAATAATAAAAATAAAAATAAAATTCAGACTAGATACTAAGGAGGTATTAAATATTTTCCATGTTTGTTTCAAATTTTTAGGACTGTCTGAATGAGTAGTACTTTATCTCCATTTTAGAGATAAAGAAACTGAGATTTAAAGAGTCAAAGTAAGTTGCCTATGTTTGCCTCTTGAAAACTAAAATTCAAACCCATAGGCTATGACATCATAGAAAAACTCATGTGTAATGTGAAAAGATTATTTTCTGTGTCATCCAGGTGTCCCAAACTCTCTAAATATAAACACTGCAAAGGAATTATTTATTTGCTATTATTGTGACTGGAGTCCGTGTAACATTTTGCTCATCGAGATTCTGACCATAAGCCTAGAAGTTATTTGAGAAGACTGAAAAATCTCTCTTTGTTCCAATTCGGAAGCATTCAGCCAGTATTAAAAATATTACTGCAGCTCTGTGTGATTTGCGTTTTTTTGTTTGTTTTTCTTCATGATAAATTTTGTGTCGTGAGGATTTCCTAAGTGGCTTTCCAATAAGCATTTCCATTCGGGTTTCTTTTGTGGTGTGCAGATGGTAATAAAATAAAGCTGCCATTCCCGTTCTAGCTTTTAACTTTCGTCACTACACATCATAAATAGTGTAGGAGTTCTCACCAGGGACTCCTGGGGTATATATAAATTGCTGTTATTTCTGTGGTTTACCACTTAGACCTGGAGTGATTTATCTCTGCACAACTAGGGGCTACTGTCAAATTTATCATCCGAGTGGAGGCAGAAAGCTAATGGGCCCATGTTCATTGAGCAGCTAAATGTGAATTGCGTTGTAGGTACAGAGGTCAGGTTAGGTCTGATTAATTCATAAATGAATGTGCCCACTGGATGCATCACGGGAAACCACAGATGCTAATAAAGTATCACAAAATGCAAGCTTCATGAAGGTGGGGGCCTTGTCTGTCTTCTTCACCATTCAAGCCCTATCACCTGGCTCCATGCCTGGCGGACCATAGATGCTCTACTAATATTTTTTCCAACATTTTATTATAAAAGATTTGAAACATAGCAAAGTTGAAAGAATTTTTCAGGGAAAGCTCATACACTCACCACCTACATTCTACCATTTAAATGTTATGATATTTGCTATGTAATATATATAATATATATAATAAAATTATATATATATATACCCATCTATTAATCCACTTCATTTTCCAAAGCATTTTAAAGTAAACTGCCAACATCAATACACTTCCCCCTAGGTATTTCAGCACGCATAACATTAACTTCTGTTCAATATTGTTTTGCAGTTTTTTCTTTTGATGCAAATTTACTTACAGCTTAATATATAAATCTTAAGAGCAAATTTACTGGACATTATGAATTGAGTTGCATCCCCGCTAAAATTTCTATGTTGAAGTCTTAACCCCAGTACTGCAGAATGTGACTATATTTGGATATAGGGTCTTTAAAAAATTAAAAAGGTCATTAAGGTTAAATGAGTTTATTAGGGAGGACGTTAATCCAGTATGATTGGTGCCCTTAAAAGAAGAGGTGGTTAGGACAGACACACACAAAGCGAGGAAACACAGGGAAAAGACCTCCCCTATAAGCCAAGGAGAGAGGACTGGAACAGAACCTGCCCTCACAGCCCTAAGAAGGAACCAACCCTGTCCATATCTTGATTGATTGTTGACTTTTAGCCCCCAGAATTTTATGAAAATAAATCCATCTTGTTTAAGCCACCCAGTCTGTAGCATTTTGTTATGGCAGCCATAGCAAACTAATACACTGGGTTTTGACAAATGCATTCACCTGTGTGACTCAAACATCTGTCAATATACAAAACATTAGTACCCTCCAGAATGTTCTCTCATGTTCTTGCTCAAGCAATTTCCAACCAAGACACTACTCTGAATTTTTATACTCTAGGTTTGTTTTGTCCATTCTTGAACTTCATAAAAATAGAATTATGTGCTATACACTCTTTTACGCAAGGCTTATTTTGCTGAATGTTTTTGAAATACATTCATGCTTTTCCATGAAGCAACAGTTTATTCTTTTCATTGCTAAGTAGCATTCCATTGTACGGATGTACCACAGTTTACTTATACATTATTGTATGGATAGACACTGTGCTGGGAATAGGTTCTGATTTATGAAAATTATAAATAAAACTGCTGTGAATATTCCTGTACAAGTCTTTTCCTAAGCATGTTTTTATTTCTTTTGGAGAAATATCTAGGAATGGAATGATCGGATCATATGGCAGGTGTGTGTTTCGTTTTATAAGAAATGGCCTGAAATGTTTCCAATGTGGTTGCACCATTTTACATCCTTACCAATAATGCAGAAGAGTTCTGCATGTCCTTGCCAACATCTGAGGCTGTCACATTAAGTGTTTCATGAATGAATAAAGATGTGGATTGTTCCTGAGTCTTGAACTGACTATTCCTGGAACTCTGTTGGAAAGACCTCAAATGGAAAAACCAGATTTCTTTCTCTCAGAGAAGAATACATGATGCAATGAGAAGGTTCTGGGCTTTGGAGATGGAATATCTGGGTCCAATTCCCACCTCTGCCACTTAGTTAGCTATGTGATCTGGGCAAGCCATTTAAGTTTCTTGAGCTTCCATTTTCTCATGTGTCCCAAGGACAAAATGAGGAAATGCACTGAACAATGCTTACCATTGAGCCTGCATACAGCAAAGTTTAGAAACTGATGCTTCATGACATGGGTCAGTCACTGTTCTCTTTTTCATCTTTTCTCATGATCTTCTCGTTCCTTTATCACATCCACTTTGCCTCTTAAATTCTTTCCTGCATCCTTTTCCTCCTTCTTCATGCCCCTGTAGAAAATCAGAATTTTTTCTTAGAACAGGGGATACGCCCTAGTCAAAGGTATGCTTTGAAGAGATCAGGAGAACCGACTCACAGAAAAAAAGACCTAAATTTTAATTGAGCTTCACTTATTAGTATGGCACTGGGGACAAATAAATCTTAGTTTTCTTATCTGTAAATTGTAGAGAAAAATACCTTGCCCCATGGGGTCGCGTGGTAAGTCAAATCAAGTAAGTGTCTAAAGTGTAAGTGTCCCAGAACAGTGCACAGAATAGAGTAAGTGGTCAGGAAACAAGAGTTCTTTTCCTCCACGAGGTCTGAGGTCAGAAGGCACATCGCATGCATGAGGTCTGCACCTCTGTGCCCACTCTGAACTCTGCTTCTGACTCACTTGGGACTGCCAGAAGCCCTGTGATCTTTTGTCCCCTCTCTATAGATCTTGCTACTCAGGTCTCTGATGTTCTTTGAATGTTTAGGAGCCAAGAGCCCTGATGTGTGATCAGACCCCAATCCCTGGGGAGAGTGTACGATGTGTGCTGATGGAGAAATACACAAGGAGAATAAAAAAAGAGAGAAAGGAGGATACACTTAGCATCTGTTTCCATCCTAAGCCTCAAAGAAAAGATTTCAGAAGATACCTTCCTCCATGCCTCTTCCCTATCATCTCGTCATTAAAGCCTCAGAGAGATACTCAGGGCATCCCTTCCCTCTTCAATTAAACATAAGGGAATGTCTCTTCATATTTAACAAATGATTCCTGTGAATAAAAATAAAAACCTTTCATTCAGTGATCATTCTATTGTATTATTATTATTATTAACCACTGGTTGACTCTTGCTAATTGAGCTCCTCTGAATGAAAAGTTAACATTTCTTAGTACAAAGCAGCCACTAACCACTTAGCAATTTGCAGAATATGTTCCCTGTGCTTTGCCTAATTAAAGGAACATTGAGGAGAGGGGCTTGTGAGTTGTCAGGGATGATTTTGGGAAGATGGAAGTGGCCTAATATCACTCCCTAGCTCCTTAATACACCATGTTCATTCTAAATTAAGTCTTAAACCTGTGCTTCTTGAAGTTGCTCCAGCCTTTACAATGATGAATGCTTGAAGTCTCCTAGACACATAGATTTTCACTGGATAATTAGGAAATGGGGTAGTGAATCTCTTCCAAATTGTACTCTTGGGTAACCCAAATGGCTTCATTTAAATTGCTAAAGAATTTACATATGTGGCAGGGTAAAAGGCTTTGGAAGCCAATAAAACTACATTTTAATACCAGCTATGACTTTTTCTAGCTTGTGACCTGGAACGTGTATCCTCTGGGAGTCTCAGTTTCCTCACCTGCAAAATGTAAATAATAAGACCAACTGAAGGAGCTGTTACGAAGATTAGAGATGATAAAGCACCAACCTGGTACGTAATGTGTGCTCTAAATAAAAGTGCTAACTTATCATCATCATCATCATCATCATCATTCAGCAGAGAGTTTGTGACCTTTTACTTGCAAGCAGATTGAACCTGTGACACTATGTAAAAACATTCTCTTGGGACTTCTCTGTAAGAGTCAGCCAGATCCTACGTTTAATGCAAGAAGGGTAGAGGTGGTATCCTCTAAATCTCTGTGCAAGGCTGAATCTTTTGTCCTTCTGCTTCCCCAAGGACTGAAAAGCAGACACAATGACTAAACACAAATTTATGCATTATTTATGTAGGTGAAAGATGATTATATTGTAACCTGTGGTATGCTGAGACATAAATAAGCCTTGTTAAATCAGATTCTGCAAGGGGCGGGGGGTGACTCTTTACCTGATTTTGCTCCCTCTCGGTATCAGAATTATGACTGTAATAGTCAGAGGGGTTGACCTGGAACTGACATCTAGTTTAACAATACCTGTAGGAATTCTGAATCTATGGGCTTTTAAAAAAACGAATAATAGCTCTGAAGAGAATGCCTGAGCGTTTATGCTGGCTTCTAAGGAGGTTCTGGTTCCTGCGACTGCTATGCATTTCAAGTCACAGTGATGGGCAATGAAGCGTCCCATCCTTCTGGCTCAAGGAGGAGTTGGTCAAGTTCAAGGACACTGATTGGGTCATATTGCCCAAGAGGAGAGGATTGAAAGGAAATCATGCTCATAACACATGCAAGTATTGTTCTCTCCTCTCTCAACCCACTCACATGCCAGAGTGGTTTGAACCAAAGACCAAAATCTCGGGTACCCACACCGCCCAAGCAGATTACCTGGATGAATGACAGCACTATCTGAAAAGAGCAGTACTTCTCAGTGCCAGCTGATTGTTGCCAGATAGAGGTGTGCAGTGTTCCCAGTAGTCTTATTTTACAGGATGACTTAGAAGATGAGATTTCTGTAAAATCTTCAATTTTTCAACTATTGGCAAATAATTTTTCTTTTTTTTCTTTTTTTTTTTTTGAGACAGGGTCTCACTCTGTCTGTTGGGCTGGAGTGCAGTGGCGAGATCACAGCTCACTGCAGCCTCAATCTCCCCAGCTAGAGCAATCCTCCTACCTCAGCCTCCCAAATAACTGGGACCACAGACGTGCACCACCATCCTTGGCTAATAAATATTTGTTTGTTGATTGATTTATTTATTTATTATAGAGACAGGGTCTTGCTATGTTTGCTATGTTGCCCAAGATGTCCTTGTACTCCTGGGCTCAAGTGACCCTCCCACCTTGGCCTCCCAAAGTGATAGGATTACAGGCATGAGCCACTGCACCTGGCCAACTTTTTAAAAATACTGTAGAGGTCAACAAACACATTTAAGGGCCAAAATCAGCCTTTAGACAGCCAGTTAAGAGCTTAGTCACTGGAGTTAGTCAGAACTGGGATCAAGTCTTGGCTCTGCACCTTAGTGTCTGGGTGACCTTGGGAAGGGTTCAGTCTCCTCACCTGCAAAATGAAGTTAATGATGGTACCTACTTCATTTGCCATTCAGATTAATTGGAATTACACTCACAAAGCCCTAAGCGTAATGCCTGGCACATAAAATTGAATTAACACTTGTTTAGGAAGTCATTGGTGCATCAAAATGTGGGGACAGAATTGAAGAATATCAGGCAAAGTTAACCTTTCCAGCCCTTACACAATGATTAATTATGGACTGTCCCATTTTATTTCTTAGTAATTTTGTCCATATATCTCCAAGTTGGCAGGAATTCCAAGCCAGGCTTTTCCCCAAGAGCTACACATGAAAAATGATCTCTTCCCAACTCAAATGCAACCGAGTCCATAGCAATAAATGTGGTTTATATCTTTCCCTCCATTTTGAGATAACAGGAAGAAATGGGTTAGTAATGGGATAGTTTGAAAAAACTCCCAGTGAATCCTGCATTTCCTCAGACAAACTTCTCTATGTTTTCACTCATCTTTGTCACCATCTTCACTGACTTCTCTCAGGAAGCAGAAATAGAAAGTACGTGAGCTAGACAGCTAGAAAGCAGAGGCAGTTCCCCTAGGCTTTGTCCAATTTTCTCTGCAAACACAGGTCAGGACAGCAGAGGAGAGGCTGCTCCTGGGTCAGGAAAGGTAAGAAATATCTCTAAGTCAGAGTTCAGCACTCAACCTCAGCATTGTTGACATGGGGCCAGAGAACTTGTTATTGTGGGGGCTGTCCTGTGTGTTGTAAGATGTTCAGGAGCATTTTTTTACTTCCACTCACTAAATACCAGTAGTGCATACACTGCCCCTGCCCCCGCTACACACCAGTTCTGGCCATCAAAACTATCTCCAGATATTGACAAATGTCCTGTGGAGACAAACTTGTCCCACTGAGGACCCCTACTCTAAATCCATCCCTTCCCTGCTACTCCTTGGGGATATCCCTGATTCTGGAACCCTCCCTGTAATAAAATTAAGAGAAAACAACCAGAAGTATAAGAGCATTCTGTAAAAAAACTTCAGGAAAAAAAAAATACAGAGAGTGGGTTTTGGGATCAGCTGACAAGGATTCAAATTCTGGTTCACCCTCAGATGAATTGCTTGAAGCAAAATACCTCACTTCTCTGAGTTTCAAATGTTTCCCCTGTAAAATGAGGATTATGAAACCCTCCTCCCAGGGATATTTTTCATATTAACTGTGATAATGTCAGGAATCTAAATATCACAGCATTATACAGTTCTGCTAAATAAACAGAAATAATTATTATTTTATGAGAAAGATAAAAATTCACCCTGATTTTCTTTTTTGAGACAAGGTCTCGCCCTTTTGCCCAGGCAAGAGTGCAATGGTGTGATCACAGCTCACTGCAGCCTCAACCTCCTATGTTCAATTGATCCTCCCACCTCAGCCTCCCAAGTAGCTGGGACAACAGGCACATGCCACTATGCCCAGTTAATTTCTTTTTGGTAGAGATAGGGTCTTGCTATATTGCCCAGGCTAGTCTCAAACTCCTGGACTCAAGTGATTCTCCTGCCTCAGCCTCCGCCTCAGCCTCACAAAGTGTGTATTCTAATCCTAAAAAAAAAAAAAAAAAAAAAGTTACTGGATCATGTTCAGTATTTTATGTATTTTAGAAATTTAGACAAGGCCCCACCAATTCAATAAATGGCCTATTCACTGTTAATTCTGAAGGGCCGATGCCCAAATGAGACAATTTCCCTCTAGTTGTCTTGCTCCTTCTTTCTTTCTCAGTGTCTCTGGTTAAGAAATCATCCATGATCTTTTAAGCATAGAAATGTAGAAAATATTTGAGTTCTTCTATCTTCTTTGTCTTATATACTGTAATCGGTTCAAAGTAAAAAGTCCCAAAATCACCATTCTCACCTCATCTCCCCTTAGGTCTGCTCCATTCACTCAGTAAATATTTCTGAGAACCTACTAAGTGCCAGGCATTTGAGTTAGATGGATGAAAAGATATTACTGTCTTCTCCTTATAAACTCACAAAGCAATGGGGAAAATAGATAAGTAGGTGGTCAATTATAATACATCGTGGTCATTTTTTAAAGCTTCACTTTCTAATGTTTTTTCTTTCTTGTATGAAAAACAATGAAGTCAGTACAGGATTGCAAATTTATGCTAATAAGGAAATTAAGGAAAAGAAAAATAAGTGTAAGCAAAATAAGAGGAAATCAAAAAATTAGTGTTCACAACATACATGTTTAACAGGTTACTCGTAGCCTGTAAATTGAGCACTGAGCTTCCTAGTTGCCAATGTGAAAAGAGAAAGAAGTTACAGGACAATTTGGTATAGTCAGTAGGGAAGGAAGAGGAGAGTCGGGGAAGACATCCTATACAAGGTCATGTCTGAGATGAATCTCAAAGTACAAGCAGGAGCTATGCACATCAATAAGGCAGGGGTGGGTAATATAGGTGAACTTTATAGCATACTCAAAGGCCTAGAGACAAGGTAGAGCATAGCAGGCCCCAAGCTTGTGAGCAAAGCTTGGGGTTCTGTTTGCTTTTTACCATTTCTCTTTGCTTGACGGGATCAGGTTAGAACCAAATTGCATAATAAATCCCGCCAGAAATCTTCCCTTGCTGTTTCCACAGGAAATCATTTAAAAAGGTGAAATTCAGCCACAGCTACATCAGTTGCAAGAGGAAAGACATTCGGAAATTTTGCCTTTTCTTTTTGTTCCTGGTTTGGCAGAGAGAGAATACACGAAAATCGATTCAGAGGTAAATGCTCTGCTAATAGAAAAGCATTAACGATAAAAGTAGGTCACTGGCAGGGCCTTTCTACTCACCCCTGTGCTACCTGGATTACAGATACCCTTCATTACTGATACCAGCAGCTGCCTGGGGTCTGCATTGCCCATTTGCTACCCTGGATGTCCACTGATCATGCCCCTGAAGCCCCCTGAACAAATGCCCAGTGCTGACCACGTGAAAGAGATATTCTTCACCTGAATTCTCATGTTCTATGCATTTTACCCCAACCAACCAAGCAACCAGCCAATGAGCCAATCAATCCAAGGTACTCACTGAGCATCCACTTTGTACTGGGCATTGAGCTGGAGCCAGGTCATGGAGAACCTTGTAAGACTTATGTTGTGAGTCAGGCTCCCAGGGGAAAAGATTCTGAGCAGAGATTCACATGCAGGGATTTTGTTGGGGAGTGGTTTTGAGAACAACAGATATAAGGATGGGAAGGAAGCAAGCTGGACAAAGGGAGGAAGTAGGGAAAACTGCAGTGACAATAGAAGCTGCAGGTGGTCTTATGTGGGGGCACTGGAACTGGGGTGGACCCTCAAAGATGTTCCAAATGGAAGCAAGGGAGGCAGTCTTGTGTGCCTCAACTCTGACCAGTTGTTGCACAGAATGAAGAGACATGACCTTGGATGGGGCAACACTCTTTCTAGGGAGGCAGTCAGCTATGAGTTATCAGCAGTCAATGGACCAAAAGGTATATATGCCTGCTGCATAGTAACAGACCAACGCACTGAGACACCAGGGTTTGCAGCAGAGAAAGAGTTCAATGATCACAGGGTGCCAAGAAAGGAGATGGAAGGAGACTCTCAAATCCATCTCCCCAAGGAATTCTGGGCTGGAGGTTTTAAGGGGATTATGGAGGCTGAGGGGCTGGAAATTTGGGGTCATTGATTGGTTGGGGCAAATAGAAGGAAATCATCAGGACATGGCAACTGCATTCCTTGGTGAATCAGCTTCTCATGGGTTCCTCCAGACCAGCTGAAAACAGTAGTTTCACTGGTATGTAGGACCTGAAAGAATATCTCAAAGGGAAAACATAACATTTTATAATGTTCAAGTTGTTACCTGCAGAGTAGTTAAGGAGAGCTATAATCTTGTAACAGGGTCTACATGATTCCAGGACAATAAGCACCAAACTATGAGGAAGCAGGTCAGAGGGCAAACTAACCTCATGATTAAAGCTGAGTGTGCTGCAAACTTCATCTACTATGTTTCTCCCTTTCTTTCTTCCCTGATTAATTCTATAAAGTTCACAGGGACGGCTTCACCTACACTCCCAGGCACTGGGGAAATAAATGTCTTAGTCTTGTAGGAAGGTCAGGGCAGCACACCACAACATCCACTGCGCCAAAGGAAGGAATTGAGATTTTATTCTCGGAATAAGGGGAATTTATTGCAGTGATTTAGGCAGGGGAGTTGCATGGTCTGACCAACACTGTGAAAGCATCACTCCCGCTGGGTGATGAAGTGGGGGTGAGCAAACATGGCAGCAGGGAGACCAATTAGGAGGCTATTGGAGACATCTCAACCAGAAGGATGGGGATGCAGTGGAAACAGACGAAGTGGATAGTTTAAAACAGCAGGACACAATGAATAACTGGCTGGGAAGGTGAGGAAGACTCTGGCTTGAGCACCTAATGGATCATGAGATAGTGGATGCCAAATGAAGTTTGGGTTTCAGGAGAAGGCTGTGCACTCAACGTGAGGCAGAGTGAGTCTGAGTTCCCTGGGAGATATCCCAGAGGAGATACGGCATCATTTGAGTGTGGCACTCAAAAGAAAAATTGAGACTGGAGGTACAAAAGGAGGAAACTCTCCAGCTCAAAAATAATACCTGAGGCTATGGAGTCTTCCTAGTCAGAATGCATAGCTCGAAAACGAAAGAGGGTATGTGAAAGAGCCCTGGAGAAACACAGTCTTTTGTGTTTCTGAGACAAGGTCTTGCTCTGTCACCCAGGCTGGAGTGCAGTGGCACAATTATGGCTTACTGCAGCCTTGACCTCCCAGGCTCAAGCAATCCTCCCACCTTAGCCTCCTGAGTAGCTGGCACCACAGGTGCATGCCACCACACCTGGCTAATTTTTGTGATTTTTAGTAGAGATGAGGCCTCTCTATGTTGCCTAGGCTGGTCTCGAACTCCTGTTCTCAAGCAATCCTCCCACCTCCGCCTCTCAAAGTGCTAAGATTACAGGCAAAAGTCACCACACCTAGCCAAGAAACAGTTTTTAAGTAAAGAGCAGAAGAGTGGAAGCCAGGAAAACAGGCTGAGAAACATAAGCCTGTCAGTCAAACACCAGGAGAATGTGCTGATAATGGCGCTTTCACGGAATGCTCTTTGTGCTGGTCACTATGCAATGAGACTTGCAAAGATTATTTTTATATTATTTGAAGTGGGTGTAACTCCTGTCTTCTCCTTACAGTTGGAGAAACTGAGGCTTACACTGCTGGAGTAATTTGCTCAGGATTGCACACTCAGTAGGAGGGGTGCAAGGCGTTGCTCTCAGACTTTCTGACTCCATATCAAATGGCCTCAACCACTCTAATTTACTGCTATACAGAAGTCAAGATGATGGGGAGTTCTTCAGGAAGGAAAGAATGGTCAAATCTGGAAAATTCTGCAAAGAGGAAGGACTACCATTTAATCCAGCAATCCCACTACTGGGTATCTACCCAAAAGAAAATAAGTCATATGAAAAAAGACACTTGCACACGCATGTTTATAGCAGCACGATTTGCAATTGCAAAAATATGGAACCAACCTAAATGCACATCAACCAATGAATGGATAAAAAAAATGCGGTATATATACACCATGGAATACTACTCAACCATAAAAATAAACGAAATATTGACACTTGCAGTACCTTGGATGAAGTTGGAGATTGTTATTCTAAGTGAAGCAATTCAGGAATGGAAAATCAAGTATCATACGTTCTCATAAGTGAGAGCTAAACTATGAGGATGCAAAGGCATAAGAATGATACGATGGACTTTGGGGACTCAGGGGGAAGGCAGGGAGTAGGGTGGGGAATAAAAGACTACACACTGGATATCGTGTACACTGCTTGGGTGAGAGGTGAACCAAAATCTCAGAAATCACCACTAAAGAACTTTTCCATATAACCAAAAACCACCTGTTCCCCAAAAACTACTAAAATATTTTTTTTTTTTAAAAAGAAGGAGAATGACAGTACCCATGCTCTTTTCAACAAGGAAGGCATTGGTGGCTTGGTGGGAGTGCTTCTACTGAAATGATGGACATGAAAGCCAGACTGTGCTGGACCAAGATGGAATGATTAATTTCTCTGAGTGCACTGGGCATAAAGTTATGATGTGGAATTATCCACCTTACTAGGTTTTGCAGTCAACCTATGACTTTTTAAAAAAAAAATTATCTCTGTGTGACTATTTTGTTGACCATAGGGGTCCATATAAACCCTATTGGTTCACTTAAGAATGCTGGGTGTCTACAGAGAGAATATGGATAGGCAAAATAGTTTAGGAGAGAATAAGTAATTTTAACAGAAGAAGGCAAAGTAATAGCTACATTTAACGCCATTGTTCTTAGGATATGGTCAAGGACTGGTCCACTCTCCAAAGGATTTTATGATAACACTCAGGCTTCTTTTGTATTGATTTGACTGAGATATTGCTTTCTTTTTTCTTGAGTTTAGAGAAAATTCTTATTTGATAATAATAGTAATAATAATCACATTTATTGACTCAAGACATAATTCTAGAATTCCAATTATATGCTAAGCACTGGAGATCCCAGATAAATCAAAGTTCCTGTCCTGGGTGAACTCACTCTTGTTGGAGAGGAAGGAATATAAGCAAATATATGTGTTATTAAGTGATAAGGAATAATGAAGGTGGTGTGTGGTTTTAGTGGAGAGCCCGAAGAAGAAAGGAGAACCAACGTGATGGAAGGGGGAATGCTATATAGAGGAAGATTATTGAAGGAATGCACTTAAGCTGGCTCTTAAACAATGGAGAGAATGTGACACTCAGATGGAATGTGGGGAACATAATGCATTTGGGAGTCTCAGTAGTTCCACATGGTTGGAACCCAGAATTTTGTAAAGAAGCACCAGGAGAAGAAAAACAGAGAGGCACCTCCCCACAGGATACAACACTGCACAGCTTGCTAAGGTGCTTCACCTCCATTATGTAAATGGTTCTGCAAGGTATGGAGAAAGGAAACTTACAAAGACTGAATTACCTAATATACTCCTGGCATTTGAGCTTTGAGGTTTTAACTTATCCTATGTAAATCCAGCCACATGCCTGAGATGTGAGTACTAGTTACCATCTCTGCTTAAAGATTAGGGAAATTGGCCGGGCTCGGTGACTCACTCCTGTAATCCCAGAACTTTGGGAGGCCAAGGCGGGTGGATCATGAGGTCAGGAGATCGAGACCATCCTGGCTAACACGGTGAAACCCCGTCTCTACTAAAAATACAAAAAATTAGCCGGGTGTGGTGGCAGGCAACTGTAATCCCAGCTACTCGGGAGGCTGAGGCAGGAGAATGGTGTGAACCCGGGAGGCGGAGCTCGCAGTGAGCCGAGATTGCACCACCGCACTCCAGCCTGGGTGACAGAGCGAGACACCGTCTCAAAAAAAAAAAAAAAAAAAAAAAAGATTAGGGAAATTGAGACCCAGAGAAGATGACTTGTCCAAGGTCTGAACATGGAGTTTTTAACTCACGTCTATCTGATTCTCAAGTCTGTTCTCTTTTTATTACATGATCCTGCCTTTTTGCTATACCTAAACATTCATAAATACAGGAGGGGATGCAGAATATTATATTCCTAAAGAGCATAGTGAATCATTCATGGAGCTATAGCTGGCCCCTCCTTGGCACAGCATGATTTCAAAGCTCTTCTCTCCAGGCAGGCTGGCCTAGGAAAAAAAGTTACTTCCACGTTGACCTTTAATACAAATGAATGTGAATGATCGGGGAAGGGGAGGAAGCTAGATTTAAATTACTTCTTGAATATTGATTGTGAAAGCAGGAACTTGTGATGTGGACTTTTAATGATATGAACATATGAAAAATGCCAAGATCTTTTTATTTTATTAGATTAATTTTTTTAATATTTCCAAACAGATTTGCAACATAAAGTTTGCAAGCGCAGGAAGAGAAAGGTTGGGCAGGGGTGTGAGACCCATTAAAACAATAAAACATTCCTGAAGTTATACCCAAGTTAGGGAGGAAGATTTGTTCTTTCATTCATTCATTCATTCATTTCCAACGTTAGTTCATTGTGAGTCCCTATAATCTGTGAGTCCTCCTATGCACCAGGCACCACTCAAAGCACTGAGGATCCCTCAGTGGACAGAATAGACAAAAGCCCTGCCCTGCAGAAGTTACATTCCAGTAGGAAACACCATGGAACTTCTGAAATGCTATGCCGTAAATCTAAATGGTGAACATGATATTTAATGAGGACTCAGGAGACCAGAATTCTATCTCCAGTCCTGTTGCTAACTAGCTTCTCTCTCAGTAAGACTACCTAACATTTCTATTTCTTCATTTCCTCATCTGTAAAGTGGGAACAATGCAACTTACACTTTCTGTTGCATGAAGTGGTCACGTGACTCAATCTGCTTAAAAAAAAAAACACAGACTGCTATATTCTAAAGAACACCAAACAGGTAATAACTCCAAGCATTTACTACTCCTACCCCTGCTGCTGCTGCAGCTACTGACATTATTACTGCCGTTGCTACTACTACTTCCACTGTTACTTCTGCTGCTGCTGATGCTGTTACTGCTACCACTACTGCTGTTGCTGTTATGACTACCACTATGTCTACAACTACTATTGCTGCTGTTACTCCTACTACCACTGTTTCTTCTTGCTCCTCTTCTACTACTACTGCTATTCTAATACTGCTACTAATGCCATTATTACTATTATTTCTACTATTACTATGACAATCACTGCTATTGCTATTTTTAGCACACTTTACTCTTGGCTTCCATGACACTCATTTCTTGGTTTTCTCTTACTTCTCTGGGTGCTCCCTCTCAGTTTCCCTCAATCCATCTTTCCTCCACCCCCAACCCTGGTACCCTTCCCTAGCACTCTGTGCTTTCCTTCAGATGATGTCAACAATTCCCTCTAAAATGCTATATTTTGATGAGTTCTCATAGGCATTTTCAGTCAAGATATTTTGAACATGACTTCTCCATGTTTTGGAAAAAACTCCTCTCCTGGAATCTACATTTGGGTGTCTCTCAGAAGCCTCAAACTCAATCTGACAAAAGCTGGACTCTTGCCCTCCCCTTCCAAATCTGCCCCCTCCCTTCCTGTATCTTCTGTCTTAGGAAATGAAACCATGACTTCCATCATCATCTCACAATAAACCTGGCAATTATGTCCGACACTCCCTTTCTCTTGTTCCCGAACACTCTCTCACTCACAAATTCCTATGGATTTTACCTTATAAATGTTTTTGATACTCTCAAAGCCCTGACTTCACCACTACATAATCTAGGCATATAACAAAATTACACTGGTACCCCATAAATTTATACAAATTTTAAAATATATTTCTTGAGCATGTCTACTTCTGTGCATCATCCCCTCAGCTCATGAGATTGTCTCCCATGTCACCAGGACCATTATTGTTGTTTCCTAACTTCCACTATTGGCCCCTTTAGTTAACTCTCCATTTTTAAAAGATCTTTCATGCTTTTTTTTTTTTTTTTTTTTTTTTTGAGACAGGGTATTATTCTGTCACCCAGGCTGGAGTGCAGTGGGGTAATCATGGCTCACTGCAGCCTCGGCCTCCTGGGCTCAAGTGATCCTTCCAAGTCAGCCTCCCAAGTAGCTGGAAAGAGGTGTGCACCACCATGCCCAGCTATTTTTTTTTAATATTTTTGTAGAGATGGGAGTCTCACTATGTTGCCCAGGCTTCGTATTCAACTCCTGGCTGAAGTCCTCCCACTTCAGCATTCCAAAGTGTTGGGATTACAGGCATGAACCACTGCACCCACCTATTTCATACCTTTTCTTTGTTTGTAAAATCAAGTTCAAAATCTACAACATGCCCCTCAGGGGCAGCCTGATTGTCTCCTTCTCCCCCTCCAGCTTCACCCTAGGATCTTTGTCTTCCCTCTTGCTTCAACCACGCATATCTGTCTCCTCTGTGAGCCAGATTCTTTCATCGCAAGGTCTTTCCACATGCTCTTTCCTCTGCCTGGAATGTTCCTTTAGCCCCATCTCCCCAACCCACCCACAGGGCTCACACTCATCTTTCAAACTTCATCTTCACTGTCATTTCCTTCAACCTCCTACCTGACTTGCTTCCCTTTGTCAATCTCAGAGCACCGATGGATTTTGCCTTGTAATTACCTGTATGAGTGAAATCATGTTCAAAGACTGTCTCTCCTGATAGAACGTGAAGGTCAGGACACGCTTGTAATCCCAGTGCCAAGAACGGAGCCTGGCACAAAGCAGGTATTCAATGAATGTGTACTGAGTGAACAAACAAGTAAATCATCACCATTGTTGTTATAAAGTCACTGCCCTCTGGAGATTTCAGTTCCCTCTTATGAGCATCCCATTCTGTGAGATTTTATTTTGTTTATGAAATGTTCTGCTCTACTCCCTTGAACCTAGCAGGTTTCAATTTGGCTTTCCTTCCATTCTTCCCAGACTCATGTGGGACAGACCTTAATGCATGCATTTGGCTCTAATAAACTCAGTTCCAAGGTATTTGAACTTCCTGCTATTCTGGGGTGGCACTGTTACGAAAAGGGGAAAAATCACTGTCCTCTAACAATTATTATCACTGTTATTGCCATTTGAGCTAGAAGCCACCTAAGCAGCTTCTGAAAACATTTCAGTTAAAGAACCTACAGTGTGCCTGAGTCTGTTTTTTATTTTTAAATTTTTCTCTGGAGCTTCCTGGACCCAATCACCCAGAGATGGTAGAAGGGCCCTGGTGAAACATACCAGCCCTGAGGTGCCTCATGACTGACAGATCTTTGCAGCTATGGGCCAGCTGCCATCTGCCAAGTGGCCTCCAAGGGCTCCTGCCAAGAAAGGAGAGGCTCGAGGGAGCAGGAATTGAAAATAACTTAGTATACACAACACACATACACACACAGTCTTATCAATACCCTTGGCTCATTTCAGACGTTGAGCTGTAAATATCAAATCCTCAAGGGTATTTCAAAAATAATTGCATTAGAGCAGGTCTGTTGGGTCCACGCCCCTTAAAGATAAAATAAACCTCACCCCATCATGTGCCCTCACCCATAAACAGATGACAGGGAACTCCATAGAAACTCAGTCTATATTTATGCTGAAGCTCTGTTCTTCCTGATGAGACTCTCCATTACTCCAATAGGATTTTTCTTTCCTTTAAAAGTGACTCTTGGCTGAGCATGGTGACTCATGCCTGTAATCTCACACTACTTTGGGAGGCCAAGGGGGGCAGATCACCAGAGGTCAGGAGCTCAAGACCAGCCTGGCCAAAATGATGAAACCCCTTCTCTACTAAAAATACAAAAATTACCTGGGTGTGGAGGTGCACACCTGTAATCCCAGCTACTCTACTCTGGTAGCTGAGGCAGCAGAATCGCTTGAACTTGGGAGGCAGAGGTTTTAGTGAGCTGAGATTGCACCACTGCACTCCAGCCTGCGTAACAGAGCGAGATTCTGCTTCAAAATAAATAAATAAATAAATAAATAAATAAATAAATAAATAAATAAAAATAAAAGTGACTCTTGGTCCTGGAATGTCTGGGAAATAGCAGGAAAATGGGCAGAACTTCCTCTAATCAGCCTTCCCTTTTGTGCACTCAGAACCATGATCCCGCTCCCAGCTCCCCTGGACCCCTGCTGAGGTGCCTGCTGCAAATGGATCATGCTCTGTATTTTACAGACGTTGTCTTGGTTGCTGCCATCATAACCCCTCAGGGCCCAGGTCTCACAGTACCCTCCGACAGAGCTATTTAAGCCCCCAAAAGCCCCAGCTGTTTCCATACTTCCACCTCCCAACTCTGAGTCTCAACGATGCTTGCCTCCTCCTCTCAGCATCCCACATCAGATCCCAAGTTACTCAGGATTTATAGGACTCTCAGGAAAGCAGTGAATCACTCCCCCTTTCTCTACGTATTACTCAATCACAGGTTCCGGAACCAGTTACCAATCAAAGGAAGATACCAAATATCTCCAGCCTTTGTCTTGGGTGAGTAGGACTCAGCCAGGTTCTTCAGACAGTGTTGAGAACACAGACCAGTCAAGCTTGCATATTTTCTAAAGATTTACTGGACTCTCTGTACTTTCACAGAAGCAGACAATGGCCCTTCACCAGTAAGACCAAGAGAATAAGAAAAAATAATACAAGTTATGTATTGAATGTTTACCAGTTTTCTAATCACTTCACAGGCCTTACCTTTCATTGAAATTTACAAGATCCTGATGCGTTATGTGGTTGTTGTCCTCCTCATTGTTGCTGCTATTATTTTGCAAGGAGAAAGACTGAGGCTCAGAGTGTTTAATTAATTTACCCTTCCATTGTCAGGCAAATGACAATGCTTTTTTGAAACACGTATCTGTGTTGATTCCAAAACCTGAGCTTTTAAAAGTATTAAAAATAACAAAAGCTGACATTTAATGATCACATTACCGAATGCTAGGCGCTAAGCTAAGCATTTAACATGCCTTCTATTCTTTCCTGTAATGATCCCACGAGGTAGGCATCAATATGCCCATTTTAGAGAAGAGGTCACTGAGGTCCAGAACAGCTAAGTATCTGGTCCAAGGACTTATGGCTGATGAGCAGAGAAGCAGGGATTCCAGCCCTAGTCTTCTGACCTCGGAGTCTACTTACCCACAGCACTATGGGAACCTCTACAAAAGTTTTATGGAGGACCTCTGGCCCACAGAGAAGAATTATCTCAAAATGTTTCCCTATGCAGACTCAGTCCTCTGACCAAAACCCAACATCCTACTTTTTTAAATTCAAATCAATAGCAAAAGCAGAGATTGAGATTTGTATCTTTAAGCTACAATTCAAAACTTTGTCTTATTCTTAAAACACATGATAATATACAATCACCTCCAGTGGAGCCACCTAAGCCCCCAGCTGCCCCAGCTACTTCCATACTTTCGTCTCCCAACTCTGAGTCTCCACAATGTTTGCCTCCTACATCAGATCCCAAGTTACTCAGGATTTATAGAACTCTCAGGAAAGCAGTGAATCTCTACCCCTTCCCCTACCTGTTCCTCAATCACAGGTTCTAGAACCAGTTACCAATCAAAGGAGATACTAAATATCTCCAGCCTTCGTCTTGGGTGAATGAGAATCAGCCAGGCAGAGAGGCGTCCTCCAGCAAGGAAGACCAGCTTGTGCCAAGGCCCAGCGGAGACAAGACACAATGGGGTATTTCCGGAGCTGCTTATACTTCAGCATGACACAGCCTGGTAAGTGGGCTGGGAGCACGCAGCCGCTCCTTTGTGAAAGGGCAGGCTCCGAAAGGTGGATTCCCCTGGTGTCCCGTATCCTCGGATTTTGCACCACTCAGTGCCTCCATTCCTGGGCAGCTGTCCTCAGTAGTACCCAGCACAGGCAACTGACCACTGTAGATCAAGACTGTTTCTCCAGATCTTGACTCATCTCAGCCTCAGAGCAAACCATTTCTACATTTGTATAATGCTATTCACCAGAGGCCACTGGTCATGACAGCTGTGACATCTACCCCCATGTTCTTTTGGCTGTCTGGTCAATTATTTTCATCTCAAAGCCCCATAATTTCCCAGGCTGGCACGGTAGCCAGGGCACAGGGTCAGGAATCATATATACCTAGGTTCTAGTCATGCATCTTTTCTTTACCAGCTGTGTGACCTAGGACATGTCACTTTGCTTCTCCAAAACCCAATTGCCTTACCGTTAACTGGGGATTATAAAGCCCTCCTTCCATAGTGTTGCTGTGAGGATTAAATATGCTAACCAAAGACCTGGTATGAAGAAGAGGTCCCATGTGTGTCATTAAGCCCTTTTCCCCTACATAACCAAGTGCATAGTGCATAGACGTAGTGAGACAGTGATTAGACCTTTTGAGCAAGGGAACTTCAAAGAGAGCTCACAGTGTTGCCAGAACTCTCTGAATGGATTCATTTATAGAGAGACTGTAAAGAAAGCACACAAAGCCGTGAACTCAACCCTTCACTTGTCCCTGCTCTTCATATTCAAATGTTGGAAAGACAGGACAAGCCGGACCAACATGCAGGGAAAGGTGACCACAAAGCCAGGTGTGTGAAGGGAATGAGGAAGGGGATTGGGCAGGTGCTCACTGAAGAAAGACATCTCCACAGGGGCCAGCCCACCAACGAACACCTTCTTCCTGATTCCAGCTGAGCCTTGGAAGCCAGGTACTTCCTCTACATGCTATGCTCCTAAGAGTCTGTAGACCCCACCAAAGGTCAA
Source organism: Homo sapiens (assembly GCF_000001405.40). Taxonomy (NCBI): domain Eukaryota; kingdom Metazoa; phylum Chordata; class Mammalia; order Primates; family Hominidae; genus Homo; species Homo sapiens. The sequence goes on along the minus strand of NC_000016.10, from coordinate 9,443,929 downwards.
GAAATTGCAAAAAATCTTTATAGACTCTAAAAGAAAGAAAGCTTTTTTTTTTTTTCCTGGAGTGCCATGGTGCGATCTCCGCTCACTGCAACCTCCACCTCCCGGGTTCAAGCAATTCTCCTGCCTCAGCCTCCCGAGTACCTGGGATTACAGGCATGTGCCACCACGCCCAGCTAATTTTTTGGTATTTTTAGTAGAGACAGTTTCGCCATATTGGCCAGGTTGGTCTTGAACTCCTGACCTTGCGATCTGCCCACCTTGGACTCCCAAATTGCTGCGATTACAGGCTATTTTATTATTTTTTTAGAGACAGGGTCTCGCTCTGTTGCCCAGACTGGAGTGAAGTGGCAAAATCATAGCTCACTGCAGCGTCAACCTACCCACCTTAAGCGATCCTCCCTCTTCAGCTTCCTGAATAGCTGGGCCTACAGGCATGTGCCACCATGCCTGGTTAATTTTTTAATTTCTTTTGTAGAGATGGGGGGGGTCTCCCTATGTTGCCCAAGCTGGTCTTGAACTCCTGGACTCAGGTGATCCTCTAGCCTCAGCCTCCCAAAATGAAGAAGGCATTTTAAATATCATAGATCAGGCAGTTTCCCAGAGCAGTTGAGGTCCTCCTTGCTGACACGAGGGTGTAGCTACAGGAGCTGCCTCTGCTTGACTCGTCTGCAGCTCTTCTGGGCTCCCTGCTTCCCTCCTCTCCTTCCTCACCCAGTTGTGAAAGCCCCGTCCTTGTGTTGAGGTGCAGGGACCAAGGTCTTTAGAGTCAGATAGACCTCGGGACAAACTGGGCTCCATCATTTCCTAGTGCTGCATTTCCATTAGTTACCTCATTTCTTTGAGCCTCAGATCATCATCTGTAAACACACAGGGCATAATCATAGCATTTCCCTCTTGGGTTGCTGTGAGGATTAGATAAAATATGAATAAAAAGTCGGTCTTTAATACATGCTAGTTTCCTAGGTACACCTCCCCAGCACAGTGCTAAGTATTCGCAATAACAGCAATAACAGCAGTATTAAATAATCACTAAGCACTAGGCTCCGTGCTAAACACTTCCCAGTTACTGTCTTGCTAATCCTCACCACGGCCCTATGATGTAGGTAATATAAGCGCACTTTTTAGAGTTGGGGAAATCAAGTCTCAGAAAGATTCTGTAGTGCATCTCAGGGTACTGTTGAAAAATATCAAAGTAGGAATTCAAGCCAACACAAACAAGGCAGGCTAAGCTCTAGTAGGCACTGACAATGTGCAGGAACTGCTCTAACTACTTTAAATATATCCTCCCCAAAAGAACTCCATGAAATAAGTACTCCTTTTTCCCCCATTTTACAGAAAAGTGTAGGGGGCAGAGGAAAACTTCCCCTTTACTCTCTGATTGTTCACTGAAAATCAACAGACCAAAGGCAGATTAAGAGAAGAAAAGGTATGCAGAATTGTATTTTAACATGCATAGTGTGGGAAAATTGCAGGAGAATGATTACCGAATAACCCGGTGGGGCACAGATGTTTATATACTCTTCATAGGGGAAGAGGAGATGGGGGAAGTGTGGCAATTTGAGGGACAGTGAATGATGTTTAGGGGGAAATGAATGGAGTTGGAGAACACACAACGGCCTCAGACAAAGTCTCTTGGGCCCACAGCGCAGCCAATGGCTGGTGACGAAAGTCTGTGCAGGTGTATTAACAGACTTCCATCTTTCCTTCTGCAATATAAGTTAAGACTGTGAAAACTTGGGGAAGACAGTTGTGTTTTTGGCAGGTCTGGTTTCTAGGTAGATAAGAGAACTTCAGAGAACAACTTTATCCTGTGCTTTGGGAGAGACAGAGGATGGAGAGTTGGGACGAGGGAAAGTCAGAGAGACCGTGAGGCTACTTCTTTAGTTCAGTACATCAAAGCGCAGTATTTGGGGGTATTGGTTTCTGAGCCCCAACAAAAAGAAACAAGCTCAGAGGCTAAATAACTAATAGATTCTCCCAGCTAACAGGAGGTGGAACCAGAATTCAAACCTACATCTCCCCAATTCTAGAGCTTATTGTTTTCTTCTCTATGTTCTGCTGCCTCTTCTATGCAGTTAAATAAAAGAGAAGGTTACATTTTTTAGCAAGTGCCAAATGAAAAGACAGGCAATTTATACTCTGAGAGTTCAAAGGAAGGAGACATCAGTGAAGGATGGAGAGATGTGAGCCCTTGCTCTGTTACCTGAAATTTTATTTCACCTCTGTGAGCCTCAGTTTCCTTAAGTGAGACAAGGAAATGATAGTGCTCATTTCAGAGGGTGAGGGTGTCATATGAATGAGTACAGAGGAGCTTGATGCATGTTTCTTAGAAGATTTGCATGGGGGGGACCCTTGCTGTGGTCCAAGGAGTGGTGTTCCTTTTCTCCTTGCCTTCCCTTTCTGTGTTTGTAGGGAGAAAGCCCTAAGACCTGTGAAAATGAAGATGTGCTGTCTGACTCCCTCAGCCTGCCCACAGAAGCAATTCAAAGGCCTCAAATAATTGTCTCAAAAGAAGCAATTTGGAGAAAGTACATTACAGGAGGAAAGAAAATTGCCTAATCCTCATTCTGCTGAGTCCTCAATTTGCAAAAGCTCGGAATCAAAATAATGAGGAAATAAACATGAGGGCCGTTCCAGGGCTGGTTCTCCTGTGAATGCCTGTCAATCACTCAACTGGAAGACTCCACCTATCAGTGCAGAGAAGTCCTCAAGGCCACCTGGGAGCAGCTATGAGGTCAGAAGAGGAAATGCAGTGACAGGATAACACATGGGGAGGCAGCAAAAAGGCCCCTGGTTTGACGGTGCTGCAAGACATAGCTCAGCCTGTCACCAGCTATGTGATTTCCTGTAATGCTCCCTGCCTCTCGGGCATCCCCAGGAAAGGGTCATGGTGCTAAAACATACAAGGAGCCTTAACACAGAGGGTGCCTGTGGTGAATGCCCACACGTGCATATTTCCTCAGTAACCCGATCATTTTTCACCTTTTACTTTCTGATGCCATGTGGACATTCTGCTGCTCAGCTCACGAGAACTGTTTTAATCTCTCCATAAGTACCTGGGCTGGGATTTGAATTATGGAAAGTGAGCAAAAGCAGCAGGTATCAAAATTGCAGGGGTCTGAGAAAGCGTTTTTTGTTTTTGTTTTTGTTTTTTTTTCTGAGACAGTTTCACTCTGTTGCCCAGGCTGGAGTGCAATGGCATGATCTCAGCTCACTGCAACCTCCACCTCCCGGGTTGGGCTCAAGAAATTCTCCTGCCTCAGCCTCCTGAGTAGCTGGGACTACAGGTGCCCACCACCACGCCCAGCTAATTTTTGTATTTTTAGTAGAAACAGAATTTTGCCATTTTGGTCAGGCTGGTCTTGAACCCCTGACCTCAGGGGATCTGCCTGCCTCGGCCTCCCAAAGTGCTGGGATTACAGGCTTGAGCCACCATGCCCAGCCCTATTTTTCTTATGTAACAAGGACAGACAGTTTAAATAAAGCTAGGAATATTTTTTTAATTCCATCAACAGAGATTTGAAAATTGATTTAGTGTCCAATTAAAACCCCATATGTTCAAAGTCCTACCATTGACGGGGAAGTTTCACAGATGTGTGTTTAATGCATAATTCATGGAAAAGTGGTGTGATTTATTTATGTTTATCTGTGAAGATAGGCTGAGCAGGAGCTACTTTAAATGAATAGTTTTATGGCCTTGAAAAATAAAAGACGCTCAATTTATACATTTATAATTAAAGGGCCACTGATGGCTGAGCTTCATGTAGACACGATTCAGTCCATCCATTTGGCTTGTGAGGAATGGATCTGGGGGATTCCCAGGAGTTCTGAGAAGGAACCAGGACAGCTCCCGGGCTTGCAGGTGAATGACTGGCATTATATGGAGCCCTTCCAGAGCCTCTTTAGCAAGAACACTGGGAGATGCTTTCAGAATCTGAAGCAGGCAAGGGTAGCGCTGAATAGTTAGGTCTGCTAGGCGGGGATCATAACAGTGCCTGGATGGCAGAGAGTAGTGCTAGGGATAAATGAGATGACATAGGTGAGGGGCTGGCACACAGCAGACACTCAAGCGTTGCAGAGAGCTCAGAAAGCTGGCGTCTACCTGGCAGTACCACCAGTGCAGCCCCCTTCCCGCCCCCACATTGTAGCATTGTGGTCAAGAGCACTGTCTAGATGTGAGCACGTTCTAGGGCCTGAGCTGGTCATTGCACCTCCCTTGGTGTCAGTTTCCTCATCCCTGTAATGGGGATAATAATAGTACTTGTCTCATAGGATTATTGCAAAGATTCAAAAAGTAACATGTCTTCATTTGGGTTCTCCAAAAGCACTATTATTATCCCCACTTAGCAGATGAGTAAGGGATTCCCACACATCCTGGTTCGTGCCCATGGTTCAGCATAGATTATTATCAGCATACCCTTCATGCTCCCAGTTTTCTGTCTGGACCATAAATCAATCATATAGTTATTATCCAGAGGAGAAAATCGAGGTGAGAGAAGTAACTTGCTCAGAATCACACAAGAGAGTCAGGACTTACACCCAGACATTCAAGTCCATTCTCTGCACTAACCACCACACTTGCTTGCCTCAGATTCTGAAATTATCTCCTGGGGTTCTTGGTAATGGAGACTCCCACAGAGCCCCATGCAGTGCAGGCCAGTCACCTGTGAGCCTGAATGCCATCCAGGTCCATTCTCAGAAGTCCTGGAAATCCCAAAGGTCCATGACTCACAAGCCACAAGGATGGGCTGTCTTGTCTGTCTTGTTTACATTACATTCATCCCAGCCATTGGTTGCCCTTCAACTATGAGAACATGATTTAAGCCTGAGACAGAACCTGGGTGCAAGTCCTTTAGTTGGAGGATGATCTCAGTTAGCACCAGTGGGAAAGTGAGACATGAGACGGGGAAATGGGAAAGCCAACAGAGGGTGCATTCACACATGGGTTGCCATTGGGCAAGTAGGGCTTCATCTGGGACACACCCAGAACTGTCCCACCCAAGGGTGGGGAAGCTGGACTACTCATCCACCAAACTCCCATCCCTCATCCATTGAGCATTACTCCTGGGGCATTAGTTCTCTGGCATGTTCATCTACCCAAGGCACAAGCCAAAGATATCCCAGTGGCCAGAGAGCACCCCAGAATGTCAGAGAAAACCATCAGCATCTGAGAACTGAGATGCCACCAGCATCTGCTACCACAGGTCAAGGGCATCTGTAGTACTATCTGTTGTACCTCCCCAGGAGGTATTTGTGACCTGAGTACAATTCCCAGTATTTCCTGACCCAGGCACTGTCTCTTGTGATCCAGGGAGAAGGTGGCCCAAGATAATATTGAGGAGAAAACAAGACCTGGTAGGACAAGGCAGAGCTTTGGAGCTTTATCCTGAGGGCCATGAGAAGCCCCTGATGGATTTTAAACAGGGAATGGACCTGATCTAATTAGCACTTCCAAGCAATTGCCCTGGCTACTGCCTTACGAAATGCAATGGTCATGAAGCATGTTCACAACACAAACAGCTTGGGGTATCACGGTCAAAGAAGAACTTCTAAAGCAGTGGTTCTCAAGCAGAGGCAAATTTGCCTAATCCCCCGGGGACATGTGACAGTGCCTGGAGATATTTCTGGATGTTACAATTGTGAAAGGGAATAAGGGCACCTCGAGTGAGTAGAGACCAGGGATGCTGCTATACAGCCTACAACGCACAGGTCTGCCTCCCACAACAAAGAACTAGATGCCCAAAATATCAATAGTGCCAAGGGTGAGAAATCCTGCTCTAAGGAATTCTATAGGAGCAAAGGATCTATGTGAAATAAGGCTTCCTGGTCAAGGAGGGTTCAGCAAAGTTGAGAGAGCAGGTGTGATGCGAGGTTCCATAAGAGAAGAAGGAGATGAACGGGAGGTGGAAATGATCAGGGGTCATAAAGTCATTGGTCCAACTGTCAGAGGTGTTTGACCAGAGCAACTCCATCTTAAATAGGGGCTAGGTAAAATAAGGCTGAGACCTACTGGGCTGCATTCCCAGGAGGTTAAGGCATTCTAAGTCACAGGATGAGACATGAGGTCGGACAAGACACAGGTCATAAAGATCCTGCTGACAAAACAGGTTGCAGTAAAGAAGCCAGCCAAAGCCCACCAAAACCAAGGCGGTGATGAAAGTTACATCTGGTCATCCTCACTGCTACACTCCCACTACTGCCATGACAGTTTACAGATGCCATGGCAACGTCAGGAAGTTACCCTACGTGGTCTAAAAAGGGGAGGCATGAATAATCCACACCTTGCTTAGTATATGATCAAGAAATAACCATAAAAATGGGCAACCAGCACCCCTCTGGGCTACTCTGCCTATGGAGTAGGCATTCTTTTATTTGCTTACTTTTGTAATAAACTTGCTTTCACTTTACTCTATGGAACAGCCTCAAATTCTTTCTTGCGTGAGATCCAAGAACAGTCTTTTGGGGTCTGGATAGGGAGCCTTTTCCAGTAATACAACAGCGATTAATGGCCATGATGGAGAGAGAGTTACATAATGCTGGGTATGGCTTGAAATACCACCCGGGGCAGCATGGTCTTATTCTTTGCCCAGTAGCAAATAGCTTTCATCTGCATCTGATTAGTCGTGACTGCCTGAATCAAGGGTTGGATCAGGTAGTGCCATGATTGATTAGTGATGTCTGTCACAGGAGTTGAGCCAGAACTGAGTGGCTGTGTGTTCTCTCTCTTTTTTAATTGACAAGTAAAAAGTGTATATATTTATGGTATACAACATGATGTTTTGATATGTGTATATATTGTGAAATGACTAAATTAAGCTACTTAACATATGCATTACCTCACATAACGCACATTATTTCTGTGATGAGAACACTTAAAATCTACTCTCAGCAATTTTTAAGTATACAATATATTGTTAACTGCAGTCACTGTAATGTACACTAGATCTCTTGAAATTATTTCCTAACTGAAATTTTGTGTCCTTTGACCAACATTTCCCCAGTCCCCACACCCTCTAACGCACCCTTGAACAAAGTTAATTTTTCTCTCTTTGAGTGACGGACACTAGTGGTGATACAGGACTTTTGCTCCTTAGCTCAGCTAGGTCTGAGTTCTTGTCTCATGACCAGGAAGAATCAGGCACCTGAACCCCAGAGAGTGAGTGGAGTAGAATTTATTAAGCAAAAGGAAAGCTCTCAGCAAAGAGAGGGGTCCTGAAAGCAGTTGCCAGTTGCCCTCTTCACAGTTGAATACCAAGGCTTAAGGTGCAAATTCCTGGCAGCTCCACCCCATCCTCCGAGTGCATTTGTGGGCCCTTAAACTCAGCCACTCCATGCTGATTTATTTTCCTTACTGCACATGTGTTAAGGAATGGAATTTTCCACTGCAGGTATGTTTATGCAAATCCCCTTTGCATGTTCCCTATCTGCACAAAATCCGGTGTAAGCACTTGTGGGTGGGTCAGAGGTTCTCTGGGGACCCTTTCCTTACTGTCTGCCTAAAGCAAGCCGGCTAACTCCTTTCAGTGGGAGAAGGGACAACATGATGACCTCACTGATTTCTTATGAGGTCATTGTAAGCCGGATGAACAAATGCTGAGTTATTCTTAATATGAGTATTCCAGAAACTTCCGCCCCTCGGACTCCAGTGCAAATGACAGAAACAGGGAGCAGTAACAGATCGAGATGCATCCAAGTGTTGTAGGTGTGTCTGCACCTGTGCCCTCTGAGTACAGCACTTATGTTACTCAGTGATGCACTAACACAGTAAATGCCACCTTGCTCCAGGTCTGGGAGAAACTACTCCCTCCTATGGAATTCACTGAACTTTTCTTTCTCCACTTCCCTTCTTCTCTCCTTTATTAACTGCCCACTTCCTCCTCTCTTTTTTTTTTTTTTTTTTTTTTTTTTTTGCCCTGATCTCTCCCTCCTCCACTTCCACCCCCAGTGACTGACTCCCTCAACTCTCCTGGAAAGGAATTACCTTCTGTATCAAGCTATCTAGTACCACATGTAATCCATTTGGGATGATGGTCTGTTTGATCTTACATAAGAAACACTCTCCATAGGTCTTACATAAGAAACACTCTCCATATGCTTTTTAAATTTTTAATTAACACGTAGTAATTGTACATATTTGTGGGTTACAACGTGATATTTCAATACCTGTATACAATGTATGATGATCAAATTCTGGTAATGAGCATATCCACCACCTCAAATAATTATCATTTTTTTGTGCTGTGGACATTTAAAATCCTCTCTTCTAGCGCTTTGAAAATATGGAGTTAGTTGTTAACTCCCACCGGCCCTTCTCATCTTCTGATGTTCTCCCCTGTTCCCTGAGCTCCAGGAGCTGCCCCCTACTCGTTCTACCTCCCACCAACCCGTGCTCACCTGCGACTGCTCTGCCCTGGTCCCCTGAGCTCCAGGGGCTGCCCCCTGCTCGCCCAACTCCCACCAGCCATGCTCACCTTCTGATGCTCTGCCCTGATCCCCTGAACTATAGTTACCCTATAGTTCTATGGAACACTAGAACTTATTCCCTCATATCTAGCTGTAATTTTGTATTTATTAACCCACCTTTCTCTATTCCTCCTTTCCCCCACTCTTCTAGTTACCACTATTCTACTCTCAACATCTATGTGATCAACTTATTTAGCTTCCACTGCATGAATGAGAGAGCATACAATATTTATCTTCCTGTGCCTGGCTTATTTCACTTATAACGTCCTCTAGGCTCATCCATGTTGCCACAAATGCAGGATTTCATTCTTTTTATAGCTGAATAGTATTCCATTGTGTATATATAGCACAGTTTCTTTATCCATTCATCTGTTGATCGACACTTAGGTTGATTTCTTACCTTGGCTATTGTGAATAGTGCTGCTATAAACTTGGGAGTACAGATATTTCTTTGACATTGTGATTTCCTTTCCTTTAGATAAATACCCAGTAAAGGCACTGCTGAATCATAAGACAATTCTGTTTTCAGTTCTTTGAAAAACCACTGCGCTATTTACCATAATGGGTGTACTAATTTACATTCCCACCAGAGTGCATAAGAGTTCCCTTTACTCTACATTCTTACCAGCACTTGTTTGCTTATTTGTTTTTGTCTTTTTTATAATCACCGTTCTAACTGGAGTGAGATGATATCTCTGTGTGGTTTTGATTTGCATTTCCCTGATGATTAGTGATCTTGAGCATCTTTATGTGCTTCTTGGCCATTTTTATGTCTTCTTTTGAGAAGTGTTTATTCAGATTATTTGCTCATTTTTAATCAGATTTTTTTTTTTTTTTACCATTGGACTGAGTTTTTTTGTACATTCTGGATACAACTGATTGAGTTTTTTGGTATATTCTGGGTATTACTCGCTTGTCAAATGAACAGTTAGCAAATACTTTCTCCCCATGTGTAGGTTGTCCCTTTACTCTGTTGTTTCCTTTGCTGTGCAGAAGCTTTTTAGTTCGATATAAATTCACTTGTCTATTTTTTATTTTGTTTTACATGCCTTTGAGGTTTTGACCATGAAATCTCTGCCAGTACAATGTTCAGAAACATTTCCCTGCATTTTCCTCTTGTGGTTTCACAGTTTCAGGTCTTATATTTAAGTCTTTTATCCATTTGGGTTGATTTTTGTGTATGGTGAGAGATAGGGGTCTAGTTTCATTCTTCTGCAGATGGATATCTAATTTTCCCAGAATCATTCACTAAGGAGACTGTCCTTTCTCCACCAAGTGTACATTCTTGGTGCCTTGTTGCAAATCAGTTGGCTATAAATATATGGATTTATTTCTAGATACTATATTCTGTTGCCATTAGTCTATGTATCTGTTTTTAATGCCATTACTATGCCGTTTTGGTTATACGGTTGTACTGTATTTTGAGGTCACATAGTGTAATGCTTCCAGCTTTGTACTTTTTGCTTAGGATTGCTTGGCTATTCAGGGTCTTTTGTGATCCCATATAAATCTTAGGATTTTTTTTCTATTTCTATGAAAAATGTTATTGGTATTTTAATAGGAATTGCATTGAATCTGTAGATTGCCTTAGGTAGTGTATTCATTTTAACAATATTTATTCCTCCAATTCATGAACTTTTGATGTCTTTCTAATTTTTTGTGTCCTTTTCAGTTTCTTTTATCAGAATTTTATAATTTTCATTTCAGAGATCTTTTACCTCCTTGGTTAAATTAAATGAAGAATTCATCACCAGTAGATCAGCCTTACAAGAAGTGCTTAAAGAAGTACTACCTCTGGAAGCAAAAGGCCAGTCATAGCTACCATAATGAAGACATATGAAAGTATACAACTCACTGGTAGAGCAGATACACAAATGCAAAAGGGAAAGGAATAAAACCTTATCCCTACAAAAAAAACCACCAAACCACAAACAAAAAGAGGAAGAAAGGAACAAGGGATATACAAAACAACCAGAAAACAATCGACAAAATGACAGGAGTACATCTTCACCCATCAATAACAACCTTAAATGTAAATAAAGTAAATTCCCCAATTAAAAGATATGGATTGGCTGAATGGATTTTTTTAAAGACCCAACAATATGCTGCCTAAAAGAAACTCACTTCATCTGTAATGACACACATAGACTAAAAATAAAGGGATAGAGAATGATATTCTATGCAAATGAACATTAAAATCAAGCAGGAGTAGCTATACTTAGATAAAACAGACTTTAAGCCAAAAACTGTGAAAAAAGACAATCTCATTATATAATGATAAAGGAAGGGATCAATCAATTCAGTAAGAAGATATAACAATTATAAATATATATACACGTAACGCCAGAGTACTCAGATACATAAAGCAAATACAAATAGATCTAAAGGGGGAGATAGAGTACAACCTAATAACAGTAGGACATATTTTCCCTTGAAACATTCTCCAGGATAGACCATATGTTAGGCCACAATACAAGTCTCAACAAGTTTTTAAAAATCAAAATCATATCAAGTATATTTTCTATCTACAATGAAATAAAACTAGATATCAACAACAAGAGGAACTTTGGAAACTGTACAAATACATGGAAATTAAATAACATGCTTAGGAACAACCAATGGGTCAGTGAAGAAATTAAGAAGAAAGTTTAAAAATGTCTTGAAACAAATGAAAATAGAAATACAACATATCAAAATCTGTGGCACACAGCAAACAGGGAAGTTTATAGTAATAATTGCCTACATTCAAAAAATAGAAATGTTTCAAGTAAACAACTCAGCAATGCACTTCAAGGAATTAGAAAAGCAAAAACAAACCAAACCCAAAATTAATTAAAGGAAAGAAATAATAAATATCAGAAAAAAATAAAACAAAGTAGGATTTAAAAAATACAAAAGATAAATAGAATGAAAAGTTGTTCTTTTAAAGACTAGCAAATCAGAAACCATAGCTAGACTATGAAAAGAAAAAGAGAGAGAAGACTCAAATAAATAAAATCAGGAACAAAAAGAGAAGACATTAGATACCACAGATATTTTTAAAACATTATTAGAGACTATTACAAACAACTATATACAAGAAATTGGAAAACCTAGAAGAAATAGATAAATTTCTGAACAAATATAATCTGCAAAGATTCAACCGGAAAGAAATAGAAAATCTGAACACACCAATAACAAGTAATGAGATTAAAGCAATAATAGAGTTTCCCAAAAAAAGAAAAGCCTAAGACCAATGGATTCACTACTGAATTCTACCAAACATTTTAAAAGCAAACACCAATTTTCTTCAAACACTCCAAAAAACTGAAAAGGAGAAAGTTCTTCCAAACTCATTCTACAAGGTCAACATTACCCTGATACCAAAAGCAGACAAAAACACAACCAAAAAAGAAAACCACAGGTAAATATCCCTGATTAACACAGATGCAAAAATTCTCAACAAAATACTAGCAACCCAAATCCAACAGCACATCAAAAAGATTATACACTATAATGAAGTAGGAATCATTCCAGGGATGCAAGGAGGGTTCAACATATGCAAATCAATAAATGTGATACATCACATCAACAGAATGAAGGATAATAACCATGTAATCATCTCAACAGATACAAAAAAAGATTTGATAAAATTCAATATTCTTTCACGATAAAAAAAAAAACTTTCAACAAATTGGGTATAAAAGCAATGTACTTCAACACAACAAAGACCATGTATGATAAATCCACAACCAACATCATACAGAATGGGGAATAGAACACTTTTTCTCTAAGAACTGGAACAAGACAAGCTTGCCCACTTTCACCACTCTAATGCAACATAATACTGGAAGTCCTAGCCAGAGGAATCAGGCGACAGAAGAAAATAAAGGGCATTCAAATTGGAAACAAGGAAGTCAAATTTTCCCTGTTTGCAGATGACATGATTGCTTACAGAGAAAAACCTAAAGATGCCACCAAAAGACTTTCAGAGTAGATTAACAAATTCAGTATAGATGCAGGTACAAAATCAACATACAAAAATCACTAGTGTTTCTATACACCAATAACAAACTAGCTGAGGAAGAAATCAAGAAAGCAACTCCATTTACAATAAACACAAAAGAATAAAGTAAAGTATCTACTCATTAAGTTCAGAGAAGGTGAGCAAGAGAAAGGAGCATTTAAAAATTGTTTGTAGAAGCAAGGTATGGCAGCTCATGCCTGTAATCCTAGTGCTTTGAGATGCCAAGGAGAGAGGATTGCTTGAAGCCAAGAGTTCAAGACCGGCCTGGGAAACACAGCAAGACCCCATTGCTACAGAGAATAAAAAACTTTTTGTAATAGTGATGTTATCTATAGAAGCAACTGGGGAAGTTACAAATCTTGTGACCTCCAGTTATATGACTCCTGAGCAGTAAGCAATTACAGAAAAGAAGCTAGAGAATAGTAGCTGACTATTGTTTATGGTCCTAGCTTAGCAGAAGAAGCAATGACTGGTTAGAGTTCATCTCTACATCTTAGCAGAATTCAGATGCCTAACAAAATTCTAAGTTTATGACCTTTCATTAGTTTTACAAAGGTGGTTGCAGTTCCCAAACAAGGATGGGGTCAGTTTTGAGAAGGTCATCCTTGCTTTGAAGTTAAACTATAAACTAAATTCCTTCATTTAGCTTGGCCTATGCACAAGAATAAGCAAGGGAAGTTAGCTTGTGAGGTTAGAATCAAGACGGAGTCAGTTATGTAAGATTTCTCTCACTGTTATAATTTTGCAAAGGCTGTTTCAACGGGAAGTGAGGAGGAAGGAACCGTGACCAGGCAGAGGGATTGGTCTGTGTAAAGCCACTGGTGTATAAAAGAACATTGCACGCTGTCTCTCCATTACGGTAGAACATGCATACATGAGAGACCGACCACATAATACAACTCCTGAAGAGTCCCAGGGCTCAGGGGAAGTGAAGCACCTTGAGGTAACCCATGCATAGTCATGTCTCAGTTCTTGGCAACACACTTGCCTTCCTGGGCCCTAAAATTCAGGAGAGTGAGTTCTGGCCTTCCAGTACCTTCTGGGGAAGAATTCTTTCATTAATCCAACAAATAAATATTCACTGAGGTTCTACTATGTACCAGGCCTCATGATAAATTCTGGGGATACAATGACAAAGTAAACCAACAGGTTGTATTCTCATGGAGTTCACGGTTGACCCTCACATCCCCATCTCTTACAAGTGCAGATTTCAGACTGGGCCTAATGGAGCTCCCAGGAGAGGGGGAAGGGCCGCCACCTTGAGAATAAACTCCCAGGGGCTTTTATAGACTCCTTGGTGTCTCCAGCAGCATATCCTGCTGACTGGGCCTTTTTCCAGCAAGAATCCAAAGACTGCCCCAGTGGGGCCAAGGGTGAGGGACAGGGCCTGCCACGGGGACCTCAAGGTATCATGTTTAAATTCAAAGCACTCAGCGCACTTCATGCGGGAAATAATTAGTCAAGTCACAGGCAGCATCCGGCCCAGCGAGAATACAGAATGCAGAATAAAATCAACGCAAGGAAAAAAAAAACAGCACATTCTGGTGTTTGCAGACCTGTCCTCGCTGCTCTGGAGAACCATAAACCAGGGATGGTTCAAATGCCAAATGGCTTTGTTGAAACCTCTGCTTCCTTCTGAATTTCCCCTTCAAAAGCAACACTGCTTTCTTTCTTTGCAGACTTGGCAGCTTTTTCAGGACCCAAATCCATTGTCAGCACCTCTGAGATTAGAGGCTTTTCTAAGGCCACTGAAGATTATTATTTCCTCGGAATTGCCTGGACTTTAAGGCTGCTTGGAATTCACTCATTGCCTCTTTTATCCATTAGCATCTTCAGAAATATTCTCGATATCGGAATAAATGTAATAATAATGACAATATATCATCAACACCCACTTATTGAGAGTCTGTGGCAGGCCAGGTCTCATTGACAGCAGAACAGGAAGGCCTCCATAACAACTGTTTCAGCACTGAATGAGTGGTTAAGTTAAATATTAAAAGCTGAAAGAGCTAGTGCCCTATACAAAGGCTGGAAGGTAACAAAAGCCCACCAAGAGCTGTGCCTAGGCCTTTCCTGGGCCTTGAAGCATGACAAAATAATGAAGGAATTCTTAATAGGACCCATTTAGGATTAAACGAATTTTTACTGGGGGTCTGAAGAAACTCCCCAGACCTCCACAAACAAGTTTTACTGTCGGTCTAAAGGAACTCCTCAAACCTCTATGATTTAGTGGGAGACAAGATAAGGGTAATCACCCCAGTATCTGGACCCATCTAGATTAATTACATTTACTGAGGTTCCGGAGGAAGGTCTTCAGGACTCAGACCTTAGGTACAGACTAGAAGAAGTTCATCACTTATGTCTTTAGATGAATGCACACTTACACATAGGCATATAGCTTAGAAGCTATACAAGCTCTGGAAAACTTTGTAATTTTGAGTTGGTCTGGCAATATTTTCCAGGTCTTCTCCCTGTACCCTGTTATAGAAATAAACTCCCTTCTCCCCCAGTTCATCTGCATCTCGTTATTGGGTTACGAGAATAAGCAGTCCAACCTCGGTTTGGTCTGGGAACAAGTCTAGTATGTACCATACTCTGTGCCAAGCCCTTGGTGCATTTGTTCAAATTTAACCATCTTAATTACCCTATAAAGTTGATATTCATCATGCATGCTATGGTGCACCACCCAGATCTCCCTTCAAGACTGAAGTGCTCATTCCCCCAGCTGCTGAGAATATTATTGGCTGACAAACAACTCAGCCAATTTCTTCTTCGGGAATTAAACCTACCCGGAGGAAGGGCACTGCCTAACCCGAAGTTTCCACCCCAGGGGCAGCCTATATCCAATGGCCCAGCCCCCTCCCCTCCAGGTGGGAGGACCTTCAGGGTCATCCCAGCCCCAGGTAGCTTATGATGTTAACAGTTCACCTGCTCCCTCTGCCGGGTCCTGCTTCCCTCACTCCCAGCAAGTGCTGAGCCCTAGAACACTCCCCAGTAAACTCCCATCTCTTCCAATTCTGGAGGCTTTTCCCCTTTTAGAAAGCCCACCTCTGTCAAGTCAAAGGGAGTCAGAGTCAGAAAATAAAGTCTTGCCAGTTCTTCCCAGGAGCAAAGAAGTCCCAAGCCTTGGTGATTCAAAGGCTTGGTTAGTGTATTGGTTTCCCATTGATGCTATAACAAATTACCAAAAATGTAATGGCTTAAAGCAACACAAATGTACTTCCTTGCAGTTCTGGAGGTCAAAAGTCTAAAACGGCTCTTCCTGGGCTAACATCAAGATGTTGGGAAAGTTTGAAAGTTCCTTCTGGAGGCCGTGTGAGGATAATCTGTCTCCTTTGTCTTCTTCCACCTTCTAGAAGCAGCACACACTCCTTGGCTCCTAGCTTCCTCCTTCATCTCAAGGCCAACAGCGTAGTGTCTTTTAATCTCTCTCTCTGTCTCCCCTGCCCTGCTTCTGCCTCCCTCATCATATCGCCTCTGACTCCGACTCTCTTACATCCCTCTTACGAGGATTCTTGTGATTAGCTTGAGCCCACCCAATAATTCAGCATAATCTCTTCACTTCAAGATTCTTAACTTAGTCCTTATTGCCATGTAAGGTCATATATTCACAGGTTTCAGGAATTTCACGGTAGACAACTTTAGGGGGCTATTATGCTGTCTACCACAATTGGGAAGATGGAACTACGACTCCTTTTCAGTTTCATACAGCTAAGAGTTCAATTTCAAATCATTAAATTGGAAGATGATTCTGCCATATTAACACAGCTTTGTGAAATGAAGGCTGAAATTCCTTGTGTCTGATATCCTTCAGCTAAAAATTCATCAATGTGTCTAGCAAGACAGAAAATGTTGGGTTATCAGTTTTGCCACTACCTTTATTCCATACCTGCACACTCAGAACTTTCCATTCTTCAGAAATCATGACCAACCTTCCCACCTTGGGAGCTCCATTAAATAGACCCCCAGGTGCTGGGATCGTCTTGTCTGTCCCTTGGTAACTCCACAGTGATACCTCGCTTGTGCCTTTAGTTCTGAGCTCACAGTTGTCACAGCAACTAATGCTCGGGGGTGCACTGAGGACCATCTAGTCCCGCCCACACTGTCCAACACCATAGCCACTGGCCACATGTGGTCATCGAGCTCTTGGAATATGTTTTTTCCAAATGGAGATGGGATCAAGTGTAAAATACACACCAGATTTCAAAGACTTAGTACAAAAAAGAATGAAAGGCCATGAGGAGACATGAAGGAAACTTAAAGGTACATTACTAAGTGAAAGAAGCCAGTCTGAAGAGGCTACATTCTAGATGATTCCAACTCTGTGACGTTCTGAAAAAGGCAAAACTATAAGGACAGTAAAAGATCTGTGGCTGCCAGGAGTTGGGGAAAGGAGAATTAAATTGGCAGAGCATAAAAATGTTTAGGGCAGGGCACTGAAATAATTCCGCATCTAAATACTCAGGCTATATTAAGGCTAATGTTAATGTTTTGGGCATATTAAGTTAAATATACTGTTAAATATTATTTAAGTTTATTACACTTGTTTTTTTTCTACTTTTTTAATGTGACTACTAAGACAATTTTAAATTACATCAAATTATATAATTCCATAGATTCTATAATTATATAAAATCACATTTGTGGCTCACTTTATATTTCCACTGGGGAGCATTGGTCTAATCAATCAATTGCTACAGAAGCTTTCTTTACCCACAGGCCCCACAGAATGTTGGCTGCTTTATTCATCTGTAAGTGAATGTCACGCACAGTCTTGGTACATAAAGAATATTTTAGTCATTGTTGGCTGAATGAATGAGAGACTAAATGGGTGAGCACTTCAGCAGACTGGGAATGGTTCTGTGATGCTATGGCCCTCTCATTTTCTCTCTCTCTCTCTCTCTCTCTCTCTCTCTCTCTCTCTCGCTCTCTCTCTTTCTCTCTTTCATCCTGGAAACAAGGCCTCTGCTGCTCATCCCAAGGAACGTCTTGTGGAACACTGTAGACATCCCTCCACCTCCAGCAAAATAGTTCCTAAAATTACTGTTTAATCAACTCATACTCAACACTCCATCTATTCCATTCCCTTTATACCCTCTTTACATATTTGAATAGTAACTGTGTGGGAATTAGTATCTCCACTTTACAGGCAAAATGCCTAGGAAAAGAAATGTCAGGGTACTTGCTGAAAGGTCACAGAGAATATTTGGTCTTCTGGACTCCATGCCTAAGCTAAAAGCACAAGCAATTACACATCTTTGCTCAACCAAAGGGAGATAGAGTGTAGTCAAGCCAGGTTTTGTTTAACTTTATTATATTTTGTTTTATTTCATTTTTCTGATGGTAAAAGTAATACATCGTCATTGTACAACATTTAAAAGATGAAGGAATGTCTAGGGAAACACGAATAAATGTGCCCTACAATCCTAAGCTTTAGTTATAGTCAAATAATAGCATATTTTCCTCTAATCTTTGTACTTAGGACCCTTTACATAATTGACAGTATTTTTACAATTTCTCTGCCTTACTTTTTTATTCACTATTGTAGCATAAATATTTACAACATTATTTCAAACTCACCATGGAACAAGATAAATGCCATATGTGGAAAAACCATAATTAATTGAATTTTGTTCAGATTATGCATCTCTGGGCTGTTTCCCATTGACCATTGTGAGACAGCCTGGCTCTGTATCTTTAGGAGAAAATCTTCACTCCCTATTGTGCTATTTTCAGGATAAAAATGAAGAATTAAAGTTACTGAGTAAAAGAGGAGAAATATGAATGGGGCCCTTGTTACATCCAGCAAGGCTTATATAAAATGCCCTTACCAGACTCTATCCAGCTGTTACATTCTGTCCTGCAGTCTCCAGCCCTGACAGAGAGGAGCTGAACACCCAGAAGATGAGTAAAAAGCCACTAATTCTGCCTTGTTCCAGGCCATACAAGATCCTTTTCCAAGTTAGAACAGATCCTCCCAGAAAGCAGTGTGGGAGCCAGTGTCCATTCACCCTTAAAATGTATAGGGAAATCTGCAAGAGAAATCGGAACAGAAACTGAACTTAAGCCATGCTAAGGGGGAGTGGAATGTATTGGCTCACACGCTTTGAAAATGATACTGAAGGAGTATATAGCATTGAAAGGATGGGTTACAGGGATAATGTCCCCAAGCAGTTGAACTGGCACTCGACACTGCCAAAATACATTTCTCATCCTTCTCTCTTCTCTCTCTCTCCCTCTTTCTCTTCCCCCTCTTCCTCCTCTCTCTCCCCCTCTCCCTCTCTCACCGTCTCTCTTTTTCTCTCTCCCTGTGCTTTCTCTCTCTCCCTCTCTCTCTCCCCTTTTCCCCCTCTCTCCCTCTTTCTGTCTCCCTCTCTCTCTCATTCCCCTTCCCCCTCCCTCTCCCCCCTCACTGTCTCTCCCTCACTTTCTCTCCCTCTCTTTCTCTCTCCTCTCTCGCTCCCTCTTTTTTCCTCTCTCCCCCTCTCTCTCTTTCCTTCTCTCTCACTCCCACTTTCTCCCTCCCTCCCCCACCTTCTCTCCCTCTCTTCTCTCTCTCTCTCTCCCCCCCATATATTTCTCACCTCCCTTTTCCCTCCTTGGCTTCATATCTTCCACTACAAACAGGCCTTTTCTACATGACGGGAAAAAAGATAACTCTCAGCACCTCCAACTTTACACCCTACTTTGTATTTAGAGCCAAAAGCAAGAGTATCTTTCTCACAGTATCTTTCCTATACATCAATTCCGGGGAAGAATGCTAATTGGCTCTGTTAAGGTCATATGTCCACCCACTGAACCAATTACTGACACCTAAGAAATAGAGGTCAATGACTGGTCAGACCTGAGTCATATGCCAACCTCATTGGCCATATCTGTTATCAGAAGAAGGGAGATGCACAAATTTGTTGGACAATCTTTTTAAAAATAGCTACTGGCTGGGCACAGTGGCTCGGCCTGTAACCTCAGCACTGTAGGAGGCTGAGCTGGGTGAATCACCTGAGGTCAGGAGTTCGAGACCAGCCTAGCCAACATGGTGAAACACTGTCTCTACTAAAAATACAAAAACTAGTTGGGCGTGGTGGTGCATGCCTGTAATCCCAGCTACTCGGGAGGATGAGGCAGGAGAATCGCTTGAACCCGGGAGGCAGAGGTTGCAGTGAGCCGAGATTGCACCACTGCATTCCAGCCTGGGTGACAGAACAAGATTCCATCTCAGAAAAAAAAAAAAATAGCCAGCTTGGTTAAGCGTGCTTTTATCTATACCCATAAGCTCCAAGAACATCAGGTTATGAAAGCAAGAACATCAGGTTATGAGAGTTGTCATAGATAGAAGTCATTATTTAAGGTAATTTTCAATTTTACTTTTTTGTTTGTTTGTTTTGAGACAGGATCTCGCTCTGTTACGCAGGCTGGAGTGCGGTGGTGCGATCATGGTTCACTGCAGCCTCAACTTCCCTGGGTTCAATTGATCCTCCTACCTCAGCCTCTTAAGCAGCTGGGACTACAGGCACACACCGACAAACCTAATTTTGTTGGTTTTTTTTTTTTTTTTTGGAGAGTTGGGTTTCACCATGTTGCCCAGGCTGGTCTCAAACTCCTGGGCTCCAGTGACCCACCCACCTCAGCTTCCCAAAGTGGGAACACAGGCACAAGCCACTGCACCCAGCCCTTGAATTTCACTTTTAAAAGTGGAAAAATGATGGAAAGATAACTTGTAAATCAATAGAAGGACCTACCTTCTATTGATTCCAAACAGATACCTATAATTATGCTATTTACCTGGAGATCTCACATGCCAGACGACAAATGTTTCTCCACAATTATGTGATTTTTGCATTGCATAATTTAAGTGTTCAAGTTGTCGGGAAAGAGCACTTATCTATAAATATAAAATTATGTATGTGTATTATCCGGTTATAAGGTAATCAGTAAACAGCGTATTTAAGAAAAGTGTACAGTAATTACTAAAGCTTGCTATTTGGGGCATATTACTTAACCAGGTAATGAAATAGCTGAACACTAGTTTCTACTTAAATGTCATTCATTTGCAGATAGGAAGACACTCTGCAGCTTTTAATTAAATCATAGAATATCTCAGCTGTACTGTCCATTAGGTAGAAAGTTCTTTCTCTTTTATAGTGGGATGAACTGAGGTTTACTTCTTTGGCACCAAACCTAGAAATAAAGGTTATGAAATCTTCAAAAGAATTTTCCACATCCCTTTAACGTCTGCCTTATATGTAAAATGAGATAATTTTTATAAAAAAAATTTACTTATGGTTGACTTCAGAACTGAGATGGAAGAGCATAGTATCCAGAAACTAGTAATTGTTGAGTGCCTACTATGTGCTAGGTATTGTGCAAAGCACTTTGCATGTTTGACCTCATTAGAACCACCTGTCTTTTGCGGGTGATAAAACCAAGGTTCAGAGGGCTGATATTGCATGTCCAAGGTCACACAGCTTTTGAGTGGCAGAGCTGGAATTTGAAATCAAGCCAATCAGACTCCAAGGTCCATGTTCTGGCTGCCACAGCATGAGCTCGGAAGCTGGTAGTTAAAGGGATGAATGCCAAAATTTTCTTCTAATTGTCGGGTTCTATGACGCCAGTTTTTGTAGCTCTACTCTTAACTGGCACAAAAATAGCATCTGGTGAACAAAGGCTCACGGGAACCGAATTCTGCTGGATAGTTCTGTCATCGTTGTATTTTGCAAAGCAAAGCCTGTAGGAATTATATCATTTGCTGCAAACATTATGTCTTCCCTTGAGGGTGGCAAGCAGTAGATTTTAGGACATAACCAGAGTCCATAGAGTACAGATTTTGAACCTGAACTGCCGGGGTTCAAATACAGACTCAACTATTTTTCATCCATGGATATAGGCAACTAATTTACCTTCTCTAAAGCCCAAGAACCCTCATGTGTAAAATGGTTTTCAGCATATTATGTTACTACTCACCTGAATTTTGTTTAATATATTACATACTTGGACCACAGCACATAAGTCAGATGTTGCTGCTGTCTTCATACTTAACTTAGTTTCAAATGCCAAGATGGATTCATTCATCCATTAAATAAATATCTGTGGACTACAAGCTATATGTCAGACACTGTGCTAAGCCCTGCCTATATACTAGTGAACAAACAGATGCAGTCTTGCCTTCATGAAGTTTGTAATCTACCTGATGAGAAAAAATGTATTGGTTAGAAATGCGTTTGGCTACAATTAATTTTTTTTAAAAGCTCCACACTGTCTTAAGCTGTAAGTACATGTGGGGCTTATAACCAAAGAAGCTCATAATAAACAAACCTAGATTTGGCTTAGCAGCTCAGTGATAGCATGAGAATCCTGGGACCATCCTGTCCTCTGTTACTCTCAGTGTGAAAATGAGGTCTCACCTCATGGTCACAAGATGGCTGCTATGACTCCAAGCAATACATCTCCACATGATGACACTCTTCCAAAAGGAAGGAATCGTTCTTTAATGAGAGAGGAAAATGTTTGTCGGAAACTCCTGGTAGATTTCTTAGGTGTCGTTGGCAAGAACCGAGCCACTGAGTCACATGCCCACCCCTAAACCAATTCCAGGCAAAATAAAATGGAATTTCCACAGATAAATCAGACCAATTGTGATGCATCCCCTGAGGCTGAACAATTGACTCTTTCTTTAGTGAAAAAAAAAAAAAGAAAGAAAGAAAAAATGGGAGAATGTTTGTTGGACAGATGAAAGATATCAGGTGCAGTCAGGAATACAAGAGACACTGCTGTGGGAGGGAGCCTGGGTTCAGTGTAAGGAGATCACCAGGAAATGCTGAGAAACAGACCAGCTGAGGTGCCAAGTACCCAGTGGGAAAAGGAGCCCAGAATATGCGCCTGTTGGGGGAGCTGAGATAGCCAGACATAGAAGCAAAGGAATAGCACAGGGAGTCTCAAACTCCAGGGTCTACAGGGACCAGGCTGGCAATGAAAATGGGCAAAGCAACCTGGACAGAGGTCAAAACAAATGGGAGAGGGCCCATCTGTCCAAAGGGACCAGCAGCTATTCCAAAATAGCCTACTATTGCCAGTGGGAATTTTGGTCCAGGGATGCATCAGCTTCTGAATCTTCAAAAGAAGCCAGAAATCTAGATTTCTAAAGAGATCTCCCAATTTTTAAGGATTGGTAACACATTAAAAATAATGTTAATAAAATGGTGACCCAAGCAAAATATCTACAGGCTAGATTCTCTGCATGGACCTTCAGTTAGCAGCCTTAGGAGTAATATTGCCTTATCTAATCCAGGAGGCTCTCACAGCAAAGCCGAGTGAGTGTGCATTAGTTCCTACTTCCTTGCGTCATAATGCCCCAACATGTTCCTAGACCCTAGTGTGCTCCTCAAGTAATATGTTTCCACTCTTTCTAGCACCTTGCAGTCATACATGGATGTCTTCCAGTCCTGGATCATACTTATTCTGATACTCAGAAGGATCAAGAGAGAAAGCCATGGGGGCCAATCATGACAAGGTATTGAAAAACACCAAAGTTTTTTTTTTTTTTTTTGCAAAGTGTGTTTATCATTCATTTAACAAACATTTATGGGGTACGTACAGGGACCAGACACTGTACCGGGAGCTGGAAAGATCATGAAACCAAGATCAAGACAGACAGCCCCATTCCTTGGGAGAGTTTGCTTTCTCTGTGTGTTTGGTCTCCTTGGCTCAACTCTCTGACCCATCTTTTCCAAGGTGGTATGGTGCCCACCACCACACATCCAGGGTCTTTGTTTTGACCCTTTCTTTGCTAGCCCAACATCACTTCCCTCGTCTAGTTCCCTGGAGAATTCTCTACCTTCTGGTCCACACTTCTATGCTCCTTTTCCTAATTTGGGAAAGCTACAGTGGATGCTTCAGATAGGAGAACATTCTTTCTGCCACCATCAAGCCTCAGTGTTGGGTGATCTCAAGACACTGGGGCCATGTTTTTTTTTTTAAGGTAGAATCTTGCTCTGTCACCCAGGCTGGAGTGCAGTGGCGCGATCTTGGGTCACTGAAAGCTCTGTCTCCCGGGTTCACGCCATTCTCCTGCCTCAGCCTCCCGAGTAAGTGGGACTACAGGCGCCCGCCACCACGCCTGGCTAATTTTTTGTATTTTTAGTAGAGACGGGGTTTCACCATGTTAGCCAGGATGGTCTCGATCTCCTGACCTCATGATCCACCCGCCTATGCCTCCCAAAGTGCTGGGATTACAGGCGTGAGCCACCGCGCCTGGCCCATGATTGTTTTTAGAAGGTCTCCCAGTAGGGCTCTTGGAAGAGACACAGCACAAAGTGTCCTCTCTGTCAGCACTGATGGAGTTCAGTGAGGTGTGAAACCTACCAACAGCTCACAGTTTAGTGGAGCACAGCTGGCAGAGTCTTCACATCTTGCTGGGTGCTTCTCAGAGTCAGCAAAGACTTAACCCAATGGATTTCAATCCTGACTGCACATTGGAACCCATGACCAATGCCCCCATCCACACCAATTAAATCAAAATTCTTCAGGGTGGGGCATGGACCTCAGCATTACGTTAAAGCTCCCCAGGTTGGTTGGGAACCTGTAATAAGGGTGCAGCTCATGCATGAAGGCTTGTGAACTATTAGCTTCTGCTCTTCAAGTCCAACCTTAGGATCTCAGCTTGGCCACAGACTGATCTAATTAACCTCTCTAGGCTCAGTTTACCCATCAGTAAAAAGGGGATAGTAATAAATAATAACTCCTTGATGGATTAAATGAAATGATGAATGGAAAGGCCTTGGCTCATGATGAAAGCTATTATTAATTGTTTGTTTATTACCTATCTTCTTACTCTCCCCTCACTATGGGGATCATCTGCCTGGTAAGACCAGCCCTGATTCCCAAATGATTTAGTGACAGTTCCCAGGTTCTGTGTGTGTGAATGTGTGTCTAAGTGACTTTTATTTCTGTCTCCTCCCTGACACTCCTCTACCAAAATATCACCAAGTTCTGTCACCAGGAGAGGCTTTGATAACTTGGAGGATACTTATGACTCAACGTAGCTGCCGGGATACAAGGCAGAATTAGGAATGCCTTTTCCCCCTCTGTTTGCAACACTTTCTGGAATACGATCATGTTGTCTTAAAAGTGAAAAGTGAAGAAAATGGCAGCTCAGTTATTTTTAGGCATAATTACTGTCTTCAGAGACTCTGAATGGCTTTGTCACCTCCAAGCAGAACTAAGAGAAGCCAGCCCTCTCCCAGAGTGCTGTGTGGTAGCTGGAGCTGACAGTCCTTGCCAATAAGGTTTCTACACATATGTGCAGAATGGCATGATTGGGGAAGGATGCCATTATTACAGGCCTGGTGAGAAAACTTTCCAGAAAGAAAAACAATATTAGAAAATAAAAAGAGGAGAGGCAAATTTAACAGACAAGCTTTCTACACTTCCCACTGCCTCTAAATGTCACATCTCTGAAGACTCAATTTGGTGAAAAAGTGCCATTTGAGGTTGTGATGCTGGAGCCCCTACAATCTCACAGCAGAAATATCTCATCCTGGAGGATTTCACAGGGTGGTGACAGGCAAGGAGAACATCAGCCTTGGAGACAGACAGATTGTGGGTTCAAATCTCAACTCCATCATGGTCTAGGCCAACAAATTTAACCTCTCCAGACTTAGTTTCCTCATCTGTCAAATGGAGATAGTCACAAATCATACCTACCTTGCTGGATGAAATGAGATGATGAATATAAAGGTCTTGCCTATTGTTAATTGTTCATTTGTTCATTTATTCAACAAATAATTATTCAGAGGTTTCTCTCCACTCAGCATTCTTCTAGATGGTGGGGACTACCTCCATGAAAAAAACACATTTGAGGGGTGTGAAGGATTTAGTTAGCATGGCCGGAAAAGATTTTGCTGAGAAGGTGAGGCAGTGGGCCATGCAGATATCTGGGAAAGAACATGGCGGGCAGCAAAGCTGCTGAAAAGGAAACAGGCCAGGGGTATGAGGAACAGCCAGGTGGCCAGGGAGTCCAGAGCAGAGTGAACAAGAAGGAGACAGTAAGAGACAGAGTCAGAGAGACCACAGGAGACAGGGCTGCGTACGGCCAGCCAGACCACTGTAAGAGTTTGAGTTTTACCCTGAGTTGGGAACCATTGGAAGAGTTTGAGCACAGAAGCAGCAGGATCTATTTCCATGTTCATGCAATCCCTCCAGCAGCTTGGGAGAAGAGCCTGGAGGGAGAGGTAATATTGGAGCAGGGAGGAGAACATGAGGGCCTCATCCACCTTCTAGATGGAATAGTATAGGGGGCAGCAGTAGAAGCGGTAAGAAAGGGCTGCACTCCGGGTATATTTTGAAGACAAATTCTGATGGAATTTGCTGACAGACAAAATATGGGGTGTAAGAAAAAGAGAGACATCAAAGATGACTCCAAGATTTAAGGCCTGTTTTTGGTTTTTATAAAAAAGTATTGTTCAAAAATGGCTTAACTTCACAACAGAGGACAGTCCTTTCCAAGAGGAAGATTGTAGCCTTATGCTGGCATCCATATATTTCTCTACCTGCCTACATATCTATCTATCTGTCTGTCTGTCTATCTATCCCTCCATTCATCCATCTATCCATCTTTCAAGCTATCCATCCATTTATCTATCTATTCATCTATCTATCCATCTATGCATCCATGTGTCTATGTATCCATCCATTCATCTGTCTGTCTTATCTATATATCTATTCATCCATCCATTCATCCACCTATCTATCCATATAACAGCTCTTTTTTTAATGTAATCATAAACTTCTTGAAAACCAACATTAAATAAACTAGTCTTCAATAATCCAGCATTAATCAACAGAGCAGCCTCCCTCCTAAGCTAACACTGCTTTTGCCTAAGCAGTAGGTTCTGGGTGGGAGAGGTGGATAACTTCCTTCAGCTTTGATTTCTCCTCTGAGTGTGAATTCCCAAAATCCCACACAGAGAATTGAGTTGTCTACTATTCCAGCAACACCACAGAAATCCCAATGAAATGGCTTTGAATGAAAGAAAGAGCCCCTGAGAAGGCAGCAGAGTGCCAACACTGCCAACATCTAGTGGTGTGATCCTTGGATAATCCTAGGATAAGTTGCCAGCCTCAAGCCTTGGTCTCTCATTGGTAGGGAGGAGCCAATGGTGTAAATCCCTCATCCTACTGGAAAGATGGCCAGCCTCCAAGATGGCCTCACTGATTCTCTTCTCCTGATGGTTCCACTGTTGTGTAGCCCCTTCCCACATTTAACAGGCTGACTTTTGTAACCAACAGGATATTGCAAAAATGATCATGACTTCTGGTGTGTGGGCATAAAAGACACTGCTGCTTCTGCCTTTCTCTCTCTTGGGGAAATCAGACACTACATCATGAGGACACCCAAGCAGATCTCTGGGAAGGTCCAGGTGATGAGGAACCTCCAGCCACCATCAGGAACCAACTTGCCAGCCATGTGAGGGCACCATTGTGTAAGTGGCTCCTCCAGCCCCAGTTGAGCCTTCGGATGACAGCAGCCCCTAACAACAACTTGACTACAGCCTCATGAAAGACCCTGAGCCAGAAGCACCCAAATGGGTAACTCCCAAATTCCTGACCACAGAAACTGCAAGATAACAAAGGTTCATTAATATTGGAGGCTGCAAGTTTGGGGGTGATTTGTTAGGCAGAGATAGAATTAATATAGTCCCCTAATAATAAAGGGTGAAGGCACACTTTTTAGCCTGATACAGAAGCCTCACCCTGACTCACAGACTCTGTCTCACCTCCCACTCATCATCCTCCCACATAAGACATGTACACCCTGGTCCTGACCCAACAGACCTCCCTAAATCTTCTAAACGCAGACAGCATGCTCTTTCTCACATCTATACCTTCCCAAATGCCATTCTCCCTCTCTCTGCAATGCCCTTCCACCAATCCTTTCTGGAGAACTCCACCTCTTCCTTTACAACCCACCTCAAATGACACCTCCCCATGAAGCCTTCCCCAGGAGATATGCACCTCTCTTCTCCCGTAACACTCTGCAAACACCTTAGCACTAAATATTGGGATGAATTTTGCATTGTCACTTTCTGCACAGGACAAGAGTAATGTCTTCAGCATCTTAGCATTTCTGCTGACACATAGTAGGCTCTCAGAAAACATATGAAGGCTAAAGATGTCAGTTACCATTTGCTCAGCTCCTGTTATGGGGCAGCACAGATTATCTTCATTCCACCAACCTATTGAGGCAAGAACTTTGCAGATAAGAAAACTGAGGCTCAAAGAGGCTAGCACTTTGCCCAAGATCTCAGAGCTGCCTAGCGATGCATCTAGGATTAAAACCCAGAGAAAAACAAAATGAATTTTCTCAAAATATTTTTAGAGCTTTTGTCTGGTTTATCCCTCCCACCACTTTATAGGTAGCTGGCAATCAAATGAGAGAAATGTATGCACAAAATATTTGCAATAATAAATCCTGGCAAATGCAATGGGTGACCATTGCCCTTAACAACCCCAGCCTCCTTCCTACAAACCCAGAAGCCAGGATCCAAATTCCCCAGGCCTTTTTCTTCTTAAATGTCTTCAAGCCCTCCCAGGTTCTATGCTTGCCCCTTACAACAAGGTGCTCTGACATTTCAGCAGCCACTCCTTCCCCTCTTCCCCCACGCCACCTGCAGACAGGCAGAGGGAGCCAGAGGGAGGCCTCTCTCAGGATGGGTGCTGTTTGTCTAACACTTTAATTTATTGTCCTGCTACTGCCACTTCATTTGGTATTCAGTGTGATCGCATCCATCATAATGAATTTATCTGATAATAATGTGGATGCCACATGCACTTACACTCGGCATTGTGCAGCATTTCTCCAGCAGAGCTGCAACGTGGCTAGCCCAGGAACTCTGCCAATTTTAAAACTTTCTCTTCTTTTTCTTTTCTTTTTTTTTTTTTTTTTTTTTTTTGAGACAGGTTCTTGCTCTGTCATCCAGGCTGGAGCACAATGGTGCAATCTCGGCTCACTGCAACCTCCACTTCCTCCCAGGCTCAAGTGATCCTCCCATCTCAGCCTCCCGAGTATCTAGGACTACAATCATCTACCACCATGCTCGGCTAAATTTTTGTATATTTGGTAGAGGCGGGGTTTCGCCATGTTCCCCAGGCTTCAGCCAACTTTAAAAGAAGGTTTTCCTTTCCCCACTCCCATCTTTTTCAGATGGCTCAGGTATTTCTGCCAAACGGCACCTCTTTTGCCTCTCTGACCCATAACCATTTTTATGTTTGTCTTTGAACAAGGTCTCAATGCCCATCTGTTGGTTCACAAAGAAGGTTCTTTTGATGCCTCCTTCTGAAACAGGGCATTCCGGTAGAACTACTGGTGGTGATGGAAAGTTCTACAGCTGCAAGGTGCAAGACGGTAGCCATGTACAGTTAATGAGCACTGAAAATATGGCTAATGTGACTAAGGAACTAACTTTTACAATATATTTTATTCTCATTAGTTTGAATTTAAATAGCCACATGTGGCTATCATAGTGGACAGCATAGTTTTAAAAACTAAAACTAGACTAGATCAGAGCTTCTCAAACTTAACGTTTATGCTCATTACCAGGGGATCTTGTTAAAATGCAGATTCCAACTCAGTAGATGGAGTGAAGCCTAGGATTCCACATTTCTAACAAGCTCCTGAGTGATGCTGCTAGTCCTTGGACCACCCTTTGAGAAGCAGATGATCAGGGTGGTGGTTACATTATCATTTGCATTAATTCATTAAATTGAATACAGAAGATTCAGGGACTTTCCTATTTTATGTAGTACCTCTTGCTTTGGAGGTACCTCTAGTCTCTTGGAGGTTGCAGTATAATCTTCGAATCCTAAGTTCAGTGGTTCTCACCATTGGTTGCACATAGGCTTAATAGAAAAATCTCAGTGTTAATATGTCCCAGACATTTTTTATTGTAAGCTCACAAATTATAGTTGTATATATTTATGCAAGTGCCAAGTTGAGTTATGATTTCTGAATACAATGTGGAATAATTAAATCAAGCTAATTAACATATGTATCACTTCAAATGTTTATTATTTTCTGTAGTGAGGACATTTGAAATTTATTTTCTTAGCGATTTTAACGTGCACAATCACTATTATTAACTATATCCACCACGCTGTGCAAAAGATCTCAAAAAAAGAAAACCCACAAACTTATTGCTGCTTTCCAGATACGGCTTTTTGCATAGAATGGAGGGTGAGGGGAATGGGAAGATGATGTTCCAAACAATTCAGGTGGTGTACTTCTACTAAAACATGATTTGTTGTTTATTTGGAATGCAAACTTAACTGGGCTTGTTGTAGTTGTTGCTATTTTGCTAAATTGATCAACCTTAGTTGCACATTAAAAGCACCTGAGAAGTTTCTTTTTTTTTTTTTTACTGTCAGTGCCCAAGCCTCATTCTGTCTCAAAGATCCTAATTGCCTGGGCATACCCATGTTGCGTGTTTTGAAAGCTCTCCAGGTGACTGTCATTTGCAGCCAGGGCTGTGAAGCACCAGGCTAAGTCTGTGCTCCTCAAACTTCAGCAAGCCTTAGTCTCCCCTAGAGGGATTGTTAAAACACAGATTGTAGGACCCCCACCCCAAGAGTTTCTGAGTCAATTGCCTAACAAGTTCCCAGGTGGTGTTGATGCTGATAGTCCAGGCACTACTCTCTGAGAACATCTGCATTCATAGTCAGTAAGACTTGAGCATGAAAAATTGCATTTTTAACAAATTCCCAGGTGACGTTGATGCTCGTGGTCTAGGCATCACCTTTGGAGAACCCCTGGGTTACTATATGCTGACCCAGAGATGAAATTAACCCAAACTAGAAGCAAGCCACTGTCTAAAGCCTGATTCTTAGCAGGTACAAAAACAAAAATCCAATGAAATCTGAACTGCCTGCAAGTCAAGGGTGCACTTCCACCAAGGAGCTCTCTGTTTGCTCTCTCTTGGTGGTGAGGGAGGATAGGAAGCTTTTTAAGCATCAGTTGGACCTGGTCCCACCACTTACTAAACAGTGGATCTTGAGAAATGTGCACCCATCTCAGAGCCTTGTTTGTAAAATGAGCACCTGCTACTCTTTATTTCATGAGAAGGTAAAATGAAACAGGTATGCAATGTGATCGAGTAGGCATTTAATGTGTGCTGTCACCAAGAGGAAAATGCAATGCTTGGGCAACTCCGGCCAGAATACTGTGGACCAGCACCATCCATCCTCATAAATCTACAACTGAAAGATAACAACCTTGGCTAGACCTGAATTTTAATCTAGGCCAATAATGTGCCACCCTGGCAGCTATTAGCATCATCTGGGAAGACTTTTTCAAGGACCAGTGCCGGGCCCCACACGCAGGGATGCTGTGCCGTTGTTCTGAGGCAAGGCACAGGCGTCAGTGTTTTTGAAGCTTCTCAGATGTTTCTTGTGGACAGAAAAAGCTGAAAATTGTTTGTGTGGGGCTGGCTTTAATCCCAGGCTTCTGGCAAACTGTGTGACCTCTCTGTGTCTTGGTTTCATCCCTGTTTCCATGGCATATGGACAAACCTTCTCTCTTTCACCAGACGATGAGAGAAAATGTGCTGAGAGGTCAGAAAGGGGCTTGGAGATCACCCAGTCCAGCCTCCCTTATTTCACAGGTGGTGAAGCTGAGACTCGGGGAGAATGAGCAATTGGTCCAAGGTCACTCGGCTAGATGTGTAATTCACACGCCACAACTTGACCCAGCTGTGGTTCAAAATCTATTTACTTTTATTGAACAAACACTTCTCAGCTTAATATGTTCCAGATACTGTTTTGTTTTAAATGCTTTACAAATATTAGATACCTAATCCTCATAATACTTCTAAGAAGTAGGTGGTATTGGTGTTCATATTCCCATTTCACAGACTAAGCAACTGAGGCCTGGAAAAATTAAACAACTTGCCTGAGGCGACAGTGTATGGGAAGCACTGTGGTAACTCAGTCAGTAGAGCACTAAGAGAAGGGATTATTTTGTAACCCAAAAATTTACCGGGACATATACCTTCTCATCCTTGTTGCCAAAGGACAGAAATTTTAGAAGACAAGAATATTTTATCACTTTCCCTTTCTCCATCAATAAAACAAACTATAAAGTGACTGAAAAAAGCCCCTTAACTTTTACAAGAAAAGAGATGCCACATCTCAGTACACCAGCCTTCTCAACTCAGAGGCACTAAACGCTTTTTTAAGAAAAACCATAAACACTTTTTTTGTGCCAAGAAGGCTTTGCCAGTTAAGAAAATGAGAATTCATCAGCAGTGGCTGCTCATTCGGGCAGTGTGATTAGGCAAAGCTTAGACCCCTGTCAAAATCTGCCCCAACATTCTTTCTTCATCAGCCTCGGATTCTAGAAACCTGAAGTTCTCCTTGGCAAGTTTAGTTCCCCAAACTGTGATTCCTGCTGAAGAGAAGAGAGGAAACCTTGGTCCGAAGCTTTGTATCTTTTCTGAGATGCTCACCTGCTACTTGGAATTGAGAACTTTGATCCAAGGCACCGTTATTACCACCAGGAATTCACTTTTGTAAAACTCAAATCTGTTCACATCACATCTGCACTTAAAATTCCTCAACGTCTCCCTCTTACCTTCATGACAATGGCAAATCTCTCAGCGGGGTCTGATCACAGTCATTACTTTCTCTACCCGCCCTCAACCCATCTCTCAGGCTCCTTTTCTAACTGCCCAACAGGTTCACTTTGCCCACTGTCTAGACAGAGCCAATTTATCAAGGAAGGGGAATTGCAATAGAGAAAGAGTAATTCACACAGAGCCAGCTGTGCGGGAGACAGGAGTTTAATTATTATTACTCAAATCAGTCTCCCCAAGCATTCGGGGATTTGGGGGGTATGGGCTCGGGAAGTGAGGAGTGCTGATTGGTCAGGTTGGAGATGGAGTCCTAGGGGGTTGAAGTGAGGTTTTCTTGCTGTTCCTGGATGAGACGGCAGAACTGATTGAGCCAGATTACTGGTCTGCATGGTGTCAGCTGATCCATGGAGTGCACGGTCTGCAAAATATCTCAAGCACTGATCTTAGGTTTTACAATAGTGATGTTATCCCCAGGAGCAATTTGAGGAGGTTCAGACTCTTGGAGCCAGAGGCTGCATGACCCCTAAACTGTAATTTCTAATCTTGTAGCTAACTTGTTAGTCTTGCAAAGGCAGACTGGTCCCCGAGCAAGAAGAGGGTCTTTTTGGGAAAGGGTTATTATCAATTTTGTTTCAGAGTCAAACCATGAACTGAATTCCTTCCCAAAGTTAGTTCGGCCTATGCCCAGGAATGAACACTGTGTTCAGTGGACGGCTGATCAAGGACTCAAAAGAATGCAACCTTTTGTCTCTTGTCTATCCATGACCTGGAAGCCCCTCCCTACCTGGAGTTGTTCCACGTTGGACTGAACCAATGTACTTCTTACACATATGGATTAATGTCTCATGTGTCCCTAAAATGTATAAAACCAAGCTGTGCCCTGCCCACCTTGGGCACATGTCATCGGGACCTCCCTGGGCTATGTGCCGACCACGTCCTTAACCTTGGCAAAATAAACGTTTCTAAATTGACTGAGACCTGTCTCAGATATTTTGGGTTCTCAGTCTTAGGCATGTGTCTTTAAATTTACTGGGACTCATTGTCTCCATCTGTAAAATGAAAATAATAATAAAAATAATATATTCCTCCAATAGCAGTTGTGAGGATTCAATGAGGAAATGTGTGGGAACTGAATAGCACATACCATGCACTCAGAAAAGGGAATTGCTATTATCGTTATGAGAATGATGACAATGATGACGAGATTCACAGGTAGTCTCTGACATTCACACCTTCAAGTTTTGAGCAAGCTGCACTTTCACACATTGTGCGCTGGTGCCCCTAAATCCAATGCATATGTCCAACTTTAATTTTTTCATGAGTTATCATTTTACTGTAGTTCTGTTTGCTCAGTGAGGAAGCTCCAGCACCTTCACTATCTCTCGATAAGATTTATTTAGCCGTTTCATTATCTTCCACTCTTACTATTTTATAAAAAGTAACTGAAAACAGAAAAGTAAAAAGCACTAATGTAATAATAAGGGATCAAATCTCAGCCGAGATTGAATTGAGTAAGCACGCCACAAATGGCCAACCTTTAACTTCATCGAATTTAGGCCAGTTAATTGCGCCTTCAATTGTAAAAGGAAAAGGACAAAATGAGAGCATAGACTGATACTGGAAATACTGCTTCCGAGTGTGTCTAATGGATAAACTGCAAAAAACATTATGCTAAGTGAAAGAAACCAGGCACAAAAACCCACATATGGCATGATTTCATTACATAAAATGTGCAGAAAAGGAAAATCCATGGAGACAGAAAATAGATTAGTAGTTGCCTCAGGCTGGGGTTAGGAAGGAGAGGGACTTCAAATGGGCACAAGGCTTCTTTCTGGGGAGGTAGAAATTACTTAAAATAAGATTGCAGTTATGGTTGCACAACTCTGTAAATATATTAATAGTCACTGAGCTTTACACTTGAAGTGGTTGCAGTCTGCGGTATGTGAATGATACTTCAATAAAGGTTAAAAAACGAGGAGGGGGGACAAAAAAAGCAAGGAGTAACTAAAATCTTAGCATATTTGTCATTCTTTAGGGAGTGACCTACACACACATGCACATATGCACACACACAGAGTCTGATAACATGTAAGTCCACCATTTGAATTTCCACACAATTACTATTTGCAAGTGTTGTATAGAAAAGTGTTTACATTATGTTGGGCTGTAAATTTCTGGAGGGCAAGAATCTCCTTCTTCGTCTCTATCCCCTTAGCCCATTGTCAGCACTTAGTAAATTTTGCTGAACTGAAGATAAATAAACTCCTTTCCTTTTGAGAACTGCTGACAGAGAGGCTTCTGCAAAACAAAAAATGGACCCTCGCCTCTGTAGAACTGCTGGTCCAATAGGTGGTATGCCCAAATATGGCTCTCTCATCCCATTTCAGATGGTTTGCTAAAAAACATAATAAATAAACAAATAAAATAAAATGAAATAAAAAGCCAGCCTATAGCAAGCAAATGAATTTTCAACAGCTCTCTTCAATCTGGCCTTTGCAGCTTACTGGGCTGTTTCATGTCATGGCCAAAGACACTGCCCTCCAGGTCTTTCCATAAATGGTGAGTTTGCCAATAGGGGTTCCTGAGACCACTACTGAATGTCTACATGTTTGTTTTTCATGGCTCCTGTAACTACCATGGGCTTTTGGGAGCCTATAAAGTGCTAGGTTTGTCTTACAGGAGCACACAACCTCCTCCTTACCAAGCCAAGCATGGCAAACCTTCTTGATGACCCTAACAAAAGTATCCACAACCATTCAGTCTCCATTAAATGGTGACTGATGAGGAAGGGACCCGGCTTAATTCTCTGCACTGTGCATCACGAGTTACAATCAGAACATGCTGCAAAGGGGCATATTTGCATGCTAACAGGGGCTTCCGGGCATGATTTTGCAGGAAATGTTCTCCCGGTGCTGCTGGAGTATTGTCTTTAAAAGATTTACTTGGAGGAGAACAGATTGGTATCAAGGAGCAGGCAGAATTTATACGAAGGATTTACAGGCTTGAGCTGAATGTGAGGAAGAGACCATTAAACAAACAGATCTGCTCAGAGACAGAAGAATGCAATACAAAAACCCAATGATATGTGTTCCAAAGGTAGTAACTGCACCCCTCACCAGCCAGGTGAGTGGGGCAGGTCAGTGCACAGGACTGAGTCCCAGTACCCTCCTCCTTAGGATAGAAGGGACGTCACAGCCATCGCAGGCAGCTGTTGTATTGATGCTTGGGGTATCTCTTCGTTTCTTTGTTCAAAGTGGGGCAATGTGTTTAGCAACAAATGTCTACTCCTCTCCGAGGATCAGCAGGGGATTAAGAGCCCAGAGATTTATAAATGTCACGGCTCACTATGCCTGGCAGCAAAGAGCCTGGAGCTGAGACGTTGAGTCCACAGACACAGCGGGAGTCTATCCCACACATTTGTGCAAGCAAGGACTCCCAGGGAAGATACTGGACTCAAACTCAGAGTCCCTCCAGACCCGGAAAATTTCCCAATTAAGTAGGTTATTTGAAGTAAATAAAGATAATAAAAGCTAACATCAATTATGTTCCTCAGCCCTGAGCACCTACTAAGCATTATATGGCTTATATCATGCATTCAACAAATATTTTTAAAAGGCTTACTGTGTGCCAGGAGCTGTCTAGGGAGACAGCAGCAAACCCAGAAGGTAAATATCCTTGCCTTCCTGAAGGTTACATTCTACTGGCATATTTCAGGGAGGGAGGAAAGGAGGTGAAAGGACCAGAGAAATAAATTACATAACTGTGCTTTAATATAAAGTACATAGTGTATAAGCATGCAAAATATGTCAAGTTGCTACAAACATTCAGAGAAAATATATCGAGAGAGAGGCATGGACAGAAAGGAGTGGGTAATTAAATAGGGTGGTCCAGAAAAGCCTCATTATACAGTATGCAAGTGAGGATTTACGGTGGGGGCAGATTTCTTGGGGAAAAGGTTCCAGGCAGAGGGATTGTATATTTGCAGTTGTACAACCATAACCACATCGATTTTAGAACATTTTCATCGCCCCAAAAGGAAACCTCATACCCCTTAGCACTTCTCTCATTTCTCCCCCTCTCTCCCTCCACCACCTCTGGCCACCACTAATCTGTTTTCTGTCTTTACGGGTGACTTTTGTATTTAAAGGATGAAGCATAGAGAAGAGATTACAGAAGATGCGAGGTAAAAGAAGGGGACCACTTATAAGGCTGTTGTCATGAATCAGGCAATCCTCACTGAAATTCTGTGAGAATTCTATTATTATACCCACTTTACAGATGAGGAAACTGAGGCTCTGAAATGTTGACTTGCCTAAAGTCTCATGGCTAGAGAGGAGCAGTGCCAGGAACTGAGACCCAGTCTGTCAACCTTGGGCAGCCAACCATTACTCGTCCTGCCTTGAGGGATTTGTGTTCCTGGTCCCCCCCTCCCTCCCTAATAGGATTAAACATTTCCTTCCTCGGTCATTGCTCTGCAGTACTCCCCTGGTAAAGTAGGTGGAGGACTTTCCCTGCCTATTGAAGTTGAGTTTGGACCTGTGGCTGGCTTTGGCCTATAGGATGTTAGGCTTTAAAAGTGTTCACGTGGTTGGCATGCCCTCTTACGCTTCTGCAAAACCATGAAATTAAAATCCCAGGTAGCACTGGCACCAAAAGAAGGTGACACGTACAGAAGACTTGGGTCCAACCCTGGTCCTGGAGGCAGGTCCAGCTAATTCCAGCCTACATCTGCCAAATTCCAACCCACCTACAGCCTCATGAATGAGAAAAATAACGTTTAAGGTATTAAGCCACCAAGATTTGGGCATGGTTGTTACACAGTGTTATTTTAGTAGACACTGACTAATCTACAAACAAACTACAAACAAACCTCAAATCTTTGCAGCCTCTTTTGGATAATAAAGCAGCAAGCTAACTAGCGGTATTTTGGTTTCCAAAGCTTTTTTGGATCCACATTCTCGTTGAGCCCTCACAGCAAACCTATAAACTGAATGCTTTCATTCTCCTTTTTATAGAGTGGAATCCTGATGTTCAGAGATGCAAAGCCTCTCGCTTCAATTTGTAAAGGTCGAATGCACAATCCAGGTCTCTGCAAATCTTCCAACCTCAAGTCCAGCCCTCCACTGTCTTTCAACCTCCATCCTCTCTCCTGAAGTGTTCATTATTATTATTTTATAATTGATTAACAAGCGCACCGAAAGGAATCCAGCAAAAATGCCTGATGGCTCAGAATTTAAACAGCTCCCACTAAACCTGATCATTCAGTTTAAGACCTGCTCCCTCCCAGCCCCCACTGCTCAGCTCAGTGAGGGTTTTTCAGCACAGCTTTTATCAAGCTGCATTTTAATTGCTCAGCTTCCACATCCATCTTCCCCACTGGACTAAGCTTTCAAAGAAAAAGGGCCAACCACTTTTCATCTCCAATACCCAGTGCTTTTCACACGGTCTGACCCAGGACAAGTATAATTTTTCAGTAGATTCATTCAAAGGTAGCAATTCATTTTCCAATATTCAGTTCAACTCAATGTGCATTTGATTAAGCACTGGTTGTAAAATGGAGACACTGATACCCCACAGAGGAGTGTTGTTAAGCATTCCATTTGATCCTGCAGATTTTATCCTACTGACCTTGCACCAGAGACATTTTACCCTACCCTGCATTGGTTTAGCCATCACTATGCCAGCAGACTGTGTGTGTACATGTGTTTGCATATGTACATGAGTGTTTGTATGTGTTTATATCTGAATCTGTACGTGTATATGCCTATGTATGGGCATATGTGTGTCTGTGTGTGCATACATTTGCACAAGTGTGTATACATGTGGCTGTGTGTGTGCATATGTATCTCTGTGTGCATGCTGTCTACATGTGCATATTTATGGGTATTTGTGTATATATGTATGTGTGTGGCTGTGTGCATGTGTGGACATGTGCATAGTGTCTTCATGTGCATGTCTATGTGTGCATATATGTGTGTTTGTGTATATGTGTAACTGCATGTATACGCATATGCATGTGTATGTCTGTGTGTTCATGTGCATGTCTATGTGTGCATGTGTGTGTATGTGTAACTGTGCATGTATACGCATATGCATGAGTATGTCTGTGTGTTCATGTGCATGTCTATGTGTGCATATATGTGTGTTTGTGTATATGTGTAACTCTGCATGTATACACATATGCATGAGTATGTGTGTTCATGTGCATGTCTATGTGTGCATATATGTGTGGTCTTTAATTTTTAGTTGATGCATAATAATTATACATATTTATGGGATACAGAGTGATTTTTCAATACATTTATACAATGTGTAATGATCAAATCAGAGTAGCATATCCATCACCTCAAACATTTATCATTTATTTGTGCTGTGAACATTCAAGATCCTCTCTTCTGGCTTTTTGAAAATATACACTAAGTTATTGTTAACCATATTCATCCTACAGTATACAGAACAGTCAAAATTATCTCTCATTCAGCTGTAACTTTGTATCCACCAACCAGCCTCTCCCTATCTTCTCTTCCTCTACTCTTCCCAGCATCTAATAACCACAATTCTACCCTCTACATGTGTGAGCACAAATATAATAACTCCCGTGTATGAATGTGAACACATATATAGGTGTTTGCACCTACAGGTGTATCTGTGACTATGCGTATGTTAGTGCATGTGTATATATGCCTCTGTGTATGTGCATGCTTGTGTGTATATGTGTGTGGCTGTGTGCATGCGTGTTTATGTATATGTGTATGCCTGTGTGCATGCATGTGTGCTTACATATATGTGTGTGGTGTGTGCACGCATGTGTTTGTGTATACGTGTGGCTGTGTGCACGCATGTGTGTTTGTGTATACGTGTGTGGCTGTGTGCATGCATGTGCATGTGCAATGTGTGTCTGCATGTTCAAGTCTGTGCATGTGTGTGTGCTGTCTCCATCTTCTCTTCTCCTCCACTTTCTCTCCTGTCTCCATCAATCTCTGCTTCTCACAGTCTTTTTATCAAATAGATAAACTGTCAGTCTTTGATTAAATCATATGTGAATATCATTCTTTCCACCTACAAATATTTATGGAGTACTTTCTTTCTTTTTTTTTTAAATGGAGTTTCGCTCTGTCACCCAGGCTGGAGTGCAGTGGTGTGACTTCACCTCACCACAACCTCTGCCTCCTGGGTTCAAGTGATTCTCTGCCTCAGCCTCCCGAGTAGCTGGGACTACAGGTGCCCGCCACCATGCCTGGCTAATGTTTTGTATTTTTAGTACAGACGGGGTTTCACCATGTTGGCCAGGCTGGTCTCAAACTCCTGACCTCAAGTGATCCACCTGCCTTGGCTTCCCAAAGTGCAAGGATTACAGGCGTGAGTCACTGCGCCTGGCCATATGGAGCACTTTCTATGTGCCATGCACTAAGTCTCAAGTATAAGGCAGGAAAAAAAAAAAAACAAAAAAAAAAAGGGACAGAAATCCTGCCTTTGCAGAGTTTTCATTCTGGTGATTATTTCTACCACGTATTACTGGTATGGTAAAAGTGATCAGCAACTAACAAAACTAGCAGGGTTAAAATGACTAGAATGTGTAATGAGCTAAAATTGACAGGGAAAAAAAACAGGTATCACTAATAACAAAATTTAAATCTACAAAATTTGATCCAGACGATTTTCACTTAATAGAAAGAATGGCCACAAAAGAATCAAACACACAAACAAGAAAACCTCTCCAAATAGCAGAAGTCAGAATCAGCAAAAAGATGGTATATAAAAAGAGACTGATGAGTCAAATGCCTGTTGTAAATTTAAACAGAAAATAATTGATCCCATGAAAATAATGTTACTACAAATAGACATTCTAATGGAAAAAAAATGGAAATGATTGAGTCGAGCTGTATAAAAAATTAAACTCTGGATTAAAATGGCTTAATGAAATTTGCTCTGCAAAACAGGTTGTTCCAAAAAATTAATGTCACAAGAATTCTCGCATGGATGTTTGCATTAAAGATGTACAAAAGGCTGAAACAATGGGGTAAAAATTGAGGAAGGTACACAATAGTCTTCATCTGTGTCATATAATGCATTGATAGACACAGCCCTAGGCTAGTCAGTGAGGATATGAGAGCTTTTTGGAGCACTAGCAGCATCAGATTGGAGTGTGATGAGAAGCTGCTGACTTAGCCTCTCTGCCCCATCCTTTTTAAGTGTTACTGTGTATCTAAGTTACAATCTTGTTAAAATGCAGATTTTGATGCAGCAGGTCTGGTTCTCTCAGAAGATTCTGCATTTCTAACAAGCTCCCAGGTGATGCAGATGCTGCCTCGTCTGCAGACCACACTTTGAGGTCTCTTCTGACACTTTGTGCTGGGATGACAGCTGCTCAGGGGCTGGAGCAGTCCTCACCACTCCCAGCCCTTGGATCACCTGCCTTCTTTGCATGGTCTCTCCCTGGAAAGGTGGCTGGCGTGGTCTTGCATACTTCCAAAATCTGCAATGCAACTCGATCGCCAGGTCCCGAGCCCTTAATGAGCCAGCCCTTGATGTGAGTGTCAATCCTGCCATTTGCCTTGGTTTGACCCTCACTCCCCAATCAGGGAATGTTCAGGGATTTACTAATATAATCCTCTTCATGATTGCACGGGAAGAGAGCAAGGCTTAATCTAAGGGAAGGAATCACTAGGAGTAGAAGCAGTCTGGTGAGGTAAAACAAGTCTAGACTCCGAAAGCTGCGAGTTCTCCATTCAAATGCTGACTCTTCCACTTACAGGTCTTAGGAAAGCCAGGTGTCCCTTTGGGCCTTAGTTTTCTCATCTGTGTAATGGAAATATGAAGGTGGAATGAGAAATTTCATATAAAACACACAGCACATAGCAGGTGTGATGTTCAGTACATATTGGTTTCTATCTGCACCAAAGATGAATTCAGGTCCCTGCAGCATATGAGGGTGAGTTACTCGAGAGGTTTGAGTTTTCCTGGCACCCTCTAAATTGCATTCATAAGCAGATGCCAATGACTGAATCACAAGTCTAGCTGGGATGGGTGTCCAGAGGTTGACACTGCAGAAACATGGAGCACAGGAACAGAACATTTTTTAAGATGAGACTCACTTTCTTCTTGCAAAAGGAAAACAATGCCAGCTTTGGCAGACATCAGCAGTCAGCTCCTGTCTCCAGACTAGAACTGACTCGTCCAGGGGCCTTGGGCTCGCTACCAAATTGGTCTTGGGGCCACTTTAAGAAAACAAAAATAACACAGCAAGTCAAGTGTATTTTCCCCTTTTTCTGCTGCCAACGAATCTCAAATGAGTTTCAAAGTACTTAGAATTCAGAAGGGTGGGAGCCTTCAAGCTCTTGGCCATGGTCCTGAATCTGAAATTTTGGAACATCAGTTCCCAGGGGTGGACACAGACCATAGGCGCAGAACAAAGACAGTGCTCACCTGCAACACCCTTGGTGAGAGAGTCCTCCACCACCCAGAGAAGGGAAAACCCGTGGCACAAACTGGAACCCACTGGGTTCTGATGATGATATGTGATTGTAGATAGGACAGTGGAGTCAGAACAATGCCTTTGAAGTTATACTGACCAGGGCTCAAACTCAACCCTGACACTTCCTGGCAGTGTGTCGTTGGCTGAGCTGAGTCATTTTACGTCTCTGAGTCTCTATTTCCACATCTGTAAAATGGATATAATAGCACCTACCTCATAGGGTGTTGTGAGGATTGAATGAGTTATTATGCATAAAATTCTTTGCATAGGATCTAGTCTACAGAAGAGTTGCCTTAGCCAGGGTTCCCACCATGGAAAGTAACCCCTGAGGCAAGAGTTTGGGGCAGGCAGTTTGCTTGGGGAAGTGATCCCAGGGGACAGGAATGCAGGACAAGGACTGGTGGAACAGAGAAGGAGAGAAATACATAAAGGATATGTCCTTGGTTGGTCACCACCATGAGCAGATAGGGTTCCATATCACCAGGATTTTCAGAGGTGCTATCTGCCCCAAAGCCATAAGAAGGGATCATTGATCTATTCCCATGGTAGAAGGCACTCTCCCACATGTTCAGATTTTCTGTACCTTAGTGTCTGGAGGATCGTCAT
Source organism: Homo sapiens (assembly GCF_000001405.40). NCBI lineage: Eukaryota > Metazoa > Chordata > Mammalia > Primates > Hominidae > Homo > Homo sapiens. The sequence goes on along the minus strand of NC_000016.10, from coordinate 9,401,760 downwards.
GGGCATCCTACAAGACAGCCTCATAGAAGCCCTGGGGCAGAAAGCAAGAGGAGAAATACTCTAAGTTTGCACACAAACAAAGTAGAATGCTGCAGCAATTGTTGGAGTAGTAAATGAGCCAAAGAGGTAACATGGAGAACATGTATTCAATACAGAATTCAAAAATGTTAGTGTACCAATGAAGGTGATGCTAATGATGATGATGGTGATGATGGAGGTGACAAGGATGATGATGATAGTGGTGATGATGATGATGATGGAGATTATGATGATAATGGTGATGGAGGTGATAATGAAGGTGATGATGATGGTGATGGAGGTGATGATGGTGATGGAGGTAATGATGAAGGTGGTGATGATAAAGGTGATGATGATGATGATGATGGAGATTATGATAATGGTGATGGAGGTGATAATGAAGGTGATGATGGTGATGGAGGTGATGATGATGAAGGTGATGATGGTGATGGAGGTAATGATGAAGGTGGTGATGATAAAGGTGATAATGATGAAGATGACAGTGATGATGGAGGTTATGATGGTGGAAGTGCTGACAGTGATGGAGGTGATGATGAAGATGATGATGGAGGTGATTATGAGGATGGTGATGAAGGTGATGATAATGATGATATGTCAAAGAGACCCGCTTATCTTCTTGTATTTCCTCTTATTCAACTGATTACCTGGTGAGGTTAGAAATACCTTAGGATTCTAAGCCCTGTGATATAATAACTCTTCTACTTGCTTTGTGACCTAAGCCAATTCATCTCACTCTGTGGCTCCCTGGCATACTACAAAGCACTGATGTTTTTCCTGTGTCTCTCTCCTTCCTTCCTCTTCATCCCCGTCTTGGTATCTGTAAGCCAGGACAGCACACTGGTTGCCAGAAGCCAATTATATCCCTATCCATGGATGCAATTTCCAGTTACTGGACTAGATACTATAGTTTCACCTATACACTTGATCTCACTATCTACTCATCTCCAGAAACTGCCCCATTTCCAAAACATATAAAGAGGAAAAGATTAATATGTATTGAGCTATGACAATGTCCTACCTGTCTGATGCGTTTAGCAAAAGCATATTGGCAAATAGTAACAGATATGTTTCTAATCCTCTCCCTAATTTCCTAATGATGCTTCTGCCAGCCTGGGATGCCAGGACTTTCTTTGTTCTCTGCTTCAGGGAAAGAATGTTACATAAGAAATTCAGAAAGAGGAGGAGAATCAGTTCCATGATTTTGAGTTTCAAGACAAGCTTTTGAAACTTGCTTCTGTGTTTCAGAAACAGGAGCTTCAGAAACAGTTTTCTGCATTCTGAAATCCTAAGTTTTGACCATCAGAAATCAAGACCCTGTAAGACTCTAGGCACAGAAATTGTGCCGTTAATAATAGATTCGGGAGAATTGATCATCAATCAGAGTGTATTTTTCTGCCTTCAAGGAGTCAGAGATTGCAAGGATTGAGTTCAGTTAGGGAGAAGAGCAAGGAAGATTACATGCTGCTATATCCCTGAGAAGAGATTTTGAACCCTGCCCCATTACTCTCCCAGGTCAAATCTCAGGAGAACACAACCAAAGGAAAGAGAATATGCTTGAGGAACTGAAAGCAAAGACCTGTTTCTTGTTCTCCAGGTGAAGGTTCAGAGGGAGTAAGTCCTAAAATGCCCCCCAACAATTCTTACCTCCTGAAGTTCGCAACCTGTGTAAACCAATCCCTTGGTATATGGGTTGACGGGTTGGAATTATTGACTTGTTTTTCATGAATAGAGTATGGCAGAAGCAGTGGGATTCACTTCCAAGATCAGATTACAAAAAGACCGTTGCTTCTGTCTTGGGTCATCTTTCTCTTTCTCTCTCTCGCTCTCTCTCTCTCTTGCTCTCGCTCGCTCGCTCGCTCCATCTCTCTACCCGCCCCCCACCCCAGGAAAGCAAGCTGCCAGCTGTCCTATGGAGTCATCATTGTTGCAAGGAATTGATGTCTGGACCTCTGCAGCAGGGATTTCTGCAACCCCAGCTGATGCCTTGATTACAGCTTCTTAGGAGTCCCTGAGCCAGAGGCACTCAGCTAAGCTGCATGCAAATTCTTGACCTGTAGAAACTGCGATAATAAATGTTGGGGTTTTTTTTTAAGTGATACTTCCAGGCAATATTTTATGCAGCAATAGATAACCAATGCAGAATGGAAGGTGTCCAGTACAGGCCCTGGGGTAGCCTTTGAGCCCCCATCCAGCACAGGTTGGCTCTGGGAATGTCCATATCATTTCTTTTGGGATGAAATCAGCATACACATGTCAATAAGAACCAGAAAAGTGGACAGGCTCAGCTGTCAGTGTAAGAGTATGTGAAAGAGACTAAATTAAGACACAGAAAGGAAAAAGGGAGCACTTATTGCATGGCCAATTTGTGACCTCAGTTTCTTATTGCCAAAAATATATCGTCTCCTTTAAGACCCACAACAGTTCCATGAGGTCAGTTTTACCATCTCACCTCTTTTACTCTTAACTCTGCTCAGAGAGGTAAAGCGCCTTCTCTCAGATAACGCAGCTAGAAAGTGGGGGAGCTGTGATTCGAACTGCGGTCACTTGACTCTGAACTTGAGCTTGGAGCCATCCTTAAGGAGGAAGCTCAAATCTGGCTTCCCCGGTTCTGATCCTCGGGGTTATCTGTGGATTCATTTTGGACCCACAATGTGTGGTACCAGCTTAGATCTAGTCCTGAGACTCCAACCCTAGCTTTTGTTTTCTGGGATCCTCAAATATTGTCCAGCTGACTTATTCATTTGTTATCCAAATGATCCTCCTTGTTCAGAAAGAAGAAATAACCAACTCCCCAGACACCTAGAGATAAAGCAGTTGCCTGCTTAGAATGGTAATGGTCTACGAACTTATTAACAGGAGACAAGCCAAAATCATTTGGTCTCTCCCTCTCAGTTCTTTTATCACCCCTTTATCAGAAGCTGTCTTTTCTAATTTTAGCAGTTCACTAATGGTAAGTGGTACTAGGTTGTTAAGGAATTTTAGAGCTGTTCTCACTGCAGCATGAAAAAAATGCCTCAGAGAAGGGCTTAGGGATTTTGAGTCCACTGGACAAGTGCCAATAAACAGCTGCATGCCTCAGTCAGTCAGGATGAGCCAGGTTTTAGTCCAGTAACAAACAGCCCTCAAATCTCCGTAGTTTAACACAAGAAAATTTTATTTCTCAATTATACTACATGAACCACTGAATCAGCAGGGCATTCTGCTCTACATAGTCACTCAGACCTCCAGGCTGTAGGAGGCCCCACCAGCTTGTAGATCTGGATATGTGACCTCCTTATCTGCTACAGCTAGGAAAGAAAGAGAGAAGCATGCTCCATCTCTAACGCACTTCAGCCCAGAAGCAATATACATCATTTCAAGCCTGAATGAGTAGCATGGTTCCACCTAACTCCAAAGGATCTGGTAAACATGGTCTTGCACATGTACAGGAAAGAAAGGAGAACAGGTACTGGTGAGAGCTAGCAATGTCTACCACAGTGAGACCACCATTCCCACCAGAGATGAAACACTCTCGCTTAAGATGGACACGGACATGCACAAGGAAGCAAGGACTTTCTTTTTATTTCTTTCTCCATCAAGGAACAAAATAGCTCCAAGCCTCATGGAGCCCTGGAACATCTCCTCCATTCATTCTAGTATAGAACCATACTTAGTTGTAATTGGCAATTTGTAAAGTCAAAGACTGTTAGACCTTAGAAGGACCCTCAGGATTATCAAGTCAGGTCTTATTTGGTGCAATTGAGGATATAAAGATCCAGAGAGGAATGGGAAGTATCTAGAATTATACTTTTATTCACTTTCTTAAGAAACATTTTTGAGCACCTGTTACATTCCAGGGACTCAAATTTTAAAACAGGAATAGAGAAATAAGGAAGATAATGGCATTGTCCTCAAAACATCCAAGGAAGCCCATTAGGGAGACTGACATGAAGGCAAGTAAATAGGCAAATAAATGAAGAGCTGTGTGTGTGTGTGTGTGTGTGTGTGTGTGTGTGTGTGTGTGTGTCAAAGACAGAGAGAGAGGAAGGTAAAACGGAGAGATTGATTCAAGGTCCCATGAGGGAATAGAGAAACAGGAAGGAAGATGGCAAATCTGCCATCCCATCCAAATACATTTTAGAGGGGAGGTGATGCCAAGAGAACTTTTTCTCCTTCTAACTTTTAGTTTAGATTTGGGGGTACATACACACGCTTGTTACATGGGTAAACTGCCTATTGCTGGGGTTTGGTGCACAAATTATTTCCTTTCCCAGGTAATAAGCATAGTACCCAATACGTAATTTTTTTTATCCTTACCCTCCTCCAACCTTCCACCCTCACGCAGCTCTGGCGTCTGTTGTTCCCTTCTTTGTGTCCACATGTACTCAATATTTAGCTCCCACTTATAAGTGAGAACATGTGGTATTTGTTTTTCTGTTCCTGAATTAATTTGCTTAGGATAATGGCCTTCGGCTGCATCCATATTGTGGCAAAGGACATGATTTTGTTCTTTTTTATGGCTGTGTAGTATTCCATCGTGTATATATACCACATTTGCTTTGTCCAATCCAACACTGATGGGTGCCTAGGTTGATTCCATGTCTTTGCTACTGGGAATGGTGCTGTGATGAACATATGTGTGCATCTGTCTTTATGGCAGAACCATTTATATTCCTTTGGGTATACACTCAATAATGGGATCGTTGTGTCAAATGGTAGTTCTGTTTTAAGTTCTTTGAGAAATCTCCAAACTGCTTTCAACAGGGGGTGAACTAATTTACATTCTCATCAATAGTATATAAGCATAGCCTTTTGTCTGCAACCTCGCCAGAATCTGTTACTTTTTGACTTTTTAGGAATAGCCATTCTGACTGGTGTGAGGTGGTATCTCATTGTAGTTTTGATTTGCATTTCTGTCATGATTAGTAATGTTGAGCATTTTTTCATATGCTTCTTGGCCACTTGTATGTCTTCTTTGAGAAGTATCTATTCACATCCTTTGTCCATTTTTAATGGGGTTGTTTGTTTTTTGCTTGTTGATTTGTTTAAGTTTCTTATAGATTCTGGATATTATACCATTGTCAGATGCATAGTGTGTAAATATTTTCTCCCATTCTGTAGGTTGTCTGTTTATTCTGTTGGTAGTTTCCTTTGCTGTGCAGAAGCTCTTTAGTTTAATTAAGTCCCAGCCAAGTGAAATTTTGAAGCAAGGAGGAGTTCACCAGGTTTGGGTGGAACAGGCATTCCAGGCCTGGGGGATAGCATGAGCAAAGGCAATTTTCAGATTCAGTTATTGCATCCAGGTCTCTGATATCAGATTTCATATGCCCTCCCCTACATCCCAGGACCTAACACAGTATCTGTCATATAACAGGTGTTCGACCAATGCATGCTGAACTGAGCAAATGTGTCTCCCTATGTCTCAAGGTTATCCAGAAGACACTGTTGACTGAAGCTTGTGTGATAGCCACATAAGGCGTCGACCCAGGGCTTTATGTGGCTGTAAGGTGCTTCCTCAGGTGTTCCTGGCAGGTGGGGCCCAGAGGAAGGCAGGGGACACAAAGTGCTGATATGGGAACTTCACAGCATTCTGAGGCCTCACCGCTGGAAAACTCCCCATTTCTAAACTTAGCACAGAGCACTGGTGCATTTGCCTCCTGCATGAGAGGTGATTTATTTACCCTCACCTCTGCTTATGTGTTAAGCCTGTTGTAGCAGTGTTTGCTGCAGTTAAACACAGAGTGTGTTGTGTAAACAGTACTGTAATTATGGCATAGACAGAGGGAAAATTCTAAGTTCAATCACATTTAGTCTTGTTGGCCAGAAAAAGTGTCTCAGCTGCTGAAGTTAAGGGAAAGGGAAATAGTTTTCATCACTGGTTTTTAAAATGTTTTTTTAAAAATGATCCCTTATCAGGAAAAAAACAGTAATGTTTTTGCTGCCAGGAGTATTCTAGAAAGCCTGCTTCACATTCCTCTTGACAGCAGAGAAAAGGTAGCAAGCACATCCTTTGGTTATTTATAAGAAAAAACATTTCCCCTCTGGAGCCAAAGAGACCCAGCAAAAGTGTTAACCTGAGCCTTCAGATGGAGACTAACCTCTGTTAAAGCAGGTATCAATTAACAGCCACGAATAAATGCTTATAATGAGGGGAAAGGTCATTTATTGTTTAGAAGGAAAAGAAAACCCTTGTCCTTGACCCGTAGTAAATTAGGATGCGTCTTAGGAGTTGAGTCCCATCTCTCTCTCCCACTGCAAGAAGCCCTTGCGGGGATCCCTACGGCAATCTCCATGACCCCCTTAGAATAGAGTCTGCCTATCTCTAAAAGATAAATCAACACCAGAACTCACCCTGGTATTCTACAGCACTGTGGGGCAAAAATGGATAACTATAATTTATTGTATATTTGAGAAAGCAAGAAGAGAGGATTTTGAATGTTCACAACACAAAGAAATGGTTCATATTGGAGATGGCAGATATGCTAATTACCCTGATTTGTATCATTATACATCGAATACACCTACTGAAATATCACTCTGTACCTGACGGACGCGTACAATTATTAGGTGCCAAATAAAAATAAAAGGAAAAAATTACAAAGTAAAGACAATAAATAAATTTTAAAAAATGAAAATGAACAAAAATAAATCAGTTAAGGAAGTGTCTCTCTCATCCATCTCCCGCCTGTCCTCATCCTTGTGTCTCTACCTTTGTAATTTCTAAACCAGGTCCTTTACTCAGAATACCTAGTAGAGGCGAAGAGATGTTATTGCTTTAAAATAAAAAGATGGAGACAAAGAAAGGGAAGGAGGGAGCAACGGAGGGTGGGAGGGAGGGGAGAGGGAAGCAGGAAGCGAGGGAGGGAGGGAGGGAGGAAGGGACAGAAGCAGGCAGCAAGGGAGGGAGGAAGAGAGGGAGGTAGGAAGGGGAGGAAGCAGGATGGGAAGGAAGCAGGAAGGGAGGGAGGAAGGGAAGAAGAAAGGGAGAAGGGAGGAAGGAAGGGAGGGAGAGAGGAAGGGAGGGAGAAAGGAAGGGAAGGAGGCAGGATGGGAGGGAGGGAGCAAAGGAGTGAGGCAGGAAGGGAGGGAGAGTGGAAGGGAGGGAAGGAGGAAGTGAGGGTGGAAGGGAGGGAAGCAGGAAGGGAGGGAGGGTGGAAGGGAGGGAAGCAGGAAGGGAGGGAGGGTGGAAGGGAGGGAAGCAGGAAGGGAGGGAGAAAGAGAGGAAGCGAAGAAGAATGGGAGAGAGGGAGAAAGGGAGGGAGGAAGGAAGGGAGGAAGGGAAGGAGGCAGGAAGGGAGGGAGGGAAGGAGGCAGGAAGGGAAGGAGGCAGGAAGGGAGGGAGGGAAGGAGGCAGGAAGGGAAGGAGGCAGGAAGGGAGGGAGGGAAGGAGGCAGGAAGGGAAGGAGGCAGGAAGGGAAGGAGGCAGGAAGGGAGGGAGGGAAGGAGGCAGGAAGGGAGGGAGGGAAGGAGGCAGGAAGGGAAGGAGGCAGGAAGGGAAGGAGGCAGGAAGGGAAGGAGGCAGGAAGGGAGGGAGGGAGGCAGGAAGGGAGGGAGGCAGAAGGAAGGGAGGGAAGGAGAGAGGGAGGGAGGGAAGCAGGAAGGGAGGAAAGGTGGAAGGGAGGGAGGGAAGAAGGAAGGGAAGCAGGAAGGCAGGGAGGGAGGGAGGGAGGAAGGGAGGGAAGCAGGAAGGGAGGGAGGGAGGGAAGAAGGGGGATGGGGAAGGGAGACAGGAAGGGGGAGGGAAGGGGAGGGGAGAGAAGGGCGTGCTGTTTAACAGGCGTGTATGCAGAGACCGTGCACACTGCTCTAATAAAAGAAGTGAATACATTAAGCATGAAGCACAAGATTAAAACGCTGGTGGTTTCCACCTCCATCTTTCTCACCAGCCTGGGAGCCCCAGGGAATGTGAGGACAGGCTTCCTCTCCACGTTTGCCTGGTTTCCTGCAGCTCACGTCTCCGTGTCATAGCACTTATTGGCCTCTCTATCCGGGTGCCTTCTTTGCACTTTCCTTTGCTGCTGAGCTTTAAAATTCAGCTCAGGCATCATAGCCTCCTTCAGGAAATCTATTCTGATCTTCTGGCTGGGGTGCATACCATCTTCTGTGTTCTCATCCCACACATTAAGAGACATGACTTGTTTCCAGCTCAGTTTCCCTGTCCAGATGATGCACTCCCTGAGGGCAGGGATTCCATGAAGCTAATCTTCTTGTGCACTGCCCCTAACTAGGGGGAAGTCCAAGGTGGATGCCTGATGAGTATTTACTGAATGAATAAAAGCTGTCCTTTTCCCCAATTTTTAAATTTCCCTTCCTCTTTTCTCCCTCCCTTTGCCTCATTAAAATCAACCTAAAATTAGCCTTTGTGGTGAAATTTGAATTTGAGATGCCTTTTTCTGTATCATGGGGCTCCAGTCATTCAGGAAGCTGGAGGCCTTGTTTGCTTCACAGGCTTGGTTCATTCCACAAAATTCTCTTTATTCAGACTGATTTTAGCAACATCCTTATCGCCAGCCGGAATTCCGCTCCGGAGACTCCTCAAGCTCTGCAATTACTTTACAACGGTTTTCTAATCAGCCTGGGGCCCACGAGGGCTCATAAATGACACTTGTCTTTGTGTTGCTACTTTTCATGAGTTTTCAGAATTAAGCCCCTCCTGGAGCTCCAGGCCCTCATGGGGGAGAGATTACCTTCCATTCAGTGAGAGAATAAAGGTTAATTGGTAAGTGGGTCTTGTGAATTAAGAAGACACTCACGGGTGAGAAAGAAAACAGAATCCACAATACAGACAGCACGTTTCTAGATTTACAAACTCCTACACTTATGAGCCTCAGAGAAAAATAGAAAGATGGGAAATTCTTTCTGATTGAGTCAGAAATTTAAATGTAGAGATTGTCATTAAATAAAGTGAAGGGAGGAACTGACAGTCTGCTGTGTGCCTCACTGAACTACGAACTTGTGGACATTATTGTATCTAGTTATGTTTGCCAGCCTCCGAGATGACCCCCAGTGATTCTTTCTTCCTGGTGTTTATGCCCTTGTGTAGTCCACTTTCATATTGAAAAGGCTGACCTGTGAAACTAATAGGATATTTCAGAAATTACAGCGTGCGACTTCTGAGGCTGGGTAGTAAGAGACACTGTGGCTCTTCTCTCGGATCACTCACTCTGAAGTATTCCATCTGCCATGTTGTGAGGGCACTCAAGCAGCCCTATGACTAGGGCAGGCGGCAAGAAAGTGAGGTCTCCTGCCAATATCCAGGACCAATCTGAAGTCTATGAGTCATCTTGAAAGTGAGTTCTCCAACCTCAATTGGGCCTTCAGATAACTGCAGTCCCCGTTGAGATGAGACAGACTCACTCAGCTAAGCATCTCCCAAGTTTCTTCCCCACAGAATCAAAGAGAGTCCTGGTAGGTCTTAATGCCTTGAGCCCCTAGTGTCAGAACCTAGAGAGGTCCTGCTGTGGTTGGGCCCAAGATATTTCCTGGGATCCTTCAGGATTCAATGGCATTCATTGGGTGGAAAGTGGCAGTACTCAAATCAATGTAAGTAAAATTTGGGAGTTACTAATTTACTTAACAATAAGTAGAGAAAAGGAGGTGACCTCAGGCATAACTGGGTCCAAAGAAGAAACAAGTTCACATCTCCATGACTTGCTTTATCTGACACCTTTCCAGTTTACCTATCTTTGATGTGGGCTTCATTCTCTTTTTCTACAGACAGGATTTTTCCAGGTAAGAAGCAGGCTGCAAGAAATGAATCCCCATGGGTCCAGCTCCAGGACCTCAGAGGCAAGCCCGTTCTCCAGCTCCACATCAAAAACTTCCAGGGAAAATTTTTAGGCCAGAATTGAAAATACACTCACCCACTCACCCAACCACTAATCTCTGTTTAGTGGGGAACTGGTTTACTGTAATTGGCTGGGCTTGGATCACCTGGCTCTCTATGGCAACGGAAGCAAGGTCTACGATTGACAGCCTCACCAAAGAGGCTATAATTGACAGCCTCAACAGGGTCACTTGATGAGATGAGAAAGAAAAGAAGAAATAGGAGATGGCAATCAGATAACAGCAGGTATTAACTAAACCTTCCAAGAAATTCCTTTTAATATTTTTTCTTGCTTAAGCTCTCTTAAGTTGACTTTCTTCCTCTCAATCAAAGTACCTTAACTATGTATGGCTATAAAAGGACAGCAGAAGGAACCCTTGTGACTTCTGTGTCTTCACTGTATCAGTGTCGATATCCTAGTTGTGATATTGTCCTTAGTACCACTAAATAAGGTAAAGGATATATAGTATCTCTCTATATTAGCTCTTACAACTGGATGTGAATCTAAAATGCCCTGCCCCATCCGAAAAAAACTTAATTTTTAAAAACTAGAAAACAAAATTTTGACTGAAGTTGATCCTGCCATCCAAATTAAATCTGGGCAGAGGTTCACCACTCAATAAGCAATAGAATACCACCAACTAGTCATTCAGCCAATATCTTCAGAAAAAACAGATCCAGTTGCTGCTAATTCTTTTTTAAAAATGAAGCTCTGACATGCTCCTTGAATAGCAGCACTGTTCATATCCACGTGGGGATAATTAGAAGCAAAAGTTCAAGAATGTCCTGAAGACCACAGTTCACATACTATAAGACACGCCAGAATATGCTAATCATCTCAGAATTAGCACTAATTCCTCATACGTTTCTAAGCACATCAAATATTAAAACACAATTAGGCACTATGTAAGTGCCTAAAAGTTTCAGAATTAACTTTCCTTTTAACTGGGTCAAGGAACCAACTAACAGAAGAAAGTTAAATGTTGGTCATTAAGGATCAATTGGTCCTTCTTAAATTGGGGGCAGGGGTGAGTGAAAATTTATCAGCATGGAAAGACTTTGAAACCAGAAAGTCCTGGATTCAAATCTCAACTTTCCTCTAGGCAAGTCACTTCTAAAATCTAATCTATAAATTAGAGATAATAATAATGACCTCCATCACTGGGATGTTGCAAGCATATAAAGTAGTTAATCTATGGAAAGCACCTGGCACACAGTAGGTCATCAATGACTGTTAATTTCCTTCCTGCTGGGAAACAGCACGAAAAGGCTTTTGGTGTGATTAATGCATTTTATGAGAATGTAAAAAATAGGACTGCACTCCCCATTTAATTAGAAAAAAAGTAATATGTTCCTGTGGCAGATATTCAAGTATATGACATGAAATATTATGATGGCATTTTGGTCCTCTCCTCTTGAAAAGGGAAGAAAGAAGATCTGCCACTTCAAAAAATTAAGAAACTGTAAATCCTTCCATATCCTTGCATAGCATGCAATTGCCCTGTGGAAGGGTCTTAAATTAATGTCCTCTTAACAAATTAAATGGTTGACTGATGATGCAGATATCTTTGTAACTGACTTATTTACAGGAAAGATATTCACAGGTAGAACTTTTACTTTCCTCAACCCAAAATTTTATCCAAAAACCTACAACTGAAGCAATAGCACACCCATTGCATGGGAGCTGAATTCCAGTCTATCTACCTGAAATTAGTAAAGAAAAACCAAAGGAAAAGGAAGATGTCATCCACAAACTATTGTGAACTCCTTGCAGCTTTGTGCTACTAAAGCAGGACAGAAATGGCTTAATGCAGAACCCATTTCCCCCTTCATCCTCACTAATAGAGCCCTCCCTTTATTCAGATTGGTCTGGTTTAAACTACATTTCCCAGCCTCCCTTGTGAATGGATGCACCATGTGACAGAGTCTAGCCAATAAGAAGTAAGCATAAGTTAGTGAGTGGATGTATTAGTTATCTATTGCTGCATAACATGTTATCCTCAAAACTTAGCAGCATGAAACAACAAACATTTTTTATCTCACAATTTCTGTGGGTCAGGAATCAGGGTGGTTTCAGTTCTGTCTCTCTCATGAGGTTGCCATCAAGCTGTCATATGTGGCTGTGATCATCTGAAGGCTCATGTAGGGGAGGATCTGCTTCCAAAATGAATCATGTGGTTGTTGGCGGGACCCAGGTCCCCAGTGACTGTTGACCAAAGACCTCTCAGTTCCCCACATATGCCATGGGCCTCTGCATAGGGTGAGAAAGACAGGTAAGTCCCCTTAAGGCCTAGAGTTGGAACTGGCATATGTCACTTCTTTCATGTAATTGCCTACCACAACTCACATGACACTGCCTGAGGTCAAGGAATGAAGTATAAACTCCAGACCTGATGAGATCATGGCAAAGTATGGATGGTGGGAGGAGGGATTAAAAATTTGAAATCAATAACTCAACCTACCATACCCCCCTAAGCATGGACATAGAGATAAATAAGTCCCAAGTTTTGTCAAGCTTACCCTTTAATTATCTTTTAAATTGCCCTCTCTTTCTACTTCCACTGTTACCACGAGGGTCCAAGCCATTATCATCTCTTGCCAAGATTATAACAATTCCACCACATCCATCCTCGCCTCCCCTACAACCCATTCTCCATGCAGCAGCCAGAGTGATCTTTAAAGAGACAATGAAATCATGATCTTTTCATACCTTTGCCCAGCAACAACAAGAAAAATGCCTAATGGCATTTAGAAAACAGACTAATTTCCTTTTTGAGGTCCTGCATGGTCTGACCTTGGCTTCTCCTTCACCCTCACCTGGTGCTGTCTCCGGACTCCATCTCTAGGCTTCACCTTTCCATTCCCCCAATGCCCCAAGCTCTCTCTGTCCCCCTCACTCAGGGTGTTTCTTATGCCAGGAGAGCTCTTCCTTCCCTTTATCTCTACTTCCTACCCAGCAACTTCTACTTCCCCATTTCCACTGACATTTGCTTCCCTTTTTCCACCAATATCCACTGTTAGAAAGTCACCTTGAGACAAGATGCTTTGGATGCCTAAACTATGCACAATTCTTAATATTTTATTCCTTCCATTAGTGCAGTTACTGGTTCTGGGCTGCCCCTGTGAATCCCCCTTATCTGACCAACTTTAGATTTGTATGACCCTAACAGGGACTCAGACACCTCAATTAGCCAACTTGCAATGCTCAAAGACAAGATTCAGAGTGTAGCTCCAGAAAGCCTGAGACGACAGGGAAACACCTGGAGGTGCTGCTCACCACAGGGGTCATGGGTAAGGGATGGCTCTGGATAAAACAGGTCGAAGGCATCCCTCTGTTTAATATCATGGGGAAGGGATTATTCTTATCTAGAACAGACCTGAGAGAGCACCAAAACTTTCTTCTTTAAGGTGAGATTGAGATGTCCCCATGCTCTAATCCCTGGCGGTGTTTGACTACACACAAAGGATAAAATTTACAGTGAACTAGTTTTGTCTTTGTATTGTCTAAATCACCTATTACTCTCAGGAAACCACAATTTCTAGTACAAAGAGTTTCAGGGCTGTAACACACACACATAAACATGGTTATAAACCAAGAAAAGTGTGGGTAGAGAAGAATGTGAGGCACTCTGAGATCATATAACAAACAAAGAGAGCTGATCCGGCCTAATAAGTGAGAGAAGGCTTCCAGAAGAATGTGATTCCCAACCAAGATCAGAACACCAAGTAGGTTGTAGAGGGTGAGTGGAGAATTGCACGCAGAGGAGATGGATGGCGCAAATGTTGAGATGCTAGCAAGAGACATGCAACTGAAAAAAAACTCTACTCACACTTCTGACACCAAATGTGTGGGTTCCTTCACCACCAAGTGGTTCTCCAATTCTCTATATACCAACTGATTGTCCTACAATTTAATTCAATTATAATGCTAACTATCCAGAGACAGTGCAGACCCCCCAGGTTAAGGGCTCAGTCCCACAAGACTTTCCTACTTCAGATGTCAATCTTCAGCTCTAGGCCACTCTTACAAACTGGCTATCAGTCAGGAGTTCCCACTATCCCCTCCTCAGGTTCAGTACTTTGCTAGAATGGCTCAAAGAACTGAGGAAAATACTTTACTTAATAATACAGGCTTATTTTTATAAAGGATATGAATGTACAGCCAGAGGAAGAAGTATGTAGGGCTAGGTCTGGAAAGGTCCTCAGCACAGGAGCTTCTATTTGTGTGAAGCTGGGGTGCACCACCCTCCACCCCTGTATATGGACATGTTCACCAACCCAGAAGCTCTCTGAACCCCATTGTTCAGGGGTTTCATAGAAGTTCCATTACATAGGCATGATTGGTTAAATCACTGACCACTGGTGACTGAACTCAGGCTGCAGCCCCTCTCCCATCCCTAGAGGTTCAGGGGTGGGGCTAACCATTCCAACTCTCTAATCACATAGTTGGTTTTTCTGACAACCAGCCTCTATTTTGAAGCTATCTACAGGATCCCAGCCAAGATAATCTCATTAGCATACAAAAAGGCACTCATATCACTCTGGAGATTCCAAGTATCTCAGAAGCTCTTGTGTAAGGAACCAGGGACGAAGACCAAATATTATAACAAAAGATGCTCCTATCATCAGTATCACTCAGGAAGTTACACGAGTTTTAGAAGCTCTGTTCCAGAAACCAGAGGCAGAGACCAAATATATATTTCTTACTAGGTCTCAACTGATTGCATATTTTAACCCATAAACAGTTTGGTAAAGCAGGTGCCTGGATGGAGAAGGAAAGATGGTGAAGGTGTCAGCTTGGAAGGAGCAGTGAGTGCCCAGGGAGTCTGGACTTTATTCAGGGTCCCAGGAGAAGTGGACATTCCTGGCTGCATATTATTTGAGACAGTCTAGCTGTGTCACCCAGGCTGGGGTGCAATGGCACAATCTCAGCTCACTGCAACCTCCACCTCCCAGGTTCAAGCAATTCTCCTGCCTCAGCCTCTCTAGTAGCTAGAATTACAGATATGTGCCACCATGCCCGGCTAATTTTTATATTTTTTAGTAGAGACAGGGTTTCATCATATTGGCCATGCTTATCTCAAACTCCTGACCTCAAGTGATCTGCCCACCTTGGCCTCCCAAAGTGCTGGGATTACAGGCATGAACCACCGCACCCAGCCTCCTGGCTGGATTTTAGAGAGCTCACGCTTGCTGCCACTCCCAGAAAGGATGAGAAACGAGCAAGGCTGGCATTCTCTGTGGTGCCCCAGAGCAGCCTTGTACCTCTCAGGATACAGACCAGAAACCCCAGAAGCAGGGCAGACACTGTGGCCCCTTCATGTGGTGGCTTCTGTCAAAGTCTTGTGACTCCTGCTGTTGACACTCCTGACCAAATTCTTAAAGTATAATAATAATAAAAAAAAAAAAAAGAAAAAAAAAAAGCCTGCCTGGTCCAGAGAGAAAGAACAAGATCAGCCCTGTCCCTCCTGGGAGAAAATAAAAGCTGATGCTGTTAATTGCTCTTTCCTGAGCCTCCCTCATTAAGAAAAGGAATGGTCAGCATCTCTCCTCAGCTGCTGCTGGTACTCAAAGGAAAATGAGAAAAAGCCTGCCTGCCTCCCCTCCCATCAGAAGGGAAAAGGCTCTGCGAAACCTGCTGGGTATATCTGTCCCCTTCTTATACGGTCTGGCTCTGTGTCCCCACTCAAATCTTAACTTGAACTGTAGCTTCCACAATTCCCACGTGTTGTGGGAGGGACCCAGTGGGAGGTAACTGAATCATGGGGGCGGGTCTTTCCCATGCTGTTCTCGTGGTACTGAATAAGTCTCAAGAGATCTGATAGTTTTATAAAGGGGAGTTCCCCTGCACAAGCTCTCTCTTATCTGCTGCCATGTAAGACCTGCCTTTCACCTTCCACCATGATTGTGAGACCTCCCCAGTGACGTGGAACTGTGAGTCCTTTAAACCTCTTTTTCATTATAAATGACTCAGTCTCAGGCATGTCTTTTATCAGCAGTGTGAAAACAGACTAATACACCTTCTAATCCTCTGTACTCTCCCGTCACAGCCCCAGGCTGAGGGTCCCCCACCCCAGATGGTCCCAGACCTCTGGTGCTGTGCTGTTTCTTTTTCACTCGAACAGCATATTTGATGGGAAGACAGTGGGAGGAACATGATGGGAGCATGAGACACAGTGTGTGGGTTCCCATCCCAGCTCTGCCACTTAATTGCTGAGTGGCACTGGGCAAGTTATCCTCTGTTTACTCATTTATAAACTGGGAATAATGATAGTACCAACCTTCAGGACTGTTGTTCAGACTAAGTAAGTGATAGTTGTAAAGTGCTTGGGATGGGCCTGGCACTAAGTAAATGCTCAATAAATGTTAGCTGTTGGTAAGATTATAAGAAAGTGGAGGTGTAAGAGATTAGAGAGAAAGAGAAGGAGGGGCCGGGTGCTGTGGCTCACACCTGTAATTCCACACTTGGAGAGGCGGGGGTGGGTGGATCACTTGAGGTCAGAAGTTCGAGACCAGCCTAGGCAACAAGGTGAGACCCCGTCTCTACAAAAAAAAGTACAGAAAATTAGCTGGGTGTGGTGCTGTGCAACTGTGATCACAGCTACTCAGGAGGCTGAGGTGGGAGGACTGCTTGAGTGCAGGAGATTGAGGCTGCAGTGAGCTGAGATTGTGCCATTGCACCCCAGCCTGGGTGAGAGTGAGACCCTGTCTCAAAAAAACAATAAAAAAGAGAAGGGGGATAAGGAGAGGGAGAGGGAAATGGGGAGCAAGGAAGAGACACAAAAGAGAAAGCATCTACACTGGAATGGTGTATTTTGCTTTTTTTCCTCTCTCTTTTTTAATTTTATTATTATTATACTTTAAGTTTTAGGGTACATGTGCACAATGTGCAGGTTTGTTACATATATTGTATTTT